>NC_000008.11:109464222-110714222 GCF_000001405.40 Homo sapiens | reverse complement strand
GAACAACTTACAATCATGGCAGAAGGTACAGGGAAAGCAAGCACCTTCTTCACATGGTGGCAGAGGGGGAGGGAATGAGTGAGCAGGGGAAGTGCTACACACTTTAAATAAACAGATCTCATGAGAACTCTATCATGAGAACAGCGATGGGGAAGTCCACCCCCATAATTCAATCACCTCCCATCAGGCCCCTCCTTCAACAGTGGGAATTACAAGTTAACAGGAGATTCGGGTGGGCACACAGAGCCAAACCATATCATACATAATGAAATATAATTAGTCAAAAAAAATGAAATTGTGTCATTTGTAGCAACATAGATGAAAGTAGAGATCATTATGTTAAGTGAAATCAGCCAGGCACAGAAAGACAAAGACAAGTATCACATGTTTTGAGTTATATGTGGGAGCTAAAAATGTGAATCTCATGAAGATACAGAGTAGATTGGTGGTTACCAGACGCCAGAAAGAGTAGTAGTAGGAAAACAGCATAAAGAAAGGCTGATTAATGTGAATAAACATACAGTTTAATAGAAGAAATAAGACCTAAGGCTTTATGAATCAGTAGAGTGACTCTCATTTACAATCATCTGTAGCATATTTCAAAATAGCTAGAATGCTGACTGGGCACAGTGGCTCATGCTTGTAATCCCAACAATTTGGGAGGCCAAGTTACAAAGATCACTTGAGCCCAGGAGTTTGAGACCAGCCTAAGCGGACCATGTCATTACAAAAAAATCAATCAATAAAAAAATTAGCTGGACATGGTGGCATTCACCTGCAGTCCCAGCTACTCAGGAGGCTGAGGAATGAGGACAGCTTCAGCCCAGGAGGTTGAGGTTGTAGTCTGAATGCTTCTTAAAAATATTATATAGTTATAAAAAAAAGTCTCTGTTTTGTTTTGAATTAAACCCAAAATATTTGTCATGTTTCAATCAATGTAAAATGAAAACTGATTAACCTGTACTTGTGAATTTTGCAACCAATTATAATTTTAACAGAATATAATTAATTAATAGGCTAATAAGTGATATCCAATCAGAATGCAGAATGATGGACATCTGGAAAGTTGGAGAAAACAGATTTGAAGGCAAAAATATGATGTGGTGGCAACTAGCATAGTAAACCTGAAATCTGACAAGGAGAGCAGATAATACACTGAATGCAAGAATCAGAAAAAAGATCATATTTTCTTGCATTGTATTTGTGTCATCCAAAGACCAAATAGTCAGACAATACAATTCTTAACCCGCATCAGGATTCACTAATGATTAGCCAATGTACAAAACAGAAAATGTAGCATATGCAACTTCAGTATCTCGGAAGCCCTGAACCTGTCAGACCCAGCATCAGCTCTTAAATTGCAGACTTATTTATAACAACTAGACATCAAAGTGTACCCTTCAAAAGCATTTCTAGTTCACTGCTGAGATCACTATATCTGTCTCCCAGTAAACTCTGTCGATAGATGTTTGCAAGAGGATATGCTTAGTGTCAAGCTTGATTATTAACTCTTTTATTTGCAATATTGAATATTTAAGAGCATCATGATCTTGGCATCTCACAGTATATTGTTATTAGAACAGCCATTCTCACATTGGAATGATACAAAGATTACACTGTGTACAATAATGGGTAATAGAATGTTGGAGTATTACAGATGAAGTGAGATTTTCTCATTATATATTTTATACTTCAAACTTTTTTACTTAAGGCAATTTATAATAAAATTTTCAGTAGTACTATGAAAGTTTAAACAATATGATATTTCCTAAACATATAATCTAAAATATAACCACATACTTCTGTTTCTATCATTAATTTTCTATTGGTAATCATCATTAAATAATTTAATAAGTTGAAAAGCCAATCATAAGGTTAACAAATAATATGCTTACCATCTCCATATTTTATAAGGCACTTCACATTATATACTTTGGGGGCACAATACCTAGCTTTTAGAGTTTAAAAACCTCCAATTGTTACATGAATCATTATTATATTAAATTCATATAAAAACTATCTATCTCAATATATGGGAGTTCAGTTTACACACTGCACTATTGACATACAACTCTTCCTATGACGTAAGACATTCTTAACTTGGATTTAAGCCATAACTATATGTCAGTTTCCAATGCCATACCTCGATCTTTTTCCAGAATTCTTGAGTACATTCACAGTGAAGGACTTCATACCTTTTCAGTCTATATCATCTAGGAGCCACAACATGTGCAAATTTTGACCTTTTACGTTGCTCTCCAATGACAGATTTTTAAACCGAAGACAAAGAAATAAGAAAAAACTGCTTACTGAAATGTTAAATTTTCCTTAGCACTATATAGTTTTTCTTCGTTTTAATAAAGTTGAACTTATAATTGTTTACTTTTCCAAAGAGAGGGGATGAGACTTAAACAGGTAATGAACTATTCTACTCTCAAAGCACAGAAAGCAGGCATATAAAATGGAGAAGTCAAGATAACTCAAAAACAGTTGCCTAGACTCATGTGTTCTAATTCTCTCATTCCCTTTAGAGCCTGCTAAACTCAGGATTTCTTCCTCGCTATGCTATCATGGTATTTTTGTTGTTGTTGTCAAGTCCTCCAGTTCCTCTCCACATTTCTTGGCTAATAGTCTTTAGGTTTTATTTTACTGAACCTGTCCATAGCATTTGAGAAAACTCAACAGTTTTCCCTTAAAATACTTTCTTTTCATTTCAAGACACCATGTGCATCTGACTCTCTCCTCTCTCATTGGCTACTCCTTTTAAATCTTTCCTGATTTTTTTCCCTGTCTTCCCCTTTTCCTTAAGGTTGGCATTTTCAGGACTCTTTCCTTGTACATCTTCTGTTTTTTTTTTCAGTCAACCCTCACTCCCTTGGCAATATCATCATCAAGCTACCTAGCCATACATATGGTCACTCTCAAACTTAAATCTGTAGCCTACATAACTTCCCAGAACAGGCTGACACGTGCAACAAACCATTCAACGTTTTCAATTAAAAGTTTGGTAAAATCATCAAACTTAGCTCTTGCTGTTCAGCCTCAGCACCACCAAATAAGCTTCTAACTCTCTACCCAAGTTTGGTTGTTTGTGCAACTCAAACACTTAAAGTCCTTTGATTCTCTCTTATATTTGATTCAATCTCTCAGTAAACACTTCCAGCTCTATCTTCACACACATTAAAAAAACTTTGAGTACTTCTCAGTAATTTTATTGCTACCACTATAGCCCATGTCATCATCATGGGCTTGAATAATTGCAACAACCTATCAGCTAGAATTGCTATTTCAACTTCTACCACATCAGTGCATTGTCAACGCAGCAGTAATACTGTTAAAATAAGAGCCTACACAGTCTATACCCAGTAAATAGAAACATATCAAATCTGCTAAAGCTCATAAGGTCATAGTAATACTTAAACTAAACAAAACAAAAACAAAATGACAAAAAAATTTTCAATGCCTACCTATGGAACATGCTTAATCTCCTAACTTATTATTTTGAAAATAGGCAATTGAAGCAAAATAAAGAAGGTTATAAAAATCACTATTTTAAACCCTTTAATAAGAGAATGTATCTAGCCAATGATCATTTATAACTACTAACATTACAGGGATTACGTGCTTCTGATGGAGGTGGAAAATAATAAGAAAAAAATATGAAATTGTATTGCAAGCAACCAAAACACAAAGACCAACGAAGCACTTTGATAAAGACATCAATGTATAGAAAATACAGCACAACACAATAAAAACACCTTAACAAACCAAAACCAAAAAATAAACCAACCAAACAAAAACAGTGAAGAACATGTTAAATGACATGAAGGAAAGGCGAATATCCAAACTAGGAAAACATACAAGGCATATATACCTTGTTTTCTTTAGCAGCTATATTGTCAGGGGATAAAAAATAAGAGAAAGATATATTAATTATTTAAAAAGACTAAATAATCTATCAAATGAAATGTTGAGATTTTATCGAACAAAACTGCAAATGCAACAGAAATAATTAACAGTAGGCCTTAATATAAATCCCTTGTTCTCTCCTTGAAAGATGTTGGTCTTCACTAGAGCTCTTTGCTTTCAGCAGGATTGTGATATATATTTGAATTTTTTAATTTATGAAAAATAACTGACTAGAGAAGAAAAGCTAGTTATGTATATGCATATAGCTAGCTAGCTAGCTAGATAGATAGTTAGATAGATATTATACATATATAATCCCTGGGTTATTAACCAGATATGAAATCTAAGAGATCACAAATTAAACACCTCTCTCTGATTATGTTGACTACATACATGGTTAGCACAGTGCATAATCTTTAACTAAAATGTGTGTGTGAAAGGAAGGGGTAATCAATCAGAGAGTTAGATTTTAATATTACTACCCTCAAGAGAGAGGGATGCTATGTTGGTACCTCTTTTTATTTTTATTACTTGAATTATTAGGAAAGTTTAGCATTGGGTAAAATCTATGATTGCTATGAATCTCTTTGACAAGTTAACACTTGTGATAATGAAGAAGGCAATTGGGGAGATTTGGACTCTGATGGATATTTTATTTTATTAAACAATTATAATTTTTAGGTGTAACTATTTTAGTTATCTTTGGGTTTTTTTGGGTTTTTTTTACTTTATCATTATTATACTTTAAGTTTTAGGGTCTTTACTTTTAAGAGTTATATACTGAAATATGTATTAATAAACCAATCTGATGAAGTATGTGCTGAAAATAACAGAGAGAACTGTGAGGAGTAATTAGGTTTGTAGATTAAACCAAATTGGCTAAATGTTGATGATTGACGTTAAGCAATGAGCTCATGACAGTACATTATACTATTCTCTCTGCTTAGGAATATTTTTTAAATATTCTATTCATATGCATTTATAAAGGAAGGCTTGAAAGTATTTGTTAATCTCACAAATAAACAGATGTGGGGTGAATCGCAGAGATATTTGAAATAAGCAGTCATGATATGTCATTTAATTGCTGATAGTTTTCAAAGTTTAGGCACCACTGCAATTCAAAGCAGAATTTGTCGTGACAATGTGCATCTCGTGTACAGAATATACACCGGTGAATTGCATATGGACCAGAAGAGAACACTGACAGTTCTCATAAGAAAGTGAATGAAACTTGATTGGGATGTCTGGTGTTAGGGTTAGAAAGAAAAATAGCTTAGAAATAGTAGTTCTAAATTTAATATGCATTCATGAATTCTGAAATAAATATACTTTCTCAAGCGTCTCCACACCTACTGATAGTAATAATGTAGCATGATAGAAAATGTAATGCTAGTGTCCAGGGCTTCTTGAAAAGCAGTTAGGGCAAAGACAAAAATGAGCTTGAGATACATTGTTGGGAGGCAGAAATATTTTCAAGGATTTCTCATCATACAAAAATATAGGCAAGTGAAGTGATAGACATAGTAATTAGCATGATTTAATCATTCCACATTGAATAAATGTATGAAAACATCAAATTCTACCCACAAATGTATATAATTATAATTTTTCAATCAATAATAATATTAACATTTATTTTTAATAGGACAGAAGGCATACAAATTAACATGTAAACCGAGGAGACTTCAGAATGAAGTCCCAACTTTCCAGTGAGTTACAGAAATTTATATACCTTCTTGAGATTTCAGAAAGAATGAGGGCTTGCATCCTGGTAAATAAAACAAATTATTATGGGGGAAAAGAGAAATTATACTGAGGGGCAATAAATGATTGTTAAGAAGAATGATTTGATGAAGGAACAAGAGATTAACTTGTAAATAGTTTTCTTTGGAACTTAAATGATCCTTGGAGAAAGTCATTATACTCATAAAAAGCTCTGTTTAGGTATAATCAAATATTGGTTTTCTTTTCTGCAATACATATGAGATAACAGAGAAGGGAGGAAAAAAATCCATTATTCTCCTGGGTGGGTCTGGATCTTCAGCTTCTTTGGAAGAGACCATGGGAAGTTTCAGATGAGGATGTTGGAGCTCAGAAACCATTACTCTAAATGTGACATTTTGACATGCTGAACTGAAGAAGAAAAATAATAATAATCATCAGTTTTAAGGAAATATTTTGTAAGGTACTGTTGAGATGAGCTATGACCAGAAAGTTAATGAGATATCTATCCAAAAATTTGGCAGAGCAATGATTGAATGAGTGAGAATAGCAATAGATATTGCCATCCAGAACAAGGCAAATCTTAAATATATATATATATCTCAAATGTATGTTAATAAGAAAAAAGAAAATAATATTATTTTATTTATTAAATAAATATTTAATATTATTTTATTTGTTAAATAAATATTATTTAATAATATTGATTATTTTATTTTATTCAATTAAGTACAGTTAAATTAAGTTTATTGGAATTTTCTAAAAGCTCTCAGGCTGGTTATCACAATTTGTGAGATTAAGAACAGAGGAAATTTCCAACTTGTTTACGAACTTCAAGTATCATCATTATTGCTCACCTTGGAGACATGAATGTTTCATTTCTGAGTAAACTAAGTTATCCCCAAGATAAGATGAGTCAGCTAATAATAATTAGGTCAGCCTTATCTAATGGGTAGAAGCTTGGGAGAAAATAGACCTATGAAAAATAACATCCAAATTCTGATTAATAACCTTGGCTATGCACATCATATAGAATTGTGAGAGTGCACATCCTTCTAATGAAGTTATTTTCTGAGATGTGGTTAAGCCCATGATGTTTATGAGTTACCCAGTGCAACTACATCATTTTCAGTGAAGCAATGGCTATCTCCAAAGCATATATTCACTCCATATTTGAGTAGCAGAATCATAAAGGAAACCTGTCTTGGTGCTTGGAGGGCAGTGTTCAAATAAGTTTATATTTGTTATCACCCAAATAATAGATCTACTTTTTAAATAAATTGACACAGAAAATATGATTTTCCTAGCTTCACGGGTTCTGAGTACAATACATTATCTGTCATCTGTATAATCAATACTCTGTAAGTCTTTAAGTTTTACTCAGAATAAAAGGCGCCTCTCTCTCTTACATTGCCTGCAGATTTTATGTAATCCACACCTTTCATGTTTTGTTTCCTCTCTTGCCTACTTCTCTCTTGCTTACTTTGCTACTTTGCTTCAGACAAATAAAGACAATGTCCTTGATCCTCAAACTCACCAGGTGTGATGTTGCACTTGTTGATTCTTTTAACCAGACCTCTCCATCACAAGATATTAGGCTGACTCACTTCTTTACCTCTATCAGAAGTGTACTCAGATGCCACCTACTCAGCAATAACTTCCATGTAATTATCTTTATAAACTCCAACCTAATCTAGCACATCCCACCAGTTTTCCATAATTTATTTTCATAGCCATCCAACACAGTCTATTTTTTAACAATGTATTTTTTTTCTGACTCCTCTCAATAGAAAGAAAAAAAAGACTCCATGAGGGATAGAGTTGGGGTCAGTTTTGTTTGCCTCTGTGTTTCTATCATCTAGGACATTACCATTTAGATAATAGGTAAATTTAAAAGGATATCAGTTGAAGAAGAAAAATAGCTGCACATATCTGAAATTGGACTTTTGTATGTTCCTCTAAATACTAGAATATCTTAATGAGATATATAGAGTTAAATGTTTATCATTATGCAATTTTACTCATTTCAAAGGAAAATGAGTTATATATAAAACCTAGATACAAAAGGTTTTATTTCAGATGATCATTGACATTACTTTTGTCAAGAATTGTCTTGTTTTCTATCTACAAAGGAAAAATACGTATTATAACCCTTTGTATCATCTTATTAAGGCAGGGGTTGTCTTTGTTCCTTTGATGAACTAAAAAGACATTTATTAACCTATATTTATAAATAAATGCTTCTATCTTTCATTTGGGGAAGACAAACAAAAAACAAAACAAAGCGAAAAACCTCTAGGAGTTTATGCCCTTGAATAAGCTACTGATTCTGGAAGTAACTAATGAAAGCCTGTAATACACATCTACTCCAAAGTAGTTCCATCTCTCTTCTCCAAAGCCACTTTCTTGAACTTACTTCAAGCCTGACTACTGTTAATTACTGTTTCTCCCTTCAGGATTTATTGTCCTCACATCTACATTACTTACAGAGGCTGAGAGTAACATTTCCAAATCTTTTAAGACAAAATGTGTTGATTCCACAGCATGGTATCTAGGGATCTCCACGATTATTCTCTACAACTATCTATATTTTCTGACCTACTGCTAGATCACAGATTTGTTTTTGTCTGATCAAACTATTGATAGTTTTCTGAATTATCATATTATCCATATTTTTCTTTCTGATTAAAATCCCTTTCATGAATTTCTGCTCTTCCTTCAAAGCGAATCTAAACTACTGGCTTTTTTTGCAATTTATGTATTATGTCCTATTTTTTACACTTATTTTAATTCTGGACACATTTATAATGCTGTTATCTTTGTTTTCAGGAACTGTTACACCACCTTTAGAACTCTAGTTTTTAACAGAGCCTATTTTCTCAAAAGCCTAACTCAATACACAAAAGAATTTCATAACATTTTGTAGATTTACTCAAGATACGTAATATAATTCTGAGCATGAAATCAAAAATTTTACTATACTTCTAATTTGTTCATGGGTTTTGAAATGCTGTCAATTTTCTTTCTTTTAGAATTACTACATTCCTGACTTTTAGAGCTGACTCATCTTTTAAAATTTCTGGATATGTCATCATAGCGAGATTATCTCAAAATTATTTTTTGAAATTTTCTTATTTTTAGACAAGAAAAGTGGTTTAAGTTGCCTACTGTGGAGTTAAAACGAACCAGAGAGTTTCATATAACTTGCTATGCAACTTTCTCTTTACTTCCAACTCTTCCGCCAGCTCTTTCTTATTGATAGGAAGTCCAGTGTAAGTTTCCCTCCCCAACCTTTTATCTGAGTGAGAGCTGAAACTGTCAGTTGAGTCAAAATTTTTTAGATGCTCAGTTTTTAGCAGAATATAAGCTCCAAAGGAAATTTGTCTCATTTTCTTCCATTTTTTGCTCTATTTAAACGTGATCATCTACATTAAAAAAAGTCAAAGCTTTTCCCTGCAGAGTGAAACATAAACACATCCACACACAGACACACACACCCAACACACCCACCCATACACACACACACACACACACACACATACACTACACTTTGCTGTCTTTTCCTTTCATTTTCCTTCAAATTAACTTCCTAGAATATTATTTTCACTCTAAATTTTTGGTTTGTTGGGCCTTCTGAAAACAGTTCTCTAATCCCCACTTAATCCTTAAAACCAAGGAAAGACATCACCTTACATTTGAAAGGAATATGAAAGTGCATTTTCTTCCAATACTTCTCAGGCACTTAAATTTCTACAAACATTTTCAATAAATGTTCACCAAACCTCAGCTTGAAAATCTCACATTTCCAATGTGAGAGTTCTCCCTGAAGTTGGAAAAAACAAAAACAAAAACAGAAACAAAAAACCTCAAATGTTAGAATGGCCCAAAGACAAAATGGAGTTTTTGTTGCTTCTACCGATTGGCTGGAATTATACTCTTTGGTATAATACAGAACAGGTACTTGAACTTCCAGAAGAAAAGTCCTTCAAATATTTGAAGAGTGCTGTAATGATTTACTAAACTTTTTATTTGTTAGTTATTTTTACTGTTAAGATATTTTCAACGTTTAACAAAGGGAGCAAGTAAAAGTTAGCATACAGTTTCAGATATCTTAAGACCAATAAAAATCTTTGAGTTTGAAGGTTATGAGGTGCTTTAAGACTGACAAAAGCATCCTCAGGTTGCTGTCAATAGGCTTCACTTCCAACGGTTCAGAGGCTAGGGCCAACTGCATTTTCAACCTCGTGCTTTTGTATCTGCCAGACTACTTTTAACCTTTTAATACTTTCAATTATGTACAAATGCTTGCATTTTATACAGGCAAATACTTTCTTGACAACATACCTACTCTATTACCCTATTAGACTTCTTTTGAAATGCAAGTTTTGCTTATTTTTTCATGTTTGTGCATCATTTGTGATTTTTAAAATTTATGTATCTGTCATACCTGGTGTTCTTAAGTTTGCCTGATTAAAACTATTTTTTCTGAACATTATTTCTTCTTCTGGTTATTTATTTTGTTTTATTTTATTAAATTCTGCTATAAAATTACAAAACTAACACAATCACCATAACAAGTAACACAATGTAAAATATCTAAAGAAAAAATAATCATCATTACCTACTCCTCCCCCTTGCGACCGCATTTGCCTAAGAGAAGCAATGTTGAGAAGATTGTAAACATCTTCCACAATTTCCCCCATGTGGATAGAAATGTGTGTGTGTGTGTGTGTGTGTGTGTGTAAAACAGAAATATTTTATTGTTTTTATTGTTGTAGTCAATTTACCATACCATATGTATTAACCCACATTTTTTCTCATTTAATAATATATTATATTCTTTCCTCTAGGTCAATAAATAACATCAAGAATGCTCATTTTTATAGCTGTATAATGTTCTATGGTATTTGTGACCCACTGTTTTACATAAATATTGCTCTAGATGTGTTTTTTTAATATTTTGTCAGTCTTTGGCTGAATGATGGTAACTTATTCTCACTTTAATATGCTTGTCACATTAAAACTCTTGGAGTGTTTTATAAAATTTTCTGCACTACCCTTTTATTCTCCTTGTCGTGAGTTGTACTGTCTCCATTTCCATGAAGTCATGATTTTCTTATCAAAATAATTGACCCATAAAACCTAGCCTTATGCAATTTAAGCAAGTGGAACAGGTATCGCTGGAAATACTTATCCTTAATGTATTTGCTGTATATGTATGTACAACTCAGGTTTATTTCACCTGGACTATAATGCCACCAAAAATACTACTACATTGCAAAACTGTGAGGATTCATTATCTGAAAACCTAAGCAAATGCCTGTCAGGTGTCGGGGTTAAACGTTTTCTTCTTTATAATAAAAGTCTACCCAATTCATGACTTTTAACTAAAAGTAGAGATGAGAAGACCATCTCAGTCTCTGTTAGCTTCAATGTGATGAAGGAGACTCAAGTCACTAAAAATCTAACACTTACTCTAGCCACTTGTTAATTCTCTTATGAAACAGTGAAAATTAGCAGTAGAGGCAGTCATTTAGAATGCACACAAGTTGATCTTTGAATAACTTCGCTTATATCCTGGCTAGGTAAAACTTTCAGAGATGTATTTACCTCATTTATAAAGTGGAAATAATTGTACCTTCCTCACAGCTCACCTGTAGATATTAACAATATAAAGAATATAGGTACTTATAACCATAGCTTGGGCATAGTAAACTTATTTTTATTTGTTCACTTATTTATTTATTGTTTATTTAGAGACAGGGTCTTGTGTTGTCACCCAAGTTGGAGTGCAGTGGTGCCATCACAGCTCATTGCAGCTTTGACCTCCTGGGCTCAAGTTATCCTCCTATCTCAGCCCCCTGAGTAGCTGGGACTACAGACATGTGTTACCTTGCTCAGTTTTTTTTTTTTTTTCCAAGTATTTTGTAGAGAGCGGTCTCCCTATGATGCCCAGGCTGGTCATGAAATCTTGGGCTCAAGCAATTCTTCTTCCTTGGCCTCCCAGCCACTATTATAGGAGTGAGCCACCACACTTGGCCTAGTCAACTTGCATAATGTGTAATAGCTAGAATAGCAGAGTCTCTGTATAGTAATTCAATAAGCATCTTCTAGGCATCTACTGTGTGTCTGGTACTATTATGGCCCCAAACTCAGTGACAATTTAAATATAATGCTGTTTCTCATGGAATTCATAGAAATGGAAAAATTAGTGAAAGCTGGGTGATTATTAAGGTCTTCAGTCGATGGAAAGGTGACAAAAACCTGAATGTGAGAGAACAGAAGGCATATGGAAACAAAAGCATTTTGTTTGATATAATAGGAGAAAAAATATTAATAAAGTAATCGGATATAGAATTGGTAACTTAGCTGAAGTTAGATAATTCAAAATTTTAATGCCACTTATGTACCCAATTAGTAGTCTTCAAATATCATTATGCATGTTTTCTAAAGTGGCAACATGATTCTTCATAATATATGCCATCCTGTATTTGGGGGATCTTTGTGATATATTGCAACAATTACCTTTCCAGCAAAATCTGACTGTAACTTGTGACAAAGTAGCACTGTGGTCCATCCAGATGTCATTGATATGTTTACTCCTGTCCCTTTTATAAGTTCCTAAGTAAATACTAAATCAATTGTTTCACTATTTACAGCTTTTCTACTTAGGAAGGAATTTTCTTTCCTACATAATACATACTTGTCTTTGCATCATTTATGGGGAACAAAGTATTACTTAACAAAGACTTAGAGAATTTTTCCATGGCTTCATAATTCTCTTTCACTAATGCAATAGTTATAAATATACTAGTTACAGAAATACTTAGGTATAATATAAAAATTACCACAATAGCCTACTTATCATTAATCTAAATGAGAAACTCATAGCATTTTTTATTCCCACTAAAAATGTCACTGAATAGCAGTCCCCAAAAAGTGAATATTCACTCATTCTATTATCATTTATAAAATGTAAGAATAAGTTAAGAAACAATATAATACGAAATAATTTATTTTAATATATGTAATATCTAACAAAAAATTGAAAGATTGAGTTAGTTATTAGGATAATTTAAGTTTTTAAGGAAATTTGTGGAATTATATGTCTATCTTAAGCAAATGAGCCTTTTATCTCAATTTATAAAAAGTGACCTTAATTTTTTATGGTATTCTGCATAAAGCCAGGAAAATCCTATATTTCTTTTTTTGCTAAAATAAAAATATATACAATGAAGAGAAAGCAAAATCTATACTGTATTTTATGATAGCTACATAACTTTCCCTTTAAATTATATGGTTGAATCTTATCTTTCAAAGCAAAGCAAAATTATTTTAAGGAGAATAGATCTGTATATTGTTCACATATATTTTATAATGTGAATGTTTTCTTCTTCCTTGATTATGTTTTTTACACACAACATCAAATGTTATCTTGCTTTGTAACTATCTGTAATAGTCTAATTGAGAAAAATGGGATAATTCCTACATATTTTTCAGCAAGAAAATGGATTTTTAGAGACCACAAAAGTCAGGAACAGGTGATGATAAACTAAATGTGTTCCTCTAAACTTTCTCCCCACCAAGAAATATAGTTTGCTATTTTAGGAGGCCCATGCTTTTGAAGACTATACAGTCAAAATTATCAGCGTATATAACACAGAATGATATCCCTAGCTTCTTATATTTTTAAAGAACATAGCTTTCTTGTAGTAGCTTAAAAATGCCCTTTGAAAAGTTTACATGCATCCGAAACCTCTGTCCTTCCAAGAATTCTAATTTAAAACTCTTTTGTAGTTATATTAACTCTACATACTGAATTGAACTCATACTTTTATTTCAGCTGATTAATGTGAGTTTTTACTTTCTCAGATTATTTGATAATCTGTAATAGAGAAGATACTTGAGTTTGATAGATTTGAAACAAGATTCTTTCAAGGAAATAACAAATCAATGACTGAATAGAAAAAGAGAAAAGAAAGCAAAAAAAATTATATGTGGACAGGGAATAAAATAGTGGACCATTACTCTCAGGAAATATTGCGCACAGTTGAAGCATGCTCCTGGCTTACTGAAAAGCTACCATAGTTAATGGCTCTTCTATGGCTAAAGGCTCTGCATCACCTAGATCTTGATAGAATTGCAGACTTTCAGGACCCACCTAGGATCCATTGAATCAAAATCTACAAGATCTGCAGGTGATTAGTAGACAACTCAGTTTTCAGTTAATGGGCAACAGAGAATTTCTGGACTTATTTGATTATCGATGATGATGATGATGATTGATGATGATGATGATGATCATATGAGTAACTATCGGTTAAACACTTACTATATGCTAGCCTTTGTTGTAAGTCCTGTATGTTGATTGTCTCATTTAGCTCATATAATAACTTTTACAAGTTAGGTGCTAGCATGATTTCTGTTTTATAAATGATCTCATGATCTTGATGACCATGTTACAACGCATATACAAGCATCAGAAGAATCCATGCATGGAATATGTGCAAATCTCATGTGCAAAAACTATATCAGCAACTTTGTCTGTAATGTAATCTGTTTCAGAAAGGGAGAAGCAGAAATATTTTTGTTCCATTGGTTGACTGGTTTGTTAGTATATTGTTTCATTTTGTAATATTTTTCAAATTTACATAATAGTCTGTTATTCTACCAAGCAAAACAAAAACAAAAATGAAAAAAGCAAAAAAATACTAAAAATAGAGACTTATTTGAGAAATAAATGCTTAAAAAAAGGACAGAGAGTGAACTTTCATTTAGCTTTAAATAGGCTATAATTAAGCTGAGGAACTTTTTAAAAATTTAAAACCTCCATTTTATCCAGTGAAATTAAATAATTCAAACTTAAAGTTGCTGGAACTTTAAATTATCCTGATCCTTGAGAGCAATGTGGCTATTCAGCCTGACTATAAATGTGGCATAGAGTTTCAACTTCTGCCTTTTTTTCCCCTAAATAACTAGGGAGATCAAATAGCACCAAGGATAACTGCCCTCAGATTACTACCCCTCCTCATGGAAGAATAAAATAATCTTCCTTGGAATGTAGAAATCTGTAACCAATCAAATTTGCTGTAATATATGCATTGGTTCATATGGAAAATGTGATCTTGCTAAAATTTTTCTGTGCCTGCCTATGTAAGTGAAACCTTAACTTCTTCACTTTAAAACTCTGACCCCATGTTTTTGGAGTCTGTGTTTCCCAGGTGACTCTCCTCATCTTCAAATTTTTCACTCAGATGAACTTTATACTTAATCATATTTTTCAAATACTATTCTTTAAAACTGACAATTCTTAAAGGGTTATATAAAGGAAGGAAATCCATTTAAAAGCAAATAAAATTTTATGACCCTCTAAATTTATTATGCTAATGGAAAAGTTAAGCCCTAGAGATTGAGTTATGTAGCATTATGTAGCATATATCTTCTGCTTCTTAGACTATGGAGTAAGTCTCTTCTTTATTGTTCCTGTTCTGTAAGTGACTAGGAGAGACCAGACACCAGGTCTCCTTCCCTGCCAATCTCTGATCTTTGTTACAGATTCACTGTCTCCTTTGTTGTTCTGCACCTAGCTCAAACCAGATGGCACAAAAGATCTCATGACTGTTATATCTTCAGTGGGGAATATTAAATACACCTTTCCCAAAAGAAAAATACCATCTGAGTTAATCAGATTGTTGTAACTATTCATTAAACTTTATGTGGATAGATGTTGAAATTCTGTTAAGCTTCCCTAAAATTTGTCTATACAAACTTTCCCAAACTTCTATACTTTGGAACACTAACCTCCATTCTTTGGAATATGTATTTTCCAGGCAGTTTTCCTCAAACTTTGTGTTGAATAAGTTATCTTTAAACTAGATTCTGACCCTTTTGATTATTTTAGGTTGGTGTCATTGACCTTGAAGAAAATCCTTACACCTCTCTAAAGGAACTTCTTTCAACAAATGCTTTTAACAGCAAACAAGTATTAATTGAGTACATTATTTTATTTATTTATTTATTTGAGATAGAGTCTCACTCTGTTGCCAAGGTTGGAGTGCAATGACACAATCTTGGCTCACTGCAACCTCCACCTCCTGGGTTCAAGCAATTCTCCTGCCTCAGCCTCCTGAGTAGCTGGGATTACGGGCATGCACCACCACAAGTCTAGCTAATTTTTGTATTTTTAATAGAGATGGGGTTTCACCATGTTGGTCAGGCTGGTCTCGAACTCCTGACCTCGTGATCCCCCCTCCTCAGTCTCCCAAAGTGGTGGGACTACAGGCGTGAGCCACTGCGCCCAGCCATGAGCATATTATTTTAAAAAGGATGCAGTATTGAAAATTTTTTTTCCTGTTTCTATAGACAAAATTGAAGAAATGCTCTTGACTGAAAATAATATGAAAATATAAAAATGTAAATATATTGATGAAGAGCACTGCATAATTAGGTTAGGTTATAATTAGGAGCTTCGATGTGCAGATCTTTCTAAGTTGTCCCTCTCATGGCAACACATTCTTCACATCCCTTGTTGTTTAAAGGATTCCCCTGGATCTTGCTACACAGCCAGTGATATCACTTGCCCCCTCTCTTCTCGGAGCTCCTACTATTACATGGCACAAATATTTCAAATAATCTTAAAGTTTGAGGAAAAATAAAACAAAATCATTTTCTTAGTGAATAGACATCAATCTTTAGTTAATGAAGAATCACATGATTTTAGAGTAAAAGGGAAGTGATTACATTTTCAAGATACTAGTCAGGCACAGTGACTCATGCCTGTAACCCCAGTGCTTAGGGGAGCTGAGGCAGTAGGACTGCTTAAAGCCAGGAATTTGAGACCAGCCTGGGCAAGCAAGCAAGATGCCTCCATCTCTACAAAAAATTAAAAAAAAAAAAAAAATAGATGGGCATGGTGGCATGGGCCTGTACTCCCAGCTACTCAGGAGGCTGAGACAGGAGAACCCATTGAGCCCAGAAGTTCTAGGCTGCAGTGACTGCAACTCCAGTTGGTGTGACAGGGCAAGATTTCTAAGTTAGCCAATATCGCACACCTAGTATATTGCATGGAAGATATACTTGACTGCATATGCTATACATTCAGACAAAGAAGATGATAAATAAGACTTCTACTGACAAAAAGAGTAAAACACTGTGCAATATTTGAAGAGATTTATTCTGAGCCAAATATTAGTGACCATGACCCATGACACAGCCCTCGGGAGATCCTGAGAATATGAGCCCAAGATGTTTAGGGCACAGCCTGATTTTACACATTTTTGGGAGATATGAGACATCAATCAATCAATCAAATACATTTAAGATGTATATTGGCTTGGTTCAGAAAGGTGGGACAACTTGAACTGTTGAGAGGGGCTTCCATGCTATAGGTAAATTTAAAAATTTTCTGGTTGACAATTGGTTGGCTTATCTAAAAGACCTGGGATGAACAGAAAGGAAATGTTCAGGTTAAAATAAAAGGTTGTGGAGTTCAAGGTTCTTTTGAATTCTTATAGTGACTGCCCTTAGGGACAATAGATGACAAATGTTTCCTATTCAGACCTTTAAAAGGTGCTGGACTCTCAGTTAATCTCTTCAGGATTAGGAGAGGCCTGGAAGAAAAAGATCTAGCTATGTTGGTATAAATTCATTACAGATATAAATTCCCATCCTCCCCTTACCACCTCACAAAGGATGGCATTACAGGGCCATTTCAAAATATGGCAAAGAAACATGTTTTGGGGTAAAATATTTTGATTTTTTCCTTTGTTACGTAATGTTATGCCAGAGTCAGATCGAAAAGAAAGTCATGATAAAAAGGGTTAAATAAATCCCATCTGAGGAGAATTTATGGTTCCTAGGGCCTGACTCCCCGACCCTTACATAGGAATCTGGGCAACATCAGGAAAAATCAGAGCTTAGTCCTCACTTTCATCCTGAAGACTCTAAGTACTTACTGTTCATGTTATTATTCAGTGTGACAATGTGATCATCTCTTAATAGCTGAACCAGTGCCCTTCCTTTATGTCCAGGGCACTAATTCATACTGAGATAAGTATAAAATGAGACAGTTGGGGAGTCTAGCCTGACTGTCAGAAACAGGATCTTTTTTTATGTAACCATTGATAATATGACATTAATTTTTCTAGTCTTATTTCACAATAAAATTGACACAATAAAGAAAATCACCACCTTTCTCTTGCTAATGAAGGCTTAATTATTTTTTTGACATATTAAATAGAGTTTGGGTATTTCAGTAGTGTAATAAAGCTTTGGAAGGAAAGTTGATACATTTGGGTGACCATGAGTAATGAAAAATTATTTTCCTGAATAAAAATGAAAGAATAGTAAGTTGGTATAATAAAGTTTCCAGAGAGTTTTGCTTTAAACTTCAAAACTTAAGTCTTATTTGGCAAATATATACTGATGCATTTATTGCCCTGATATGGTATTATTTATATATCAAAAATCATTATTTTTGAAAAAAAATCACATTTTAGATGATATCTGGGATTAATACAACTCATAAAGTAGTAGAATAACTCTTTAAAAATACATTTATATATATCACCATCTCATTATCAAAAGGATTCAAGGTAGTAAATACATGTACATTAATTTTGATTGATTGAAATATCATTACCATACTAGTTATTTTTAAACATTCATATTCATAATTTAGTTTGCAGTTTATACTTACTTTTGTCTTTTCAAGAAGATATATAAATCACTTTAGAGAAGTATATCTGTGCTTTCCTTTACTCTTAGGATAAAATCAGAGACTAACTAAATTACAGGGGCCAAAAGGCAGTGGACATGAGGCCACAGTTACTCCTTTGAAATTCCTGGACCCCTCCTGCTTAAGTAAAGAGTTACAGGAACTAAGTTAACCACAAACTGATAATGACTATTTCAAGAAGCACTGTAGCCTTTAGCCAACCATCCCTTAGCTAGTTTCTGTTAACCAATGGTATTTCTATTTGAAGAGGCTGAGACTGTCTTTTTATGTCTCTTCATTTTGTCCTTAAAAATCTTCTGTAACCACCCCAACTAGGAGCACCTGCCGTACTTGGTTTGGAAGTGTGTTTTCAGGGTTACAATGCATAGATTTGGCCCAAGTGTACTCTTTACCTGAAGGCATTTGCCTTAGTTCTTTCTTTCAGGTGGACATTACTAATATGTATTATTGACTAGCTAAAATTGTCAAAGTTAGAGAGAGAGAGAGAGACAGAGAGAGAGAGAGAGACAGAGAGAGAGAGAGAGAGACAGAGACAGAGAGACAGAGAGGAGATAAAAGTAGCTTTTTCTTGGTTTGTTCTTTCCATGAGGATGTAAATACAGTGCTCTCCCTCATGACAGCTCTCACATGCACACAAACACATACAATTTTTATATTTCAAATTGATTTTTAGTCGCAGTTACAGGGTTTTATTTATTTATTTATTTTTAGTTTTTACTTTAGTATGATTTGGTTCCCTGGCATTTTTTCAATAATCTCCCTTCTTAGAAGCTTGGTTTTCATGGCCTTAGTGTTCACAATGCATTCAAACTTTTCAGCTTTTCTCTACTCATTCTGATTTTCAAGCTTTCATTTGTAAGTAAATGGAAGGCCTGAAGAACCTCCCTGCTGTGCAGGAATGACTTTAGAATGTGACTTTCTAATGACTGAGAGGCTGTCCTTTAGGAAATTTTACTCCTGTCACTACCGCCCCCCAACAATGGATCACCTTTTTAGCATTCTTTCATATTTTAGAGATCTCTTTGTCTAGAACTCATTTAAAGCAGTGTAGCCAAGTGGAAAGAAGGATGAACTGAAAGTCAGGGAAATCAGGTTGCCACCTGGCTCTTGTGCCGCATATTCACTTACTCTGCGTTCTGAACTTTTCTGTGAATGTTAGAAAAATTAAATTATCTTCTCTGCTTTCCACCCTCTCCCTCTTTCCCATTCCCTTCCTCTTTGTCCTTCTTCCTCCTTTTCATACTTCAAGGAGGTTTGAAGGATAAATTACATACTAAACCAAAAACTTTACATAAATGTCACAGACGTTTGAACCAGAGCAACTCCATCTTAAACAGGGACTTGGTAATGGGCTGCATTCCAAGGTTAAGGCATTCTTAGTCACAGGATGAGAGAGGAGGTTGGCACAAGACACAGATCATAAAGACCTTGCTGATAAAACAGGTCTCAGTAAAGAAGCTGGCCGAAACCCACCAAAACCAAGATGGTAATGACAGTGACCTCTGGTTGTCCTCACTACTACACTCCCACCATCACCAGGACAGTTTACAAACGCCACAGCAATGTCAAGAAGTTACTCTAATGGTCTAAAAAGGAGAGGCATAAATAATCCACTTTTTGTTTAGCATATCAAGAAATAACCACAAAAGTAGGCAACCAGCAGCCATCGGGGCTGCTCTGCCTATGGAGTGGCCGTTCTTTTATTCCTTTATTTTCTTAATAAACCTGCTTTCACTTTACTCTATGGGCTCGCCCTGAATTCATTCTTGTATAGGATTCAAGAACCCTTTCTTGGGGTCTGGATCCAGACACAATTCTGGTAACATATAACAGTGAGATGTTTTTAAGCAAAAGAGTTACAAATCAGTGTACTGCAGGGAATTGCTTCTTCTGTTCAATGTACAATAATACATATATGTGAAGGGCTGTGATGAGAGAATAATGCCTTTTACTCAGGGTCTACTATGCACTAGTTGTTGTGGTAGGTGCCCTATAAACACTATTTTATTTATTCTTCGCTACTGTACTATGACATGTGTATATAATCTCAATTATATAAATAAAAAATAGGCCTGGAAATTTTATTTTTTTTACTAATTTTGTAAATTTATAAAAAAACAAATGAAACACAAGTGCTGGTGTCAATATGGGGAGAGTGAGCGTTAAGGAGTAACTACTTACTGGGTCCAGGATTTAGTTTTCAAGTGATGTGAATGTTTTGGAACCAGACAGATGTGGTGGTGGTGGTGGTAGAGTAGGTAGTTAGGAAGTCAGGAGCAGGGCAGGACAGGGATGTCAGACGACCATCAGGTGATGGTCAGGCAGTTGTTAAATTGTCTCTCTAATAAAATAATAATTGGTTGCAGCCAGCACCAGGAACAGGCAGTCTCCCAATAGATAGAAAACACCTGAAGCAGGTGAGCAGCAGCTTCCCAATAAGATCTCATGGGTTGGGCAAGCGGGCCCACACATGCTCACTAAGAGACAGAACAGGCAGAGTTTAACTGGTATATGATCTTCTAGGAACATTCGACTGGTAAGGAAAAAAAATGCCTCAAATGAGCACGTGCACAACTTCAGTATACACATGGCGCATGCGGCCCTTCCCAAGTGCTGGCAGGCCACTGTGCATGTGGAGAGCCCACTTCAGGGGAAGAATCAGAGGAAAGGAGACACAAACAATGGAACCATGCCAACGTCTAAAACTCCAAATCAAGGCTGAACGGCACACTTGGATTTCTCAAGTTGCCCGCTTGGCCCTCTTCAAGTGTACTTTATTTCCTTTTATTCCTGCTCTAAAACTTTTTAATTAACTTTCAATCCTGCTCTAAAACTTGCCTCAGTCTCTACCCTTGCCTTATGCCCCTTAGTCAAATTCTTTCCTCTGAGGAGACAAGAACTGAGTTGCCACAGACATGTACACATTCACTGCTGCTAACAGTGGTACAACATTGTGAATGTACTAAAGGCCTCTTCAATGTTCACTTTAAAATAACTAATTTTATGTTATGCAAATTTTACCTCAATAAAAAATAAAAGTAGTGTTAAAAAAGTTATATGAGGATGATCTTGCCTGGTTGTATTTTATATTAAGACTAACATACTAGAATAATGCCTCCCATGTCATCAAACTTTATGAAATTCTTGATGTAGGATTATAGGTGAGAAAAGCAAGGGATAAAATTATATTTTTATCTGAGGCCCTGGACTCAAATCTCAATATGGAACTCCATAGCTCGGTAGATAGTGTAGAAGACTCACATTATTCTGCAAGTATGTTTTAAATGCTAAAACCAGAGCAAGTGGAAAAGCCTATCAACCTTAAATAATGATATTTCAACAATATGATTAAGTATAGAGTTTACTCAAGCAGAAATTGTGAAGATGGCCACCTGGGAAAGTACTGTCTCCAATCAAATGAGGTCAGCATTTGCAAAGTGGAGAAATTAAGGTTTTACTTATGTAGACAAAGATGAAAAGTTCCAGCAGGGTTATGTTTTTACACTGGACAGGTCATATGCTATAGCAATTTGGCTGGTTTCAGATTGCTGCATTTCAAAGATTACTTTATTACTCTGGGAGGAGAGCAGTAATTCGAAAAAGTCTTACCTCTGATGCCCTTTGGTTTTAATTATTTGCAGGAAACAAAAAATGAAGTTTCAGTCGCATGCCACATGACATGGGTTGTATAGTCACATTCCTTCAAGGCTCAGGATAATTTAAAGTTTCAAGAGCATTAAGTTTAAATTATTTTAAGTTTGAATTATTTAATTTTACATTTTCTACATTTCATCAAGATCTTTCAAAGAAAGCATTGTAGATCAATTCAAATGGTTTGGCTCCTTTAATATATAGAAGCATAGTCTCATATCCACTCAGAGTCTCATATCCACAGGACACTAGGAAGCCTCATTTCTAAAATGTCATATCCCACAACAGGAAGAATTTGTCAGGCTACAAAGCTGATGAGGTATAGACCAAATTTAAAGCAACATGAGGGGAGTGACTTTGTGATCTGAGTTAAGATACATAACTGGATTTCAGTTAATGCAATATTTAAAGTGATCATTATTTTAATTTTTTTCAGTTCTATGTTGGCTCAATTGCAAACAAGTGCTGTAACACCAGTGAAAACAAAAACAGAACAAAACATAAATGATTATAATTTCTAGAATAAGTAACAGCTTTTGCCACCAAGCTCCCCAATATTCAAAACAGTTGCTTAGCCAAGCATTTAGAGAGGGTGTTGGATCTGAAAGGACAGTTTTTTCGGTTTCATATTAGTCATTAATTTATAATGCTATCCGATTCATTTGGGACATAGACACAACACAGTGTTTGTAATAATGCAGGTTCCTCCTTGGGCTGCAGCGAGTATGTCTAAAGCCCCACAGTTTTGTAATATAGCCTTTCTCATAAAAGTAACTTCATTCTTTTATAAAAAGATATTCATGCACTATCATTTATGTTCTTTTGTGTATAAGGGCCTCTACATGCCAAATGACATCCTCAATACCCTATTGTAGCAAAAAGATGGAAAGTAAATGATCCTACCAGTGATATACAAACGAACCCAGTAAGATTGTAAATGAGGAAGTTGTGTGGGCTTTGAAAGGATGTGAACTATTCATCCTTGTACCCAGGCATAACCTAAAAACCACCATCTTAACCATGTTGGGTGTAATTGTGCTCATAGATTGATGCCACACAACCAAGAGATTTCATTTGGAGCTGGCCATTTAATACTAGTTTGCTGTGCCCATTCAGTGGCCTGTCAATCAGCACTTTGTACTATAATGGTGTGGATACACCGTTCTCTGAATATCTATCTCATTGGTGCTATTGGGCTATGTATCTTTGGTGCAATAGTTTTGTTCCCAACATAAAGGGGAAAGATGACAAAACTGACCAAAAGATGGGGTATGCCAGATAAAATCATGCCAGATTTGTGTTAATACTATCCCAAAATTGAGTTGTCATCTCAATTGGGGTAAAATCTGTGTGAAAGCTAATAAACCAGTTTCTTTCACCAAAAAACTCTTCCCATGCCCTTTGACTTCGTAAAGTCTTATTAATAGAAAAGTGATGCTGTAACATACCTGGATGTGCTTTGGTCAAGGAATAGGCTGAGGCGGATATCCAGGCCTGTGTGACTCAGGGAGTTTGGTGTGCAGGTGCACACTTACAGTTGTTATATAACCTGTTTTTGTAAGTTCATACTTGGCTCTGAGACACTATTTTCTGTAAAATGTATAATTGCCCTGCTAACACTGTACTGGGGGTGGGGGGGCATCTCTTGGGTCTTGGCTTGGCTCAACGTGGCTTGACATGGTCATTGTGCTGGTGCCCAGAGAAAGAGAGTGAGAGAGCGAAAGCTGTCTCTCTTGCAGACGAACAGGAGGGGTCCAGGACACAGCTAGGCTTGCTTGTACACAGAGAGAGAAAGAGTTAAGCTGCTGACCCTGAAGGCAGGGGAGAGCCGGCCGGCCATGCAGCTGCAGGTGTGAGGGTGGGAGGAGCGGCAGAGCCTGAGCAGACAGCCAAGATAAAGGTAGACAGTGTGAGAAAGCTGCTGATGAGGGCTGCTGCTGAATAAAATCATCTTTCACCTGCCTACGGCCCCCCGAGTGTTCTTTCTGCTCACCTATCCACTCTCCTCGGACTACAGCATGAGCTGGACCTAGTCCCCAGGACCTGGCAGATGCACATTGTCCTTAGTCATACTAGTGTCAAGCACCAATGACTGTTTGTGAGAAGCTTAGAGATATTTCTGATATTCTATCCAATCATGTCCTTGGAGTGGAGATACCCACCATGGTATTCCAGAACCTTAGGGAAGGGACATGAAGCTGCATATCTCACAGCTGTTTTTCTGTAATCCATTGGCATAGTCCTGAGCCTATGGTAAGAAGAGGTCTGCTTTATGGGCAACAGCTAGCGATAGTAGAAACAAAATATAAGAACTAGGGACTAACAGAAAAAAGAAATAAGAAATAAGATTTTGTAGAAACTTATAAAAGACCTTCCCCCTATATTAATGATCATTAATATTACATATTTCTTATGAGATAGGCCTGGTCCACTTTCTTAGAAAAGCTAACTACTTCAGATGGCATATTGTTCTTGTTCTTGCTGGCTCTGAGGAATTTTAATTATAGATCACTAGTTTGAGATGAAGTTCAAATTGACAAAGCAGCTTTCTTAAATAGGTGATGTGTATTCAGGAATCAATTCTTTTTCTTTTTTCTTTTTTTCAGCTGGAGTTTCACTCTTGTTGCCCAGGCTGGAGTGCAATGGCACAATCTCGGCTCACTGCATCCTCTGTCTCCCAGGTTCAAGCAATTCTGCTACCTCAGCCTCCTGAGTAGCTGAGATCACAGGGGTGTGCCACCATGCCAAGCTAATTTTGTATTTTTAATAAAGATGGGGTTTCTCCGTGTTGGTCAGGCTGGTCTCGAACTCCCAACCTCAGCTGATCCAACTGCCTCGGCCTCCCAAAGTGCTGGGATTACAGGTGTAAGCCACCGCTCCCGGTCAGGAATCAATTCCTTTACATTTAGTAGCAAAAGGGCTGGCTAAAAGCACCTGATAAGATTCCTTCCACCTTGATTGGAGAGTTTTTTTTTTTTTTCTATTTCTAATCGACAAAATCTCCCAGTTGAAGTCCATGGTCCTTGAGTATTCCATCTCTTGGGAGTCCACGTGGAAGAGTCTTTTACTAAATTATAGTTTTAGTTAGCTATCTTATAAGGCAACTGCAATAATACAACATATTTCCTTTTAATATCATAGATTCACAATTTCTTGGAGCAATTTCACAGGTCTGTCTGTTATAATTTCAAATGGGTACAGTTAGTATTTATCAAAAGGAGGTTATCTTAAAATAACCAAAACCAATGGGAGAGCTATTGGCCAAATAATTTTTAAAACCTCAGTTAATTTTGAGTTTTGATTACTTCGTGTGTTTCACTAATGTAGATGTCTAGGGGGAATCAGCCCAGTGAAAATTTTGGAGAATTAGCCAGATTTTGGATACTGACTGGATTATTTGTCCAGTAAAATGCGTACCTTTGTCACTCTTAAATAATAAACACCATAGGTTGGAATAATTTTACATAAGAGAATGCCACGCACTGCTAAGGTTATTACTCTTCTGCATGGAAATGTTTCTGTCCACTGACAAAACATACAAACCAACACTAGAGCATATGGGTATCCTCGTGATGGCAATAGCTGCATAAAATGTAATTGCCATACCTTCAAAGTGTATCTGGTGAAAGAAAACAACCTTAAGAATTATGCAAAGTTTCCAGGGGTTATGTTTAAGGTAGATGTGGTAGCAATCATTTACCTTATTAGCAAGGATAGGAGAAGGTTTCTAATAACACTACTTTTCTCAAGCAATCATCTTATCGGGGTTTCATTGAGTTAAAACACATACTGAGAAAGATGACTGTGATTTGGTTGGAAGTATAAGTAGAGCATTTGCTCCATATCATAGCCCAGTCTCAGAAGATTAAGTACCTAGTTTTGTTTCTCAGTTTTCTTATTGTTTCTGGGGCTGTAGATTGGGCTAATTTTATATTAAAATTGAGTGCTTCCTTGAAAGCTAAGATGGGTTGATTTTCTTCTTCAAATATATTTACAGCAGCCCTTTTGTTATACTCTCTTGGAATTTATTTCTCTTGCTTTCTGGAATGTCTGGCTTTGGCTTGGATACTTGATAGTAGCTAATGATTGTGGCCATAGTATGACTTCCAATAATTCTAAAACAAAATGTCCAATTTTTATGGACTGACTAGAAGAGGTTAAAAATTATCTTTGTTTCCACAGCATTCCAAAGTTACAAGCTACTGTGAAAGCATATCTGGTCTCTGTATAAATATTAACATCTGTTCCTTTTGCCAATTGATAGGCCCTAATTCAAGCTATTAACTCTGCTTATTGGCAGCAAGGTCACTCCTGGAAGATAGGCAGTTTTTATTTCTTCAGTCAAAGATGTTACAGCATAACCTGAACAATAAATTCCAGATTCATTCTTTAAGTAAGATCCATCTGTAAACTAAATAACATCAGCATTAGTAACAGGAATTTCTTTCAGGTCCATTCTAGGAGAAAGAAGCTGGTTGGTTAAGATCGTACAATCATGTGGTGTTTCATCTGAAGCCAGAGACAGAAGAGTGGCAGAATTTAGATGACTACATCTGGAGATTATAACATGGGGACCAGACAGAAGAAAAAAGTCATGATAAGCTATTATACTAAGTGAATAATTTTGAATGTGGTGAGAGTTTAGAAGGCTTCCACAGAATGTGCAATGAAGGGAGAGTGAGAGGAGATCAACTCCACTATTTCTTCAGTTGCCCTTACTTAAGAGGCAGTAGCTGTTGTTGCTCTCATGCTAGGTGGCAATCCTTTATCCACAGGGCCCAGTTGTTGACTATAGTATCTACAAGTCTATTTTAATCTCCATGTTTTTGAGTCAGAACATCAAAGGCATCTCCCTGATTTTTATGAGCAAAAGTAAAATTTTGTAATTTGGATGTATTAACACTGGTGCACATATAGGTCTTTTTAATTTCTTCCTGTGTTAACTGATTTTCCTCTGTTCATTCCAGAGGGTTTGGATTATCTTGTTTGAAAAGAGTATAGTAAGTCTCAAGTTTTAAGGAGAAATTTGGAATCATATTTCTGTACTATGCTGCTAACTATAAAAATTCTCAGTTGTTTCTTAGTTTTGGGGGTGGAGAAGGCCAATATTCATTTTAATCCATCTGGATTAATTAAAAGGCCTTTCTTTGATATTAGGTGACTTAAATATCTTGTTTGTTTTTGACAGAATTGAACTTCTGCTTTTGAGGCTTTGTGTTCATTTGAAGCTAATTGTTGTAACAAATAAATTCTATCCTCTCTGGAGGCTTGCTTATCCTCTCATTGGAGAAGTAAATCATCTATATACTGCATCAACGTGGATTCTTAGGAAATCAACATCCAAAAGGTCTGCTTTTTAATATTTGTAAAAAATAATTTGGGCCCTCAGAATATCTTGGAGGCATCAGTGTCCCTGTGTATTTTCTGTCTTTTCATGTGAAGATGAAAATACATTGACTATCTGTATCCACAAGAATGGTAAAGAATGATACATAGGTCTATTCCAGTAAAGAACTCACCCTCTGTTGGAATAGCAGTCAACAACATATATTTGGTACTACTGGATGTTAAGGAATGGCTATCTTATTAATTTCACTCAGATCCTATATAAATCACCATCTACTATTTGGTTTTCTCATGGGGAAGATTGGAGTGATACATGGGCTTGTACCACTAATAATCAACCTTCTTTTTTAATAATTCAAAATTATAAGTCTTATCTCTTCCAAGGCCTCTGATCTTAAAAGGCATTGTTTAAGGTTCAGAAGAATTTTTGATATATATTTGAATTGTAATATGTATTAGGTCTGTGATAAGAATTTACTATTTTTTTAATGTGGCCTTATTTGTTTACTAGACTTTAAACTTATAGAAGGAAAAGAAAGCTTCTGTTCATCTTTTGATTCCCCACAGCACCTAGCACAGTGGCTTCCTAAACTAGAAACTTAAAAATTACCTTTTAGAATAGATGATTGAAAAAGATATACATTGAATATTTAATATCGAAGAACTTGATTACATTGATTGCTTGATTATGTCTTAGTTTATAAATTGCTCATTTCTAAGACTAGTAATCTGGACTTCCATACTATAAAAAATCCTATATAGTCATCATTAATAATATATTTTTTTAATTTTAGAAGCAGTCTATTTAGAAAAATACTGCTCAATGGTATATAAACAATTTGTATTTGATAAAGTTTATTTTCTAAGGTTTTTTTACACTTTGCAACTAATATAATGAGAAGCTAAAAGTATTCTCCATAAACATAAGTCATAGCACTGTTGTTCTCATTTAAAAAAAAAGGGTATGCAATTGTGTGGAAAAGTACTGATAAAATCCCATTCCAATTAAGAGGATACAGATTTTACACTTTCAACAATGTTCACAACAGGGACACTCAAGCTTCTTTAAGTACTAATTACTTCATAGAAAGATTTTGGAATTTTAAAAACAAAAAAACATAGTTTTTTGAGTCTTAATTATAGGCTTCAAGACTCAAAAAATGTATATCTGGAATTAAGGTAGATTCTTTATCATAATAAATATTCTCATACTGTCACTCTGTGAAGTCTAGGAAAGTGCTCAGCTTGATTGAAGGCAAAGATGAGTCAAGCAATTAGGCAAGTTATCTAAAAGTAGAAGGGACTTGGATTTGATATTCACAAATGTACTCAAAAAAGAGCTTTAACCCAAAACAACAACAGAAAAAATAGGAAGTAGATACATACCCTTGTCCAGAATTCAAATGAAGTAAAAATTCAAATGAAGACCAAAGAGAGTAATCTATGGGACATAGACTAATTTCTAAATGTGAAAAGCAATCAGGGAAAGGCCATGAGGAAAACATCAGAGATTCAGCTGTGTGATCACCCAGGGGAACTTGCAGAATATAGTATCTGAGAAATAAATTTCTAAGTTAAAATGATGAAAAGTAAAAAGAAAATATTGATAGTAAATTGGTATTTCTCAGAATAGAACTGCCTTAAGCACAATGAATAAGGGTCAGAACTGATTCAAAATCATGTGTCATAGCTGACTCATTAGGTGGTAATTAAGTTTACAACATCCGTGTTACAGGGATATGAGGAAGGATAGGCTCTCCTCTCACAAAAATCCAAAAGATATAAACTAGTGTGTCATATGCCAATTAATTTATCTAATTACTAATTTTTATATCTTTATTTTTATATATTAAAACTAAAGCTTCATGCTGACTATGGTAGTCTAGATTCTTCTGAAGCACACAGTCCCCTTTTTTTTTATTTTTTTTTATTTTTTGAGACGGAGTCTGGCTCTGTCACCCAGGCTGGAGTGCAGTGGCGTGATGTGGGCTCACTGCAAGCTCCGCCTCCCGGGTTCACGCCATTTTCCTGCCTCAGCCTCCCGAACAGCAGGGACTACAGGCGCCTGCCACCGCACCCGGCCAATTTTTTTTTTTTTTTTGTATTTTTAGTAGAGACAGGGTTTCACTGTGTTAGCCAGGGTGGTCTCCATCTCCTGACCTCGTGATCCGCCCGCCTCGGCCTCCCAAAGTGCTGGGATTACAGGCGTGAGCCACCGCGCCCGGCCTGCAACATATTTTTAAACTCTCCTATACATCCATGTAAAATAGACAATGTAAAATAAAAAATGAATAAAATACTTGAACAGGCACTTCCAAAAGAAAATTACAATTTGGCCATACTGGAGAAGGGAAAAATACTAGGTGAGCATTTGAGAGGCTCCTGTGGGACCATAAACACTAACTAGAAGTGACATCTAGCCTAAAAGTTGACATCTAGGCAGAAGTGAAGTAAAATAGGGGAATGGGGGTAGGTCTGAGGAATATTTGCATAGGAGAGAATAGCTATCACAAGTCCTCAAGGCAAAATAGAGAGTCCAGTGTATTGAGAAACTGAGAAAAATTCAGCATTTCTGGAGTTTAATGTACACAATGGATGGTGTAGCCAACAGATGATAATGGAGAGGAAAATAGTGGCACTGCTGCTTGTAGATATAGGATAGTAGAAGGTAAATAGAAGAGAGTAAGATAGTAGGCAGACCAATTAAAGGGCTCTGGTCTTGATTCACGATAGATAGAAGAGCTGCTTTCTATGGAAGTGGCAATTGGGAAGGAAAGATATAGTATAAATCTGAAAAATATGTGTGTGTGTGTGTGTGTGTGTGTGTGTGTACATATATACATATGTAGGGGGCTTGATGAATGTTGGAATGTGAGGGGTGATGAAGAAGGAGGACACAAATTTAAACCCACGTTTCTGACTTACACATTAGAAAGATAATGAGTCATTCACCAAGATAGTAAATCAAGAGGGGGAAAAAAGTAGTTTTATTGTTTACTTCTCTATTTTTTTAAAATACTAAATCAAATACATATCAACAGGTACAATATCAGAATTTTCGATATTTCAGGCAGTGGTTAGTATAGGTATCTTTCTTTTTATTTTTCCATAGGTTATTGGAGTACAGGTGTTGTTTGGTTACATTCCTTAGTTCTTTAGTGGTAATTTGTGAGATTTTGGTGCAGCCATCACCCAAGCAGTATACACTGCACTTCATGCTATTTGTAGTCTTTTATCCCTTGTCCCCCTCCCATCCCTCCCCCCAAGTCCCCAGAGTCCATTGTATCATTCTTATGCCTTTGCATCCTCATAGCTTAGCTCCCACATGTCAGTGAGAACATATAAAAGGGAATGAATTAACGGCATTCACAGTGACCTGGATAAGATTGGAGATTATTATTCTAAATGAAGTAACTCTATTTTTAATAGTTATTTATTTCATAGAGGATGAAATTGGTGAATTTTCTTTTTGAATATATAATCTGTATTAGTTTTCTATTGCTGCTGTAATAAATTATAAGAGACTTGGTGGTTTATAAAAACAACAAATATGTTATCTTACACTTCTCTAGGTCAGAAGTCCAACACAGGTTTCACGGGACTAAAATCAAGGTGTCAGCGGGACTGAATTCGTTCCTAAAGGCGCTAGAGGAATTATTGTTTCTTTTCCTTTCTAGCTGCTAGAGGCTGCCTACATCCTTTGGCCTGTAGCCACCTTCCTGCATGTCAAAGCCAGCAATGTAACCTTTCCCAATTCTAATTTCACCATCCTGTTTCTGACCACAGCTGGGAAATGTTCTTTGTTTTGAAAGACTCATTTGATTAGATTGGGCCCCCATGGATAATCTAGGATATCATCCCTATCTCAAGGTGATAACCTTAATCATCTGCAAAATCCCTTTTACATTGCTAGGTAACATATTTATAGGTTCTGGGGATTGGGGCTTGCAAATTTTAGGGGGCTATTCTGCCTGCCACAGCACTTTTGATGTGCTGCTAGAAAATAAAGATAATTTATTTGCATGGAAATCATGTACAGGATTATGATTCAAGCTGGAAATATTTATCCCAGAATCAACTGTATATAGATTCTAATTCTAGAAATGAGAGTGAATGTTATTAATAAGAAAGAGGGTATAAAATTAAAAGAAAACTGATAAATATGCAAGGTAATGCATATGTTAAATAGTTTGATTTAGTCATTTCACAATACAGAAACGTATTGAAACATCATGTTGCATGCCATGGATATATACAATTTTCCCTTGTCTATTAAGTAAATAAATAAAAACGAGGGCAAACCCCTGAGGAACTACAATGCTCACATGAAAATTTATGGAGTTCAACGTCAGAGACAAATAGGAAGAGCACAGTATACCAGAAGCCAGAAGGAACACAGCAGTCAAAGATCCCAAGTTCTTCTACAAAGTAAAGATAAGAAAAGAGAAATATCCATGGGGATTTTTGCTTCCCTTGGTAATTAAACATTTTATAATGTAAAAAGTCCAAATTCAGCTTGTCACAAATTAAAGAGAGAGGATTTGAGGGAGGAACTTGTCAAGTTGTCTGAAGCTTTTTGGCCATGAAAGGGTGGAGAGAGTGAGATTGAAATCTGAGAAAATTAAGATTGAGGAGGGCTTGTATTTGTTGAATTCTAATAATAAATATAATGAACCCCTAATTAGGGAGACATCGAAAGTATTGGAGAGAGGAGGGATAAGTGAGGAGATTGTTCGATCCATAATTAAATGGGATAAGTGTTTGTTTTTTGTGTTTTTTTAAGAAAAGCAAACTGTTTGGGCCTGGCCATGTAAAAAAGAAGAACTCTGTTGTTTTTGTTGTTGTTGTTTTCCTCCAGTGTGAGAGAAGGAAAAGCACACAAAGATGAGACCAATACAGGTCTGAGCATATACCCAACTCTTTCATTATGTGAGGAGATGGAAAAAAGGAGCTTAGCAGAGACTGTGGAAGGTGATGGGTCAGAAATTTGGAAGAGTGAGGCAGATTTGAATTAGTTGCCATAGAGCTCTGGAGAGTGAGCAAGGCTAGGAAAGCAGTAGCTTCTCAAGAAGTATGTGGGGCCCAGCTGAGGTCATACACGCCATTATTGGCCAACAGAAATACAATGTAATTTACATTTCAAAGTAACCACATTAAAAGAAAAGAAACGGTTAAAATTAATTTAATTTAACTCAGTATTTTCAAAATATTTCCATTTCAAAATGCAATCAGTATAATAAAACTATTAATAAGATATTTTGCATATTTTTGTACTGTCTTCAAATACTAGGATGTACTTTCATCCTTACAGCACATTTCAATCAGACATTAAATTTTATCAGAAATTTCAATCTGTATTCAGATTTCATAAAATATACGGAGAGAAAAACATATTCAAGGTTTTTTTTAAACATAAAAAAAGGAATCATTTGGATTCTAACTTTAAATTAGTTAACATTAAATAAAATTAAAAATTCAGTAGGTAAGTTCCACTAGACACATTTGAAATGCCTGTTGCAACTAGAGTCTATTGTGATAGCACAATTATAGACTTAAGTAGTTGGTGGCATCGACTTGTTTTTTTTTGTTTTTTTTTTTTCCAGGAGAGTTTAGCTCATGTAAAAGACCTATCATTCTGCTTGGAATGTGGTAAACCAAATGTTTTGGATTTATTCTTCTTCTCCTTTCCATTTCTTTCTCCTTTTTTTTTTTTTTTTAAGAAATGACTTTAAACAATATAAAATTGTGTTCTCTGTCATCCCTAAATGTTTAACAAGAACAACAATAGCAATAGTAGTTAAAAGTTGCAATGCATTTATCATGAGCCATGATTAACTTAAGGACACTGTAGATATAAACATTTAATTTTCACATCACATCAGTCCTATGCGGTATATATAATTTTTATCCCATTTATGGACTAGAAAATTAGAAAGCAAATATTCACAAATAACAGAGCTATTATGTGTCTGACTAAAATTCACATCCAGGCAACATGATTCTGGAGTCTGTGCTCTCAATCATCCTGTTATATGGCCTAACTAGTCTTAAATTAATGCTTTTTCTTCTGCCAATCTAGTACCATTCACCATGGCTTTATAGTCAGTTGTCCTATTTGGCAAATTTCTCTTAGCTGTAGGCTGTACAAGTAGGTTGAGGAAAAATTCTGGGGTCATCATATTCTCTTTAACAGATAAAGGCTCTGTGGATCAGGCTACTAGCAGTCATAATTTGTAGTGACTGAATATCTCCTTCATTGCCTCTAATCATTTGTTTGAGGAAGTGGCACTGAAGTCTCACTATATTCTAGGGTCTGTCTAACCTTAGAATAAAGGATATTGTAACAGAGCAAGTGATGCTAAAAAAATAATAAGTATGCAGGGATTGGTAAACACCTGCAGATAGAGCCCATCTCAGAATCTATTTCTAGACAATTCACATCAGTATGTACTATTAACTAGACAGCTTGGAGATTTTCTGAGCAGTGACTTTGGTGGTTTAGGTTCACCAAATAACTGCAGCAGTCTTTTACCATATATTTCATGATTATAGATTTTTCTATAATAAGAGTGGAATTTTTATTCCCAAGACTTGGTATCTGTAACAATCAGTTAATTTTCAGGTTAAGACAGATGACTATTAATGTGAATAACAGGGTGAACTCCAGGAAGATTTATCGAAAATATTGAAAATCCAAGAACAAAGCATTGAAAATATTGAGGTCCGACAATGTTCTTCAAAGGCCAGTGTCATAATCAAGAAATATTTAATCCTGCTTAGAAGTTCTTAGCCATTTTGGATCTTTCTAAGATAGAAAATAACATAATTCTTTCATCAATTATTAAATCTATATTAGTGTTCTATAGGTGTCAGTGTCTGAAATGATACCTGGATATTTTGAGGCAGTGAAAGATAATTTATGCAAAGGGAACTAAACATATAAATATTTGATATTACCTTGTACCCCAAAAGGTAATGGCTTAAAATAATATTCGTTTATTATTATTCACTTATCTACAAGACAGTTACAGAAGATTGATCTAGGTAACATTTGGCTTTGCTTCATCCTCTTGGGAGCAGCGGGTTATCCCAAGTATATTATTCTAAGCTGGACATGGTGGCCCACGCTTGTAACCTCAGCAACCTTGGAGGCTAAGGGAGAGTAAGGGAGAGTATCACTTCAGTCCAGGAGTCCAGGAGTTCAAGACCAGCCTGGGCAACATAAGGAGACCCTGTTTCTAAAAAAAAAAAAAAAAAAAAAAATTGTCTCATTGTGCAGGAAGGAACATTTCAAAAGTAAAATTAAAAAAAAAAATTAAACATAACCAGGGAGGCTGAGGCGGATCACTTGAGCTCAGGAGCACTAGGCTGCAGTGAGCCATGATCACAGCACTGCAGCCCAGCCTGGGCAAGAGTGAGACCTTGGCTCAAATAAAAAACAAACAAACAAACAAAAACACCAACTATATTATTCTAATAGCAAAAATGCCAAATGACAAGGGAAATCACTAGAAAAATGCTTCCTAAGTTCACAGCTTGGAAGAATTCTCATTTGATCAAAGCAATTCATGTGTCCCAGATCATGGTTGAGACAAAGGGACGTACATTCTGTCCCAGATGAATCTATGGCATGCATGTAGATAAAGGACGAGGTAAAGAATTACAGTCAACAGTTCAATATATCATAGTTAGAAACTTGCAAAATCTAAGAAAAACATAAACTAGGCTCTAGGAAGAAGAGGAACAGGAAGAATCTCAATCAGGAACTCATGGAGAGAGTCTCATTTAGACACCATGCTGCCTACAAACTGGCTGGCCTCCTACTGGCTTCTGTGAATGTCTTATTCTAACAAGATAGAAACACACATTTCTAGTTTCAAGAGTGGTGGGTGGAGGTGTTATTAGCCTGACAGTTACTAATTGTACCTGGACCATAGTGTGAGGAGAATTAATTCCCCAAAGGAAAAGAGATCCTATTTTGCCAAACATATTTGAAAGGTATGCTTGACTGGTAAGAATAACTGATGTCCACTACAATTGCTTTGGATGTTTCAACATCCAGCTGCATATTATTCTTGTCAAAACGATCACATCTGGGTGTGATGTCAAGATCATCACTGATGATGAGAGAAACAGACATAGTATAAACAGATTGCAGATGAACAAAGAATTTATTCCCGAAGGGCCAAGGGAAAAGACAAACATAAAGACTGAAGGTTTATTTTACAAGATAAGATTTTAGATATTGGAAGAAATACAGGACACCGAGAATTTTTAAATGTAATTGGGTCTTTGCTGCTTTGGACTTCAGAAGCAATTGTGTCAACCTCTTTTCTGCCTACAGATGGAGTTACCAGGTCATTTTGGGAATATTCTCTTTACTATTGGAAAAAAATTAAATGACTAAAAATTCCTTAGTTATGTAAATGTAGAAATAGAAGCAATTCCTGCCCTGAGGAAATGGTATAAAATGATCTTTTTACATTTCTTAAGGTTTAACAATTTTTTTTCCTTTCCCTTAGCCTGCAGAATTCTGAAGACAGAGGTGTTGAGCCTGTCTGGTTTAAGAATAGTAACCTATCCATATTGTAGCTATGTGATAATTTTTTATAAAAGTAACTTATGAAAAGTAAATTAAGTACTAGTGAGGCAGGCTTGAGAAACATTTAGAGAGTATCAGTGCTTATTTAAACAAATTATATCTTTCTCAAATTTTAAGACCAATATTGTCAACTCCAAACAGAGACTAAAATCTAGATGTCATGTCTCTTCATGATCCGTGTGCCAATGTCTATTGAAGGATGGAAGATAGAGGATAAACGCAGGCATAAGCAGACAATTCCTTTCTCTCCTAAGGTTGTACCTAAAAGATCTGCCCTCCCCACCCCTTTAATTGTTGTATTTAACAAGTAATCACGAGTACTTACCTCGTGTTAAAACTTTATCAGACACTAAGAATACGTCTATCAGGTGTGTGTTGTGGGGCAAGGAACAGGGTGTGCAGAGAAAAGTTTTTGGCCCTTTGAAGGGAATTTGATTTTGGACTTGTAAGGCTGATATACTTATGAAACATCTAAATCAAAACATCAGTGTACAGTGGTGTTTGAAATGCATGAAGCTTTCATAGGAGGACTGCACAAATCCCATGCAATGGAAGGAAAAGGACCAAGACTGCAGAGGCACTTCCCTTAGCATGAGTAAACTTTAGACAAAGTTTCTCTCTGCCTCTGAAGAAGACCTTTGATCATTTACATTAAAATACTTGTAAGTGTAAATTATTTCTCTGTCATTTTGAGATATAAAACTTTTCAAAAACTACTGGCCAGTTTTACAAGCCAGAATTGTCTTTCTCAAGGACTCGGGAGCCATCCTTTTGAGATGGTAGTCATCAAGGAAGGTAGTCCAGTTTCTGCAGGCAAATAGGAGCCTAACTTAGGTGGGCACCTTTCTCCAAGCTGTAAAACTACTTGTCATGAAGACAGGAGAAAGTTTACTTTTCCCTTGGGTAAAGCCAATTAGCAAACAGAGGTGGCTCCAAGACCCCCGCCTCCCACTCCAGCTCTTAAAACTTCAGCCCTTTGTTTCAGATGAGTTAATTTCAGACTGAGTTCTTGCCTCTTGCCTACTACAATGGTCTTGAATGAAGGTTTTTTTTGTTGTTGTTTTTTGTTTTGTTTTGTTTCCTGATTAAATTTCTCTGGAGCAATTTTTGCTTTTAAAAGAGATTTTATCTCTCTATAAATGAGCTGATTTGTTCAGGATAGATAAATGAGATCATAGTGAAAGACCACTAATCTTTTCTGAAGCAATTAAAGAAGTAAGCACTGACCTGATCAAGGACTTAATAAGCATATGAATGCTAATGAGCTGGTAATTAACAACATAATCTTCGAATTTCATAATACCGTCCTCCCTTGGCATTTATGGGAATTGATTTCAGAATCTCAGGAAATCAAAATCCTGTGATGTTCAAGTCCCTGATATAAAATGGCATAGTATTTGCATATAACCTATGCACATTCTCCCATATACTTATAATGCCAAATGCAATGCCTACACATCATTCTATTCACATAAACTCAGTGCTTGGTGTGCAGCAAATTCAAGTTTCACTTTTTGGAACTTGGTAAATTTTTTTTTCCCAAATATTTTCAATCCATAGTTGTCTGAATCCATAGATGCAGAACCCACAGATAGGGAAAGCTGACTGTACTTTGCAGTAACCATGTAAGGAGTTTAATATTAATCAGAGAAAATACATATGTCCTTTAGTATTATGCCCAGAAAAGAATCATTAGCATGAATCAGCACACAAAAGGTCGTGTTCAAAAGTCTTTCAACTGACTATTAGAGAACTAGTAATTTTGAGAAAAGGAACTTGAAGAATATATATTTTATATCATGTCTCACTGATGCAAAAAATAAAATGATCTTAATATGTCCTTCAGGCTCTATCAGTTAGAAAGACACATCAAAATATGTGTGTATATGTGTGTGTGTGTGTATTCACCATCAAAATTAAAGAGGCATTTGCCATATTTGCTTTAGACCATGCTCTTTTTTTTATATTTATCATAATATGAGACAACAGAAACACGCATGTTTTTCCTCCCTTTAATTTTTAAGTTACATTAATGTAAGTATATCAAATGCTTGTTTTAATTTACATTTTTATAATCATTACTAAAGTTGAGCAACACTTTGTGAGCTATTGGCCATTTGATATTTTTGTCTGTGAATTACATTTCATATCTTTTGCCTATTTCTAGTGGATTGTTTTTCTGTTTGTCTTCTTGGTTTAGAAGAGTTGTTTGATTCAGATTGGTTAAAACATTCCCCCTGTTCCTATATTTCTACCTTGTTTATTGTGGTTTTTAATTTTAATGTGGAAAAAAATCATTTCTTCTTTTTATGCTTTCTAAAATTTTATTTTATGGTTTATATTATTTATATCTTTTCGAATAAGCATTCTTTACTCTGAAGAGACTTTTTCTGTTCTTATAAAACAGCATGGTCTTTTATTTATTTATTTATTTATTTTATTTATTTATTTTTTTGAGACAGACTCTAGCTCTGTTGTCCAGGCTGGAGTGCAGTGGTGAAATCTCAGCTCACTGCAAGCTCCACCTCCTGGGTTCACGCCATTCCCCTGTCTCAGCCTCCCCAGTAGCTGGGACTACAGGCGCGCTACCATGCCTGGCTAATTTTTTTGTATTTTTAGTAGAGACGGGGTTTCACCTTGTTAGCCAGGATGGCCTCGATCTCCTGACCTCATGATCCACCCGCCTTGGCCTCCCAAAGTGCTGGGATTACAGGCGTGAGCCACCATGTTTGGCCAGCATGGTCTTTTAAAGTTGTTATTTTGCTTAATGAAAATTTGTGTGTATGTGTATAAAGCAAAAAGTAGGAATATATAACATTTTATATATGAATATCAATATTTCTATTGCCATTTCAAATAGTTTATTTCTACACGAATTCATATTATCACTTTTGTTTTATATATAAGCTGTTCATATTGCCTTGCTCATGTATTTGTTCATTCTGACACATGTTATTTTTATTAAATATGACTTTTTAATAAGTGCTGAAATTCATGAGTGATTTCTCGCTCCCTCTTGTTTCTTCCATCTTATTTTTCATCATTCCTTCTCCACTTCCTTTTTTTTAATACCTTTTTCTTTAACTCTTTAAACGCAAGCCATATATCCTTGAACACTTCTCTTTCCATATACGTTCAAGACCAGCCTGGCCAACATGGTGAAACCCCGTCTCTACTAAAAATACAAAAATTAACCGGGGGTGGTTGCAGGCACCTGTAATCCCAGCTACTCGGGAGGCTGAGGTGGGAGAATCGCTTGAACCCAGGAGGCAGAGGTTGCAGTGAGTCGAGATCGTGCCATTTCACTCCAGCCTAGAGGACAAGAGTGAAACTTCGTCTCAAAAAAAAAAAAAAAAAAGATCATATATTCAAGTTTTATTTAAAAATCTCTTGAGATTAAATAATAAATTAATCTTGAGATAGTTGTCATAATAATGATCTTAAATCTTCCCATTTATAGCATCCTATATCTCTTATTTATTTCACTATTTTTACATATTTTTAAATACATTTTTAATATTCTCCCTAAAGATTTTGCCCTTCTTTGATGAAACTAATTTTTTCCCTTGTGGATGTTGTAATAAACTCTGCCTTTACAACAACTTTCTCAAATCTCTTTACTGCACTGACTATAAACTCCAGAATGATGTTGAATAGAACTGCTGATTTTAATGTTCTTAAATGTAACATGTTTTTTATTCTAAGCAATCACCATGAATTATGTTTGCTATAGATTTTTGTAAATGCTCTTTTTCCAGGAAAAAAAAAGTACTTTTATTTTCTGTTTTGTTTTCCAATTGGCAAAAGAATCAAGTTCATGTAAGATTTGTCCCCTATGCCTGTATCTGAATATCCTGAGCACTCATGCAGCTTGTCTAGAAGACAAACCACTGATTTTTCTGTGTATAGACTTTCTGTCATTGGAACATAAAAGCCAGAAAATGTTGTGATTAGTTACTGCATGTATTAAGTGAAAATTCTTCCCACCTAGGATTGTGCAGGTGGGTGGGCAAATACACCAACTAAATTTATGCCAATATCCTGTGTATGGCTGTCTAATTACTTTACTTCAGGAAGGGAAGTTCAAGAGCCTTCTGCTATAGGGAAGTATTTCAGCAAGCTGAAGTGCAGAAATTGAGAAAGGAGAAGTGGTTCGTTATCAGCATGCTAAGCCTGTTGGAGACACTTTCCCTGAGCAAAGAAAACAATGGACTCAGCAGTTGCTATTCCTCAAACAGGATTTTGCTATTGGCTGTTAACCTCATTTCTTTTACACAAGAAAGATCCAAGATAACTGTCCATTTCTGTTTTGCAGTGTACAAGGGTGAAATTTGAAGAGCCTTGCTCAGTATGCAATTAATCTTAGCTCAATTCACAGAAATCTTGGGGTAACGCAGAACAGAATGGTCACTCTGCTGGAGTGAAGCGCCAAGAATTGTAAAATGAGGAACAATTTTTACCAAAGAATTGAAGATTATAGCACAGACTTTATTCTCAGTCTTACCAAGGGTGGTGCAGGTGTCTATTGGGGTATCAAGGGTGGAAAACAATGGAGCAGGGCAGGAAGGTACTTCCCAGAAATAAATTACCATCCTTAGAAAAGCATAGGTTAAATACTAATGTCATCAACTGTAATCAATTCAGACTGACCCAGACAGAAAATAATGTAGAATTAGATTGAATAAAAGGTAGAAGTACTTAGCCATTTAGGCATTGAAAGCACCTGTTTTTAACTCATTAGGGAGTAAGAAACAAATAAAATAATCAGCAGTGAGTCACAGCTGGCAAATGAAGAAGGTGATAGTCACCCATGGCTTGGGTTGAAATACTTGTCTAAATCCTTGAGACAGACATTATCCAGAATTAAATTAAAAACAAGATGGGTGATGTTCCCAAGCAATAGGAAAGAGGACCACTGCCATAGGCAAAGGCCTGAGAAACACATTCTCAGCACCCCACACTAGGATGACAAGGTTTGGAAAAATGTCTAGGCTTACTCATCTAGTTAAACCTAGAGAAAGCATCACCTATGAACATCCTGGGTTGATTTCTATATGCAATTTCTACTCTGGGAAAAGAAATCCTGGACCAAGACATACTGCCAGCCTTCTTGGGAATGGAAGATTATCCTTTTGAGAGAAAATATTACTGGGGACATGAATGTTGAGGGATGATGACTTGATTAACCTTTATTATCTTTTTAGTAATTTCTCATCAACAACTGATTTATACTCACTGTAATCATTTCCATTAAGTCACAATATTGAATTATGTCAGGGTTAGGCTTTTAAAACAAAAGTATAAACTTGAACACCCCCCCAAATGAGTGACTAATCAGCTTTATTCACTTTAAAATGTCAGTTCAAAATTATATTATAATAACAATAAAATTAAAAGTTCACTCTGTCATCCAGGCTGGAGTGCAGTGGCGCAATCTTGGCTCACTGCAACCTCTGCCTCCCAGTTTCAAGTGATTCTCCTGCCTTAACCTCCCGAATAGCTGGAATTACAGGCATGTGACACCATGCCCAGCTAATTTTTGTACTTTTTGTAGGGACGGGGTTTCATCATGTTAGCCAGGCTGTTCTTGAACTCCTGACCTCATGTGATCCACCTGCCTCAGCCTCCTAAAGTGCTGCGATTACAGGCATGAGCCACTGCACCACGCCTAAATTTTTTTTTTAATTTATATAAGTTGAGTTATCTTGGTTTCAAAGATACAGGAGTTGAAGGAATCAATACATAAAGCTGAAGGAATCAAATACAAGTTCATTCATTCATTTAGTCATTTATCCATATATGCATTAACAGATTCTTTCATTAGAATCTCTTCTGTGCTAGGCATTGGAATAAACACTGAGGATACAGCAATGAATACACTAAAAAAAACAAAAAACAAAAAAAAAACAACAAAAAAACTCCCTCCTGGAGCTGACACTCTACTTATAGTGAAAGGGGGAAGCTTATCTGAGAAGGCAGTATCATGCAGATACCTGAAGGAGGAGGGAATAAGCCATGAACTCTGTGAGAGGAGACAATTACAGAAAGGAAAAAGCAAAATCCATGAGACAGAAGCATAACAGGCATGTTTGTGGGACGGCAAGACCAGTGAAAGTAGATGGAAGGAAGGAAACAAAGGGAAAGACTGGTAGTAAAGAGGTCAGAGAGGTGGAGAAAAACAGTAGTATTTACAGACTTGGCTTTTATACTGAGTAAGGTAGAAAGACAGGGAAAGGATTAGAAAGTTCAACATGATAACACATGTATTATTAAATTGCTATACAAGCTTCTCTATTAAGAGTAGGCTATAGAAAATTGAGTACAGAAGTAAAGAGCCTGTCAGAGAGTGAAATAGTAATCCAGCTTTTAACTTTCCTGATATGCTCAGAAGTAGCAATAGTAGTATAGGTATGACAGGAATCAATTGCCTAAAAGATTGATCTAAAGTAATATGTCTTTAAAACAAATCTTATGAAATTTCATTAATCTTACATTAAATACATGTTTTCTTAGATTTATAGACAGCTGTTTTCAATTTGTCTATTTCTGCACCATTACTATAATGTGCCATAGTACTTAGTTGACTGTTACGACGTATTTACTATCAGAAAGAGTCACTTCACTAATTTTTTTTTTTTGGGAGATGGAGTTTCGCTCCTGTTGCCCAAGGTGGAGTTCAATGGCACGAGCTCGGCTCACTGCAACCTCCGCCTCTCAGGTTCACACAATTCTCCTGCCTCAGCCTCCTGAGTAGCTGGGATTACAGCCGTGCCACCACGCTTGACTAATTTTTCGTATTTTTAGTAGAGATGGAGTTTCACCATGTTAGCCAGGCTGGTCTCGAACTCCTGACCTCAGGCAATCTGCCCACCTACGCCTCCCAAAGTGCTGGGATTACAGGTGTGAGTCACTGCGCCGGGCCACTAACAATTTTTCATAATTTTTCTGCTCTTTTTAAGATAAAAAAAAAAAAGTAGTTGAATTTTGTCAAGTGCCTTTTTTTTTTGAGTATTTTGTGGATTATACAAACAGAATTTCCACAAGCAAAACCATACTTAAGATTTTGGATTGAAATACACTTAGTTATCATTATTCTTCTATCTACTTTTTAATTTTACATGGTAGTATTTTGCTTATAATTTTAATGCCATCTATAAATGATGCAATTAGAAACTTCTATTCTTTGCTGTTATTCAAATTTGACAAATATCATATGAATCCTAAGGTAAATTTGGAATTTTTATTTTTTCATCTTAATATTGGTTGGAGCAGGAGACTATCTAATTAATTTTATTTAGTAATTTATTTTTTTCTGCTTGGATTCTCTAGAATTCCATTTTATCCTGATATTTAAATAACCAAATACATTATATTTAAGTAAATTAAATTAATTTTACTAATTTACTTTAAGTTATTAAAACAATTACTAACGCAATTATGTATAAATGAGCATGCCTTGGAGATATTGCAGGTTTGGTTACAGACCACCCTAATAAAGCTAAGGTAGCAACAAACCCAGTCACATGCATTTTTTGATTTTCCAGTAGAGTTAAAAGACTAATTTGTAGTCTATTAAGTGTGTAAGAGCATTATGTCTAAATAACGTGCGTATCTGAAAAAAAAAAAAAAACTTTATGGCTAAAACATACTATGGTAATCTGAGTCTATAACGAGTCGTAATCATTTTGTTGGTGGAGGGTCTTTCCTTCATGTTAATGGCTGCTTATTTATCACAGCGGAGGCTGTCGAAGGTTGAAGTGGTTGTAGTAATTTCTTAAAAGAAGTCAACAATGGAGTTTGCCTCATCCATTGACCCTTCCTTTTACAAAAGATTTCTTTGTAGCATGTGATGCTGTTTGATAGCATTTGACATACAGTAGAATTTCTTTCAAAAGTAGTCAGTCTTCTCAAACCCTGCTGCTGCTTTTTGAAGTAAGTTAGTGTAATGTTCTAAATCTTTGATGTCATTTCAACAATGTTCACAGCGTCTTCACCAGGAGTAAAGTCTATCTCAAAGAAACACTTTCTTTGCTCATTCATAAGAAACAACTCCTCATCCATTTAAGCTTTATTACAGTGCAGCAACTCAGTCACATCTTCAGGCTCTACTTCTAATTCAAGTTTTCTTCCTTTTTCCAGAACATCTGCAGTTACTTCCCCCACTGAAGTCTTGAATTTTGCAAAGTCATCCTGTTAATGTTGATATTTTGACCTCCTCCCATGAATCACAGATGTTCTTAATGGCATCTAGAATAGTAAATCCTTGCCAGAAGCCATCAGAGGAGTTATTATTTATGGCAGTGATTGCCTTATAAAAATTATTTCTTAAATAATAAGTCTTGAAACTTGAAATTACTACTCGATGCATGGTCTGCAGAATAGATATTGTGCTAGCAGGCTTGATAATAAGAATAGTTATTTCAAAAATAGGCTTCAAATGTTTAGTAACCATGCTGTTAATAGATGTGCTGTCATCCAGGCTCTGTTGTTCCATTTATAGAGCACGGGCAGAGTAGATGTAGCATAATTCTTGAGGGCCCTAAGATCTTCAAAATGGTAAATGACCAGTGGCTTCAACTTGATGTCACACTAGCCGTGTTAGCCCCTAACAAAAGAGTCAGCCTGTCTTTTGAAGCTTTGAAGACTGGCATTGACTCTTCACTATCTATGAAAGTCCTAGTGGTGTCTTCTTCAAATAGAAGGCCATTTTGCCTACACTGAAAATCTGTTGTTGAGTGTAGCCCCCTTCATCAGTTATCTTAGCTAGATCTATTGGATAACTTGCTGCCACTTCTACATCTGCAACTGCTGCTTCATGTGGCACTTTTATGCTATGCAGACAGCTTCTTTTTTTAAAGCTCATGAACTAACCTCTGCAAGCTTCAAACTTCTGTAGTTTCCTCATGTTTCTCAACCTTCATATAATTAAAGAGAGTTAGGGCTTTGCTCTAGATTAGGCTTTGGTTTAAGGAATTTTGTGGCTGGTTTGATCATCTATCCAGACGACTAAAACTTTCTCCATATAAGTAATAAGGTTCATTCTCTTTCTTATCATTCATGTGTTCACTGGAGTATCACCTTTCATTTCCTTCAGAACTTTTTTTTTCATTCACAACTCTGTTTTCAGCATGTCTTCCTCACTAAACTCAATCATTTCTAGTTTTTGATTTAAAGTGAGAGATGTACAACTCTCCATTGCACTTGAAAAATTAGAGGTCATAGTAGGGTTATTAGTAGACCTAATTTTAATATTGTTATGTCTCATGGAGTAGGAAGGTCCAAGGTGAGGGACAGTGGCCAGCTGGTTTTTGGAGCAGTCAGAACACACACGATATTTATCAATTATTTTACCTTCTCACATGGTGTGGTTATCTCAAGGCAATTACAGTAGTAATATCAAGATCACTAATCACAGGTTATCATAACAGATATAATTATAAGAAAAAAGTCTTAAAGATTGCAAGAGTCACCAAAATATGACACAGTGACACTAAGTGGGCTCATGTTGGTGGAAAAATTGTGCTGATGACTTACTCCACACGAGGTTGCCACAAATCCTCAATTTATTTAAAAAATGCAGTATCTGTGAAGTGAAATAAAGTGAAGTACAGTAAAACATGGTATGCCTGTATACATGTGCACACATACACACTTGTATGTCTCTTGCATTATTTTCTTTAGATTATGACACTCAGTGAAATTCTAAATGTTATATTTTTAATCTTTATTTATAATTTACCCATAAAATAACTTTTAAATTTTAATTTCTCCTTTATTTATTCTCTTCTATACTTCAGGAACTCAAATTATCTATGTTTGATTTTCATTCTTTGTCAGCCATATGTATTTCTTTAAAATTACTTTTATCTTTGTCAAAAAATTTCTTTCCATTCTCAGAAATTTTCATGTCAATAATTTGATTTTCAGATATGTCTACTCTGAAACTTGGTATGTCTATTTAATTGTTCATTTATTATTTCTATTATGATTAATACTCTAATGGTGTTATTTAGTAATGAATTTGAATTTATTTGCTTATACATGTAATTGTGTATACTGTTTTTTTCATTATATAATCCTAGCTTGTGTTTTTTACCTTTGTAAAACTTCATCAGTTATGAAGTATGAATCATTTGTTGGAGGAAATGTCTTTTATTTCTTTAGGTATGTTTTCTTCCTGAATATTTCTTTATTTTTTTGTTGTAATAATTTTTATACAACATAATCTTCTTATTCATCTTTTTTTAATGATACCTCTACCTTCTCTTAACCTAAATATATTGTACTTAATTTTTTATTAAATTCCTGCTTACTCAGTTTTCCTTTCCCTTTAGTAATATGGTTTGGTGGTGTGATATTGTTTGGATTTTGTTTACTGTTCTTCTTCTTTAGTTGCTCATACCCTATGCCAGAAAATATGCCCATCATTCCCCTATTAACGTTTAATAACAATATTAATATTGAACACTGAAAATAGGTGAAGCTAGACACAAATGTTATATTCACTTGTATTATCACTCCAAGTGGGTATTCTAGATGCAAAGAACCACTGCAAAGTCCACAACCCATGACTCACTGAGGAGGAGTCTTTTCTTATGTCATCTTCCCTGGAAGCAAGCTAAACATTGAACCCTTGTTCACCCACACACCCTAGAGAGCGTAAAAATTCATAAGAGTCAAAAGATATCTTTGGATAAAACACAAGAAATTTGATGTTTTCTGTTTAATATACTTAGAATTTTATGATTTCATATATTCTCGGCCTTGTATTTTAATGTCTTCCTTACCCTACCATACCAGTAATTTGCAATGTCAAAGAAGAGGTGCCAATATCAGGACATCTGTAATTGTTCCAACTGGAAGGAAGATGCTGTTGGCCTCTAATGGGGTAGAAGTCAATGACACTGCTAAACATCCTATAATGAACAGGACACCCCCGCCCCCACAACAAAGAATTATCTGCTTCAAAATATTAATAGTGCTGACATTCAGAAAATGTCCTAGATCACTCTGTTTCCTTTGCTCTAAGTTTCCACTTGATCTTCTTTGTCCTGTATTTTAGGTAGTCCTTGGTTGCTGTCTGCCAGAAATTTTGTTATCAAATATCATTCTGTCTAACATTATTCTTTTCTTGGTAATGGCCGGCAACTCTTGTCTTGAATAATTCTTATTCATGTCAGTAGTCACTTTCCCAATATAAGGAAGTGCAAAGAATATCTGAGATGTAAAATAGATTAACAGAATTATTTTAAGGCATTTTTATAGTTCATATTCATTATAAGTTTTCGTGGAAAACTATAAGGATCACACAATGTAATTATCTGTTTACCTAGTTAGGAACAATATTTATAGTTAACTCTAAGAATATTTTAAGGCTAGTTGTAATTTACATTTTCTACTTTTATTATCACTCCCGTGTATATTCCAGATGCAAGAGGTAAAATGAAAGGAGAAAGCACACATGTATTTAGCATCACTTATGAACTATGAATTTACTGGAAGTGTAAGGATATATAAACCTTACTACCCCCATCTCCAAGATTTCACAATAAACTGGGGAAAATATCCACATGTATAATCTATTCAAAAGGAATATCATATAGATGATATTTAAGGCCATGAAGCTAGATAAAACCAAGGAAAAAATTAGAGGCTAAAAACCTGTATAGGTTAAAGGGCAGAGCTTTGGGCTCTCCAACACTTCCAGGTTGGTAAAATGAGGAATATAAACTCTAAACTATAAAAAAAGACTAAGAACTATTTAAAATGGTAAAAATGTAGGAGAAAATCTAGAAGTCAATGATATCCTAGAAGCTAAGTGAATAGCTTCTTTCAAGAAGAGAGAAAACAAGTACTTCAAATATTGCTGACACATAAAGCAAGATAAGACTAAGAGATGACCATTCAATGTAACAAAGCATAGGTCTTTTGTGATTTTGTTGAAAACAATTTTAGTGGATGGTGGTAATTAAAACCTGATTATAGTGGATTCAAGACAGAATGGGGAAGGACAAGAATTTGGAGACTATGAGTTTAGAAACCATTTCAGGATGAATGTTCCTAAAAAGAAGGAGAGAAGTGGGTCATTGCTGAAGGGGCATTGAGAACAACGAAGTTTTTTGTTTGTGAGATTGCTTAATAAAATGCGAGAAATAATGATCATACACTTTGTGAAATGATCCAATAAAGAAGGAATATTTGATGATGCAACCAAGAGATTGGATAATTGCTAGAGCCCTCTTCTTTAGTTAGATATGAATAGGGAACCAGATCTGGTACTCATCTGTAGGGACTGGCTTATCTAGGACTGGGGAAGCCCTATGCACATAAACAGAAATCACGTGTATCATATGATCTTGATTGAAATTGAGACTAGTCAGCTTGGTTGTGAGGTTTTCTCAACCAAGTTAGTTGTGCCAGTAAAAGTATACAGAAGGCAGAAAATTGAATATAACAATGATTTTTAATTTGCCTACTGGGTTTAAAGAAAAAAAGCAAAAGCAAGAGAGCAGCAAAGAAATTCAGAGTTGTTCAAAAACAAAGTGATTAAGAATGATTCTAACGTTAATGATAGCATACTGCAGAGAATGCTAGGCAAAATGAACTGAATTTTAAGTTTCAGGAGAGACATCCTTAGCAAGAGACAGACTCTAACATCACATTTCATTATGGACAGTTGAAGAATAAAAACCAGATTCTTAAGAAGGCATTTGAAGAGGCAGGGCAGGACAAAACAAGATTTGGAAAATAGAGACCAGACAGATTACAAAATAAAAATATGAGGGTCTAGAGATGTACTTTTTAAATAATACCTGTGGCAAGTTTGGAAGTATCAAGAAAACTGAGCAAATCCGAACATGTGTAAAATTGAAAAATTAAAGATTTAACAATGTGCTATGGGAGCAAAAGGCAAAATAAAATTACTTATGGAGTGGAAGAATCATGAGGGAAAAGTAGCTTGAGTTATGTCTTAAAGTATAGAATGATAGCAACAGGCAAATAAGACATTCTCTCTCTCTCTCCTCTTTCTCTTTTATTATCTGCCAAGCTAAACAGCTAGAGTACAAATTGAAAGGTTTTATTGGCAAAGAAAATCAAGTAAATATAGAATTTTTACCATAAATTAAAGTATTCACTTTTGATATCCTACATTTACTTTCCATCATTGTCAGGTGAAAAACAAACTATAATAAATATATATTTCATGTTAAGAATATGCAATTTTGACTTATTAAATGTACTCATTCTATCAGAATAGCTTGATTATGCCTTAAAAACAAACTCAACAATTTCAGTGGCTTAAAACAACCACATTTGTTTTTTCCTCAAGCAACGTCCACTGCAAGTCTAAGCAACTTTCCATCGGCAGCTGGGTGTTGTGTTTCCACATTAGCAGTACTTCTGCTTTTATCACAGGAGAAGGAGAGCAGACTGGAGAATTGGATGCCAACTAAACACTTCCACCTGCAAGTGATACACACTTCTGATTATATCATTACCCACTGGAGGTCAAATGCTCATGTCTAACTTCAAGAAGGTGAGGAAATACAAATCTCTTGTGTTCTTTTAAACACAGGAAAACAGGATATTGGTGACTTGTAGATATGCCCAACTAAACATATATTATGATGTTTCTCTTATTCCTGTTTTATTATGATGGAGATTTATAATAATTCCCTAAATGTCCCAGCAAATTGATTTTTTTAAAATCGATGGCAATATAGTTCAAACATAGGATCTATGTTTGTTTCTCAAATCTGTTGTTAAAATTGCTTGATAGAACAAAATAGACCAGTCAGAGATACCCGCACCCCTGTGTTCATGGCAGCACTATTCACAATATCCATATTATGAAATCAACCTGAATGTTCATCAAGAAATGAATGGATTAAAAAAAACTGGTATGTATACACAATGGAATTCTATTCAGCCTTAAAAAGAAATTCTGTCATTTGAAAAAATATTGATGGAACTGGAGAACATTATGCTAAGTGAAATAAGACAAACACTGCATGTTTTTACTTGCCTGTGGAATCTAAAACCACTGAACTCATGGAAGCAGAGAGCAGAAAGGTGGTTACCAGAGGTTAGGAAGATAGGGAGAATGGGAAGATGACTGTCGAAGGGTGAAAATTCTTAGTAGAAATGTTTGATATTTTTTTCTTTTCTTTTGAGATCAATCCCACAGCATGGTGAATATGGCTAATAATTAAGTATTGAATATTTACATTTCACTGAGAATAAATTTCAAAAATTCGTAAAAAAAATTACTAAATATTTGAGGTGAGGCATATGTTATTTATCTTGATTTAACCATTTCACAGTGTATAAAACAATTATAATACTGTTTTTTAATCTATAATTTGTCAATGAAAGTCATACTAACCAAGAAGATACATTTCAAAAATAGTTAAAATGTGTGAGTTCACTTATTTGAATTACACATATTTATATGTTATTTAGAAAACTAATCATAATGCATTCTTCATTTACCAAAAACTAAATACACATTTTGTGATTTGATGATATGATTTTCAATCTAACAACAAAAACAATAAAAGACTGAATTCACTGTGGAATGTAAGAATTTGAAAACATTTATTTTTTCTTTTAAGAATTTTCTGCTCTCAATTTTTCTCAGCTATTATTAGTTTTTTTTATTGCCAAAATAATTTAGAAAGTGACAGAAGCACTTTGGGAGGCGAAGGTGGGAGGATCAAGAGGTCAGGAGATTGAGATCATAGTGGGTAACATGGTGTAACCCCGTCTCTACTAAAAATACAAAAAAATTAGCCAGGCGTGGTGGCGGGTGCCTGTAGTCCCAGCTACTCGGGAGGCTGAGGCAGGAGAATCGCTTCAACCGGGAGGCAGAGGTTGCAGTGAGCCAAGATCGTGCCAATGCACTCCAGCCTGGGCGACAGAGCGAGACTCTGTCTCAAAACAACAACAACAACAACAACAACAACAACAACAACAACAACAGCAAAGAACCCAAAGTGACAGAAGCATGAAGAAGGAAGGAGCTATGAAATGCAATTATGCTTCTAGCTTTCCTCAGTGTTTCTGAATTGGCTGACTTGAAAAAAAAAAAAAAACAAGAAGACATTTTGTTTGTTACAATAAGCACTAAGAAATAGTAAATTGTATTTTTTCACAGAAGTGCTTTAGTGCACATGTCATTGGATAAATCTGTGCAGATTAACTGAAACTTAAGAAGTATTTAAAATGACCCTTTCCTGTCTAGCACAGTACCCATGGGTGCTCCATAAGTGGTAGTCGATGATGATGGCACAGAGATATTGAGCATGGGTATTTAATAGCCTTTCATAGTGAAAGTGGATATGACTTTTAAAAATACTCATGTTAGTTACACTGAAAATGTATGTATCCTCTTTATATTGTGAATAGCAAAGCTAGAAATCAGACTGTGTCTACATAAGACTAATCATCCAGATACGAAGTGAAAGATGCCGTCATTTCTCCTGCCATTTAAAGGCATCAGATATTCTAAATGCATTTAGGGGAAACTATGACGTGCTGAGATAATTATCCATGTGATTGCAACTCCTGTCTCTTACAGCTATCAGATTTTTAGTTGTTTGTTTTAGGATTCCATGCAGTAAAGTAACAAAACTGCTATGTAGTTCATGAGTGTTGGGTTTCTTTTTTTAGAATAAACTTAACATTAAAAAAAAAACAAGATCAAAGAAGATAAAAATGCACATAAGTGATGGTGAACACTGTTCAATATATAGTTTTTGTTTCATTTCTGCATAAAATTCTTTACAGCTCTGGATATTGTAGAACTGCCAAGGTTTACATGTTTATATGAAAGGAAAAATGGATTGTGTTTAGATGAGCAAAACATTGCAAAATGATCTGTGTAGGTGAGATTGGTTTTGGAAGCTGGCAAAAGAGACAATATGCATTTCGCTAAGAGTGATATATTAGCAGTCACTTTTTTCTTGACACATACTTAATTATAAAACTTATAATAAATGGAATATCTGAAAAACAAGGGAAAATATTCTTATGATGATTAACTTTAATCATAATATTTGATATAAGAAATCACTAAAATTTTTGGTCACTGAATATAAGAAGAATAATAAATTTTGCTAAATCTGGTTCACAAACTGTAATATTAAATTAACTGCACTAAATAATCATATCTAATAGATAAATTTACAATGTTTACTTCAAAATGCCCTGAGCTCAGTGTTGGGCATTTTAAAGGAATTATTGTGAGGCTCTTTAATAGTTCAAGTGGTCAGTAATTATAAATAAATTATCTTTTCCAGTCTCAATAGAGTGATTCTCCAAATGCTGGAGCAGGGTTGAGATGCTTTGTACAAAAATTCTGGCATCTTTCTGATCTGCCTCCGAAAAGAAGATAGTTGACCTTCTATCTTTGTCCGTAGTTCACTGTTTTCACTAATGTTCACTTTCAGCTTTTATGAATAGCTGACTAAGAACATGTATTGAAACATGTCCATGTTGTAAAATGTATCAGGTAGTTGTGTACCGTTCTGGCTGAGCATTTGCTAGAGAAGCTGCTCTTTAAAAATTGTCAGCTTGGAGTCAGCAAGTTTGTTTTCAGAAGAATCTTTGACAGGCAGCTTTCAGAACCTTCTAAATTGGACATTAGTATCTAGACAGAAGTTACCACATCAAAAATACACTGGACTGCAGAGCTCAGAAGAGTTAAGAAAAATTTCATAGTCAACAAGGATCTTCCTGAGAGGAAAGGGATTTACATGTTGAACATTTTAAATAGATTAAGAAATATACCGAAGGCCACCCAAGGAAAATTCACAGTGATTAAAATCTAATATTTACATGGCATTCCTATGTATAAGACACTGTTCTAAATTCTTTCATAATAAACTCATTTAATACTCCCATTGACACTATGAGGATCTTAATATCCTAATTTTAGAGCTGAAGAAACTAAGCCATAGAGAGGTTAAGTAATTTCCACCAAATCACACAGCTATCAAGATAAGGACTCATCAGCATAAGTGGTTTTGCCCCCAGAGTTCGAGCTCTTAACTATTACATCACAGTTGAAATCTGAACTGATAACCTGGTCTCCACTTCAGGACCTAGATGGCTGTGGATGATATCTGTTTCTAGACTGGCATCTGAGTGCAGCTGGAAGCAGTTCACTCTCTCCCACTCCCACACCCCCACCTACCCATCCTGAAATAGTGTACTTTAGAACAAATTTTATGTCATATTAAGTGTACAGTTGAAACATTAAAGACCCATCTGGAAGATATTTCAGGCAGAGAATATAAGTAGTCTTGGGAGATAATATTTTAACAAGGATAGTATCGATGGCTATAAAAACAATAACAACAAAAAGAGTGTTAGTGGCTGGAAAAGATATGATTTTCCTTCTATCAGAGATTTAGGAGCAGGAGTTTGAAGTGAGCAAGCATCAATGTTCATAGACTGGGGAAAAGAGAAACTTCAGAAAAGAGATGAGTGCTTATTTTATTTTAAAAATAATTCCATAAATCCAACTTTCTGTGGAATGAACATATTTTGATATATATTTCAACAATTTAGGAATTATGTCATCTATTCTTTTCTTGGAAAATAGATGAAACTGTTTTTTTTCCCCCTTAATGTGTCAGAATTTTCTTTTTTTAATCAATAATAGATTCAGGGGGTACATGTGCAGGTTTGTCACATGGGTGCATTGCATAATGCTGGTGTTTGGGCTTCTAGTGAATTCATAAGCCAAATAGTGAACATAGTACACAATAGGTAGTTTGTTCAACGCCTTTCTTCTTCTCTTCCCCATTTTGGGGTCCCCAGTGTCTATTGTTTCCATCTTTATGCTCATATATACCTATTGTTTAAACACAAGTGAGAACCTGCAGTATTTGACTTTGTGTTTCTGCATTAATTTGCTTAAAATTATGGTTTCCAGCTGCATTCATGTGGATGTGAAGGATATGATATTTCATTCTTTTTTATGGCTATGTAGCATTCCATAATATGGCTGTGGCACATGGTGTGTACATACCACATTTTAAAAATTGTTGGTGCACTCTCAGGATTTGAACAGATACAAGAACCTTACAGGTTCCATTTGAATTTTAGAATAGTTTTTGTTCTCATTATCTGAAAAAATGTCATTGTTAATTCATTAGGTATTGGATTGAATCTGTAGATTGCTTTGGGAAGTATGGTCATTTAACAATATTGATTCTTCTGATTCATGAGCATAGAATATTTTTCCATTTGTTTGTTTCATCTATGATTTCTTTCAGCAGTGTTTTGTACATATTATTGTAGAGATCCTTCACCTCCTTGGTTGAATGCATTCCTAGGTATTATATTTTTGTGTGGATAGTGTCAGTGTTATTGAGTTCTTCATTTGGTTATCAGCTTGAACATTGTTGGTGTATATAAATGTTACTGATTTTGTACACTGATATTGCATCCTGAAATTTTATTGGATTCATTTATCAGATGTAGGTGTCTTTTAATCCTTAGGAGTTCTTAGATACAGGATTATGTCATCAGAGGACAGAGGTACTTTTACTTCCTCTTTTCTAATTTGAAAGCCTTTTACTTCTTTTTCTTGCCTAATTGCTCTGGCAAGGATTTCTAGTACTATGTTAGATGGGAGTGGTGAGAGTCAACATCTTTGACTTGTTCCAGTTCTTAGGGGAAATGCTTTCAACTTTTGCCTCGTCAGTATGATGGCTGTATATTTGTCATAAATGGCTCATTAATTTGAGTTCCTTTGATGCCTAGTTTGGTGAGATTTTTTTTTATCATGAAAGGATAGATTTTATCAAATGCTTCTTTGCATCTATTGAAATGATCATATGGTTTTTGTTTTGAATTCTATTCATGTGGTAAATCACATTTATTGATTTGCATATTTTGAACCATCGTTACATCCCAGAAATACTCGCATGAATGAGATGAAAAGATTAATTATCTTTTTTTTTTTCAGACTGGGTCTTGCTCTTTCACTCAGGCTAGAGTGCAGTGGTGGAATCACAACTCAATGTGGTCACAACCTCCTGGGCCCAACTGATACTCCCACCTTAGCCTCCTGAGTAGCTGAGACTAAAGGAACGTGTCACCATGACTGGCTATATATGTGTAGCCAGATTTGATTTGCGAGTATTTTGTTGAGGATTTTTGCATCTATGTTCATCAGGGATATTGGCCTGTAGTTTCCTTTTTTTGCTGTGTTCTTACCAGAGTTTGGTATCAGGTTAATACTTGTTTCATGAGAATGAGTTAAACAGGAATCTCTCCTTTTAAATTTTTTTGAATAGTTTTAGTAAGATTGGCACCAAGTCCTTTTTTTTTAATTTTTTAACACCTGTTAGAATTCAACTAATTTTTTGTTACCGTTCCAGTTCTGTAATTCATGATTCATGATTGGGCTGTTGAGGATTTAAATTTTTTTCTACTTCAATCTTGGAAAGCTGTGTTTCCAGTAATTTATCAATTTACTCTAGATTTTCTAGTGTGCACAAATAGAGATGTTCATAATAGCCTCTGAAGATATTTTATATCAATTGTAATGTCACCTTTGTCATTTTTGATCTGCTTTTTGAATATTCTTTCTTTTATTCTTGGTTAATTTAGCTTGTGATCTATCCATTTTGTTTATCCAAAAAGAACCAACTTTTCGTTTCATTGATCCTTTGCATGGTTTTGGGGGATCTATTTCATTTAGTTCTGCTCTCACCTTTGTTATTTATTTTCTTCTGTTAGCTTTGAGTTTGGCTTGTTCTTGATTTTCTTATTTCTTTAAGTGAAACATTAGGTTGTGAAATCTTGCCATTATTTTGATGTAGGCATTTAGTGCTATAAACTTTCCTCTTACTGTATCCCAGGGGATGTGGTATGTTGTATCTCTATTTTCATTTGTTTTAAAAATTATTTGATTCCTGCCTCAATGTAGTTATTTACCCAAAAGTCATGCAGAAGCAAGTTGTTTATTTTCCATATACTTGTGTAGTTTGGAGAGTTCCTCTTGGCATTGATTTCTAGTTTCATTCCACTGTGGTCTGAGAATATGCTTGATATGGATTTGATTTGTAAAAATTTATTGAGACTTGCTTTATGATCAAGCATGTCTCAATTTTAGAGAATATTCCCTGTGCAGATAAGAAAAAATGTATATTCTGTGGTTGTTGGATGAAGTATGCTGTAGATATCTATTAGCTCCACTTGATAAAGAGTCCAATTTAAGTTTAGAGTTTCTTTGTTAGTTTGCTGCCTCAATGATCTGTCTTAGTGCTGTCAGTGAGGTTTTGAAGCCCTCCACTATTATTGTATGTCTGTCTATCTGTTTTCTTAGGGCCAGTAGTATTTGTTTTATAAATATGGGTGATTCAACTTTGGGTGCATATGTATTTAGGATAGCTAAACCTTTGTGTTGAACTGAATCATTTGTCACTATATAATGTCCTTCTTTGTCTTTTTTTTTGTTTACTATTTTTTATTTAAACTCTGTTTTATTTCATACAAGAATAGCAACTGTGCTGTTTCTTGTATTCTATTTACATGATAGGTAATTCTCCATACCTTTACTTTTAGCCTATGAGTTTCATTACATAGGAATCTCTTGAAGACAGCCAAATGTTGAGTCTTGTTTTTTGTCAATTTGCCACACTTTGTCTAAGTGCAGCATTTAGGTCATTTATGTTCACAGCTAATATTGATATGTGAGGTTTTGTCTTTGTTATAATGATGTTAGCTAGTAGATTTGTGTAATGACTTTACAGTGTTTGTGAGCTTTGTACTTATGTGTGCTTTTATGGTAACAAGTATCCTTTTTTCATATCTGGTAGCAAGGATTTTATTATGGTAGCAAGTATCCTTCTTTCATGTTTAGAATTCCTTTGAGTGTTTGTTGTAGGTTCAGTCTGGTGGTGACTAATTCCCTTAGTGTTTGCATGTTCATATTAATCGTGGATATTCTGATGACTTTAGCCATTGGGTATGGTCATCTTGTATACTATCTTGCAGGTGTTCACTGTACTTCTTGTATCTGGATGTTGACCTCTCTATCAAGATTAGAAACTATTACCTCAAACGTATTTTCCAACTTGTTTGCTTTATCTTCTTTTCTCCCAGGAATGGCAATACAACATGAGTTTGATTGCTTTACACAATCCCATATTTCTCAAAGATTTTGTTTATTTTTTAGAATTATTTTTTCTTTATGACTGGGCTAATGTCAAAGATTAATCTACAGTCCTGAAATTCGTTCTGCTTTATCTAGTCTATTGTTAAAGCGTCCAATTGTACTTTGAAATGCCTTTAGTGAATTTTTCAATTCCTGAAGTATGATTTGTTGTTTCTTTTTTTAATATAGCTATCTCATCTTTCATTTCCTGAATCAGTTTTCTGGTTTCTTTGTATTGGATTTCCACTTGCTCATGGATCTTGTTGAGCTTCCTTGCTATTCATTTTTTGAATTCCTTGTCACTTCAAATTCTTTGGTTTGGTTAGGATCTATTGCTAGAAAGATGGTGAGATCCTTTGGAGGTGTCAAGACACTCCAACTTTTAGCACCAACACAGTTCTTGTGCCGATTCATTGTCATCTGAGGAGGCTGTCACTTCTTATTTTTGAACTTACTATCATTTGAATAGGACATTTACTTTTTTTAATTCTTGTTTCCTTTGGGGGTATGACTGTAGTGTATATTGCATAAGATCATTTTGCTTTATATTTCTGGATGCTTTCAGTGGGCTGAGGTCTGTATGGGTTTCTTGGTTGTTGATAGCTTCTGTGCAATGGCTTTCTCAGAGGCTGCTTGTTGTAATGATGGATTGGATATATGAGCCAATATTATCACTTGGAGGGCTGAAGGTGGGGAGTTCTTAGGAAGCTTATCTTTTAGACTAGCTCTAAATCTTTCTGATAGCAAGTTTTTATTTGGTGGTGTAGTTCAGGCTGCCACACAGTAGGTGGCCCTTAGAGTAAAACTCAGTTCCAGCTCAGGTAGGCTGATGATGAATGGAGGCTCCCACTCTGTTGGGGGTGCAGGAATGCTGGGATGCAGGAGTAAGAGGAGCAGGGGAGATTGTGTTGGGATGAACTTAGGTCTTTCAGGAAGGGGCTTGGTGGAGTAACAGCTGTTCACCATGAGCTGGCAGGAACACAGTCCACCTCCCTATTATGCCCCTGTTGCAGGGCTTAAAACCAATGTTCATAGATAATTCATCCTTTGGTTTCCAATCACAGTGTGTTTATGGGCTGAAGATATGCCTCTCTGAGGGCTACTGCCAAAATGTTCTTGGGGCAAAGCCTCTTCCCCAGTCCAAGGCAGCCAACTTTGTGACATGTCTGTCCTCCATTGCTGGGACACTGTCGCTCTGTGTAGGGAAGTTGGACCCTGCCCTCCATGGAAGTTCAAGTGGCAAAGGCTCACTTTCAGTGGAAGCGGAGGTGCCACAAAAAAAAAAAAAAAAAAAAAAAAAAAAAAAAAAAAAACCAACAACAACAACAACCATAAAAATACTTTCTCTTCACTCAGAGAATATGCTGGTCTTTAGCAGGAAGAAGCACTGCTGTGTCCATAGCAATGTATGAGGTGAGTGAGATGACACCCTCTCTATGTCTATGCCGGGGTATCACTGTTGTTCTCTTCAGAGATGGGCACCATATCTGTGTTTTCTTTGTCCCAATGGGGCTCTGGTGGGCTGCAGAACAATCCTTGCTCCCTTATGTTTAGCTCACACCCTGGGGACCAACCAGTCCCTTGCGCTTGCCAAAATCAGAGTGGGTTGTGGGGTATGTTTCTGCGGGATCTGATGGTATGGTGACTAAAGGGCAGAGAAATCCCAGGCAGAACAGTGTCCCGCAATAGGTGCTCAACGAGGATGGTGTTTGCCATCCCAGTTAGGGTCTCAGAGGAGTGCAGGCATGCCTGCACTTGCTGGCCACCCAGATCTCTGTCCCTAAGAAATTCTCAAACCACACACCAGCAGTGTTTCCCTAGTTCACAAGAGCAGAGAGCCTCCACAACTTTTTGACAGTCAGAAGATTGTCAAAGTGGAGAGAGGAAGCAGAGAATCACTTCCACTTACCTTTTCTGTGGGGCTCCAAGTTCCCTGGGAGTAGGTCTCTGCCAGGGTCTTGCTGTTTCTAGTTGAGTTTTCTTTGGTAAATTCATTTTAGAGTGGGATTCATACTCTGCCTTATTTTTATTTTTAATTATTTGCTGTATTATACATTTTTATTGAAGTTGGGTTATTATTCAGCATGGTGACTAATTTGAAAATTATTCTATCTTTTCTTAGCGGCAACAAATGTTCTTTGTATTTCTACGATTGGAGTCACACATGTGGGTAGTGGTGTTAAAATCTTAATATCTAACTGTTTATTCAATGAAAGCAAAGATTAGAGCTTGGCTCAGCCAGGATTACCTCTTTCTTCCTTTTTTGTTGGATAGTTCCAAGAGTAAATTAACAGAATTTTTGTCTAAGTAATTCCCATGGCTCATGCCACTTTGTTCATCTCAAGCTTTAGGCTAGAAATGAGGTCAGGTTTGCAATCTCTTAATTCTGATCCAAGGAAAACTTCAAGGCTACAAGTGGGATAAGACTACAAAGGCAATTTTTCTCTCTCTTTTTTTTATTATAAGACTCAGAGAAAAGGGCATAATATTAGGTCTGCCTCTTGACGCAATAGGGCATTATAGAAATTTCCATTTGAATTATATTTGCTTAATTCTTTCTCCATATTAGTTTTATTAAATGAGAAACTGAAAGATGACTCTCCTCTTTTATTCACACTGCATCTTCCTTGAACTCACGATTTTTAAATTCATTTTAATTTGTACACATACATTCATACTAGCTTATTAACTTTATCAAATCATAGCTGAGAGCAAGAGGCAAGTTGAAAAGGGGCAGGCACCCTGTGAAGCAGAACTAAAGGCAGGAAGCATTAGAAGGACATAATAAAACTGATGTGCTTTAATTAATGAAAATAATGGCTCTGTGACACTGAGAATATATTATACTTAATGGCTTACTGTTTAACAAGCAAACATTGTGACTAACGCATTTTATTAACAGATAATTTTTTCATCCAAAATACTAAGTGTACCCTCAATAGTATAACTTAGTTTTGGAAATTTCTTAAGGCAGAACACACGTTGCTAGCTAAATATGGACTAAAGGAACTGTAGCTCTATACCCTTTCTAGTATTAGTCTTTTATTTGTGCACATATCTTGCTCTCCTTTAACTTGGTCATGTGGACCTAAAAGTGAGGATGATATATTGTAATTCTCATGCCTTTTGGACATGGTATAAAAAATGCTGGACATTAAGTGTTTGAAAGTTATGTTGCCTGTGCAACTTTTTAGTATTATATATTTTACTATATATATCTTACTATGGTTACAGTGAAAGGAGATTGTTCAAATAAAATTACTATCAATGGTTAATGCTGAAATGGATGATTTACATAATTATTCTAATTCACTTTAGGCAAGCGTTTTATTTTGATAATTTTTAAAAGAAAAAAACGAAACATATTTACAATGTGCAGATAGAATGGAGCGAATTTATAATGTGGGTGTTTGGAAGCCCTTACGAATCAGATTTTTATAACAGTAATGTTTATGTCAATATGAAGTAAGTGTTGATTTATTAATATAATCATTGTTTGTCAAGTGCATACTATGTACCTGCCATTGTGCAAAAATGGGAATAAAAAGTGAGAACTGATATAGAACCTGCCTTTATTGAGGCTGAAACACAGCAAATTAGGTTGGGCGAAAAGAAGCAATTTAAAAGGAATGATACTGGCTCTGCTCATGAAAGTAAAAAGCACTGGTGCATAAGATGACACCACCTAGGGCAACCTACTTGAAGAAGGAAGTAATGAGAAGAGACTGAACAATGACGTGATACCGCCAAGTGTGTCTGATACTTACGTCTCATTCATACAAGGAAGCTTAGATCTACACAATCCTCCTCACCCACCTATCTTGAACACTATTTTACCAATTAAAAAAAATCCTATCACCTTTTTTGCTAATATTCAAATTCTTCTTGGAGATTTTAAAGGAAATGAAAAATAAGTGCTGAGTTGTAAAGTGTGAAAGATTGACTTTCTGATTAAAATTCTTTAACTACTAATTGTTCCCTTACCATAGATAAGTACTAATTCGTATACAGCTAAATCACACAGTTCATATTGAATTACTTTAAATTATCACACAGAAAATATTGTGATAACTATTTTAAACTCTTCAACCATCCAGACCTGATATGACCCCTGAAAATCAATGCCCATTTGTTTTTATTTGTTTCCTACTACAATGGTGAGTTCCCAGCACACTGAGCCTGGCAGTTTTTCAGGGACAGTCTAAAAAATTATCTGGATTATTTATCATCAGCAAATAGAAAACATTCACAGTTATGTTATCTAGTCCACATTCTACAAACCCACACAAGTTAGAGCAAGTTTTCTGACATAGATTCTATATCTATATCTTTAGCTATATCTTCTTCAACAGAATTGAAGCTAAAATGTAAGAACACAGAAAATTTGGGAATAAAAGGTGGAAAACATATATTCAAAACATGAACAAAAGGAAAGCTAACATTTTTAAAAATCACACAGAGTGAACATTAAGCATTTTAAAAAGTACTAGAGATATTCTTTGGAATAACTAGAAGTTGTGAGAATCTCTTTCATTTTAAAATAACTAGATCCTAACATTACAGATTTGTTAATGGATTTGTTCATTTCAAAATATGTAGAAGCTATCTCCATGAATCCTTGCGAAAACAGTGAAAAAACAAAGAAAGAGGCACACAAATATGTGAGAGCTCAGCCTGGAGCTGAAGGTAGATGAAAACTAGGGTACCCAAAAAGCTATCCAGGAGCCGGAAAGCACAGGCAGTCAGGAGGCCAATTATGAGGGTCTTTTTCATTGGAAGAGAAACAAAGAAGGAAAGCCAAATCTGACAACATTTAATTTGATCTAAGACTCTTAAAACAGCCTGAAAATGTCCTGGAATGGGAGTAACAACTAGCTTCCAAGTAATGCAGAAATATAGCCTCTTTGAAGAGAAACTTTCTCAATGTAGTCCTATCAGATTTCCACAAATTAAAATCAATTACCACCCTAAAACAGCAGAAGGCAAGGCATTCTGACACAGAGGCAACAAAATAAACCAGAGATTTATTTTAGGATTGAAAGAACTGCACAGTAGGAGGGGTTATGCTACAGTGACAGAAAGAATAATAAACAAAAGCTTACTTTTTCCTAATACTGCATATCACACATAAGTAAGCAGAAAGCTCTGTTCCACATAGTCACTCAAGGAAACAAGCTATCTTGAGTCCTACTATCTTGTAGCTTACTAGGTTGCTGCAACAGGAAAAGAGGGAGACTGAATAATCCTGCATGGATTTTGCAATGCCTAAGCCCAGACATGACACATGGCACTTCTGCCTACATTTCACTGGTCAGAACAAATTACATAAATAGTAGAGAAGCAAATAGAATACTGATTAGCATAAATGCTGATGTCACAATTGAACAAGTTTATTCGGTCAAATACAGACTATAAAATAACTATAAGAATGTTGAAATTAAAAACATAGTTGGGGATGGGTAAAAGGACAGATTAGTCCTAGTTTTAAGTGAGTGAACTGGAAGATGTAATAAAATAGAACATAGTCACCTAATAAAGTAAAGTCAAAATAAATAAAGCAAAAACTGGTAAAGTTCAGGAAAAAATAGAGCAATCCATCATAATGGTAGGTTTGAAAGTAACACTATTAATTGTTGACAGGTCAAACTGGCCATAACAATCAATAAAGGTTTGAACAATAAAGTAACCAATTTAAATCTGATAGGCATCCAGCCATTTAAGTGTCCACATTAGCCTCAAGCACTCATATGTGAACTAGAAAAACTGGTCATTTATTAGGCAGTAAAATATTTCTCATCAAGTGCAAATATAATGTTACACTGACCAGTCCCTCTAGCAATTCTGTGGGTAGTACAGCATCTTTTCAATAAGTTTATTTTCTGTTAAAGTAAGCAATAATTTCATGATACTTATTATCAGTAATGAAATGTTATCATTCATATGAGAATTTATTGATTACCAACCAAACTTTTATTTTAGAAAAGTTTAAGTTTAGAGAATATTTGAAGAGATCGTACAGAGATTCTAGTTTTCTCTAACATATTAGCATGATACATTTGTTAAAACTAATAGACAATTATTAACACATTATCAACCAAAACTAGTGTTTTATTCAGATTTTTTTTTTGTTTTAACCTAATATTCTTTTTCTGTTTTATGATCTCATTTTAAGATAATATAATACACTTAATAGTCATATCTCCTAACTACAAAACTTTGGCTGACAGTTTCTCAGACTTTCCTTTCTTAATAGTTTTGAGGAGTACTGTTCAGGTTTTTTTTTTTTTTTTTTTAGAATATTCCTCAGTTAGAATTTGTCAGATGTTTTTCTTATGATTAGACTAGATTTATGAGTTTCAGAGAGGAAGAAAACAGATATAAAGTGTCATTTTCATTACATCCTTTCAAGGATACACAGTATCAACAGAATGTATAATCATTGATGTTAACCTTGATCTGCTGATTAAGACAGAGTTTGTCAGGATTCTCAACCCTTAAGTTTGTATTTTTCCCGTTTCCACATTATGCTTTCTGGAAGGAAGTTACTGTGCACATATAAAGCATGAAGAGTTATGTTCCACCACCTTTTTTTTCCATTCCCTTAAGTGACATTGTTTCATATATTTGTAACATGGTTATGCTGTTTTGTCACATTCTGGAATCTCCTGACCTGCTAAATGGCTTATAAAAATTGCATATGTTAATATTTACTCTTTGTGTTATAAAGTCCTATGGATTTTGACAATGTTTAGATGTGCATATCCACAATTATGGTGACATGCATAATAGCTTTACTGCTTTAAAAAATTCACTACATTTCACCAATTCAGCTCTCTCCCCATCCTGCCAAACTCCTGAAAACCGATGACCTTCTTATCATCATTATGGATTTGCCTTTTCCAAAATGTGATAAGATTAGAATCCTATGTGTAGCTTTTATAGACAAGTTTATTTCACTTAGCAAAATGCATGTAAGTTTCCTTTATGTCTTGCTGTGGCTCAATATGTTCTTTCGTTTAATAATTTAATAATATTCCATTTTATGGATGTGCCACAGTTTGTTTATTCAATCACCTATTGAAGGAGTATGATCAATGGATACAAAACAATCTTGAATAAAATCTCAGGAAACTATTTATAGATACTGAAAAACTGATTATAAAGTTAATATGGAAAGGAAAAACAATCTAGAAAAAAACAAACACGATGCTGAATAAAAACAACATCTGAGGACTTACATTAACTGATTTAATAACTAGTATAAAACTACAGCAATCAAAACAGGATAGTATTGGCAAAAGAATAGACAAATAGATTGATGGAACTGAATAGAGAGCCAAATAATACAATTGGGCTTTCCTACGCAAAAGTAGAATGTAGATATAGACTTTACAACATTAAAAAAATACTTAAAATGAATCTAAGACCTACATATAAAGTACAAAACTATAAACTTCTAGAATAAAACAAACATAGCAGAAAATTTATGTGACCTTGAGTTTGGTGATGAGTTTTAGATACAATCTTAAAGGCATAGCTCCTAAAGAAAAAAAATTGATGAATTAGACTTTATTAAAATTAAAATCCTCTTTATGAAAGTCACTATAGAGAGAATGAAAGACAAACCATAGACTGGAAGAAAATATTTGCGAAAACACACATCTGAATAAGGGACTTGTATACAAAATATATGCAGATCTCTTAAATTCAACAATAAGGAAACAAGCAACCCAGTTAAAGGATGGGCAAAATATTTAACAGACATGAAAGAAAATATACAGATAGCAATTAAACATATGAAAAGTTGTTCTATATACCTTGTCATTAGGGTATTGCAAATTTAAACAATGATGCTACTACACAGTTATTAGCATTGCTAATGTCAATTGAAAAAGAGAAAATATCAATTGATAGTAAGCATGTTGAGTAACAGAAATATCCATTGAGTGCTAGTAAGAATATAAGATGGTACACCACTTTACAAGACAATTTGGTAGCTTCTTATGAAGCTAAACATGGTCTTACCCTATGACTCAGCAGCAGTTATGTTCTTCGGTGATCCTCAACTAACTTGAAAAAGTGCATTCTCACGAACATTTGCTCACAAAATATTCATAGCAGTTTTTTATTTGAAGCAGAAATGGGCAATTCAGTTAAATCTGGTTCCAGTCACTACGCAGAAATAGTTCAAATGTATAGCTTTTATTTTCAGCTTGTTGCCAGCTTCGAACCTGGGTTGTAAGGGTGATGAGTTCATTATAGTTTCATTTTAGAGAAGTCAATCATCAAGTAAGCATACCTAATAGGTTGTTGGATATTTACATGTGTAAATCAGGAGAAACATCTGAATTGCTAATAAATATTTGAGCTTGAAATCAAACCAACTTGGTTTCTTGGTAATGTGTGTATACCACACTCGTTTGACTTGGACTATTCATGCAGCCTGTAATTGGCTGAAAAAAATATGTTGGACACCTCAGGTTAGGTAGAGTTGACTTCAATGAATCAGAGCTGCCAATTCTGATAAAAATAAATGCCTCTATAAAGAAATACTGTGTTTACAACTACAAAATTAAAGTGGAAAAATGAGCCATTTATTTAAAAAACTTAGGGTCCTGATCCAAATTTTGTTTGTATTATTAAAACCATTTTTTTTTTTTTTGAGACGGAGTCTTGCTCTTTTGCCCAGGCCGGAGTGCAGTGGCGCTATCTTGGCTCACTGCAAGCTCTGACTCCCGGGTTCACGCCATTCTCCTGCCTCAGCCTCCCGAGTAGCTGGGACTACAGGCACCCGCCACCACGCCCGGCTAATTTGTTTGTACTTTTAGTAGAGACAGGGTTTCACCGTGTTAGCCAGGATGGTCTTGATCTCCTGACCTCGTGATCCGCCCGCCTCGGCCTCCGAAAGTGCTGGGATTACAGGCGTGAGCCACTGTGCCTGGCCAAAACCATATTTTTTTTATTTCTTTTTACTCCCAATTTTTTTTTTTGTTTTTCAGTGCTTCCTGTTTTGCTAGCATTGTGTATGGTGATGACTATCAAATCATCTCAAGTTCTATTTATTAATATAGTTCTAAACTATTTTTTGCCACAAGACAATAAGTAACATGAAAGCAAAAAATATTAATACATTAAAAAATTTCAACTTTTATTTTAGACTCAGAGGGTACAATTGCATGTTCGTTACATGGGTATATTGCATGATACTAAAGTTGAGAGTACAGATCCCATCACCCACATAGTGAGTATAGTGCTTAATAGGTAGTTTTTCAACCCACACCTCCATGCCTCCCTCCTGCCTCTTGTAGTGCCCAGTGTCTATTGTTCTCATCTTTATACTCAATGTTTAGCTCCCATTTATAAGTGAGATCATGTGGTATTTGGATTTCTGTTCCTGAGTTAATTCGCTTAGGCTATTGGCCTCTAGCTACAACCATGTTGCTGCAAAGGACATGATTTCATTCTTGTTCATGGCTGCATAGTATTTCATGGTGAATTTGTATCACGTTTTCTTTATTCAGTCGATCATTGATGGGCACCTAGGTTGATTCCATGTCTTTGCGATTGTTAATAGTGCTGCAGTGAACACACAAGTGCATGTGTCTTTTTGGCAGAACAATTTATTTTCCTTTGGGTATATATCCAGTAATGGAATTGCTGGGTCAAATGGTAGCTCTGTTTTCAGTTCTTTGAGAAATCCAAACCACTTTCCGCAGTGGCTGAACAAATTTACATTCCTATCAACAGTCTATAAGTATTCTCTTTTTGCAGCCTCATCAGTATCTGTCATTTATTGACTTTTTAGTCATAGCCAGCCTCATCAGTATCTGTCATTTATTGACTTTTTAGTAATAGCCATTCTGACTGATATGAAGTGGTATCTCATTGTGGTTCTAATTAGCATTTCTGTAATGATTAGTGATGATGAGCAGTTTTTCATGTTCATTGGCCACTTGTCCGTCTTCTTTTAAGAAGTGTTTGTTCATGTCCTTTGCCCATTTCTAAAATGTATTTTATTCTTTTCGTTCTTTCTTTTTCTTCTTTTATTTATTTATTTATTTATTTATTTATTGAGACAGGATCTGGCTCTTGCCCAGGTTGCAGCACAGTGGTGCAATAATAGCTCACTGCAGCCTCTACCTCCTGGGCTCAAGTGATCTTACCACTTCAGCCTCCCCAGTAGTTGGGATTACAGGTACATTCCATCATGTAATGGCTAATTTTTATTTTTTGTAGAGACGGGAGTCTCGTTATGTTGCCCAAGCTGGTCTCAAACTCCTAATCTCAAACAGTGCACAAACCTTGGCATCCCAAAGTGCTGGAATTAGAGGCATGAGCCACTGTGCCCAGCTGTGTTATTTGTTTTTAGCTTGCTGATTTGTTTAAGCTCCTTATACATTCTAGATATTAGATCTTTGTTGGATAAATAGTTTGTGAAAATCTCCCATTCTGTTGGTTATCTGTTTACTCTATTGATGGTTTCTTTTGCTATGCAGGAGTAGTTTTAATGGAATGTGACATGTATTCTATGAATATATGTAGGGAAATTTTTATGGAATATGACACATTGGCATTCCAATGCATCAGCTTAGAAAATAGATGTTCTAAGTTCCTTACTCTTTCTCCCTCTCTCTCAGGAATGCCAATGTGTCATAGGTTTGGTCTTTTTACATAATCCCATATTTCTCAGAGGTTTTGCTCATTCTTTATTTTTATCTTATCGATTTGATTGGAAGAACAAGTCTTCAAGCTCTGAAGATTTTTTCCTCAGCTTGTTCTAGTCTGCTGTTAGCACTTCTGATTGTATTCTAAAATTCTTGTAGTGAAATTTTCAGGTCCAAAACTTCACTTTGGATCTTTCTTAAAATGGCTATATTGTTTTTCAGCTTTTGGGTAGTTTTACTAGATTTCTTGGATTGGGTTTCAACTTGCTCTTCGATCTTGAGCTTCTTTGCCATCCAGGTTCTGAATTCTATGTCTGTCTTTCAGTCATTTCAATTTAGTTAAGAAAAATTGCTGGGAAGCTAGTGGACTCTGTTGGAGGTAAGGAGACACTGGCTTTTTCAATTGCCAGAGTTCTTGCGTTGATTCTTTCTCATCCAAGAGGGCTAGCATTCCTTTAACTGTGGTGGGAGTTGAGTGTAGTCAATTGGCTTCATTTCTGGGTGCTCTCAGAGGGCCAAGGCTCTGGGTAGAATCTTTATTTTGTGGCTGGATTCCTGCGCTGGTTTCCACAGTGGTGTATATTGGTAAAATACTTTTTTTGTATTTTTTATTATACTTTAAGTTCTAGGGTACATGTGCACAATGTGCAGGTTTGTTACATATGTATACATGTGCCATGTTGCTGTGTTGCACCCATTAACTCGTCATTTATTTTGATCCACCCTCCTTGGCCTCTAATAATATGAAATTTTATAGAGGAAAACATAAAACAAATAGGGCTTTGAACTCTTAATTACTTTCTCTTTTCATAAAGCCCACTGATTCTCAATTCCTTTAAAGCACATACAATTTTCTCTATGTAACTTCAGACTCTGAATTGTATGTAATTTTCCAAATGATGATAAAGAGTCCATTGCCCATTTTTAGCAGATGATTTCATATCACACTAAAAGTATGAATTCATGGTTCAGAATTACCATGAATCTTCAAGACAGCATCACGCTAACACAATTCTATTCCTGTGGGGCTCCAAGGAAGTAATAACTTTGAACGTAAATAATGTTGGGAAGATATTTGTATTAACACAGGTGCTGTAGATGTTTTATATGAAATATTTTTTTTTCAAATAAGTTTAAAATAACAGCCAAAGCAAAAGCATTCTTTGAAACTGTTTGAAATATCTTTGGAAAGCAACTAATATCAATAAAATCATAACCAAAAGAAATATAGGGAGAGTGGTTAGATCTAGTTACTAATTTATCAATGCATTTAAACATACATTTATATTACTGGTTCTCTATGAGGTGCAATGGGGACCCAAAGACAAATTGAATAGTCGTTGCCCTCAAGAAATTTGAAGTCTATGGACAGAAAACAAAAATGAAATTTTAATTAACTGTGATAAATGCTATCATTATGTAAATGTTACTAGGGTACAAAGAAGAAAGTATCATTCTGACGTGCGTGAGTGAGTGTATTTGTGTGTGTACATTGCTTGAGGAGTTGGGAGCACAGTGGGATTTTTCACTGAAGGTTTTCCAAAAAAAGTTTAAGCTGAGATGTGGGGATGACATAAGAGATAACCAAGGAAGGATCACTGGAAAGATATTGCAGGCAAAAGAATGAAAATTGCAAAGATTGGGGGCAGAAAAGAATATGAAACCATCTGGTAATTGCAGGTGTTTCCTATTGCTAAATAAACCTAGTAAAGTTATCCAGTGGTCAGTATGTCCTGAAGTTACAGGTTAAATCTATAATAACTGGAGGATAAAAGACTTAATATAAAATCCTATTTATTTGGCCATCCTACTGGGTCACACATTCCAGAATCGAATGTAGCAAATATGTCTTTATGCATAGTATAAAGAATGAAATAAACTATAACAAGTATTTTGTTTAAAAAGTTATCTATTAATTCCACTCAAACACAGATGATCACGCTATTGAATTATTAGTTTTGGGTTTGTGTTTTGTTTTTGAGACAGAGTCTCACTCCAGTCACCCAGGCTTGAGTTCAGTGGTGTTATCATCACACACTGCCACCTTGACTTCCTGAGCTCAAGTGATTCTCCCACCCTTCAGCCTCCCAAGTACCTGGGACTACAGGCACTTGCCAACATGCCTGGCTAATTTTTGCATTTTTTGTAGAGAAGGAGTTTTGCCATGTTGCCTAGACTGGTCTCAAACTTCTAGGCTCAAGCCATCTGCCCACTTCCACCTCCCAGTGTGCTAGGATTACAGGCGTGAACTACAGGGCCCGGGCTTGAATACTAGGTTTTTTTTTTAAAGGTAACTTTTAAGAAGATTGTGTTGACTCAAAGGGCAAAGTGTATACAATGGAGGGAAAGGAAAAATTTTACCATATATATATATGGAAAAGGATATATATATGGTAAAGGAAAACTTTTACCATATATATATATACACATATGTGTATATATATATATGTGTGTATATATATATGTATATATATATACACACACACACACATATGAATATATACAACTTTCCCATTTCATATACGTATAGAGATACACACATACACACACAAAGAGAGAGAGGGAAATTTCTCATAATTTAAAAACAGCCCTGACAATGAAACATGTAAAAACCATTATACAATTATAAAATTAGTATGGACATTCAAAGATAATATTTATTCCAAATAAAATGGTAAAGCTTTTATAGTCATTGAAATAACAGTAGCTTAACAGGTTTCTGGAAGGAAGTACTTAATTTAGGAGCACCTAACTAGTAGCAGCTATGATGTATTTTGCTACTTCAGAATTTGTGATGGGGAGTTCACAGTTTTAGACCATGATGTACATGATAGGCATAATGCTTTGGGATTTACATTTAAGATTTTTCGTAATCTAAGAAAGCAGAAAGGAGAAGAAGAAAAAAAAAACAGAAAAAATCTAAATAAACTTAATTAGTAAAATTGTTTGGAGTCCAAAACATGTAGTATGCTTTGTTTTAACAGCTAACCCTGTAACATACATTCTCTTAACATGGCAGACATTTACAATGCCAATTGTCATTTATTCAGCAGGGGTCAAAAAGCTAACTCCTCAGCCATGTTCAAAATAGTCTTGAAGAATTGCTGAAACTGCCCTTCCCATAACGCTAAATAGCGCTTCTGTCTTTTTGAAACATAGAGTGAATATAACATTTATGACCTCACGATGTCCTGATTGGCAAATTGAGTGAAGGTAATATTCTTGTTCAGCTTAGATATATGGCTGACTTTGGGGCCAGCTTGGAAGCAGGACACAATTATTTTTTACTCTTCCATGCAGGGAGCTCTCAGATTGCCAAGGCCCATGGTTGTGCAATTGTGAAATGGACTGGGTATGTAAATCTGTCTAAAACCTTAGGGCTGAGGTTTTAGCAAGTACTTTTACTAATCCACTTAAGTTATATCCTTATTCCTACTTTATCAATAATAAGGCATACTTTTCAATCTTTACCTGCTAACTCCACTGCTTTGCAGATGGATACAGTTGTGAGGAAAGGCATGATATTTATTAGATCATAGAACTTCCAAAGACAAATAAAAATTCTTTCAGTGAGTCTTTTGCAAAACTAAAAGATTCATGAGTTAATACAAATAATTCATACAGCTACATGCTACCTTTTTTACTAAAAATGTTAAATTATTACTGTTTTCTTTTTCAAAAGAGTTGCTTCTGTGGTGATACAAAATCTTTGATCCTTGAACCAAATCAAATTAAAAATCACTGGACATAAAAGTAAACCGAATATGCAATCAGTTACAATTATATAATTAAGAATTCTCCTTTTTTTTTTCGTAAACGTTTTTTAGATCTGAATAAATTCTTAAGTTTCTTAGATGCCTGCCATCACTTTGCTTACATTTGTGTAATTCAGTTCATTCATATGGCAAAATCACAAAATTCTGTTGATATTTAATGTTGCATTAAGATTTTAATTTTCTTTAGCCTAAAGCTATTTAATGTATGTTTCTTTCTACCTCTCTTGTATTTCTTAGTCTCTAGTGTTGGAGAGAAATGCAATTTGAGGGAATATTAATGCATATCAGAGGGGAAAAGATAACAAAATTGATTTCAGAAGTAATAAGAAAGTATGCCTCCTTTTTAATGCAATATACTCTAACAAAACTCCTTAAGTTATTAACTGTATTCTACACCTGTTTTTTCCATAGTAATTATATAAATAAAGCAGAAGTAATTTGTGAATCGGTATATTTTTGTGATTTTTGAAGTTCTAACTTTATTTGGGCTGGATTGAAAGTTATCAGAAAGTTAAGCGTCCAGTTTTAAAAGGAAAATTAGCATACTTTATTTTCATCAGTTTCCTTTCTTTGCTATTCTCTTCCCTCTTTCCTAAACTTATGCTTTTTCATTAACAAAACCTTCAGGAAAACGTCTTCTGTGTCATAGGTTCCCCTCAGCTAGTGATTTTATGCTGTTTACTGCACACAGTGTTCATTACCAGTTTAAGTAATTGAACTAAGATGTTTATTGAACTTGTAGCCAGACAGTTCAGTCCATACCTGATGACTCACTGTCTGTCCAGTGCAGCACTGAAAATTGGAAAGCACAATCCCTAGTTTTATCACAGGTTAAGTAAGACTAGACTGACAAATTTACCATCAGTCTTCTTTCCCTACTATTTTAAAAAAAATAAATGTGTCTTCTATTACAGATCTTATTTTATATGCTGATTCTGAAAAAATGCATTCTCTTTCTCTCTCTCCCTCACACAGACACACACATACACACACACACATAAACATGAACACACATATGGCTGATGTGCTCTTTTATGGTGCTAAGAAATTAATAGGGACCACAAGGGCATATTGCTTTCATTTCATCATATTTCAGTTAATTCAGTCGGCATTTCTTGAGTTAGAATGTAACAGAGATAAATAAAAAACATACTTTGTGTCTTCTGGGAATTTCAGTCTACTAGGTTAGACACATATGCAAATAAGTAATTAAACTGCTGTACAATGTGAAATAAGATTATTCGAGCAGATATTTTCAACACTTTACCTCTATCTACTCAAATCTTAACACTTCAAAGAGGCCAGTACCTGAATCTTTTTGACTAAAGTCTTTCTCTAACTTCTGATAAATTAGCAATTTACTAGAATTCCAGAGAATTAATAAACCCTAGAGATGACAGGAGTTAATGTAAAAATATGCTGCTTTCTTTTCTTAGCTAGACTGGCCATTATGTGGGATTGAGCTTCAGTTGTCCACAATGGTAATTTGTTGGATATTCTTTTTTTGCTTCATTCTTTTCCCTGTATCATTTTTCCATTTCTATATTTTCTGATATCAACTCCCAAATAAGCCGCTTGCACTCACAACTTGTATCTGGGTCTGGTTGTGCAGAACCTGAATTAAAATAATTGTCTAATAAATGTTTAACTTATTATTGTGCCTATAATAAATGTCTAAATAAATAATACATATCTAATTTATTATTTATTATTAGGATTATGGGGGCATTGCATGTTTAAGTAACCATAGGCAGTTTGGTGTTTAGGGAGTTATGAGAGATGAAGAAATAATAGTTGACATAGACCAAATTATGATGGAGAAAATAATTTAAAATGTGACAGGGTATCACTGAAGGTTTAAATCAGGAAAATGATTTATTTCAATATACAGGTCATAAAAGTAGCCGTAGCGCAAAGCAAGATTGGACACGTACATGTATGTTCCCCCTACACACACACATACACACACAAAAAACCACAAGAGATTATTGCAATGACTGGCCTAATTATTCTCTTTTCTCTGGGAATAGAAAACATTTATCCCTTAATGTGCTCTTATGAATGGATCTGAAATGTTGTCCTTTTAAAAAATAAAATATGCATAGCCTCTATTACACACCAGATATGTAAAATGTACAGTGGAAGACAGACTGATGCTCAAACCTAGTTCTGTCCTCAATTAAAAAATAGAACATTAGTGAATACCAGTATTCAATGGATGAAGAAGGATAATCCATATTGAAAGGGTTCTGAGAGCCTGGAAGAGAAGAAGTCAATAGATAGGAGAGTCTGAATAGAGAGATTGGTCAATAATCACAACGAGCACAAAACTCATCAGGTAAGATAAACACTGAAAATAAGACATTTAATTTCAACATTTCAGTGCCAAACATACATCCCAATTAACAAGGACAAACAATATTTATGATATTTTTCATTGAAATTTAATAAACAGCTACCAGAGTTTATAATTTATGAGCAATGCTCCCACATGATGCTCATCCTCATATGCTATTTTCCAAGTAAAAATATCTGTCTTAAGGTGACAATATGAATAAATATACCGATGTTTTGATATTCAAGGAAATTCTACATTCTGAAATTATGTACTTTTTATTTTCTAGTCATTTAATTATCAAAAGAGATCACAACTGATAACACAAAATAAAATATAAAATAGATTGATACTAATTATAAGGCCTAAGAGTGACAATACATCTAAATACTTTAATACTTTGTTGATGACTCATACTGTATGCAAAATATAAACATTTCAAATTTTTCTCTAGTTAAAAGAAGAAACAAATTAGCATACAAATATACTACATTTCACCTTTGGTCTTTCAAGTGAGCAAATGAAAATGAAGGGAGAAGCAGGAAATGCAATATTGTATGTGTGTGTGTATATATGCTGTATATATGCAGAAATAAAGTTGAAGGTGAAAAGTCACTAACAGACAAGATAAAATCTGATTAAACCATTAACACTTGTCAGGGTGGACACCTTCAGACTCCTCAGACCTAGTCACTTCTGCTATGAAGCCCCATCTCTCTTCCCCTCCTTCGTCTCTTCCTCCTTCCTTTTTCACTGGCTCTCCACCATCCTCCAGGACATTAGAGAGTCTAGAAGTCAATACTCCCTGGTGGAGCTCCTCTTGCAGGAGCTCCATTGCTTGGCAGATACTTGACTAATACACCTTTGAATTGCTTGTGATCACTGGCTATGGTGTGGTGCATTTAGATGTGGACATTACCAAAGAGGAGAAAAAGGCAGACCTAGCTTTGGCCTAGGAAAATACTAACAAAAAATGAATACAATAGTTACACTAAAATACAATAAATATATTTTAAACAATTCTACAATTGCTTACTTTTATATAAAGTAGAAACATATTGAACCACTATATTTTTTGGCATTTGTAATTATATATCTTTTTTCTTTTTTTCTTTACCATGTGGCTCATTCAAACGCAAATAGATAACTGGATAAATACAAGTTAAAGGTTTAAATTTTATTTAATACGTACAACAAAACTACTCATAAAGCCATAGCATATTTCTAAAATGGTATTATAGAGTTGGGATCAATTTCTTATTAAAAGTCTTCAAGTAATATGCAGGAATTCAAATATATAGTTACAATAATCATCTGGCACTTCTACATCCCTCAAATACATGATATTTAAAGGAGTAGACCTGTTTGCTTCTTTTTTATATAAAAGTTTCCATAACAAATGATGAGAAATTCAATGTAAAACTGAGAGAAGACAGATATTCATATATTTCTAAGCAATTGAATCTGAGAAGCCCATATTCCAGGGGCAATTTTAAGAGAAGAGCTTTGGATGATTTGGAGGCTGTCATCGGGTTCAGAAAAGCAGTAACGATGATCCTTCCTTAAACTATGTGTTCATGACACTTTATGGACTGTTGCTTCTGCCTGAACCACCAACCATATACTATATACAATGTTTCCCAAGAAATGACTCTCATGGCCACTTGGAATATTTTTTAAAAAAAGCAGAGGGCAGGAAAAAAAATCAATTCATATAACCAGTTGAAGATACATAAATAAACACATAGGAAAAAGCCTCAAGTAAAAGAATAAGTTCAGCACTAAGGACTTCAAGTTATTTGCATGAATGTAAGTTCATTTATCAAAATAATTTGTATTTATTCTCATGTCATCACACAGCAGATAAATATTAGCTAGGGATGTGAATCACATGGCAAATTTTCTTCAGTGATCTTTACAAAGAAAATTAACATGTTGAATCACTAGGAAAATTATGATGGACATCAAGAAGACAAATTGTATAGTTATTAATTCTAAAAGTAAGTATTTTTTCTATGACTTTTGAAAGATGAAGTCCAGAGCAAGTAGAACTCTTAGAAATCATAAGCTGATATGGTCTTGCTATTAATTTTTTATGTTTTTGTTTATTTCTATTTGTTTACTTCAAATTTTAATTTTTGAAAAAGTAATACATTCTTTGGGCTCAGATAGACATGGAAAGAACAAGAAATTCCACTCGTGGGTGTATAAGCAACAGATATGCATGCATATTTTCACAAAAATTTATTTACTAGAATGATCATACCAGCATTGTGTATCTTTGAGCAGTATATATTCTCAACAGCCCCAAACTGGAAACTATCCAGATATTTCTATCAAACATATCTAGACGGTAGCCAAAATTATAATGAATACATTATACCATATTCACTCAATATAGTAGGTGTGTATATATACAAAGGAATAAACAATAAAACACAACAACCTATAGATTAATCTCACAAACATATCATTATTTAAAAGGAGCCACCTAGGATAAATTCTTGAGGAGATGAACATCCCATTCTCTGTATGATGTTCTCATTTCACATTGCATGCTTGTATCAAAACATCTCATGTACTCCATAAATATATATATCTACTATGTATCATAAAATTTAAAAAATAAAAGAAGCCACACACATAGATTACACACCATATAATTACTACTTACAAAGTAAAAAGGCAAAATTAAAATACAGTATAAGAAATAAAATTGATGGTAAAACTCTAGATAGTATTTCTGACTACAAGAGGGTGCAGAACAGAAATATTATATGTTATTTTTCTCCACACATCTATTTTCAACATAGTAGCAAAAGAAAAGGCTGTGTCCAATCTCTTTGCTTCTGCAGTGAGACCCCCACCAACCCCTGAACAATGTCTCACTAACCCCTGAACAATGTCTCACCAACCACATAGTGCCTTTTACAGCTTTCCAGATCTTCTCTAGTTTAATAGACACTAGCTTGTTTCCTATCTTTAGTTGTCATAAAGTTTTGCAGTAAGTATTCCTCTGTGTTATTTTTATGTGTGTGACTATAATACATCAATAGGATAATTCCCAGGAGTAGAATTGTAGCACTCTTGGTAAGAGTGTATGTCTGTAAACATACTGCTTTTCACTGGGGATGTACCAAAGCATACTGCCAGCAATATATAATATAAAGCTTTGGCAAGTAGAACAATGTGATCAAACTTTTCTATTTTCACCAAATTATTAAGAAATTTGTTGCTCAGTGTGGTCTTAATTTTAAATTCTCTCATAGATGATATTTTTACATGTCAAGGGTCATTTGCATTTTATTTTCTCTGAATTGTCTACTTATTTGCCATTTTTTCTATTGGTTTATTGGTGTATGTATGTATAATTCAGGAAATTCATTTTTAATTTATGATATTGGCTACAAATATATATTCCCATTTTTTATTTGACTTTGATTATGCCATATTTTAATCATGTCTATTTATGTTTAATAGTCTATGTAGTAACATTTATCAAATTTCTTTATGGTTTCTGAATTTTGAGACACAGTTTGAAAAGCCTTTTCCATCCTAACTTTCTAAAAATGTAAGTGCAATCTTTCAGTTCATTAATTATTTTTAAGAAGCAAATTTTGGATCCATATGACATTAATTCTATTTTTTATTAGGATGTTCATTTCACAAGTGTATTCACATTCAGAAAATACTTCAGAATGTATGTTTTTGATAATCTGTGTATATTTCTCTAAGTATACCTATGTAGACATCACATTTTTAAAAGGCATATAAGAAATCTAATGTTTCATTTAAACTTTTACTTTAAAAATAAATATATGTTAGGTGAATGAGAAAAAGCATATCTGGGCATCCTAAGCCCTCTGTAAGAATTAGACAACATTGTGAATCTCACACATGATATCCAAATGTGATAAACATTTTTCCCAGCCTTAGTTTCTAACACATATAGACACATATATACATGCATTCAAACAAAAGAATAACAACAAACAAACAAATAAGTAAATAAATAAGTATAGAGAAATAGTTGAGAATATATGTTTTATTCTGGGAGTTGCAGGGGAAAAGAAATTTACCAAGAAAACAGAAAGAGAAAATTAATTGTAAGAGAAATAATAGAAGACATTGAACTTAAGTTCATGTTGGCTCCTTTTTATCTGCATCTTTCTCCTTTTCCCCTCTTGCCCATTCCACCCAATTAATCCTGACCTTTTATCTGTTTATTAAGCTTTGAATCTTCTTCACCACAAATTGCCTGCGGAAGATTTATGTTACCTCTGCCTGGTGTCCTTTTTTTGCCATTCGTCATGACTAATCCCTACTCATTCTTCTGAACTGAAATGCATGCCTTTCAAATGAGTTCCATTGCATTAGTGTTCCTTGTTTTATGTTTTAATTGTACTTCAAAGCTCTGATTAGAGCTTTAATATAGTAAAAAAGAACAATGAACACTCTTGCAATCATGTAGCGTGTTGCATTTATATTCACCAATTTGGAAGTTCTCAAATGTGAATAGCTTGCTTCTGGGCAACTAATGTGTTCATGTTGGACTAAGGTTGATTTCAGACTACATGTATCTTCTTTGGCCCTGAAAAATCCAAGAGGTGGTTCAATTTGGCCAACTCTGTTTTAGCCCTAAGGAAAGAAAACAGAGACTCTAAGAAGGTGGCAGATTAAAAAAGCCCCGGTGAAGTCTGTATTTTGTGCTAACACAGGGAACATGTGAATAGCAATAAAATTTCTCTCTGAGCAACAAAGGAGACTAAAAGATTTTAGTGAAAGAAGCTAGTAAAGAATGCAGTGGCACAGAATACCTTGGGCATCCATGGAGCACTGGAAGGACTCTTTGAAGGATAAACCAATAAATGCAGAATTTCAGGTAAAGCATCAAAGATATATTCATTTATTCAGATTATGTTTCTTTATTGCCTACTTATGTCATAAGTTATACAGATAAAGTAGAAAATAAAATAAACGATCACATTACTTATATAGGGCTTTATGCCTTAGGTAATATGGCCTATTTATCTTAGGGAGGTTATTTACATAACTTGGATATCACCTTTGTTTCACATATACTCTATCATTAGTATTTCAGGTTAATAATTTGAAGACTGCTCTTTAATTGATATGTTCCTTTACAGTACTCAAAAATTTTTAACTTTTACTTTAATATGCAGGCAACTACCTACCTCTCTGTCTTGTAACCTCTAATTAAATAAGATATAAGAAGACTATTTTAACAGAGGAATTATAAAATATTACATTTATATATTATATATCAAGGCCTCACTAAACCTCAGATTTTATCAGATATTTCTATATAATTATAAAACTCAGAGGAAATGGGAAGAAAATAGGTTAGTCAGAATATTCTCCTGCCAGAGAAATGAATGTCATTCTCCACCAATTTAATGGCTTATAGCACATAAATAAATTATTGTTTCATAGACATACAATGAAAGGTTTAAAGATGGCCCTCATTCATTTATTCAGATTATGTTTGTTTATTGCCTGCTTATGTCATAAGTTATACAGATAAAGTAGAAAACAAAATAAACAATCACATTACCTATATAGGGCTTTATGCTTTAGGTAATATTTTAAAAAGCAACAAAAACCTATGAAAATTTTTTTTTAAAATCCTACATATAAACACTGCTTTTCTATACACTCACCATTTTCTGCCTTTTCATAAGGTGATTAAAAAAGTCTGTATAAGCCTTCAAGTTACTGTGAAAAGATAGCTTCTGCTCTGGGAACCTCTTTCCACTTATGCCAAGTGTCTTTAATGTTTTCGTTTTTTCTCTGTTTTATATTTATAACCAACCCTTATCTCATATTTCTACATGTCTTTCAAGTGAGGAACTAACTGTCGTTTTGAAAGTGTCTCAAGAATGTTTATATGTTGGAGGCTTAGAAGATAGAGATACTGTCTCTCTGCAAAACAGAGGACAGGCAAGCTTGTATGTGAAGTAAAATCTGAGAACACTTAAAGTTCTTGATGTCTCTTCCTGTGGGACTGTATTACTCCATTTTCAAACTGCTATAAAGACATACCTGAGACTGGGTAATTTATTTATTAAAAAAAGAGGTTTAATTGACTCACAATTCCATATGTCTGGGGAAGCCTCAGGAAACTTACAATCATGGCGGATAGGGAAGAGGCATGTCTTACATGGTGGCAGGTGAGTGAGAGCAAGCAACAGCAGGGAAAACTGCCTTATAAAACTATCAGATCTCATGAGAACTCACACACTATCATGAAAACAAAATGGAGGAAACTGCCCACTTAATTCAATCACTGCTTACCAGGTCTCCCCCTAAACACTTGGGGATTACAATTCAAGATGAGATTTGGGTGGGGATGCAAAGCCTCACCATATCATTCTACCCCTGGCCCCTCCCAAATCTCATGTCCTCACATTTCAAAACTGATCATGCCTTCCCAACAGTCTCCCAAAGTCTTAACTCATTTCGTCATTAACTCAAAAGTCCAAGACCAAAGTCTCATCTAAGACAAGGCAAGTGCCTTCTGCCTAGGAGCCTGTAAAATCAAAAGCAAGTTAGGTACTTCCAGGACACAATGGAGGTACAGGCGTTGGATAAATGCTTTCACTCCAAATAGGAGAAATTGGCCAAAATAAAGGGGCTACAGGCCCCATGCAAGTCCAAAATTCAATAGGGAAGTCATTAAATCTTAAAGCTCAAAAACAATCTCCTTTGACTCCATGTCTCACATCCAAGTCATCCTGATGCAAGAGGTGGGCTCCCATGGCCTTGGGCTGCTCTGACTCTGTGGCTTTGCACTGTACAGCCCCACTCCCGGCTGTTTTCACAAGCTGGAATTGAGTGTCTGTGGCTTTTCCAGGTGCATGGTACAAGCTGTCAGTGGATCTACCATTCTGGGATCTGGAGGATGGTGACCCTCTTCTCATAGCTCCACTAGGCAGTGCTCCATTGGGGACTTTGTGTTGGGGTTTCAATCCCACATTTCTCTTCCTCACTGTGCTAGCAGAGGTTCTCCATTAGCGCTCCACCCCTGGAGCAAACTTGGGCCTAGACAGCCAGACATTTCCATACATCCTCTGAAATCTAGGCAGAGGTTCCAAAACCTTAATTTTTGACTTCTGACTTTTGAGCAATTGGGAGAAAGCACGCCAAATGGGAATGGGAGTTCTCACTCTGGTCCAAGGATTTTATCTGGAACTGGTAGCTTAGTTTTCATGCTTTAGACTGTTCTTGGCTTGAAGGTCAAGTTTGACTGGTGACCTATCCCTGTCTGCCTAGGAATTTGCCTGCCTCCTGTTGCTATCAATACTAAATAAAACATTGATATAATATATTGGCTGTTACTACTAGAGCTTAAGTTAATTAAACATGAATATCTAGAACCAAACCAAGGCCAATTAAATATCTAAATTCTTTGACTCAACTTATTAATATATACTTTCAAATTTATACTATAGCTTAAATTAAATATCATTGTTTTATCAACAGTATTGACCTATTATTTTTTCTATTCAGATACCACAGTTTTGTTGGGAGACAATTTTCTATACAGTTTTGTATTGTATGTTTTGTAAGCAGAAGCACTGATAGTTTCTATTCTAAACTGTTATTGCTTACATAGTGAAGTACTTTGAAAGGTACAGGTAGTATCTTCTCCTGAAGCAGAAGGCATATTTGTTCATTCTCCAGTATTCTTTCAAAAAATTATACCTTTTGAAGCATTTTGCTTGCACCTATTATTAAAAATCAGTTCCTTAAGCTTGGGCTTCTTCATTTGTGACATAAACCTACTGTGTATACAACATGTATCTGAGCCACTTCATATCACTCCTCAGGGACTTGGAGGGTAAGAGAAAGCAACATAAACTTGAAGCTCATGCTGCTTGCTATGATGTGAGTGATCTCTGACCAATGAGTTCCATCTGTATCTTCTGTCAGAATCTAGGAAATTGTGGCAGGATAATTTGTCAGTTTGCATGTATGGTAAAACCTTATACTCATCTCATGTTTTGAAAGTTTTGTGATGCATCAAGATTTATAGTTTTAAATGATTGAATTCATAATCAAGGCCTCAACTAAATGTCTTACTAAGTTAGAATACTAATTGAAAGAAAGTCATTCATTTCTGAGATAACTGAAATCGCTAATAATCAGCACCATATTCTCTAATTAATAACAGTTCAAAGCATAAAATCTAAATGTGCTAGAAAGAGACAAGATCTTTAAAAATTCAGTAAAGTGTCTTGTTGATTAAGAATTCTGCTTATCTATCTGCCTTGCCTGATGAATTGATTTAATTTCTTCAGTCAGAATGAGCTAGAGAGAAGACAGGGAAGTAGGGTATTTAATTTCAGTTAGAATGTTTTATTTTTCATATTTATTTTTGCCTAAAAAGAACCACTTAATTATCCCCTCCATTGCTAGAGAGCAAGACATGGTTTTATAGTTGAAAGACTTAGTAAATATTTTAAAACAAACCTGGAAAGTATTTCTAATTTTACACAATTAAGTAGTACAAATTAAATCAGAAATTCTAGAACATTTAGACACTTTCTATTTTATCTTCATATTAGTGACGTAAGTCAGTGTGATACCAAAGATATTGTACATTTTGAAAACATTCAAATGTATGCTTTTTTATTGTTATGAGATACATATGCTAAAGTGAAAGTGTTGATTGTTTAAGGATTCTAATATTGCTAATTACATATAATGAATAAATTTCAAAATCATTACATATCAATAAAAATATTTTAAATTAAATTTTTGAAAAATATGTAGTTTTACTTAATATTTTAAGTAAAATTAAATCTTCAACAATAAAATCTTAAACAATTAAATCATAATTGTTTATTAAACAATAAAATTCAAAATTCAACAAAGTTATCTGATTCAAGATCCAGTGTAACCCTATTATTAAAATGAAAAGGTAAGCTTAAAAGCTATTATACCATCACCTAAAATCCATTTCTCAGTTCATTAAATTACTTCTTACAGGTCATTGACTTTCTTCTTTTTTTCCCCTTTTTTTCTGAGATGGAGTTTCACATTTGTTGCCCAAGCTGGAGTGCAATGGCACGATTTCAGCTCACTGCAACCTCTCTCCTGGGTTCAAGCGATTCTCCTGCCTCAACCTCCTGAATAGCTGGGATTACAGGCACGCACCACGACGCCCAGCTAATTTTTTGTACTTTTAGTAGAAACAGGGTTTCACCATGTTAGCCGGGCTGGTCTCGAACTACTGACCTCAGGTGATCTGCCCGCCTCGGCGTCCCAAAGTGCTGAGATTACAGGCATGAGCCTCCACGGTTGGCCAGGTCACTGACTTTCATTGTATAATAAAAAAGGACTGAGTAGACTTTTTAAAAATAATTGATTACTTAACTGGCAGTTTGAAAGGGTTAAAGTCATCAAGCATAGTCAAATACCTTGTATGAGCCTTATTAAAATTACCACTGTACTGGTTTTCCTTTCGATAATTGCTGCAGTAGTGGAGTAACACTCATGCAATTAAAAGAATAATAATGAAGACATTAAATGTCTACATTCAAAAAAAGAAGAAATTTTTAAGACTTGGTTTTCATTTGGAATGACAAATTTTAGAAATTACAAAACTACCTTTAATTGAGCACACATGAAAATTTGGGAAATCTCTCATAATTAGGTACAAACATCGTTTAACTCTTTCAATATCCAAAAGGTATCCCTTCATAGAGTACTTTTCCTACTACCAGTGAATACATACTTGTGTTAGTTATTTTTTTGCAACATAACCAACCAGGCCAAAACTTATTGGCTTAAAGAAGCCAACGTGCATGCTCACTATTTGGAGCTAGGATTACTGGGCAGTTCTTTTGATCTCATAGGCCTCATTCACGCAACTGCAGGTTGGTTATCTGTTGGGTGATGCCATACACATATATTTAGTAATAATGGCCTCTGGCCACACATGTTGGTATTAAGGTTCTAAGGAATAGAGAGAAAAGCATGCAAGGCCTCTTGACAACCTGGCCTAGAACTGGCACCCTATCTCTTCTGTGTCTTCTATTAGCAAAATTATATCATCAGACTAACCCCATTTAAAAGGTTTAAGACATAGATTTTACCTCTTAAAGTCCCTTTGCAATGAGAATGAATAGAGACAGGAGAAAATTGTGGCCATTTTTTTTTGTAATCTAACCAAAGATAGTATATAAGGTAGAAAATTATGACAGCAAGATTTGACCTTCAAATTTCTTTATATTAATGTAATTATAATTGCCCCGATTCACAAGCTTGAGGGTTGTAAAGTTACATATATTCATCTACCTGGGAAAAATTGTTACTGGCACCATGGTAATTTTAGTAAGTATTTTACAAGCAATTTTATTATTTTTTGTTCTCATATATCTGTGTGTGTGAATGCATGTGCATGCATGTGTGTTGATGAGTGAGGAATAAACGAAACATCACAAAAAAAGGAGAAAGAAAATCACGCTCAAGACACATAGTATACAATTGGAAATTTAGACTTCATCGGTATTATAGGGGGACAATTGCATCATGGCATTCTGGTGACTTTGCCTGTGTCCATATAGGCCATGTAGGCAAAAGTTTGAACCACAGCTAATCTGAGCCTTGGTGGAACAACTTACGGGCTTTCTGGAAGACAAAAGCCTTCTCATAAAAGGATATGAGAAAATGCCATGAGGTCATATTTACTCACCTTCTTATATCACATGGGAGGCAGTCATGCCTCCGTTTCTCATTATTTCCCAGGTTCTGATAAGGGAAGAGGCTTTCTGCTCCGTGCCCCTTAGGTTAAAGCTGCAGTCTATAAACATATGTAACAACCTTCTGGCATTGAGTCCTCAAGAACACAGTGTCCCTTTCACTGCATTGTCAACTAGCCCTTTTTGTCTGAGTTTTACACTTTTGAGTGTGGGGGACAAAGAGCTCAGTGCATTGTCTCCTTTTGCTGTTCTTCCTTTTTCTGGCCAAGTAATAAAATGTTTGAATCTAAAAGGGGCTTGCCGTATTTTACTGGCTAAATCTGTCTGACAGGCCTTGGCATGGGCCTTGCCTGCTGCTCTGTGCTTGGCAGGGATATATTTAGAAATATGGCTGCAGCTATATTCTGACTTATCTCTCTCCTCTTTTGCTCATCTTTCACCATCACAAAAACTGGAAAACCACAGGTAGTGTTTCTCCCTAACAGCATTAGATAGCATACTATATTGAGTTTCCAATAAAGTAATTGACTTGGCTTCCAGAGCCCTGTATCTTGACAGGGACAATTCCCACCGGGATTGTTTGAAACCATATGAACAAAGCTATCCTAACAGGCTCTTCAAAAAGATTCTTGCTTATCAACTTTGAATCAATATCATAATAAGAAACGTAAACCTTAGTGTTATCCTCCTGTATGTGGTAGGATTTATGTATTATTCCCAGAGGATAAGAGAACTCTATTTTTTTATGTTAAGGGCAGTCATCTCAGAGTCAGGTACCAGTCTCTAAGTCTTTGACTGTAAATAATGCCTAGTTTGAAATAGATTTTTTAAGTTGTGGAAACCTATGACTCTTCACTCTGTCCCTCACTATGAATATAACAGGTAGACTCTGTCGATTGTGAGGTGATAACCAAACTTGTTTTGTTTTCTAAGCATTTTTTAGATTGAGTATCCCTGTAATAATATTTTAGTTTTAACATGCGATATTGACAGGAATAAAAGCATTTCCATAAGATGCTGTTAGTTTACACAGGTCCCATGGAATGTAATCCATGATTCTTAATGGCCCAGACACCAAGCAAAGTCTAAATCAATGATATGTTCTTCTAACAACGCTTTAAAAATCACATCCACTAGCCACATACCCTTTGTTTAGCTTTCCTTTAAGTGCTTTCAAAATCTTCTATATTTAAAAAAAATGTGGTCACAGATTTTCAATGCGCTTTGACCAAAACTGGAATGTACTGGGTGATGTGTTGTAACGAAAATTCTAAATTCATATTCAACTACAGTTCTTAATATTATAGCCTGTGATATCTAGCATACATATATTTTTAAAATACTAACTTTTCATTGTATCAAAAACTCCTGAACTTTTGACAGAAATTAACTAGCATAAGAACTGAATATATAACATAAATTTACTAATTTCAAATACAATTTTCAAGAATAAAATTTGTGTACTTTATAAGAACAGTGAATATTATATTTCTTGTATGTTAATGTTTAACCTATATGTGCCTAAATATCATAAGGTTATCAGAATTACAAGATTTTAAATGACAATTTAAAATATGATTAACCGCAGTGAGCAGAAGAATGTAATTGAGTATTCCTATACAGAGATCGCCTTCAAATCTGTCAGTTTTGTTTTTCCTTCTGGAGAAACCAGCAATTTTTGATAGATATGAATTGCAGCAATGATTCAATTTCCCCCAGAAATTTCAAATTGATTTTTAAACAATAATGATTTATCTTTATTTTTAAACTATGCACTCTTGTATTCTAGGCTAGCACTCAGATTTTCATTTAGGAAAATGACTTTGTGAAAAGAAAATGTATTATTTGGAAACTTAAACACATAGTCAATTTCTAATGAGTGAATGTAATGTTACACATATCAAGACTTTTCTTCATAAATAATAAACACTTATTACACGTGAAATATGTAAGCACTTCTAATCTCAGTTTTGTGATTGTAAATTGTTTTAATTATAAAAAGAATTATGACTCCTAAATGTAAACAGAGTTTCTGTAAATACTTACCTTTATGCTTCTTTTTTATTAGTTCACCTTTTCCTCTTTCAATAAACCTGTTTTATATGCCAAGTTCTTTATTTACCTGGAGGATCACTTGAGCCCAGAAGTTCGAGGCCGCAGTGAGCTAGGATTGTACCACCGAAGTCCAGTGTGGGTGACAGAGCTGGACCTTGCCTTTAAAAGAAAAAAAAGAAATGTAAAGGGGCCTTATATTCATATTTGCCTATTAAACTATCCCAAGGCTAATTAAATGCCCTAGAAATTATAAGAAGAGAACAAAGAGTCTACAAATTGGATATTTTTATGGTTTGTTTTTACTTGATGATTTTTACATTGGAAGTGCAATGCAAACATCTACAACATAATGTAACATGTTGCTGTCATGTCACCTTTCATTCTCACATGTGGTTTATTGCAGTAATTTAATTACACAATTACATTTTTTCACCATTGCCATATCTAAAACCTAGCTAGCATTTATTTTTATTATCATGAAGCTATGATCATTTTTCTGGGGAATTATTTTTTCTCCTTATACAAGTTAGCCTTGTATAAAAAAGTAACATAAAATGAATATTATTTATTTAAGATAGAGTTAATGGAAAATATATATTCAAAATAAAGAAATGAAGTATGTCTTTATAAGCCTTTCAAAAATGGCATGACAAAAATCTTAGGAACAATTGTGGAAATAAAACAAGTCCTCAACTCTCTTTTCAGGAATAAAGGAATGCCCTCATAACTAACTATATAACTTCTTGTCATACTTGGAAGTTAACAGAAAAAATATCAGAACTGGGGGGAAAAAACAGTTAACTTAGAAGTGTTATCCAGATTTGGAGTTAATAATTACTACTAATCTAGGATATCGACCATGTGCTAGAAAGAGACTATTCTTCCTTCAGAACTGAAACAAGTACACAAGATTAAAAATTGTACTCATTATGACTCAAAATGAACGCTGCATGAACCTACGGCGTTACATCTTACACTATGACTTTTCAAATAATTGTGCTTAACACATTACCAATCTCAGAAAATGGACAGTCAAGTGAAATAAGATTAAGAATTGAAGACTCCTCACTTCCATTTTGCCCTAGTGATCAATCCACAGGTCAACGAATTTAAGGTCAACTTTCATCTCAGCATTAAAATTCTAACACTGTTTTGAATTCTAGTTCGTTGGTTGTCTTCAAAGTCACACTTGAAATTTAAGTCAAAAAAATGACTGGTATCTGGCGTCAAACTTTAAACCACCGAAGGGGACTTTTAAAATATAATTCAGTGGTAAGATCAATGAAAGAAACTCATGGAATGGACAAATATTTGTTAAATACTATCAAAATAACTCATTGACTGTTTAATAAAGAAATAAATTAGGGCTGAGTGTGGTGGCTCACACCTGTAATCCCAGCACTTTGGGAGGCCGAGGCAGGCAGATCACCTGAGGTCGGGAGTTCGAGACCAGCCTGATCAACATGGAGAAACCACGCCTTTACAAAAAATACAAAAGTAGCCGGGCGTGGTGGCACATGCCTGTAATCCCAGCTACTTGGGAGGAGAATCGCTTGAACCCAGGAGGCGGAGGTTGCGGTGAGCCAAGATCGCGCCATTGCACTCCAGCCTGGGCAACAGGAGCGAGACTCCATCTCAAAAAAAAAATAAATTAATTAATTAACTAAAACTCAGATGTTATTCTATGTGTTCAAATGTATAGAAATATGAATTAATTAAATATTTATTCATCAAAGAGTAAACTCCTCTGAACAGGCAGCATTAAATAGTTGAGTATTTATTAACCCTCTAGAGGAGAAAGAATTACCTAAACTTAGAAGCAATTAAAGAAATAGTTAACAAAGATAACTTCCTCTGTGGCACGAATTTCATCTTTTAAATAATATATTAAATGCTTTTCATCTGCATACCAACCCTACAAGGCAGATATTACTGTCAACTCCACTTTATAGATGAAGAAATTGCAGCTTAGAAAAATAAAGTACATTATCTAAAGTGATACAGTTAATGGCAGGGCCAAGATTTTAACTCAGGGATTCTGATTCCAGAATCCACATAACAATGTAACAAATGGGAAGAATTAGCCATATTAAATCAATTTTATTTGCACAAAAAATAAAAAAAGTACAAATGTATAAGCAAAATATTAACATATTTATTGTAGAGTAGTTCAGGTGCACCATTGCCAACCGTATAGGTGACTTGTTACTTAGATCAGCTTCCTCATTGAAAACAAATTGAAATATAGCATATTATATTTTTAGTAAAAATAAATATTAAAAATTGAAAAATAAAAGTGAAAAATAATCACACTAAAAAAGAAGCAAATGACAGGTAATATGTGGAGCCAAAAATGAGCTTTAAACATCATAGTATTCACTAAATTGAGTCAATATTAGCATAAGTTTTATGGCCTTGCAAGACTTGGGGCACAGAAAATAAAATAAGGTCTAGCTCATGCCTCAATGGGGAATTCTAATAGGCCCACAAAGGACTACATACTTAGTAGCCTTAATGTGTAAGATTTTCTAGTATACACTAGAAAGAGAAAGACAATACATTTTTCCTGGTTGAAACTTTGGTGCCTAAGGAAAAAAAAAAAAGCAAGGAAAGAAGGAAGGTAGGAAAGAAGTAAGGAAAGGAAAGAAGGGAGGGAGAGAGGAAGGAAGGAGGAAATAAGGAAGTCAATAGAGTGTTCATGTGGATTCATAGCCTAAATTCTCTCTACCTAAGTAATCTGTAGATCCCCAAGCCCAGTTGAAGGTGGGTCCCAGACTACTAGCAGACCCAAGAAATTCATAAAAGCAAATGTAAATTCACTTAAGAGGGTCCCATCTTCTCAAGAGTTAACAAATTATCATGAATAAAGTTCCAAAGAAAGTGAGAAATTTAGTAAAAAATGAAAAAAAGCATATAAGAACACAAGCTATACTATTACAAATATTAAAGTTCAATACATTAAATTAAACACTTCCTTGAACATTTTAACAGTAATTGGATATCAGTAAAGAGATAACCTGGAATATAGAAATGAAGAAATTATCTATAACATATTACAGAGATACAAATAGACAGCAGATAATTTAAGAGGAAAGAAAAAAATGAGTTTATATGTAAAATTGTAGCTGATTTCTTACAAGGAGCAAGAGAAATCAGAAGACAGAAAGATGGTACACTGAATCCATTTCAGTAAAAATGACTGCTAAGTTAAAATTCTAGACTTAGCAAATGTGCTGATGAAGAAAGGGAATCATAAAAGCATTTTCCACAAAACATAACAATAGAGATAATTCCCAGCAGATTGCCACTAAAGGAAATTCTACAGACGGTATTTCAAGCAGAAAAACCATGAAGATTTAAAAACTTGTAAATATTTGAATGTGTTCATACAAATCAGAAAGTACAAAAAAGTTATAAAGTATTTTAAAGTTAAAATTAAAAAGCCATATGTAAAATATCTTTAATAATTACAAATAAGAGGTTTGTGTATTGAATTAAATTATAGCAAGGTATTTATGCTGTTTAGGATAACTAGGGTGTACTATACTGTATTTTGCTAAGCTATGTGACTAGAGGTGTGGTTAGGAATATGGAGGGCTGCAAAGACAGGCACATGACAAAAAAAGGATTCGTGTTGTCCTTGGTTATATTATGAATTTTGGAATGTATGTTAAAGTCAATAAGCAAGTAAGTTTCAGTGTGGAGAATAAACTGGAAAGAACAGTAAATGTAGAGAGAACAGAAGTCCAGGCCAGATTTTGGGGAGATGATAAATGAAAATAAGAAATAATTAAAATATAAAAATAACAGGACTCATTCATTGATTGGCTTCATTAAAAGGTGAAACCATGTATAACTCTGAGGTTATTATCATATTAAAAGTCAATATATAATTTTCAGTTTCCACCCTTATGTGTACAGAGACTTACAGTTATCACTCATTCTATAACAACAAATAAGTTAAACAATTTGAAAACAAATGAGCTTTATTAGACCCACCAAAGAATTGAAGTTACAGGGCAAACACTACCCTGAAATCTCTTAAAAAAAAGGTAAATATAGTGAAGTATAGCCAAGATCTGTTTACCAAAAGCAGAGGCCACCAGAGACATAAACTGACAGGAACACTTAAACAATAGTTGCAGAGGGACAAAACTAAGAATTTCATTAACTCTGTTCTGAAACTGGCAAGCAAGAGGTGAGTAGAGTAAAATATGCAAAATGTTGGGAGACAATAAGAAAGAAAACCCAGAAAACTAGAATTTTATATCCATCATAAATATCCTCAAAATTGAAGGAGAATTAATAGAATTGCTCAAAAAATAAATGAGGAAATTCATCACCAGTAGACATACACTGTAAGAAATGTTAAAAAAAAAGAACATAAAAGTTTTTCATGGAGAACGAAGGGGAGATAGTTTCAAACTTCAGTCTAAATAAAGAAAAGAAAATCATCAAAGAATAAATAAAACATTTTATTTGATTTACTCATAATTGATTCAATAGATATCTGCTTAAAGTAATAATAATAATAATGTCTTCGATGATTACATTATATAGATAAGTGAAATAAATGGCACTAATGTTATAAGTGACTGGATGGAAGAATTGGGAATACTCTGTTATAAGGTAACTGCACTACCCATTAAATAGTTGTTATTCAAGAGTGAGATTAGATTGAGAGTGAGATTAGATTAGTTCTAAATGTCTATTGTGAAATCTATGGCAAACATTTAAAGAAAGTATAGCTAATATGCTAAGAGAGGAGATAAAATAAAATAATGTAAAATATTCAGTTAAAACTAGAGAAGGCAAAACAAGAAGAAAAAAATAAAAAAAGAGCACAAACAATGAATAGAAAAATATTTATTAACCTAGCAGGTATTAAGCAAATTATATTAATAAACATTTTAAATATGAATGATTTAAATACACTACTTAAAGGATAGAGAGTACTAGAGTGGATTTCAAGAACAACAAAAGCCCCCTCAAAAAGACCCATAACAAGATCCAGCTATATGTTGCCTCCAAGAAACTCACAAATTGTTTTTGTTTTCCTTCTTTCTTATGTTTTTAACTTTTATTTTAAGTTCAGGAGTACATGTGCAGGTTTGTTACATAGGTAAATGTGTGTCATGAGGGTTTGTCATACAGATTATTTCATTACCCAGGTATTAAGCCTAGTACCCATGAGTTATTTTTTCTGACCCTCTTCTTCCTTCCACCTTCCACCCTCTGATGGGCCCCAGTGTGTGTGTTGTTCCTTTCTATGTGTCCATGAATTCTCATCATTTAGCTCCCACTTATAAGTGAAAACACGTGGTATTTGGTTTTCTGTTCCTATGTTAGTTTGCTAAGGATAATGACCTCTAGCTCCATTCCTGTCCCTGCAAAGGACATGCTCTCATTCTTTATGGCTACATAATATTTCATGGTATATATGTACCACATTTTCTTTATTCAGTCTATAGTTGATGGGCATTTAGGTTGATCCCATGTCTTTGCTATTCTGAATAGTGCTGCAGTGAGCATACATGTACATGTGTCTTTGTAATAGAAATATTTATATTTTGGCAGATATATACCCAATAATAAGATTTCTGAGTTGAATAGTGTTTTTGTCTTTAGGTCTTTGAAGAATTGCCACACTGTCTTCCACAATGGTTGAACTAATTTACACCCCCACCAACAATTTATAAGCATTTCATTTTACTCCACAACTTCACCAGCATCTGTTATTTCTTGACTTTTTAGTAATAGCCATTCTGACTGCTGTGACATGGTATCTCATTGCGGTTTTGATTTGCATTTCTCTAATGATTAGTAATGTTGAGTTTTTTTTCATATGATTGTGGGTCATGTGTATGTCTTCTTTTGAGAAGTGCCTGTTTATGTCCTCTGCCCACATTTTAATGGGGTTGTTGTTTTTTTCTTGTAAATTTTTTTAAGTTCCTTATGGACACTTGATATTAGCCCTTTGTCAGATGCATAATTTGCAAAAATTTTCTTCCATTCTATAGGTTGTCTGTTACTCTTGATAGTTTATTTTGCTGTGCAGAAGCTCCTTAGTTTAATTGGATCTCATTTGTCAATTTTTGTTTTTGTTGCTATCGCTTTTGGCATCTTCATCAAGAAATCTTTGCTGGTGACTATGTCCTGAATGGTATTGCCTAGATTGTCTTCTAAAGTTTTATAGTGTTGGGTTTTACAATGAAGTCTTTAAAATGTACCTTGAGTTAATTTTTGCATATGGTGTAAGGAAGGGGTCCAGTTTCAATCTTCTGCATATGGCTAGCCAGTTATCCCAACACCCTTTATTAAATAGGGAATTCTTTCCCCATTGCTTGTTTTTGTTAGGTTTGAAGATCAGATAGATGTAGACGTGTGGTCTTATTTCTGGGTTCTCAATTCTGTTCCATTGGTCTGTGTGTCTGTTCTTGTACCAGTACCCTGCTGTTTTGGTTATTTTGAAATTAAAACCAAATGGCATTTATAATAGTATCAAATATATGTAATATTTAAGCATAAGCATCATTAAATACGAATAGAATTTATGTGTGGGAAAAATACAAAACTGATAAAAAGTGAAAGAGCTGAACTCATGGAGAAAGAGTGCATTCATGGACTGGAAGACAAATATTTTTGGTGTATCAATGCTTTTTTTTTTTTTTTTGAGACGGAGTCTTGCTCTGTCACCAGGCTGGAGTGCTGTGGCATGATCTAAGCACACTGTAACCTCCGACTCCCTGGTTCAAGCGATTCTCCTGCCTCAGCCTCGCTAGTAGCTGGGATTAAAGGTGAGCACTACCATGCCCAGCTAATTTTTGTATTTTTAGTAGAGACAGGGTTTCACCATGTTGGCCAGGATGGTCTCAATGTCCTGACATTGTGATGTGCCCGTCTCAGCCTCCCAAAGTGCTGGGATTACAGGCGTGAGCCTCCGCGCCCGGCCGGTGTGTCAATTCTTTTTGGCTGTATCACAACACAATCAAAATCAAAATCCCAGACAGATATTTTGTGAATCTCAATAAACTGATTCTAAAGTTTATGTGTGAATACCAAAGACCCAAAAAGACCCAAAATAACCAACACAATACTGAAGAACAAAGTTGAAGAACTGACATTACCTAGCTTCAAGACTTCTAAAGCTACACATAAATAAATACAGTATGGAGAAAGAAGAGACACAAAAATTAGTGAATCAGAATAGAAAGCTAAGAAATAGACTGACACAAATATAATCACTCCGTTTTTGACAAAGGGACAAATGCGATTCAATGGGGAAATGATCATCTTTTTAGCAAATGGTCCTGGGACAAATGAACATCCATATGCAGACAAATGAATCTAGACTTAGAATTCACAGCTTACACACACATGCACACACACACACACACACACACACACAATAAATAAACCACGGTTCTAAATATAAAACAAAACTGTAAAACTTCTAGAAGAAAACATAGGAGAAAATCTATATGATGTTGAATTTCTTGATACCTGTCTAGATAGAGTATAAAATGCTTGATCTATGAAAGAAAAAATGGATGAATTTAACTTTCTTAAAATTAAAACTTCTGGTTTGCAAAGGACATTGTTAAGAGAATCAAAAGCCAGGCCACTGACAAGAGAAAAGTATTTGCAAAACACATATCTGATAAATAAAAATTGGATCCAAAAATGTACAAAGAACCTTTAAAACTCAACAATAAGAAAACAAACCGAATAAAAATTGTACATAGGTCTTGAACAGACACCAAGGATATTATACAGATGACAAAGAACTATATAAAAAGATCCTCAACATAATTTGTTCACAGGGAATGCAAATTAAAATAAAAATAAGACATTACTATACGTCTAGTCTATAGAATAGCTAAAATCAAAATAAATAAATAATGCCAAGTGCAGGCAAGATGGGGAGCAACAGGAACTATCATTCGTTGCTGGTAAAAATGCAAAGTGCTGCAGTCGTAATTTTGGAAAACACTCTTGTAGTCTTTTATAAAACCAAACATAGTCTTATCGTAGGATTCAGTAATTGTGCTGATAGTTATCTATCCAGTTAATTTGAAACTATATGTTTATATAACAATCTGCATACAAATACTTATAGCGCTTTTATTCATAATTTACAAAACCTGAAACCAACCAAGTGGTCCTTTACTAACTGAATGAGTAAACTGTGTGGCAACCATACAATGGAATATCATTCAGCAACAAAAAAGCTTTTTTTGAGACATGAAAAGACATGAAGGGAACTTAAATGCATATTGGTAAGTGAAAAAAGCCAGTATGAAAAAGCTGCATAATTGCAATTATATGACATTCTGGAAAATATAAAAGTAAAGAGACAGTCAATTGGCCAGTGGTGGCTAGGGACTTGAGAGGTGGGGGAATGTGGTGGTGGAGGAGTGTAATAAGTGAGAAATAGGGCATTTTTAGAGCAGTAAAATTATTCCATATGATACCATAATGATGGACAGAAGATATTATGCATTTGTCAAAACCCATAGACTTCTATAGCACAAAGAGTGAATATGTGTCAATAAACAGTATAAATTATTTAAGAAGAGGGGGCATTTCAAGAAGAAATGCAGACTGTTACAAGATAACACTTGATATGATGTAATGAAAATGACACTTTACATCTATAATCTTCCTCCCAATAACTCATAACCTCAGTTTTATGAGAAAAACATGTTTATATTGGGCAATCCACAAAATACCAGACTAGTATACTTCAAAACTGTCAAGGTAATCAAAAAGAAAAAAGTCTAGGCCAGGCACAGTGGCTCATGCCTGTAATCCCAGCACTTTGGAAGGCTGAGGCAGGTGAATTACTTGAGGTCACAAGTTCAAGACCAGCCTGACCAACATGGTGTAACCCTATCTTTACAAAAAAAATTAAAAATTAAAAAAAAAAATTTTTAAATTAGCCAGGTGTAGTGGCATGCTTGTAGTTCCAGCTACTCAGGAGGCTGAGGTGGGAGAATGAGTTGAACCCAGGAGGCGGAGGCTGTAGTGAGCTGAGATCATGCCACTGCACTCCAGCCTGGGTGACAGAGTGAAAACTTGTCTCATTAAAAAAAAGAGAGAAGAAGAAGAAGAAGAGAAGGAGAAGGAGAAGAAGGAAGAAGAAGAAGAAGAAGAGGAGAAGGACAAGGAAGAGGAGGAGGAGAAAGAGGAGTGGGGGAGGAGGAGGGGCAAGGGGAGAAGGGGGAGGAAGAAGGAAGAAGAAGGAGGAGGAGGAGGATGAGGAGGAGGAGTTCTGAGAAATAGCCACAGCCAAGAAGAACATAACATAATGTGTTATCCTACATGGAATCCTGAAACCAAAAAACAAGGACATTAGGTTAAAAACTAAGAAAATACAGAGACGCCATAGATTTCAGTTCAAAATAATGTTTTAATATTGGTCTATTAATTGCGACAATGTATCATGCCGATATAAGATATTAATAATAGGGGAACCAGGGTGCAAAATATATGAGGACTCTTTCAATTTTTCTATAAATCTAAAACTTCCCAATGAAATAATGTCTAATGTAAATAAAACAAAGCAGGAATAGTAGTATCTCTGTGAGGATCAGAAAAGACCTCTGAATACGACAAAGCTCCAAATAAGATGTATAATTCCTGCTGTATAATTCCTTGTTGTAAGAAAGTAATTTCCACTTGTTTCTAGTTTCACATAAATGTTAATGTAGGAGTTCTTAAGTCTGATTACTGGATTAGTAGAGTAACAACTAAATTAGATTTAATTGACTAAGGAAAGAAGGATATATATTCTAGAAATCTCTCAAAATATTCATATTGGTTTGAAATGATATTGAGCATTATGATTGTTTAGCATAATGATTTGAAACTTAGTTGGGGAGAGGAGGTTCATCTTTGAAAATTAGCTAAAAGACTGCTTTTATAATGTCTCTTGCCCATAAGTGTTAGTCCAATAAAGCTGAAAAAACCTGACATGTACTCTTCGTAATTCTTTTTTCCCAACACTTGTTAATCAATAATATAATGTACACAATTCACAGTACTTTTTTTTTAAGAATAAAGAAGACTTCATTCAAGTGTGTGTGTGTGTGTGTGTGTGTGTGTGTGTGTGTGTGTGTGTATATACATATAATTATTATACTTTAAGTTCTGGGATACATGTGCACAAAATGCAGGTTTGTTATTTTTAAAGTTTGGATTTATGTATAATAAAAAATCTAAAATATGAGGAGTGACTGGTTTTATCTTTCTTAAATCAATTTTATTGTCTGAATTTTATACTACTTTCAGTGAAAAGCATTCAATCAGCAATAAATTAAGCAATTATTTTAATTGGCTGTCTACATTTCTCTAAGAAAACAACCTAACAAAAGTTTGTATTGAAAGAGGTAATATTCTTTCTTTAAAACTTATTTCTCAGAAAGTAAGAATAGAGCATAAAGTAAATTAATAAAGTGCTTATTTATAGCTCTTGGCACTCATTGTATTGTGTAGTATACTTAATTAAAATGTTGTTATATTTTCCCTCTCCATCAAAGCTGAAAATTTGCATTCTACTTATCTTACAAGGGCAATAATCATTCAAATGAAAACCTCATTGAATAAAATAGGGGTGAAAATGTGTTTCAATGGTTTCATCACTTTGTATAGTGACTCAGAATAGTGTTTGATGCCAGAAATTAAGACCAGTGTGCTTACTAAAATGAGAGAAAGAGAAAAAGGAGCAATAATTACTTGACTATCTGCTAGCATCTCCATAAGAGGCTTGAACTTTTCTACATAGTACCTTACTAAATAATACAACAGGAAGGAAGCTCTATTCTTGCTATTTTGAACATCACAGAACTGAAGCTCAAAATGCATAAATAACTTACTTTGGGAAATTATGCAATCAATAGCTTACATTGCAGGCCACAGAGTGATGGGGGTAGAGAGTTTTCAAATAAACCTATTACTGGCCCAATAAGCAGAGAAATGTATACTCATGTATACAGTAGACTACCTATGAGATTAGCTCCTTAAAATGTGTTTGACTGTACCACTTCTACTTTATGAATGAGTTTGCTTCATCACCTCCTCGAATATCTCTCTGATACTAAGACGATATGTCTTGAGAGTTCTCTGATGCTCTCCAATGGTGGGGGCAGTTTAGAAGTCATCAACTCTCTTTCATATGGAACATATGAGCAGCTGCTTGAGGAAGAAAAGTCGAACACCAAGTAGCCCTCCTTAAGAAGTCCTATTAAATTTCTGCAAAATACTTTGGTCTACATATCTTCTTACTGCATATATGACAAATCTCATCTGAATTGTAGAATCATAAGATCCAGGTGAGTTAATTCTGGTACTACTCTCTTTTTTTAAAAAAAAAATGTTTCTGCTTAGAGTTCCTTGAAAAATCAGATTTTTCTGACATTGTCAATAGGTTCTAAAGTAATTTTTAGTAAAGAATACAATTTTTGCCAAAATCCAAATATCTCTGATATTATCTGGACTTATTTATTGAAAGTGTTTGTTAGAGGTAATTATTTTAATGGTTTGATTACTCTTTCTGTTTATGCCACTATATATAATTCTCAAAAATTCAAAAATTGGGCTAGGGCTTAAGTGTCAGCTGGATTTATCAACCAGGCTGTATTTGTTGTATATGTCATTATTGTCCTTTATCTCTTGAGCTTCTTCCTTCGATGAGTTAATTAACATGTTATTACAAATATAGCACACTAACATGCTCTTGGTGGTTATGAACACCTCCAGATTTTCATTGTTCAATATAGAAGTCACCTGACACAAATAGCTATTTAAATTTAAGTTAATGAAAATTAAACAAAACAAATTTAGTTACTCAGTACCACTAATCACATTTCAAACATTCAATAGCCAGATGTGCTTATTGGCTATCCTATTGGAGAGTACAGACATTGAGCATTCTCATAATAATAAAGAGTTCTATTAGACTGCACCATATTAGATTATAAAAATATGTCATCAAACTCTAATTTCCCTATGGCAGCGCAGTAAATATGTACTAGGCTACATTCTGTGAGGATGCAAATTGCACCTGGCTGGACTCTGAAACTGAATTGGAAAAGATTGTGTTAGCAAGGTTTAAAATGTTGTACCAGCCCCCTTGGTATTTTGTACATCCTGCATAGTTTTCATCACTTCCAGACTAGCTGAAACAAACAGAAGAATATCCTTCCTTAATATAGTCTAATTTTAATATCTAGGAACTATCTACTTTATTCACTGGTCAGGCAGGACATTATTAGGAATCAATATTATCACAATTTCTTTGATCAGATTAATAAACACTTAAAGACCTGCTGGAATCTGAAATTGCTTGATGCTTACTACTAAAACCAGGACAAATCCAATGGCTCTCTCAGTGTGACCAATTTAAACTATGTGATGTTTGGACTTGGACAAATATCCACATGAAAACTGCAATGCCCACAGGCCACAATCACAAATAATATTCATCCAAATTATACATTCATGTATAGGTAACACAATCACCAAATAAAATCTCTAGTTACACATTCCAATTCCTATGTTCACTTCTACTTTGTTCCTCTCACCTACAGAGTATCCAACCCTAACGGTTTCAAATACAAGCCTTTCCGATCACCATCCCCATTCTTCTTAAGGATTACTGTACACTGAACAGCACCTTCATCTCGCAATCGTTAAGTAGCTCTGCATATCACTTGCAGGCTATTCACCCAAATCATTGCAAGAAGACTAAGATCGCTGTCATTTTAGCAGATTGCAGCCTCTCAACCATTTTTTTTTCAGACTCCATGGTTTTATGTGAGGGAGTAACTTCAGCCCTATTTCCCTCCAGATAAGAAAAAGAGAGAGAGTAAATTTACTGTTTTGCTTTAACAGGTGGGGTTTTGGTAGCATTGACTCTCCCACCCCCCAAATTTTGATTGTGCACTATATAACTGCTTATCACAAACACCATCAATTTCTTCTCTTTTTAAAATAAAACATTTCTGAAAACCATCTAAAGAGATGTACCTTGTTTCCCACTTGCCATTTTTTCATGTCTCTGTATTTCTCTCCCTTTTGTTTATTTGGTATTGATATTTTGGATATTGTGTGGCCATATGCACTCTACCTGAGGCAGCAGGTAGGAAAGATCCTTGTCTTACTAAATAAAAATTATATACGATGACCAAGATTAGAAAAGCCATGCCCCCTCTTTGTTATTTCTAGCATCATGATTGTCAATTGCATTAAACCACAGTCATCATGAAGTCAGACTAATACCTCCTATATGTATAGCCTTCCACCTGTTTGGAAAAGAGGATTCCATTTGCAGATGGAGGTGGAATGAAGGCAAATTTTCCTCTCAGGATAGGTTTGCCAAACTCTCCAATTAACCTACTGCACCTGATTTGCTGTCATATCATGATAAATCATCTGTTCACAAATATTCAAAAACACTTGGGGATTAGCTATCCTTATTAGCAGTACTGACTGATGTGTAGGGGTACAAGATGGTGTTACGTCCTTGTTGGAGGCAACTCTGAAAGGCCATCTGAGCTACATAGCTTCTGTTTATTTGCTGAGACCTCAGTCACACGAGTGCATTGGAGATCAACTTCTCGTTTTGTCCAACTCTACTTTCTTTATTTTCTTATTGAATATTTGCTAAGGGTAATTTTTCCCTATTAATTTTCTGACTGTGACATCTCATAAAAGTCTTTAAAAGAACCTCATCTGAGTCTGAATGAGTTAGTGATTCATTTTGAATTTGGGCATTGCTGAAGATGATTTATTGGACCATTTCTTTTTTGAAAAATTACTGATGTTGATAATTGTTGGTTTTTCTTTGTGGGCTACTCAGATTTCTCAGTAAAGATGCTCTCAATATGTTGCCTTGGTGGCAAAGGACTAGTTCCCAGGGTTCTTGGAACCACATGCTGGGGACTATGGTTCTAAGAATGCTAGAGTGGTTCTAGAATGCTGAGAGTCCCTATCATTCAGCATAAAATGTTAGGGACTCTCTGCAGTCAGCATATGGTATTTTCACAATTACTAAATTCCCTTGTTTTAGATACTGTATGCATGTTCTCAACTCTGGCTATGGTCACCCAGTGGATAGATTTTCTGCTTTTCCCTCTCCAATGAGTAAATCTTCAGCTTTCTGGGGGAAGAGCAATTAACCAGTGAAACGGGTTTGGAAGGAAATCTTAGCATCAAACTTCTTAAACAAGTTTCAATCCTTATTTAGTTATCTCCATTCTCTCATTCCAGGTACTGGTATTTTCTTAGTCTTTTGGGAATTCTGCTTTAGAGTTCAGGCTATTTTTTTTATCATCCTTTATATCCACTTCAGGATTTGATATTTTCTAGTCCTATTAAGTCTGTTACTACTCACCTATATGCTTGCCAAAGTTTCCAAAATATTTTCATCATAACTGCATCTTGAAGTTCTGTTTTCCTTTCTATTGTTTTACAGTTGATTGATGAAATTAAAGAGAAAAATTCTTCAAGAAATTAATAGGTATTTGATATAAAGAAAATTTTCCAGTTGAAAAACTAACATATTCATCACATTAACTGGTGACTGTAAAAAGAAGTTCAAAACAAGGAATATGCTCCAATAATTTGTTTTGAGATCCCAGACCTAAGTCTTAATACCTTCATTTGAAAGATGAAATTAAAATCTATACTACAAGACCTCTTATATGTTTTTTAAATCACATGTCAAAGTGTAAATCTGTATTACAAGTAAAATATTTTTGCAAATTCTAAATAACAAGAATGTTTTGTTAGGCATGCTTTTTTTTTTCTTAGGCATACTGTATGCTGAATGCTGAGAATCTAAAAAAAATACATTTTTCTGTTTTTATGTCAGGAAATTTAAAAAGCATTATGCTAAGTATACAATGGATATCAACCAATCCTTAAACATTTAAGCCTAGTAAATGCTTTGAATGTATATACCATATCTACAAAATTATTATGAGGTAAGAATGCTCAGAAGGTTTCATATTGATTCCCTTTCTCAAAAAATTGTATCTATAAATTATCCAAGTTTTCTGAAATAAAGAGTTTATGTAACTCTATTTTTTAAACTTGGCCTTTTATAAATATTCATATTCCATTTAATGTTACAAGAGTGATGGTCAATGTCTTATCTATGTGTCTAACAAAGTTAGGTCTTTCATCAATTATGCTTTCATACACAATCTCATGTTCATATCAAACATTTTTAGATATAATTTAATTGCATGATATTTTCTTTCATTCTCCCCAAAGTTCAAAATAAAAACGTTTAAAAATGTATAACAAAGTATTTTAGAAATCTTTTAAGTTTTTAACTTGTTGTAGCATTTTAAATAATTAAATAGCTTAAAATCAGTAAAAATTATCTCTTACTTTTTGATAGGCCTTTTTAATAATTAATGTCAATGTCTTCAGACATGGGCTATTAAAGTCCAGCTATATTATCCGTAGTTATTTTGCACTCAAGCTCCCTCTATATAGATAGATAAATACAGTTTAAAAAAGAACATAGAAAACACACTTATTAATTCATCTTTGAGGTTAAATCACTTCTCTTTCCTTACCAATCCATCCAAATCCCTTCTGAAGTATACGTTAGATGATTCATGAGTACAGAAATAAAGGATAGTCTTTAGAAATCTCATCAGTGTTGATATTTCATTTTGAAACATGCATTATATTTTAATCAATTTTCCTCTGCACTCTCAGAATAGCATCTTTTTTTTCTTTCAAGATGATTTCATTTTCAGTACTGCCAACTTGGGAGCTCTAGAGCTGTGTTTAAAATCACATCAGACTGCTTCCCTGCTTAAAAAGCATTCAGTGGCTCCCGCAGCACTTAGAATGAATGCCAAACCCCTCACCCACTCTTCCTACATCACAGTGTGCTGTTCCTACCTGTCAGTCACTAATTCTAATCATAACCAAACTTCAGTTTCTAGAACCCATTGAGCTCAGTCCAAACTCTGCCTTCTGGCCGGGCTCAGTGGCTCACGCCTGTAATCCCAGCACTTTGGGAGGCCGAGGCAGGCGGATCACCTGAGGTCAGGAGTTCGAGACCAGCCTGTTCAACATGGCGAAACTCCATCTCTACTAAAAAATACAAAAATTAGCCAGCCTCATGGTGGGCACCTGTAGTCCCAGCTGCTCAGGAGGCTGAGGCAGGGAGAATTGCTTGAGCCCGAGGTTGCAGTGAGTCGAGATTGCGCCACCGTACTGGAGTACAGTACTGCCTGGATGACAGTGCGAGACTCTGTCTCAAAAAAAAGAAAAATAGAAAGGAAAGAGAGAGAAAAAAAGAAAGAAGGAAAGAAGGAAGGGAGGGAGGGAGGGAGGGAGGAAGGAAGGAAGGAAAAGAAAGAAAGAAAGAAAGAAAAAACCTCTGCCTTCTGTCTCTCTATAATATTCAGCCTACCTGGAAAATTTTTCCCCTAGTGTTTTATATGATTCACTGCTTCCCCTCCTTCAGGAATCAGCATAGAGTCACCTTTTCAGTGAAGCATTAGAAAACCACATATTTGTAAAGTAGATATCCTGCTACCTTACATACTTGCTCAGTAACAGCATCCTCATTGTAGCCTTCATAAAACTTACCACAGTTTCCAGCTTAAATTTACGGAACTCCTCATTTAGATTACAAGTTTTATGAGAGATCATATCAGGATTATACAGCCTCCAGGTTGATGCCTAACTTAATGAATAGATATTGGATGCCCAAGTGAAATGTATATAAATGTATACATGACATTACTTTATTCTATATTAAAATTAAACCCTAGAGTCTTATTAGATTATAAAAACAACTTACTTAGGTAATGTAACAAAGAGGCTGACTCAAAAAAATTGACTAATAACAACTTTTAAGCCTTATGTATCTTCCCCTTCTGTCCTACATCTGGGCAGGCTGATAATAAAGCCAGGTATTCCCTTCTTTGGTAAAAATGGGAAACTCAAGCCATGTTTGGAAATACTCATTTTTTTTCCCAAACAACCATAAAAACCTCAAGCCAGTATCATTTCCTTGATCTCACAAGCCATTTTTGGACCTAACTGGAGATTCCCTGGTCTCCCTAGAAAACCTTGTTGTGTGAATAATAAGATGTTTTATGCCCCCTTTGTGTTTGTGTGACATCATCAATCTCAACTACCAAACCAATTTTTTAACTGAGGGTCCATCCTGCTTTTGCAGTGTGGTGTGCAACAGGTAAAAATACAATAGTTCAGAAGTCCTGAAAATTTTCTCAGCCCATTGTGCTCTTAGCATTTGAGTAGTATTTTTCATGTCACTACTGCACCCCTTGCCAAAAAAATCCAAAAACCCAAAAACAAAGCTAACAGCTCCATTTATTAAGTAGTGAATAAGCACCTCAGTAAATATAAGTGCTTATATCCTGACAACTTGGTAGCTATTTGAAAAAAATACACATACATGAAAGTAGCTTTTGTCATATCGAACAGATGCCACTGTGATTCCCTTGAAAATGTAAAATACCTGAAAGTGATTCTGTGAGTTCACTGAGGCATCACTGGGAGTCTGGAGAGTGTGGCAATGGCAGATGTATATGGTACCCTCAGTTCATCTGTTTCTAGTCCAGCCAATGTTGTCAGTGACATGCATATTACCAGCATCATATCTCAAGCTTTGTGCCCTGGTAGCTCTTTGTTTTGCACCTCAGGGATTTCTCCAGAGACATAAAATGACACTTAGAATACAGATAGTGTCAACTTAGTTCAGAGTAGTTAATGCCCAAAGAGGTAAACCTCAACCAGGGAAAAGGGTGTTTGATAAAGGACTTAGACTTCCCATTCTTTGGTGATTCACATGTGAGGAACATTCTACAAGGCTCCTGGGATGATACCCAATGGAATTGAGTCCCAGCTATCCATAGCATCAGAGAGTTTAATAAAATAACTTTTTTTCCCTAGACATTCTTCTTCTGTCTCACTGTACCATTTCTCCCATTATTCTTCCCAGGATCACTTCCGAAATAAGCTACCACCAGCACACAACTTCTTGTTTCAGGACACATTCTAAATGTTCTAAATATTCTAGACATGAAATTTAAAAAAAAAAACACATAATTTTAGTGGAGTCATCTAGCTCCTTCCAAACATCTGTTATACACATGAGAAACTACATAAAATATGGAATTGAATTTAAGGTTCTAGATGGACACTATTTGCATTCTTACCTTTATGTACGGAATGGATCTTGCCAAAGCATCAATATCTCTAAACCTTCTACTTTTTATCTGGATACTGGCTGTAATTAAATTTAGCTAATCAGATTTTTGCAGGGATTTAAAGACATAATACCTGTAAAATAACTACTGCAATATTAGAATTTATTAATTATGCAAGGTACATTAGCTGTTATTGTTAAATAAACAAGACTAGGAAGTGGTCTTTCAGTTTCCATTGGTAGAACTTACTAATTGTATTAGTTTTACCATACTGAGTCAGCAGCATTTCCTAGCTACATTCTAGTTTGACAGGGTTGTCTAAAAGGTGGTGGTATGCTTCATTAATTCAGGCTAAGAAAGAGTTATTTGTGTGATATATACTATCAAAGTCCAAACGTATAAAAATAAGGCAGTCTCTAAACCTTATCTAATAACAACAAATCTATCCTGTCACTTCTTCAAATATGCATATTCTAAGACTCAAAGATTTAGAAACAGTTAAAATCATGGAGCTTTTGACTGGGAAAATATTCTCAATTCAATAGCAACAAAGTAGGAAAGTCAAGTGAAAAACATGTTTAGCATACATGATCTATAGTGCCACAAACTATGAATATATTTTTCTTTCTAAATCATGATATACTCTGGCATAAACTTATTAGAAATTGGCTAAGAGATTTGAAACACTTGTTCTGCTGTTTTAGGATTCATTTTAATTGTCTAGTATTTCAAGTTACTGGGGCAAGGGTTAATATTATTTTTCACTTGACTTATCTAAGTAATTATCCCAATTTTCCACTTCATTTTTCTGCTGTCAATATAACCTTCGGCTATTTCTTTAAAGAGTTATTTGACATAGTGTGAATTATCTCTGCCTTTTAAAATAGAATGTGCCACATTTGGGTTTTCACAATAGTAAGTGAAGTAAAGCTTTAGGAATTAGGGAGTTAATATAAGTTTGATAAGTATAATTAGCCAAACTAAGTAACTGACAAATTTCCATTTTATTTTATTACAAATCAATGGTGTTGGCTTTAGCAATTTAGCATCATACATAATGCTTTCTTGCAAATATTTTTTCCGTTGGTTACTTCCAGAGATCTCTATTCAAACTAAAATATACTGGTAGATGTAATAATCAATGCTTTTATCCATCCATTTTTTTTTTAATTTTAAGACATAGGTATTTGAATGATTCTTTAGAACTTCCAAGTGGTTTCATGTTCAGTAACTGTTCTAATGTTATAATTTACTTTTGTTTTGGTGGAACAGATATTAATAGTGAGGATTTTTCAGTCAGAATTGCTTTCTCACTTCTAGACATAACACTAATTGTGTTAGAGTGTCTACTTTTTCTCAATCTGTATTCTCTCACTGATATAGAATTATATATTCAGTATCTTTGCAATTTAATGTTGGAGTGTCTCTGACTGCAGTTACGGAGTATATTTCCCTGTCTTATTCATGTTGCATTTGATGGTAGAATGTTATACAATGTGACACAAATAGAAACTTTAAATGTGCTTGGGCAATTTGGCTTAGTCTCTTTGTGTACTTCCACCATCTCCATGAGAAGACATCTCTTGTTGCAAGTTGTATGATGAGACATGTAGGGCAGAACCTTACCAGACTTAGCCTGGAGCTGATTTTATCCCATCTACTGATCAAGGCACAAGAAAAAAAATATTTGTTGTTGAGGTGGATTTGCTATGTACTTCTATTATAGCAGAAACCTGACCAATTCCCATATATAATATTGGGATCTCCATGGTAATATATGTATTATGAGACTTTGCCCTCTTTCCTTGACTGATTCTTCTAGGTATAGAAATCTCATTCCAAGTGAGGCTTAGTACCACAAAAGAAAACAGGAAACAGATTTCTATCACTTAGGGGTCGTGTGTTACAAACACTAGCTCCTTGCCTGTTCATCGTACAGCACTGTACACATTCCATCCCCACAGAATCAAGAACCTCATACAACGGGGAAATTTGAAATATAAAGGATAGACCATTAAAAATAAATAAATGAAAAAACTGGGGACTTCTGCTTCTGACAAAATGAAGTAAACACACTTTTCCTCTTTTTCACATTAAATACAAAAAAAAAACCCTGGATATCATATATAAAACAAACATAATGAGACTTTAAAACGTAGGAAAAGAGAGAATGGCTAGGGACATTAAGACCCAAAAAGGGCATGGTTGTTAATTCCTGCTTGTTTTTGTTGTTGTTGCTGTTTGTTTGTTTGTTTGTTTTGCCTTGTATTTTCCAGACTTGGAGCTGAAGAAGCTAACACTGAAAAATACCAATGCATGCAGCCAAGGCTCCCCTAAAAGCTTTCATTTATAGCCAAAGGTTCAAGAAAAGGGTGGCCTATTAAGACAGAAAACTTTGACAAAACAGCTTTACTCCAGCAAAAAACACAGAAAAACAAAAAAAAGCAAACAAACAAATAAACAAAAATGGTGTTCTCACCCCCAACCATAAAAGCAAATTCCCAGCGGGAGCTTAGATTTCTAGCATCCTCATGCTGTAAAGAACCTTCTCAGCTCTTGCGCTGGGATGGTAGGAGAGAAAGCCTAGTAGGGAGTCAGATTTTTCCATCCTAGCCAGGAAATATGTGGTGTCAGTGGAGATTGCATGAAGAGCTTGGGTTTTCAAACCAACCTGTCATTAAGGAGGTAACCCTTTCTTCACCCCACTGAGAGTGTCAGAAAGGCCAGCCAAAGAGTCATAAATTTTATCTCAATTTTACAGCAGTTATGAGGCTACTTTCCCTCAAGTATCCATGGGGTTTATTAATGATATACTCCTGAACCTCTTGGCCAGAGACAGTATATCATTGAAGGCATGAAGGGGAACTAGAACTCCCACCTACACGAAGTTGTGACAACAAGCACTCCCTGTTGGGTGTCAACATAGGCTGAGTGGGAACTATGGACATTCAAACCTCCTCATGGTAATGAGGCAGCAGGCTCCTTTTATTTGTAAGAACTGTATTAGAGAGAAACAGCAAAAACAGAAATTTTAAATAAAGTCCAGAACCTCATTACCTCATACCTAAAATGTTAAAGTTTTAATAAGTGTATTAGTCCCTTTTTGTACTGCTATAAAGATACTACTTGCAACTGTGTAATTTATAAACAAAAGAGGTTTAATTGACTCACAGTTCCACATGGTTGCAGAGGCCTCAGGAAACTTATGTCAGAAGGCAAAGGTGAAGCAAGGCATGTCTTACATTGCTGCAGGAGGGAGTGCACGCATGGGAATCTGCCACTATTAAAACCATCAGATTTTGTGAGAATTCCCTCAGTATTATTAGAACAGCATGGGAGAACCTCCCCCATGATTCAATCACCTCCTACCTGGTCCCTCCATCAGTACGTGGGGATTACAAGATGAGATTTTGGTTGGAACACAAAGCCAAACCGTAGCAAGAAGCAGTCACTTGTCCTAAAAAGAATTATAGAGATCTCAAACTATTTATAGCAATGCAAGTAAAAAAATCTCAAACTGAATGAGAGAAGACAGTCAATAGTGGCCAATACCAGGATAACAATGATGTCAGCATTATCTGACCAAGATATTTTAAGGCAGCCATCATAAAAATGCCATGATAACCAATTACAAAAATGTTTGAAATGAGTGAAAAAAAAAACATCTCAGGAAAGAAATAGTTTCAACAAAATACAATAACTGATAAAAATAAGTAAAGAAAACCTCAGTGTGTAGGCCGAACACCAGAATGGAAGAAACAAAGAAAAACAAATAAATAGGTGAATTTGAAAATAGAACAATAGAAATTACATAATCTGAGCAAAGGAGAGAAAATAGAGTTAAAAAAGTGAATGGAGCCTCAGAGACCATAGAACTATAGCAAAAGTTTTAATATTTGTGTCATTCTTATATCAGAAGACCATAAAGAGGGTACAGCTAAACAAATTATTCAAAAGACTAGTGGATGAAAAGTTTCTGATATGGTTTGACTCTGTGTCACTGCTCAAATCTCATGTCTAATTGCAATCCCAAATGTTGGAGGGGAGGCCTGGTGAAAGGTGATTGGATCATGGGGGCAGTTTCTCATGAATGGTTTAGTACCATCCCGTTGGTGCTGTTCCTGTGATAGTGAGTGAGTTATTGTGAAATCTGCTTATTATAAAAGTGTGCAGCAACTTCCCTTGCTCTCTCTTGCTCCTACTCTGGCCACGTAATATGCCTGCGTCTCCTTCACCATCCACCATGACTGTGAGTTTCCTGAGGTCTACCCAGAAGTTGGGCAGAGGCCAGTGCCATGCTTGCTGTACAACCTGCAGAACTGTGAGCCAATTAAATGTCTTTCCTTTATAAATTACCTAGCCTCAGATGTTTCTTTATAGCAATGCAAGAATAAACTAACATAGTTTCCTAATTTGGCAAAACATTTAAATCTACAGAGTCAAGAAGCAGAGCAAACACCAACTAGGATAAATTCAAAAAATTATACACCAAGACACAGCATAGTCAAACTTCTGAAAACCAGATATAAAGAAAATCACCCTGGGAAACAATAAGAGAGAAATGACACCTTAAGGGGAATATAGTTCAAGTGACAGTGGATTTCTCATCAAAACCCATGAAGGACAGAGGAAGCAGCACAACATTTTTCAAGTGTCAACCCAGAATCCTATGTCAGATAAAAATATTCCTTAGGATGAAGAGACAATCAAGACATTCTCAGAAAAAGTTAAACAAAGAGAATTTTTCTCCAGCAAATCTATGCTAAAAATGGCTAAAAATTTTTTCTAGATAGAAAGATAACAATAAAATAAGTAAACTTAGAACATGAGAAAGGAAAAAAAATATGGTAAATAAATTTATAGGTAAATACAATAGACTTCCTTTCTCTTCTTGAGTTATCTAAATTTAATTATTGAAACAAAAATAATAATATTTATTGGTGTGATTAAAATGTAACCTACAGAATTTTTTTTTTAAATATATAAATGAGGGTAAACGGACATAAAGAGATTAGGGTTTTTATACTTCCTTTGAACTGGTAAAGTAACAACATCAGTAGACTCTGTTGTTTTGGCTATCTATCTATCTATCCATCTATCTAAAATGCCTAGAGCAACCACTCTAAAAGCTACAGGAAGTTTCAAAGAGAAACTGTACCAGACACTTGCTAAAAATGACACAGAAGGCTTTATTCAAAACTATTGCAATAAAGTAGGGAGACTATCGCAATAGGAGAGACATCAAACTTATTTCTGTTGATACAAAAGGCAGGAGAGTCTTTAAGCACTGGGGTGAGGTAGTGGAAAAGTTCTGGAGGATATTAGGGGGAAATTGGCCAGTGTGATTAGGCCACCTGAGTTTGCTAATTGGCGCTTATAGAAGTTAAGCTCCTAACTTCCCGTAGACTGGTAGATGATAGGTATGCTATTTAACTTGATTATTATGTTTCAAAAGGATGGTTTCCAGGTCCTTGTAAAAGATATTCCTGGATGGCAAAACTGTAACAGAGCTGGGAGATGAGTTACATTTGAAATATGCAGAAAAAATACAATTGCAAGTTTTCTAAGTAAATGCTCTGTAAGAAAACGGATGCCAAGGGTCCATAGAAAGAAACCTATTTAGATTTTAGACAAGCTGAGGGGAGCATTAAGGATGTGCTGGTGAAAAGGATACTCTGAAACATACTACATATAAATCAAAATTAAATCCTAAAACATTGTTCAAGTTACCCACAACAAGGCAAATAATCTAAACCAAACAACTAAAAACAAAGAGGACAAACAGAAGAATGTCAGTATTAAACTCTAACATATCAATAATTAAATTAACTGTAAATTTTCTGAATAGCCAAGACAATTCAAGATAGAGGTTGGCACAGTCAATTGAAAAATATTGCCCAATGAGAGAACACTGTCCAATTTATTTTATGAAACTAGCCTTACACTGATACTAAAACCAGATAAATACAGTATAATAAAAGAAAATTACAGACCAATATCCATTATGAATATAAATATAATAATCCTTAACAAAATATTAGTAAATAAAGTGCAGCTATATGCAAAAGGAGTGATAGATCATGACCATGTAATGCTTATTCCAGGGATGCAGTCTGGTTCAATATTCAAAAAATCATTCTGTGTGATTTACCATATTAACAGTAATGTTTTAAAAAATAACATCATATCAACCTGTGGGGCGGGGAGGAACTTGGGACAGTTATTCAACATTCGTGCATGATAAAAAACTCTTAGAAAAATAGAAATAGAGGTAAACTTTCTCAACTTGAAAAAGAGCATTCTTAAAAAATAAAATAGAAACTACTAGCATGATATTTTCTCCCTTATGATCAGAAATAAGATAAAGAACACATGCCCTCAACTCTTACTCAACTTTGTTCTGGCAGTTCTAGGCTGTGCAGTAAGCTAAGCAAAAGAAATAAATATATACAGAGCAGAAAGGAATAAATAAGACTGCCTCTATATGCAAATAACACAAGTGGCTACAAAGAAAATCTCAAGAAACCTTAGCTAAACAAAACAACCTCCTGGAAATAATGAGTCCCAATAGCAAGGTCATTATGTAACAAGATCGACATAGAGATATTGATTTTGTATCTATATACTACAAATGAATGTATTTACACAATAATTAAAAATACATTTATCATTTATAATTACTCAGAAAACATGCTTAGGTATTTCTAATGCTAACAAGAAGTAAATCTAAGAAAACAAATTGGACTTTTTTCTTAAAGTCTACAAAATAGTGTTAGAAGTAGTGAAATAAAATCTAAATATAAAGAGGGACATACGTGCTATATATTTGGTTTGGAAGACTGAACATAGTAAAGATGTCAAGCTTCCCAAATTAATCCACAGGTTTAACATAATTTCTGTCAAGCAGTGAACATTAAAAATTCAATATGAATATATAGTATAAAGATCATATTATACAATTATGTGTAACACATATAAATATATATTATATAACCTGTGTACATTTATATATTATAATATATATTTTTAAATAGACCTTTTGTTACACCAAATAAAGTTTATATAATTGTCATCAGGTTTTGTCTCTCTAGGTTTTGTTAATGTCTAGGTTTTGTTAATGTCTAATTATTTGCTAATTTTCAGTTACATTACCCATTTGTTATTTTAATTACATTTAATTAAATTAATTATGGGGATATGAAGACAGGTCTTTCTTCTAATTGTAGGTTGATAAAATGAATATGCACAGTCATAATTAAATGTCTATTTTTTTTTTTTTTTTTTTTTTTTTTTTTTGAGACGGAGTCTCGCTCTGTCGCCCAGGCTGGAGTGCAGTGGCGGGATCTCGGCTCACTGCAAGCTCCGCCTCCCGGGTTCACGCCATTCTCCTGCCTCAGCCTCCAGGGTAGCTGGGACTACAGGCGCCCGCCACTACGCCCGGCTAATTTTTTGTATTTTTAGTAGAGACGGGGTTTCACCGTTTTCGCCGGGATGGTCTCGATCTCCTGACCTCGTGATCCGCCCGCCTCGGCCTCCCAAAGTGCTGGGATTACAGGCGTGAGCCACCGCGCCCGGCCTAAATGTCTATTTTTAAAGAATACAGAAAGATGGGAGATTAATCAGAATTTTCTTTATTTCACTTACAATATTAAAATACACTAAAAATTAATAGAAGGTCCCAATATATTTTCTATTTGTACTAATTCATTTTCAGGTTTTCATCCACTGTTTTAGGGTATTCACTCTATCTCTTAAATTGCAAGATATTTGAAAAAATATAATAGTTTTCTGTTAAACAAATACCGGATGAGTATTTCTGTCCTCAAACCTAAGTTTCCTGACTTTTCTAATCAGAGTGAGAGATTATGACTTTAATAGTCATACAGATTGTTTCCACTAACAGCAATTCATTACTCAGAATATGTCAGTTTCTCTGTTTTGATTCCATCATTAACATAAAATATGTTGCTTGTTATTACAATGATAATTAAAATCACTCAATGCATTAACACAAACATAATAACTGTTAAATAAATAATAATTTATGTTATAATTAGTATAATTATAATTGTGAACTACTTTTCCTCCACATTGTTAAAAAGGCATAAGGTCATAAATATAAATATAAATAACTACAAAGCATATCATGATTACTCCTAAAACATTTATTAAATGGCTAATTGTTAATTTTTTTTCTCTTTCAATTTCCTTTTGGCATTTATTTCATTTTCTCTTTTGAAGTTCCCCCTTCAGACCTTTCCTTCTTTTGCTATTTTTAAAAGCATATTGCTATAGTTTAGTTGTTTCTCTTCCCCAAATCTCAGGTTGAAATTTGATCCCCAATGTTGGAGATGAGCACCTAATGAGAGGTGTTTGGGTCAGGGAGGGGATCTCCATGAATAGGTTAATGCCCTCCTTGGGGTAAAGGGTGAGTGAGTACTCAATCATTAGTTCCAATGAGAGCTGATTGTTAAGAAGAACCTGGTACCTCCTCCCCTTCTCTCTTGCTTCTTCTCTCATCATGTGATCTCTGCATATGCCAGCCCTGCTTCACCTCCTGCCATGAGTGAACACAGCCTGAAGCCCTCCCCCAGGAGTGCTTGTTTCTTTTACAGCCTGCAGAATTGTGAGCCAAATAAACCTCTATTATTTATAAATTACCCAGCCTCGGGTATTTCCTTATAGCAACACTAAATGGACTAAGACACATATGTTCCTTAAAGTATGTTTACTACCTTTTTATTTTCTGTACCATCCTCTGAACTGCTCATTTAAACAAACAGAGATAGAAAATATACTACTAATAAAATAATTAGCTTAAAAGTAAATATAAATATGTAGTAATTTAATATACTTTCATGTTCATTGTTGTTTACTTCAAAATAGTAATTGTGCATTTTCCATTTTCTGTCTCTTATAATCTAAGGTAAATTCCGCTTCTTGAATCTATCACATTATTTTTTTCTGCATGTAGAAAATGAGCAGAAAATGAATAGAATGCTTCTTTTTTTTTAATAAATGGAAAATATCTTTAGGTTTTAACTTGGAAAAATTTATTTAGAAGTATTAGAATGCAAGAAATAAAAGCATCCATGTGTTGTTCGATTATATATGTATACTTACACATATATACATACGTGTAATATGTATGTGTATATGTATGTTTATATATGTGTATATGTATGTATATATGTATATATGTATATGTGTGTATATGTATATATGTGAAATACACATATATACATATGTGTATTTCATTTGTATATATTCAACTATGTTTTTGAATTTTACATTCATAAACATATTCATAAACATATGCAATTTATAAATAAGAAAAATTTTAAAATAAAATTTAAAACCTTTGTGTGTTTAACATAAATCCAAACATTTTAGTGTAAAATAGCAAACAAACAAGAATTTACTGTATTTTCTCTATTAGACCTCATTAGAGTAAAAGTTTAAAAAATACATAAACGCAGGAAAATATATGTTCAATAAACTCCTGAAAAGTGGAAACCAGATGGAATGAGTGGTGGTAGATGACATAGGTGAAGAAAATGTCATAAGGTGCTTTGAGTAGCTGTCTCACCTTGCAAAACTTTCTTTGAGAAAACAGCTCAGGTCAGAAATTGATAACATCAGGAATTATGGAAGACATGCAGCTAAAATAAAGTGCACTAATAGGCACCTTCAAATGGAACGGTGATTGCATACACACACACACACACACTCTCTCACACACTTATGGCATACTCACAAAGTAGACCATTATTCCCTCTCACTACATTAGTGCTGCTGGGGAAAAAAAAAAAAAAAATCAGAGGTTTTTTGGTTTTGGTTGTTGTTCGTTTGTTTGTTTTTCCCAAAGTAATTAAACAATCTGTCTTGGTAGCCTGGGAAACACTAAGGAAAATTTGAAAGTTGATATACTAAAGCAAAGTCTTCTGCTTTCTGCAATTATTTGATTCAAAAGAATGATGGTTGGTACTTTGTATGTCTTTCCTAAAATGAAATCTGGCAATAGATGTGCTGTACTGTGAAGTTACATACACTACTTCCTTGTTGTCACACCAGATATTTGAGAAATTAAAGAAAGAGAACAAGGTATAAAAAATGAAAAAATCTAATGAAAATGGATAATTCAACGGATAAATACAGAAAAATATAATAAAAAACAACAGCAAAATATTAACATTCAAATAAAGAATCCCAGAAATATTTGAGAAGCTGTTACATCCATAATATGGATCTGCCCAAGTGTGGACTAAGAGAGAGGGAAGATAAGGAGGGGAGGAAAGGTTAAAAACTAACTATTGTGTACTAGTCTCAGTACCTGGGTGATAAGGTCCTTTGTAACCCAAACCTCAGTGTCATACAATATACCCAGGTAACAAACTAACACATTTATACCCCTATATCTAATATAAAAGTTGAAAATAATAATAAAATACAAAATATATAAACACAAATTACATCTATGAGTCACAATTCTGCACAATAGAATACTATGTACCAATATTCCTGTCCCAGTATTAATTCCCTACTTACAATTTCCAGGAAACCAAAGGCATAAAAGTACTGGCTTGTTTAGACACCCAGAGATGTGAGCATGTTCCCATATAGCCCCGCCAATTCCATCCTGACCCACAGCATCCCCTGCTGTTTCAGTTCTAAACAAAGATTTATGTCAAAATTTAAAAATATATATAATCAGCTCTAAAAATGGTCTCTTAACTCCCAACTTTGAAGGTGAGAATATTACACTTTTGATTTATTTTCCTTTTTTGATGCTAAATTTTTCAAATTTATTTTATTTTTTATTTTATTTTTTATTTTTTTAGACAAGATCTCACTCTGTTGCCCAGGCTGGAGTACGGTGACACCATCACAGCTCACTGCAGCCTCAACCTCCCTGGTTTCAGGTGATGCTCCCACCTCAGCCTCCTGAGTAGGTGAGACTACAGGTGTGTGCCACCATGCCCAACTCACTTTTGTATTTTTTTTGTAAAGACTAGGTTTCACCATGTTGCCTAGGCTGGTCTCAAACTCCTGGGCTCAAGCATCTGCCTGCCTTGGCCTCCCAAAGTTCTAGAATTATAAGCATGAGCCACGGCACCCAGTGATTTTTATTTGTCAAATAATATAATTGGTTATAAGACACGATGAGATGTTTCAATATATATTTACCTTGTGGAATGATTAAATCAAGCTAATTAGCATATTTGTCACCTCACATACATGTGGGTTTTTTGTGGTAAGAATATTTAAAATTTAATCTTTAAGCAATTTTGAAATATACAATGCACTTTTAATTATTGTCAGCATTCTGTGAAAAACATCACTAAAACTCAAATCATAAGACATTGCTCTACCTTGTAGATAAAAATAAATGTCAAAAATATGTCTACATATACAAACACACACACACATACACATACATACATTCATACTTGTATATATATAATACAATTAGCATGTTTAATGCAGATTTCAATCAGAAATGACTTAAACATTCATATGATTTGTTACGCTGCCACAATTATAAAAATAGTATTTGCTCTCCCTCAAGTAACACAAAAATCTTGCGTTCATATGTTAGACTGCCTACTATCCTCCTTTGCCCAGGAGGTACATGATACAAGCAAGCCAATTGTAGAACAGTATCCCTTTGGATACAGTAATAGCTGCAAACATTTATGAATTTGACATAAGCATTGGGAATTCCTAGTCTGAACATTCCTTATATTATTCCTTAAGAAGTTTCCTATAGATAGTATATAGTTAACGGTTTTGTTAAATGTGCATATATGTGATTATTGATATAATTTGACTTCTACCATTTTGATATTTATTTGTGGTTTGGTGTTCTATTATTTGTTCCCTAAGTTCCCACTCCTTCTTTCTTTTGTATCTTTTGTATATATCTTAGCAATCCATTTTAATCTTCTCTCTCAGGGGAGTAAACTTTTTACATAATTTTTGTAATGGTGGTTTAGAGATACTCTAATATTTTATAATCTTTTAGTTTTAATATTTTCTGACTGCTAACAAAATGTAGAAGTGTTACAATCATTACATCCCCTTGCCCCATTTCATATAATAACACAATATATTAATATTGTTTGAAAATTACCAATAATATGCAATATATTGTATGATTATAACATATGTAAAGAAGCAAATGTTTCCTACCTGCTCTTTGTAATTGATAATTTTAAACTTCAACTTTACTGTTTTTTTCTTTATCTTTATTATGATCTTGAGCCTATCCTTTATATATTTAATTCAAACATATTTTTTATTTCTAAAATTTCCATTTTTTATTGTTTCATTTTCTCTACTGAGAACTTTATCTTTTCATTTATTTCAACTGTAGTTACTATGACCTCATGGAGAATAGTTATATTATCTGCTTTAATGTCTTAACCGTATAAACCCAGTATCTGGGTCATTTTGGATTGGCATCTGTTGTTTCTCTTTTTTTTTTTTTTTTTTTTGAGGATTAATGTAATTTCCCTCAGTGTTTGGATATTGACTAAATTTGGCTTTTATCATCAAAGTTTTGAATATTAAGTTTGTGGATTTGGCTACAAACTTAAAGACTATAGACTATTAAAATATTCTAAAACAGAGGTCAGCAAGCTTTTTATCTAAAGAACTGGATAGTAAATATTTAAGGCTTTCCACACCCTATGGTCCTGTTGTGACAAATTGACTCTGCCATTTTAGTGCAAAGACAGCCACAAATGGTCTATTAATGAATATGTGTGCTGTATCCAATAAAACTTCATTTACATAAAAACAGGCCGTAAGATGGACTTGGCCCATGAGCTTTAGTTTGCCAACACTTTGCTCTTAATAATGTTGATCTGGCCAGGTGCAGTGGCTCACGCCTGTAATCCCAGCACTTTGGGAGGCCGAGGCGGGCGGATCACGAGGTCAGGAGATCGAGACCATCCTGACTAAAATGGTGAAACTCTGTCTCTACTAAAAAATACAAAAAATTAGCCAGGCGTGGTGCCGGGCGACTGTAGTCCCAGCTACTCGAGACGCTGAGGCAGGAGAATGGAGTGAACCCAGGAGGCGGAGCTTGCAGTGAGACGAGATCGCGCCACTGTCCTCCAGCCTGGGCGACAGAGCGAGACTCCGTCTCAAAAGAAAAAAATAATGATGATGTTGATCTATTTGTTTTAGTAGGTATTTACCCTGGTTTGGTCAAGACTACGAATTCTGTCTTGGCTCTGTGATCTGTATTCCCAATATCAGTACAGTTGTCAAATGGTTTTTTGCTCTGCTCCTTTGGGTCTGTTTAATGTACTACTTTTGGTATTAGTCTGAATCTTGGGTGGTCGCTTAATCTCAGCCCAGCCTTTACATATTTATTTGTGTCTTCGCAACACAGGCTCACAAGGTTGGCAATTTTTGTGGCAGTTTAAACTGAGGTTCAGTTTTCTACAAATTTGCTGTTCTACTTTTGATCTGTCATGTTTGTATGGAGCACAGAGGTAACACTGGAACTTGTACAGTTTAATATACACATGAGAAGTAGGATTTTTCAACCTCCAGCTCTCTTCTCTCTGGGATTTCCTCTATACTTTCTGGCTGAAGATTTTTCCTGTTTTTTTTTTTTTTTTGGTTCTATAACAGGCTTTTCATTTTAAACTTTAGCTGTCTGGGCCACCACCACTGTGACAAAATGCTCTGACTACAGTCTACGGTTAGGTTAAATCTGCAAGAGAAAAGATTATGTGTTGCTTTACCAGGTTTTAGCTTGCTTCCAAAATCCATCTTTTTAGTTTACTTTTTAGAGACCTTGTGAATTATCCTGGTGGGCTCATGTAATTGTTAAGTGTCCTTAAAAGACAAAAGAAGGAAGCAGAAGCCAAGACTTGGAGAGATATTTGAAGATGGTCCACTGCTGGCTTTGAAGATGGTGAAAGTAGACATGAACCAAGGAATGCAGATGGCCTTTAGAGGCTGGAAAAGGTCAGAAAATAGATTATCTCCTAGAGCCCTCAGAAGGAACACCTCTGACACCTTTATTAGGCTCACCAAGATACATTTTGGAATTCTGACCCCAGAAGTGAAAGAGAATACATATGTGTTGTTTTAAAATGATTAAATGTATGATAATTTGTTACAACATTATATAAAGCTGATATAATAACTTATCTATTACTACCAGAAATTGAAATATGATACATAATTTCTAAATAATTCTAAGAAAAAATAAATACAAAACAAACACAAAACAAATGAAATTAAAATCATAAAAGAGAATGATTAAAATACCTGTTAATATTTATTTGTTTGTCTGCAGAGGATACACATAAAACATAATCCCACAGGTTAGTTAAAAATAAAGAGTTTTGAAACTCTATGCTAGGCAAACTATAAGCCAAAAGGAAATTGGATATGGCAAACATTGCTAGTGTTTACTTCCAACTTTCATATCCAAATCACTTTCTCACCAAGATGGCTTAATGGGACAATGCCAGATGATGACACATAAGTATAATTAGTGTCCTGGGAACAGTTTACTTTTCTGACAGAGGCATCTGTCAGTTTTCCTCCCCATTCTTTTCTGCTGCAATATAGATGGCATGGCAGAAACTTCAATACCCATTCTGTGTCTGGTTCAGAACACTAGATGGTATTAACAACTATTGCCCTCTCATTATTAAGCTGCTGAATCAGAATAAAAAACGTCTGCCTGCAGATTTTTTTTATATGAGAGAAATAAAGTTCTATGTTTTTAAGTCCCTACCACACGTTTTTCTGTTCCTTGAAGCTAAACACATCATTGATTTAATATGAGGGCAGTAATTTTACTACCATTCAGGTGAAATTTAAAGGGAACAATAGCATAGTAGATAAAGATAGCCATGGCTTTGGAAAAAATAGAGTAACATCAACATACTATAAAAATACTGTAGTTATGTTCCTAAAATATTTTTTGAGATGCGCGCACACACACACACACACACACACACACACACACATATATGTACATACACACCCATATGTATGAACATTTCAGGAATTCAAGGATAATGCAATGTCAAAGAGCTCCACTGATGTAGATTTTGAAATTCTAAGATTTGTTTCTCAAGTGGACTAATCTACTGATGCAATCTGCCATATTTATAAATTACAGAAAAAATGATATTGTTATCATTTTTATCTACATGTAGATAAAAAATTTGCTATATTTCAAAACACAAATGTAACTTAAAAACTCTTCAAAAATCTAAAAGTAGGCTGAAATTTCCTTATGTAATTGCTATATACTATAAAACTATATCAAATATCATATTTAATGATCAAACATTTTACTTAAGATCAGGAAGATAGATGCCTGCTATTAATTATAATAGATACCAGTTTTTAATTATAATATATTGTCAGTAGCAAAAAAAATCAAGCAGGCATGTATCACATTTCAGTTTTAGCCTTCATATACGGCCAAAATTTTCTATTAACTTTATTTTGGCTTTAGAAAACAAATTTGTCAAACGTATATTTCAACATCACTTATGAATCCCCTACACTGTTGTAAGAATGTACCTATCATTCTATTTTCATGAAAATTCTGAAATTAGTATTTATGCCTTGAAATCCAAGTTGTAGATGGAAAATCAGAAATAAATAGGTTATTCTGAAGGTCTTTGAAATGACTCCCAACATTCACTTCCTTGTATTCACTGTGAAATCCTCTCCCGTTGTAACCCCCTTGGGCTACAACTAGTCACTTGCTTCTAAAAAGTAATACATGGCAAAAGTAATGCCTGTCTGCTCCAAAATTCGGTTCTAAAGCTGGAGATATCCATCTTGCTCACACTCTCTCTTGCCCTCTTACCAGCTCTGACTCAACCAGCTGCCACGTTGTGAACTTCCCTAAGGAGAGAAACACATGGCCAGAAACTGAGGGTTACCTTCAGCCAGTAGCAAGCAAGGTGTTATGTTCTGAATGTTTGCGACTCCCCCAGTACCTATGTTGAATTCTCATCGCCAAGGTTATTGTATAAAAAGATGGGGGTCTTTGGGAGATGATTAGGTCATAAGGGCTCTGCCTCTCCAAATGGAATTAGTGCCCTTACAAAAGAAGTCCCAGAGAATGCCCTTGCCTCTTCTACCATGTGAGGGCCCAATAAGAAGGTGCCACTTATGAATCAAGAGAGTGGGCCCTCACCGGACACTGAATGTGCTGGCACATTGATCACAGACTTCCCAGAATCTAGAACTAAAAGAAATAAAATTCTGTTGTTTGTCAGCCACCCAGTTTATGGTAGTTTGTTATATCAGTCCCAAAGGACTAAGACACAAGGAATCAAAACACAGGAAATGAAAGCAACCTGTGAGAAACAGAATTTAACCAATAAGAATGGGTGTAGAAGTGATTCTTCCCCAGTTGAACGTCCGGGTAACTACAACCTAGGGGACACCTTGATTGCAGCCTGTGAAATACTCTGAAGCAAAGAACCCAGATAAGCTATGCCTTTGCTATAAAACTGAGATGACTTAGCTATAAAACTGAGATTATAAATGCTATTTTAAGGCGCTAATTTTTGACATAATTTCTTATGCAGCAATAGATAACTATGACACTTCTCTCTCTCAGAGCATAGGACAGTGGAACAAGACATCCTGTGTCCTGCTAAAGTTATGAGATGTGAATTGACTCTTGGTCATTATTTTATGGGTAAAAATTGAACATGAAATCCCTTTAGGCAGAATCCTGCCTTACATTATATTTTCTGTGTATTTGAATTAAAATATTGTTATGGCTGTATTGAAAATGTGAAAGACAGTAGTTATAGTGGTATACAATACTGTTTTAGATGTTTCCTTCTTTATTTTTTCTAGCAATTTATCAACATATGGAGGTTTTTTTCAAAGCTGTGTTTTATGGACCCAGCATGTTCTGTACTTATCTGTCAGGCATTTATAAAAACTAAATTCATTTAATATTTAAAATATTAATACATAGATATATTAAATATTTTGCATTACTAAATAATGTGAGAAAAAATAGCAAATAAAATAGACAAAACCTCATATCCTTTTAATGACAATAATAAATGTTTTAGGTGGCAGCCAGATATGAAAACAGACTCAGCAGCATGATGATTTAATGAGCACTGGGAATATGTGAAAAGATTATAAGTAAACTAATGAAGTGAAAATGATGTGAGTCTATTTTGCTTATTCTATGTAATATTTTATATGGCAAATAAGAGAAAGATTTATTACTTTGTGAAAGTTTGGACAAAGATATAACAAAAAAGAGAAAGGGGATTTTGAAGAGTTTAGGTTCATTTTTAACACATCATTAAATAAACTGGCAAAAATATGTAGGAACATCTGTAGTGATGGTACAAAAGCCAAAATGAGAACACAGGATTCATTCCAAAATGCAAATTAGGAATCAAGGTATATTTCCCGGAAAAGGGCTAGGTCATAAGAAAATGCTCACATCTTTCTAAAGAGTTTTACAGATTATCAAATATATGAAACTATGGTTTTTTGAATATGAACCTTTCAGTTATTTTTAAATGAATATTGTGAACTACTGAATTTTCCAAATCCATTGGTTGATTTAAATCAAGTGATGTGCACAATATCAAAGACACAAATAATTGTCCTGTTAAAAAATGATTAAGAAATTCAAATTGTCAAATAGTTATCAAATATAACATAAGAGGATAGAATGCAAATTATGTTTTTCTTAAATAAAATCAATAATATGAAAATATTTGATATCAATGTTAAATATATATTGATATATTTTTGACTTTAACAGTGATAAAATTAGACTTACGAGTTAGGCATTGAAAAATAATGGATTTATATTTTTTGATGATATTTTAAACATAAAATGAAGATTTCTATATCTCTAGATAGCATTTTTATATAATTTTGTATATGTTTGTACAGTAATTAATATATTCAAGTATATAAAATTCAGGAAGCATAAAAATAAAATATACAGATATGCATTCTCACTAACTCATTCCTCTGACTTAACCTAGATGTAAAATCTATTTTGAATTTAATGTTTATCATTTCATTGCTTTTTTGGGAAGAACATTTCCATACATCTATGTTTTCATGAAAAACTATTATTTGTACTTGCTTTTGAATGTTATAGAAATGATATGACATTTTCATCTATTCTCAACATCATATTTTCAAGATTCATTTTGTTGGTGAGAGTAGTTTTGTTCCATTCATTTTTATTACATTTTTGTTATATTTTATATGTATAATTTTTGATTTTCCTGTTAATGTATCCATAGAATGTTTTCAATTTTTGTATTATAAAAAATGTTGTTATGAACAGCCTTCTGCCCTGCCTGTCAACTGATGTATATATGTATATGTGTGTGTATATATGTATATATAACATATATAATACATATATGTATAATTTGTCTACATTATGTAACTAAGATTGAAATTGCTTGGTCATAGGTTGTATGCATGATCAGCTTTATCAAACAAGTTCAAGTTATTTCCTAAAGTAGTTGTACCAATTACACTTCCATTAGTTGTGCTGGAGGATGCTATTTTTCCATCTCTTTGCCTGTACTTTGGTTGAGGCCTATCTAGTGGTTGTAAAAAATTTCATCTCATTGTAGCTCAATTTCTATTTACCAGATTGTTAAGAAAGTATAGCATATCTTCATAGGATTATTTCTTCATTTGAATTTCCTTTTCTATGAAGTGCTTGTTTATGTCTATTGCCCTTTGTGTAGCTTATCTTTAATACACATTTTAAAACAATTATAAAATCTCATCAGAACTATTTGTTGCCCGCTTAAAGCTGAACATTTTTAAATTGAGAAAAGCTATAACCTTGAAAAATTGTTTTTTCAAAGTATTTTTCTTTTAGCTTCATTGAAAATATGTTTATTCACATAGTGAGGTGAGATTTCAAGGCAAAAAACAGAGCATTTCTCACTTATATTTTTTGAGGAATCATATTTTATACATTGTGTAACAAAAACAAAATATAACATATGAAAACATTTTAAAAATTATAAAGTTACAGTAAAATGTAAGTCTTGTTATGGTTAATTTATCAAACTTGAACTCATAGATGATTGCCTGTGGACAATTGTGCCTTGAAAACAAAGTGTACACTATCGTATTGACAGCAGAAGTCTCACCATTAGGAAGCATCTATTAAATCCATTTCCAAGTCAGTTATTGCAGTACTGGCGGTTTGCTGCCACAGTGGAAGAAGTGTCTTATACTGCAGGCAGCATGTGGTTGCCTTGAAAAGAATTGTACCCTGGAGTCAGCATCTGTTTCAGGGGCTTGGTGTGAAACTTCGAGTATAATCCTAGATAGAGTATTAAATCAAAATAATTCTGAGACTCCCACTATTGAGAAACATCATTATAATGTACACTAAGTAAGCATTTATAATGCCATCATAAAGTCTCATGGGTAAATGTCTAGAAAACAATCCTTATTGCAGCAATGTTTACCCAGGATTTTGTCTCTTTCAGATGTGATTTGCAGCCCCAAATACACTTTAAATTGGTGATTTAGTCTCTAGAAGAACCCAGGTAATAATTAAGTTAGGTCATTAATGAGATGTGTTATCAGTGATTCACACCTCATGTGTATAGTGTGCTTTGGAGAACTCCTAATTGCAGTGCTGGGAATCTTACCCTCCAAACACAATTATGCAAGATCATTGTGATTCAGCGTACTGACCTGCTTTGGCATAAGGTATATTTGTGTAGTAGAAATCATCTATATTTACAAAATATATCAATTCTCCTCTGTAAAGTACCTCTCTCATATTTCCTCAATAATAAAGTTATCATTATGCAGCCACTTTCTTCTTGGGAGGCATAGCTATTTAATGTGACGTTAGGAATTTTACCCTCAAGAGAGCTATACTGAGAATGTGATGAGTGAAAAAATATTAAGCTTTTTCAATGCAGAAAGCCTTATTTGGAAGAAACCTTGCATCCATGGATCACAGAGAACACTGCCCTGTAGGTGGTTTTATATCATTGTAATAAAGAAATTTGAGACTTGGAGATATGAATAGATGATAAGGATGGTGTCATTATTGCTTGGAAAGAAGTTCTTTCCTAATTTCTTTTTTCCACTCAGTGATAAACAATATAGCATGTTTTTTTCTTTCTCTGATCATAGGTACATTTCAGTTGTCCATCAGTGTTCTTGCAGTAAAAATTAGTATTATATAGTGATATATGTAAGTGTGTAACAGTAAATTACATTTATTATAAGTCCTAATTTTTAATGTTAATTAAATAAAATCACCCTTACAATTAGATATACATATCACCACTTCAGAGATACTTAGAGGTCTTTTTGAAGGGAAGTTATAAGATTTTTCATGTCATTTTTAATGCTATCAAAAAATAGATTAATTATAAACTATTTTAGTTGTAGCTAAAAACTAGCTATACTGTGCCAAAGAATAGGGGATTAAAATTGCTGCTGTCACTTGCATTATCTACCAAATTGAGAAAATAAAGAATAACAGAGAGAAAAACATTACATTTGCTTGGGAATTTAACTGTAAATTGAGAATTTCTAAGGCAAAAAGGAGTGACTCTGGGGAGAAATTGGTAATGGTTACACAATTTCTTTTAGGGAGTGATGAAAATGTTCAAAAACTGATTATGTGATGGTTGTAGAATTCTGTGAATGTACTAAAACCCACAAAATTTTGCACTTTAAAAGAACAAAATTGAATGGTATATAAGTTATCTTTTTCTCTTTCCAACAGTGTGAACAATAGTGGCACCAACTTATTTAAAAAAAAACCAAAAAAACAAACAAACAAAAAAACAGGCCGGGCACGGTGGCTCATGCCTGTAATCCCACTTTAGGAGGCCAAGGTAGGCAGATCATGAGGTCAGGAGATCGAGACCATCACCCTGGCTAACGCGGTGAAACTCCATCTCTACTAAAAATACAAAAAAAAAAAAAAAAAAAAAAAAAAAAGCCGGGTGTGGTGGCAGACGCCTGTAGTCCCAGCTACTTAGGAGGCTGAGGCAGGAGAATGCCGTGAACCCGAGAGCCAGAGCTTGCAGTGAGCCGAGATCGCGCCACTGCACTCCAGCCTGGGTGACAGAGCGAGACTCTGTCACAATAAAACAAAACAAAAAAACCCAGCAACTTCCCTTTAACATAATAATTTCTTTCTTAATATTATACAATCTGGAGAAAAAGAAATACTGCCATAAAAGTTAATGGTATCTAGTAAAAAATACAGCCTTATGAGAAGAAATAATATTTGAAAATATTAGAATACTTTTACATAAATGCATGCTTTAACCCTTTAAATGATACAAAATGCTTAGATCACAATTTAAAAAACTTCTAAATAATCACTTTCTTATCAAAATGCCATTAATATTTCTATAAGAAAATTATTCAAATCTCAAGTGCTAAATTAATTGCCCAAAGACATAACACTTTTATATAACAGAATATAGAATAAAAAGAAGAGAAATTACTGCTTTAACTAACGTGTTATTAAGGCCATGAATATGAATTATTATTTTTTTCTGAAAAAGCAAGCAGTGTGGTAAATTACAGAATAAAATAAAATTAAACAACTTTAATTGATTTATAAGCCTTGCCTCACATATGCATTAATATAAAATGACTTCAAATATTATGCAATCTCCCATTTTACCTTGAAGGATATTTTCAAAAAAGTAAATTTATGTCCAATTAAATGTATTACATTTAGAGTTGTAGATTATATTATGAAGGACCTATGTATAATATCTGAAATATGTGTTTGGATATATAACATTAAATCAACATTTATTTGGGGTATTTTTCTAAAAATCATAAAATATATAATATATAAATTTTTAAGTAAACAATTTCTATGTAATATATCATTATAAAATGAATTATAAATAGAGGTAATATGTATATTATAATTCTGTATGAAAAAAGTATACTTTAGGACAAAGAAAAACTGAATCTGACTGAGTCTTACATACATCTCTAATCTACTCTATTGCTGATGGGCCTACTCATTCTGAAAGAATCAGCTTGCCCATATATGCCTCTGTAGATTGATCACACTATATGCTCTGTGAAGTGTATTGGTCCACCCTATATCCATCTGTCAAGTTTCTACTTAAGACTGAATCAATATTCTTCAAAAAGTCAAGTACTCTTGGCTGGCTTACACAATGAAAAAAATACCACTAATATTCTAGCTACTACTGAAGGGTGGCATGATGAATTCACATAGTCACTGAAAGCAGGAAAACCAGAAAAATGGTTTAATGTTTCACTGAAGCTCCACCTTAAGGATTGTGACATTATTAGAGAATTACATACATGACCAGAGATGCAAGACCAAGAATAACTGGAAAAATAACGAAGAAAGGTGGTCTTTAATGAGCAGAAGTTCTGAATAAATGGGGCTAAAATGTGTAAGTGATCTAAAAATAGCATGTCAAAGTGCAACAGATTGTCCTTCTACTGGCCAGAGATAACAATTGAAATACTTGTATTATAAGACTACTCTCATTTCTTTCAAATGATTTGCCTACTACATTCAGCCTATCTTCCGTTTTATTCAATTTTCTCATATTGGTTTCCACATTTTCTGGAGATACCAACGCTTCTAAGACATGATCTTAAGCCATTGATAAATTATATGTGTACATACATATTTTTTTGACAACTTCTAGGTTGGCTTACTCATTTAATAGTTCTACCTTGCCTATTTTTAAAGATGCATCATCATAACCTTGATTCACTTGCCATATCTTTTGAGTTTACCTGTAAGAAGGCAGGATATGCCTGTGGTGCTAGAAATAGTCTCCAGAAGTGGGTATGAAGACATGAAAGATCATGCACACTAAATGACCAATTTAGTCAGTGATAAAATTGCCTGTCTAAGTATATAGACAGAATCTCAGAAAATAATTATTAGGTTCTTCAAGTTGCCATCATTGCTCCTACAAATATTGTCATTTGGAAATTAATTATTTAGAAAGGCTTGTGACCAAATCAACTATAATTAAATACAACATAAATTCCTCATAAGATATAAAGAGATACCAAAAATGAGATTTTTAAAAAATTAACTATTTTTAAAATGTAAAGTTATTATGACTAAACTAAAATTCACTTGTTAGAATAAGTTTATATGATCATAATTAAAAGTCTAGTGTTTTAACCTAAATGCCAATTAAATAAATAAGTTAATATTTATGTGTGTGGATATACAGATGGAATTAGAAAAAAAGGTAATGTAAAATGTTAAAATGTCAGAATTATAACTAGATATTTAGTCAGTTGTTAGAACAGTTGACAACTGACTAACGAAATATGCTGTTTATTTAATTTGGATATCCTATCACTGTAAAACATATTGCAAAGTTGGAACACATTATAAATTGGGTTACTTTTCTAAACAATCACCCATTCCTCTCTGGGTAGTAACCGCTAAATTTATGGCATTGACATTTAGGTACAAATAGTAATGTAGTGAGAATATTTTATTTTTATCTTATTCTTTGGTGTGCTAGCCTCTTATGAGGAATTTAAGATTATATTTTTGTTTCTAGACACAGCCTGATTTATCCTTTAAAAATAAGCACAATTTCTTATTTTGACAGGAGGTAAGCACATGCTTTATCCAAGCCAAGAATCCTGTCACACTCTTTTCCACAAATTTATGTTGGTACACAGATAATATGGATCATTAATATATGTCAAATATAGATTGCCTTTTAATTATTGATACTAAAAGATTTATTTTTAAGAGCAATTTCAATGTTAAGGATCACCAAACACAAAAACCACTAGATGAGTTAAAGATAAATTTCTCCCCAAGCTGATGATTCATATATCTCATCACAAAATAAGGCATTTATTTTTAAATGCAGTAGACATGGTTTCATGATTAAGGTTAATGACACAGCTTATTGCTATTCAAATCTCACTGAGACAATTTCAGGAGCAAGGTACTAGTGAGAAGCAGCTACCAGTATTTAATACAGTACAACAATGAAACATTACAAACTACAGTGTGCTGCTCATATAGGAATTCTGATTTGCCCTAAGGGAGCCAGGGGCTTCAGCCTTTTACATAGCATAAACATACATAACCTCAGAGGAAAAAAGAAACTGAAAAAAATAACAGCCTGAACAAGTGAGAATATATACGATGAAAAAAGCAGCTGGATCTCACTTTCTTTTCTACTCAAAAGAAAATTTGAACCTCAGGAAAATATCTTAAGAAATCATTGCCATGACGCATGTCTAATGGATAGGAAACATAGAGTATAGCTATTGAAAAAGCAATTGACCTTTGTTTTTGAGGCAAAATGAAAAAAAAAAAAAACCTGCTATTGTGTTGACAAAAAGGAATTGGACCTACAACTGCCTACATGCTGGTATATAATAAAGGGTTTTTACATGGAAATTTACTCAGGCTTAAATTTTCTTACCATATTCTATGCAAGGTTGAAAATAGAAATCAAACTGTAGTTAAGAAGTTAAATGTAAAGACACTCAATCCACAATATACTTAGTCTCCAAGAGATTGCCCTGTGTCAAAACAGTGGGCAGAGCAGGCTTCACTAGTCTCAGAAAAATAAATGTCTCCATTCTATTGTCTTTTTCACTTGTCACATACAGGGTGACTGTAACTATGGCAAAGAGAAGAGAGATATGGTTCTCACACCGCTATAAAACTGAGTTGAAATTGGTAGAGGCATTGGGATCCACATTCACTTTTCAAGTGGCCAAAAACGCAGCTCCGGCTGAGATTGAGATGACGTGACTCAGTTTTGTGAGGTCCCAGGCTCTAGCGGATCCGTGTCTATTAAATCTTTCTGCTTAAAATCTTTTAATGATATGTATTACTCTTTAATATAGCAAAACTTACCAAGACCCCCAACATGAGACCTTTACCTATCTTGCAGCCTCAATACTTTCATTACTCCCTACTCTTCAGCTATATAGGATTTTTTTATGCATTGCAAATAGATTATGTTGTGGTTCAAGTTCTTTAATTTCCCCAAAACAGTCTGCAAACATTTTAGTGACCAAAGTTATCAAAATAACATGTACATATTAAAATCTGACCTTAAACATCAATCCCTCATTTTGTGAACTCCAGAAAGACATTGTTAATTCCATTTTATACACACTTTTATAGCACACTGTATTCTCCTATTCATTACATCAAAATTCTTGTAATTTTATTTACTTTGTTTTCCCTGTTTTTCAAGGCTCCATGAGGGCAGGGGAAAACATCTATTTTGGTTACTTCTGTATACCCCCATCACACTGCACAATACTGGATTTAATTGAATTTAATCAGTGCCTTGAGGTAGTAAGCTAGTGTTACAGACACACAAGCTGTTCTTTATCATCCAGTGCCCAGTGTGTCTGAGTCTCTACCTAATTTCCTCTTCAATTTTCAGTTTCCTTGGTCAGTCCACTTAAATTTTCTCAATTATTCTCAGTATCTTTATTTCCTTAGCTATATAACAACTCTGTGGTGGGCGAGAGGTTGGGATATAGAGGACAGAGAATATAGTTTTCAAAGTTATATCTTTCCATGATTTATGGAAATATGTATTCTGAAAGAAAATTAATAAATGATAGTAAGATTTTCAGGTAATCTATAAAAACATATCTACCCTATAATGTAATTGCACTGGTAAGGGCACCCACTTTGAAATTTTAAAATTTATTTGCCAAGTGGACTAATCTATATCAGGTAAATCTTGTCATAATTTATAGAAATTTATCTCACCGAAGAGTACACTTTATGTTTCAAAGACTAAAATACTTCTGAAATTTTGGAAACCAACTCTGGAAGATTGAGTCATATAAAATGCCAAACAACAGTGGATTAACAAGACAGAAGACTATTCCTGTCACATAAAATAAGTTTTGAGGTAACCAATTTAGCTTCATGAAAATTCTAAGCTCTTTAGGCCAGGTGTGGGGCTCATGCCTGTAATCTGAGCACTTTGGGAGGCTGAGATGGGAGGATTGCTTGATCTCAGGGATTCAAGACTAGCCTGGGCAACATGGTCAAATCTTGTCTCTACTAAAAATACAAAAATTAGCTGGGTGTGTTAGCACACGCCTGTAATCTCAGCTTCTCCGGAGGCTGAGGCATGAGAATCACTTGAACCTGGGAGACAGAGGTTGCAGCAAGCAGAGATGGCGCCACTGCACTCCAGCCTTCCAGCCTGCGTGGCGAAGTAAGACTCTGTCTTAAAAAATATATAGAAAATTTGAAACTCTTTAAAACTGTATGCATTATGTTTTCCCTTCATTCTTAGCATGCAATTTTTACCTAATGGTTAAAGATAGCTAATTCAGCTTCAATCATCACAACTGCTTTGATTGTTAATACTGAATGTCAATGTGATTGAATTGAAGAATGCAAAGTATTGATCCCAGGTGCATCTGTGAGGGTGTTGCCAAGGGAAATTAACGTTTGACTCAGTGGCCTAGGAGAAGCAGACCCACCCTTACTCTGGGTGGGAACCATCTAATCAGCTGCCAGCATGGCTAGAATATAAAGCAGGAAGAAAAACATGAAAAAACTAGAATGGCCTAGCCTCCCAGCCTATATCTTACTCCTGTGCTGGATGTTTCCTGCCCTCTAACATTGGACTCCAAGTTCTTCAGTTTTGGGACTTGGACTGGCTCTCCTTGCTCCTCAAGAACAGAGAGCATATATAGATATATATAAAGAACTGATCAGATATATATAGCCACAGACACTTAACATCTGCCATGAAAGCAGCCTATAGGAAGGCTGTACCCTGCAAGGCCATAGGGGCGGAGCTGCTCAAGACCATGGGAACCCATCTACTCCATCAGTATGACCTGGATGTGAGACATGGAGTCAAAGGAGACAATTTTGAAGTGTTAAGATTTGACTGCCCTACTGGATTTCACACTTGCATGCACCCTGTAGCCCCTTTGTTTTGTTTAATTTCTCCCATTGGGAATGGCTGTATTTCCCCAATACCTGTACCCCGATTGTATCTCGCAAGTAACTAGCTTGCTTTTGATTTTACAGTTTCATAGGCGGAAGGGACTTGCCTTGTCTCAGATGACACTTTGGGCTGTGGACTTTTGCATTAATGCTGAAATGACTTAAGACTTTGGGGGACTGTTGGGAAGGCATGATTGGTTTTGAAATGTGAGGACATGAGATTTGGCAGGGGTTGGGGTGGAATGATATGGTTTAGCTCTGTGTCCCCACCCAAATCTCATCTTGAATTCCCACATGTTGTGGGAGGGACCTGGTGGGAGGTAATTGAATCATGGGGACAGGATTTGCAGTGCTGTTCTCGTGATAGTGAATAAGTGTCACAAGATCTGTTGGTTTTAAAAAGGGAGTTTCCCTGCACAAGCTCTCTTTTTTTGTTTGCCACCATGTGAGATGTGCCTTTCACCTTCCACCATGGTTGTGAGGCCTCCCCAGCCACGTGTAACTGTAAGTCCATTAAACCTCTTTCTTTTGTAAATTGCCAGTCTAGGGTATGTTTTTATCAGCAGCATAAAAATGGACTAATACCACTGCCATAACCATTTCCTTCCAGCAAGAATATCAAAGAACATAGTGGAAAAAAATGGTACATGCTAGCCATCTGCTAAGATTCCCCAAACTGCCATTTTCACATATATACCACTGGCAAGAAGTTATTCACACAGAAGCAAGAGAGGATAGAAAGCAAGAGAGAGTAGGCTATTACTATGTATTCTGGGCAGTCAAATGGAAAACATTTATAGGAGGGGATGGAGTGGGAGTGGGGTACTAGCAGACTTTGCCATTGCAGCTAATTTGAAAGTTAAAACTCATAGTAAAAGTCTGAGTAATTAAAAAGCAAGATTGACATTATATTTCATTTAATAAGGTACATTAAAATTTACTTGGTACACAATATACCTAATTTTCCTACTAAATACTTTGAAGAAAATGAAGCAAGAAGACACTTCATAGTAAATAAAAAAAATACTAAATGCAATATTGTGTTCCCATTCATTATTAAAATTTGGGGGAAATTGTAACTATAAAAGCATCATAACTAACATTATGTATATTAGTAAAATAAATGAGAACATTACATGTAAAAAATGTTTCCATTTGTTAAGTTTAAACTCTGTAAGTTTTGTTTGTTATTGCTATTAGCTATTGAATTTATTCCTTTCTATTAATATCTACACTAGGTTAGTACAGAATTCAGCAAAACATAGTGAATGTAAACATGATTTATATTATGATAGTTATATTCAAGTTTTTCTTACTTATCTTCTAGTTACATTTACTGAAATCATATTTATATCACTACATTATACTTATATGAATATTTGCATTACCTAGAAAGTAAATTTCATGAAAGCAGGAACATTAGTTTGTTCACCACTATATACACAGTGCCTAGAAGAGTGCCTACCACAAAGATGTGCTCATTAAATATTTGTTGAAAGAGCAAATATGTGGAATAACAGTTTTGAAAATTTAATTAAAAAAAACAGATCTGTAATATCAACTACAGATCTGTACTATCAATTGTAATATCAATATATACCACATTCTCCTGATACCACTTGTCTGCCCATAACGTCATTTCTGCTCTTTATTTTAAATTAACTCCCTGAAAATATTTTGATTGTTGCTATTTATTGTTTTAAAAATCTTTCAAAGAAGAAATGTCACATTGATATTTTGTGTGCAAATTCACACAAGGCAGGCTAAGATTTTTTTTTTTTTCTTTTTTGCCAATTGTTGGTATGACTTGGTTATTCAAATGCATTAAAATTTCAATTTACCTGAGTGTTTTTGTTTGTTTAATCATTAAAGCTGTGTTTAGATGAAAACATTCAACCTAAAATATGTGATTTTTGAGTTTTGTTCCATTTTAACAAGCAAATTGCATTGCTGTTGCAATTATTCTGATCAATCACAGTTGTTTATATTTATGTTCTACATATAATTCTTAGAGCTTCATATGCAATATCACTTCGATTTTCCCAATAATCCCATTAAACAATGGATTGAAGAGTAAATAAAAGCTAAGGAAGATTTATTAATTTCCTTGATACCACTTCAGTATGAAATTATTGAGTCAGAATATGAGTCAAGGTTTAATACCAGAAAGTGTGTCCACTTCTTTTCTTTCTACCTTTGCGGTCTCATTTAATTATATAGTTGTTGCTACGGTATGAATCTGTCTCCCCAGCATTCATATGTTAAAACCTAATCACCAGTGTGATGATGTTATGAGGTAAGACCTTTGAGAGTTGATGGGATCAGCAGGGCAGAGCCCTCAAGAATGGGATTAGTGACCTTATAAAAGAGAACTGAGAGAGACTTATCTTTTCATCATGTGAGGACACAGCAAGAAGGTGCCATCTGTGATCTATAAAGCAGGCCCTTGACAGACATCAAATATGTGGGCACCTTAATTTTGGACTTCTCAACCTTCAGAAGTGTAAGAAAAAAAATTTTGTTGTACATAAGCTGCCCAGTCTACAATATTTTTCTTATTGCAGACTAAATGGTCTAAGACAGCTGTTAAAATAATCGATGATTTTTTTTTCATCTCCCAGAAGCATTTTACTTCTCCATAGAAGCTAAATGATCACACAGGTACATCCACATGAATTGGCTGAAGAAATCACCAGGAAGTGCTTTGACTCTGACTATGAGGAAGCGTTTTTTCCTATCTTCCTATTTATGTCTCTTTTAAGAGATTAACATCAGAAGGCTCTTCTTTGTATAAAGCATATTACCACTTGTTTATATTTTCTTAAGCATATGTGCTCATTGAAGGGTCTGGAGTAATTTATCCTCTTCTCCAGGAAATCATCCAAATTTAAATTATTTTTGAAAGACACTGTCTACACATATAAGCCTAGAATAAAATGTAAGTGCAATAAATGCCTAGCATAATAGCATTATTTATACACATTTGTGTGTGTGTACATGTCTGCAGCCATGAAATTTTACTATTAGAGATCCATTGCACACCTAGCACAGCATGTCATATATGATCTGTAATATCACGCATATGCTAACATCCCTGCTTTCCATATAAGTAAATCATCTCCATGTCAACATCTATTTTTTCTGAATTGTCACAAGTAGGTCCTAAACCCCACATTTCTCATCCTAGCACATCTGTATTTCATTGGTTCATTTCTAGAAGTATTTTAGAGTAAAAGATATATTCCAAGTCTGATAATTTTACACATTAGCAATAATTGGCATGTATTAACTTCGATCATATACACAAAATGCCTTTCCCCCTTATTTTCACAACCATACTTTCAGAAAATTAAACATCATTTGCTGAAACCACATTGAACAGGAGTATATTTGAAGGAATTCAAAATAATCATAGTTTGATGATATTACAACCTTTCATTTGAAGGTTTATGATGAAAATACAGAATTGCCCAGCTTGCTATTTTATTCTGAAAAATACCCAGAAAATTTCTTATGATGGAAGAGGAGGAGCAGAATAAAGTAGGTATTTTACAACATCATTATACTGAAAACAAAAAACAGCCTTGCTGTTAAAAACTGGTTATTCTTTCCAGGACTTACAAAGTTTTTCCTTTATCCTTATAACTATATATCTAAATTACTGTCTGTATAGCTTGGTGTGCTCTTATAAAGCTCACAATAAAAATCAGATTGTGGCAAATTTGTTCCTTCTGTTATACAATTGAACAATGTGAAGTAATTTGGATATTTGGTATGCTTGCTAGGACTTCTTATATTATTAATTCTAATTCTATATTGCATTGCAGTAATCCTATGGCCAAAATATTTTTACAAACTTTATTGAACAAAGCTTACATACTCTTTCTTGTATCCTCTTTTGACTCAACAGAATTGTAACTAGGGAGACATCAGAAAAATACAGTCTTCTAAAACTTGACTTCAAAATCACAAAATCATAAAAATGTTAATAGGTTTAATGACCTATCACATGTAATTATACGTAATTATATATATGTGTGTATATATATTCATATATATGTGTATATATATTCATATATATGTGTATATATATTCATATATATATGTGTGTGTGTATATATATATATATTTTATTTTTTGAGATAGAGTCTCCCTCTGTCGCCCAGGCTGGAGTGCAGTGGCATGATCTCAACTCACTGCAACCTCTGCCTACTGGGTTCAACTGATTCTCATGCCTCAGCCTCCCAAGTAGCTGGGACTACTGATGCGCACCACCATGCCCAGCTAATTTTTATATTTTCAGTAGAGACAGGGTTTTGCCATGTTGGCCAGCCTGGGCTCAAACTCCTGGCCTTAAGCAATCCACCTGCCTGGGCCTCCCAAAGTGCTGGGATTACAGGCCTGAGCCACTGCACATGGACCATTTTATAAGATTTTTAAAAGGACATAATTAACAAATTTAACAGAAAGGTGACCAATTAAGAGATGATATGTTCACTGTTTGTGACTACAAAGTATTAATATAAATCTTCCTTACACCTTATACAAAAATCAATTCAAGATGGAATAAAGACTTAAATGTTAGACCTAAAACCATAAAAACCCTAGAAGAAAACCTAGGCAATACCATTCAGGACATAGGCATGGGCAAGGACTTCATGTCTAAAACACCAAAAGCAATGGCAACAAAAGCCAAAATTGACAAATGGGATCTAATTAAACTAAAGAGCTTCTGCACAGCAAAAGAAACTACCATCAGAGTGAACAGGAAACCTACAGAATGGGAGAAAATTTTTGCAATCTACTCATCTGACAAAGGGCTAATATCCAGAATCTACAAAGAACTCAAACAAATTTACAAGAAAAAAACAAACAACCCCATCAAAAAGCGGGTGAAGGATATGAACAGACACTCCTCAAAAGAAAACATTTATGCAGCCAAAGACACATGAAAAAATGCTCATCATCACTGGCCATCAGAGAAATGCAAATCAAAACCACAACGAGATACCATCTCACACCAGTTAGAATGGTGATCATTAAAAAGTCAGGAAACAACAGGTGCTGGAGAGGATGTGGAGAAATAGGAATGCTTTTACACTGTTGGTGGGGCTGTAAACTAGTTCAACCATTGTGGAAGACAGTGTGGCGATTCCTCAGGGATCTAGAACTAGAAATACCATTTGACCCAGCCATCCCATTACTGGGTATATACCCAAAGGATTATAAATCATGCTGCTATAAAGACACATGCACACGTATGTTTATTATGGCACTATTCACAATAGCAAAGACTTGGAACCAACCCAAATGTCCAACAATGATAGACTGGATTAAGAAAATGTGGCACTTATACACCATGGAATACTATGCAGCCATAAAAAAGGATGAGTTCATGTCCTTTGCAGGGACATGGATGAAGCTGGAAACCATCATTCTCAGCAAACTATCACAAGGACAAAAAACCAAACACCGCATGTTCTCACTCATAGGTAGGAATTGAACAATGAGAACACATGGACACAGGAAGGGGAACATCACACACCAGGGCCTGTTGTGGGGTGAGGGGACAGGGGAGGCATAGCATTAGACGATATACCTAATGTTAAATGATGAATTAATGGGTGCAGCACACCAACATGGCACATGTATACATATGTAACCAACCTGCACATTGTGCACATGTACCCTAAAACTTAAAATATAATAATAAAAAAGTAAAAAAATAAAATAAAATAAAAAATAAATAAATTTTCAATTAAAGTAAATTAAACATTTATTGTGGTATTACTATGTGCCAAAACTGAGCTTTGAATTTAGGAGAGGAATCTAAATAATGCTTTTATTTTCTTAATGTTTATTTCTTGTAAGATAAATTTATTAAAGTATGCTAAAAAAATTTAATATTCCTTCAAAAGGTGGGATCTTATTCCTCTTTCCTTGACTGTGAGGTGGACTAAGTGACCTATACCTAATAAACAGAATACCGTGGAAGTGATGGTGTTTTACCTCTGAGATTATGACATAACAGACATTGTGGTTTTCTCCTTGCCCTCTCTTTTGCATCTCACCCTTGGAGATGCCATCTGCCATTTTTCAAGCACAATAAAACAGGGTTGTGGAACAATACATATGGAGAGTAGCTGAAGCATTTTGCCAATGGCTATGTGAGTGAAACATCTAAGAGGTGAATATCAATCCCCAATTCAACCTTCAGGTGATGGAAGTCCAAACTGACAATTTAACTGCAAACTGAAAGAATCTGAGCTGGAACTACTTAGCTAAGCTACTTCTAAATTGTGACCCACAGAAACTGTGAAATGCTAAGTGTTTATTCTTTCAAACTTCTAAATTTCGGGCTATTTTTGACACAGCAACAGATAACTAATACAGACAAAAATGGTATTGAAGACACAATGATTAACACTGTGGAAAGAAAGACAAGGGAAGAAGTGTTTGTCATGTAATTGATGTATGAACAGTTTGGAAGGAAGATGAAACATTAACTAGGTGATTGGGGAGAAAGGCATGTTATTTACAGGGTATTTCTAAAATATAATATCACATCATTTTTTATGATCAGGTATTATGTGCCTTGGAAAAGTTAAGCGTAAAACAAATTTGAAAGTCAGTTTGCTAATGGGTCTTCAAACATCTTTCCATATTTTAGACAGCAAGAGAAAGCTGTATCAGTGATGCTTTCATTTGGGTATAGTGGTTTGACCCCTCCAAATCTCATGTTGAAATTTGACTTTCAATTTTGAAAGTGGTGCTTCATGGGAGGTGATTGTGTTATTGGGGCTACTCCTTCCTGAATAGATTAAGGCCCTCCCTGGCATGAAGGCCAGTGAGTGAATTCTCAATCTATGAGTTCTCAGGAGAGGTGGTTGTTAAAAAGAGCCTGGTACCTCCCTCCCCCATCTCTCTTAATTTCTCTCTCTTACCATGTGATTGCTGCACACCCTGGCTCCCCTTCCCCTTTTGCCATAAGTAGAATCAGTTTGAGGCCCTCAACAGATGCAGATACCTGCACCATACTTCTTGTACTGACTACAGAACCATGAGCCAAATAAACCTCTTTTCCTTATAAATTATTTGGCCTCGGGTATTCTTTTAGAGCAATACAAACTCAGACAAGAGATTATTATGCTTATGATAGAAAGTAAAAGATGCTAAGTTATAGAGCTTTACCTTCCAAGATGTGACTAGGATGCAAATACATTTAAAAACTCATGGGAGTCCAGAGATAGGAAACGGATATCTCACTATAAATGGGAATTACTAGCCAAAAAATCATGAATTATAAAGAGGAAAAAAAAAAAGATAATTTCTATAGCTGCAGTCTCAAAGGTTAATCCTAATTCCTTATAAAAGAGACATTAAAATTTGCTTATTTTTTAGAATTACTTACGCACACATACACGTATTAAAATTTGCATAATCTTTGTTCTAAGTAGGGTTCCATTCCTTATTATAAACCTATTTCCCTTCTTCATAATTGTTCAAGTTAGATAATCCCTTTAAATATTATTATCTCTAGACACTCAGAATGACTGGACAGTATCTGTGTGCTAAAATAAGTATCCTGGTATTTAGATGAGTAGGCTTATGTAAAAAAAACACTGTTTACAGAACTGAGCACTGAATATTTTGTTATTCAAAGACAAAATTGGAGGAGAAAAAGCAACAGCACAGTGTATACATAGTCAAATTAATTTTAATTAATATTTCTTTCTTTTTTCTCTGCCTACCTAATTGTTACAAAAATCTTATGTTTACTGATTTTAACTTTATTATATAAAAAATGTGAAATAAAAGGGCATGACTATTTACTATTAGGTTAGTGGAAAAGTAATGGGAAAGGCCGGGCACGGTGGCTCACGCCTGTAATCCCAGCACTTTGGGAGGCCAAGGTGGGTGGACCACAAGGTCAGGAGATCTAGACCATCCTAGCTAACACGGTGAAACCCCGTCTCTACTAAAAATACAAAAAATTAGCCGGGCGTGGTGGCAGACGCCTGTAGTCCTAGCTACTCTGGAGGCTGAGGCAGGAGAATGGCGTGAACCCAGGAGGCAGAGCTTGCAGTGAGCCGAGATCGTGCCACTGCACTCCAGCCTGGGTGACAGAGCGAGACTCCAGCTCAAAAAATAAAAATAAAAATAAAAATAAAAAATAAAGGGAAAAAACATAATTACTTTTGCACCAACCTAATATTAATTCTCATTATTCTAATTTTAAAAACGTGCTCCTTAAAGTTGTATTGTGTTAGAATTTGGATGTTACATGCATGTATGTTTGTGTGGGTGTGTCTGTGTGATGGTGTATCCATGTTTTACCCAGGGACTGTTTTCTACTTTCTTATTCTGAAGACTTCCTAATTCTAAAGACTTCTAAAAGAAGTCTTAATTATTTATCTGAAATAATTTTTGAACACCTGTTATGTGCCAACCCCTGAGGATAAAAAGGTAAATTAAAAACTATGAAGTTTTTCTGCGTTCATAGAACATACAGTCTACTGTGGAAGTCAGACCAAAAACATTATACAAAAAATAATAAGAAGAAAAATAAAATAACTGCCATGAAGGGAATAAAGGGCTTAATTTGATCTACTTTCAATAACATTGTTATAAAAAGCATCTCAAAGAAGAGGCTTGAGTAGAGATTTGGAGGATGAGAATGAGACGGCATTGAGAATGATGCAGGAGAGTGGAAGCTGACAGCATCCCAGGCATGAAAACCGCTCATAGCAAAGATTATGTGGAGAGTGCAATATGTTGACAGAATGGGAAGAAAGCCAGTATGATTGGATTATACTGATAAGAGGGCATGCTGACTTGAAATGAAGCCAGAAGGAATAAGATTGGTGAGGTGGTAAGTAATGAAGATCTTAGTCTGTGTGTAATGGAAAGTTACGGAAGCATGTAGTATGGGAATTATGTGTACTATGTAGTTTATGCTTTAGGTTTTATAAAGCTAACAGACTAAAAAAGTGATAGATAATGTGGACAGGAAGGAATACAGATTTAGATGTGTCCAAGTGAGGGATAATGGCTGCTTGGACAATATAGTTTCAGTGCTGATGGAGAGAAGCCAATTAATTCAAGAGAGTTTATTTGTTTGTTTGTTTTTTAGACAGAGTCTCACTCTGTCATCCAGGCTGGAGTGCAATGGGGCAATCTTGGCTCACTGCAACCTGTGCCTCCCAGGTTTAAGCGATTCTCCTGCCTCAGCCTCCTGAGTAGCCTCAGCCTCCTGGGTAACAGGTGCATGCCACCATGCCTGGTAGAGATGGGGTTTCATCATGTTAGCCAGGATGGTCTCGATCTCCTGACCTCATGATCCACCCACCTTGGCCTCCCAAAGTGCTGGAATTCAAGAGATGTTTTTAAATAGTATTGGCAAGTATTGATGATTTTGTAAATTAAGGGAGAGAAATAATGAAGGCTGACTCTCCTAGGGTTTTGTTTATAGCTTCTGAATACATATGGTTATCAATGTTAAATTAGTTAGAAAAGCATATTTAGTATTTCTCAGTAAGTGTATGGGAGTTGGTAGAAAAAAATTATAATGATAATTCCTGAAGTTTAAAATATTGTCAAAATATTGTCACTTCCAATTCTAGGGTTTTGCATACAACTATGTTCTGAGTATTATGTCCATACTAAAATACCTTTCTATTTTAGGCTCTTCCCTTTTTTGATTTTTGAGCAATTTAACTAAATTAGCAAAATAACTTTGAATTCATATATTGTCTACCTTAGTTGAAAATGTTGAGAAAGTTTTTCTATTACTCTATGCAGCATCAGTGTAACTTCAGCATAATTGCCACAAAACTCTCTGGACACTTGAGGCAGAAAGGAAAAAAAAGAAGGAAGGAAGAAAGGGAAAGAAAGAAAAGAATAAAATTAAAGCATTTGTTGTTGCACTCTCAAATAAAATAAATTCTCCATTGACAGTCAACATATGGTATTATGAAATGCTTATCCATGACCTTTCACTATGTGACACTACTTAATATGGTTTGGCTCTATGTCCCCACCCAAATCTCATCTTGAATTGTAGCTCCCATAATTCCCTTGTGTTGTGGGAGGGACCTGGTGGGAGATAATTAAATCATGGGGAAAATTTCCACCATAGTGTTCTCATGGTACTGAATAAGTCTCATGAGATCTGATGGTTTTATCAGGGGAAACATTTTTCACTTGGTTTCCATTCTCTCTCATCTGCCACCATGTAAAACATGCCTTTTACCTCTGCCATGAGTGTGAGACCATCCTAGCCATGTGAAACTGTAAGTCCATTGAACCTTTTTTTATCTAAAAATTACCCAATCTTGGGTATGTCTTTATTATCACGTGAAAATGGACTGATACAGTAAATTGGTACTGGTAGAGGGGGGCACTGCTGTAAAGATACCCAAAAATGTGGAAGCGACTTTGGATCTTGGTAACAGGCAGAGGCTGGAACAGTTTGGAGGACTCAGAAGACAGGAAAATGGGGGAAAGTTTGGAACTTCCTACACACTTGTTGAACAGCTTTAACCAAAATGTTGATAATAATATGGACAATAAAATCTAGGTTGAAGAGGTCTCAGATGGAGATGTGAAACTTGTTGGGAACTGGTAAAGAGTAAAGGTGACTCTTGATATGTTTTAGTAAAGATTGAAATGGGAAAGTTTTGGATTAATCTTATTTAAAATTGATGCTACAATAAAGTATTCCTTCTTCCAAAAAAAAAAAAAAAAAAGAGAGACTGGAAACGTAGAGATTTGTGGAACTTCAAACTTGAGAGAGATGCTTTAGGGTATCTGGCAGAAGAAATTTCTAAGCAGTAAAGCATTCAAGAGGTGACCTGAGTGCTGTTAAAAGCAGTTTTAAAAGGGAAACAAAGCATACAAATTAGGAAAGTTTACAGACTGGCAATGCAATAGAAAAGAAAAACCCATTTTCTGAGAAGAAATTCAAGCCTGCTGCAGAAATTTGCATAAGTAATGAGGAGCTAAATGTTAATTGCCAAGGCAATGGGGAAAATGTCTCCAGGGTATGTAAGAGACTTTTGAGACAGCCCTACTCATCACAGGCCCAGAGGCCAAGGAGAAAAAAATAGTTTCATGGGCTGGGCCAGGGGCCCCCTGCTTTATGCAGCCTAGGGACCTTGTGCTCTGTGTCCCAGCTGCTCTAGCCATGGCTAAAAGGGACCAAGGTATAGCTCAGGCCATGGCTTCAGAGGGTGCAAGTCCCAAGCCTTGGCAGTTTCCACATGGTGTTGGGACTGCAGGTTCACAGAAGTCAACAATTGGGGTTTCGGAACCTCCACTTAGATTACAGAGGATGTATGGAGGACCTGGATGTCCAGAGCCCTCATGGAGAAACTCTGCTAGGGTAGTGTGGAGGGGGAATATGGGGTTGGAGTCCCCACACAGAGGTGCTTCATGCACTCGGAAAAGCCACAGGCACTCAATGCCAGCCCAAGAAAGCAGCCAGGAGGGAGGCTATATTCTGCAAAGCTATAGGGGCAGAGCTTCCCAAGGCTGTGGGAGCTCACCTGTTGCATCAGCATGACCTGAATGTGAGACATGGAGTTAAAGGAGATTATTTCAGAGCTTTAAGATTTAATTACTGACTTGTTGGATTTCAGACTTGCAAGGAATCTATAGCACCTTCATTTTAGTCAATTTCTCCCATTTGGAAAGTGTGTATTTATTCAATGTCTGTACCCCCATAGTATCTAGGAAGTAACTAACTTGTTTTTTATTTTTATCTTACAGGCTCATAGGCAGAAGGGACTTACCTTGTCTTAGATGAGAATTTGGACTGTGGACTTTTGAGTTAATGCTGAAATGAGTTAAGACTTTCGGGGACTGTTGGGAAGGCATGATCAGTTTTGAAATGTGAGGACATGAGATTTGGCAGGGGTCAGGGGCAGAATGATATGGTTTGGCTCTATGTCCCCACCCAAATCTCATCTTAAATTGTAGCTCCCATAATTCTGATGTGTTATGGGAGGGACCTGGTGGGAGATAATTGAATCATGGGAGTGATTTCCCCCTTACTGTTCTCATGGTAGTGAACAAATCTCATGAGATCTGATGGTTTTATAAGAGGAAACCCCTTTTGCTTGGTTCTCATTCTCTGTTGTCTGCTGCCATGTTAGACATGCCTTTCACCTTCCACCAAGAGTGTGAGGCCTCCCTGGCCGCATGAAACTGTGAGTACGTTAAACCTCTTTTTCTTTATAAATTACCCAGTTTTGGGGATGTCCTTATCAGCAGTGTGAAGACGGACTAATACAACTTTTGCAAAACGTCCATCTGGTACAAGAGCCATCATTTGACAATTGAAGAGCTTTATAATACTTGATATGAAACACAGTGATAAGAAGCTACTCTATTTCTTAATAGCCACTCCGATTCAAGTCCATTTTTTCTGATTAATATGTTTTCTTGGCACCCAGTGAGTCCCAGGTGTTACTAATGAATATGTGCAAAGTTCTCACCTTTTTGTACTCTTGAATATGACCATGAATTTAGCAAAAGTCATCAGATGTCCAATGTATGCAGTGAAATGCAGAATTTGTAGAGAAACAGCTGGCAATATGTGTTGTATTCTTCATGAAATTTCACTAACCTGTGTTAGGCTTTATGCAATACATTTTAATTGCCTAATTTGCAAATATTGTGGCTCACTGTAGTCTCCATTATAAATTGTTTATATTGTTTACATGCTTAATTTGCTATATTATTTATATATGTAACATATTTATATATTTATATTTACCTATGTAACTTGTTAATTGATTGTTAGAATATATATTTTAGAAAATACTATTTTATTGAAAAATATCTCATAATTCTAGTAAAAAGTAATAACAAAAATTGGTAAGTTAGTTATAATAAATGATAAGGTCTACATATTCCATGAGCCAGATACATCACGTTTTCTATGTTTAGTTTTTCGGGGAGACGATGGTTGCTTGCTTCTCACCTGTGTTTTTTGGTCCAGGCTATTTACTGTTTGTGTGTAATATCACACATTTTTTTTACCTTGATCTCCTTGATCTTTTCTGGTTTTTGGCCACTTTGAATTTGTTCTTGTCCTTTTTACCTGTCTTTCCTAGTTAAATAGTCTTTCTATGCATCTCTCTTTAACCAGTTAAATTATGCTTTTATTTAAGACCACAACTTTATTATGTATTTTCTCAGGGAAATCTTTCTTAACAAATACTCAAATTATGGCAGGAAAAAGTGTCCTCCATAGTGCCTATCACAACTGAATGTTTGTATTTCTTTATATGAACCCGATATGGTTTGGCTGTGTCACCACACAAATCTCAACTTGAATTGTATATCCCAGAATTCTCATGTGTTGTGGGAGGGACCTAGCGGAAGGTAATTCAATCATGGGAGCCAGTCTTTCCTGTGCTATTCTTGTAATTGTGACTAAGTCTCACAAGATCGGACGGGTTTATCATGGGTTTCCTCATTTTCTCTTGCTGCTGCCATGTAAGAAGTGCCTTTCACCTCCTGCCATGATTCTGAGGCCTCCAAGCCATGTGGAACTGTAAGTCCAATTAAACCTCCTTTTCTGCCCAGTCTTGGGTATGTCTTTATCAGCAGCATGAAAACAAACTAATACAGAACCTTTAGTTTTTTTTTATATATATATTAAGTTCTGCTATGGTTTGAATGTTTGTTCCCTCCAAAACTAATTTTGAAATTTAATTGTCATTGAAACAATATTAAGAGCCAAGACTCATAAGAGAAAAACAGGACATCAGGCTCTACCCTTATGGGTAGAATTGGTACAATTACATATGGGAAATTTGGTCTTGGTCTCTTTTGCTCTTCTATCTTTTGCCCTAGGCTAATGCAGCAAGAAGACCCTTACTAGATGCCATCACCTTAATCTCAATCTTCTCAGGCTCCCAAACTGTTGGCCAATATAGTTATATACCTGCTATGTACTTTCAGCATTAATTTCCTGTTATACAAAATGAGGGTTATCATAATACAAACAAAAATATATAAAATTTATTTAGCTTTGTTATGAACCAGGCACTGTGCTAACACAGGATTTTGAAATATAGATGGTATCAGCAAATGGGTTTTGCTAAATCTATAGTACTGAGTATTTTACGTGTCGGTAAGAAATCTTTTTTTGACTTATGAATATGTACCATTTCTCAAACTTTATTAGATAAAATTGAAGAATTCTGTAAGTTCTCTACATAAGTCTAAAGAGTTCCAAGTTAGTAAGAAACATTCATCCTGCATTTCATAGGGAAAGACAATTGGTAATATAATATTTATGACCATTCTGAGTTCCCTCACTTGCAACTCCAGGGAAGGAAGAGTGATTTAGCTGATAAGTTTCAGTGAGGAAACACAACTCATGTTTTCTTTTCTTTCTTCTTATGTCTTGCCTGTTCTGAGATTATTTTCAGAGCTACTCTCATTGCAGCAATAATGTGAAAAGGATAGGACATTTCCATTAGATGGTCCTACAGTGTTCCTCCTGTGCCAGTGACTGGTGAATACATGTGTCTAATTCAGGGTTAAATATGAGTAAATCAGAGCCCAAAAAGTGCTTCCTAGGGTGAGCTTTATTACAAAATAAACTGAGAGTTTGATCTCTGTCTGACAATTGCATTCATCTTTCAGTGTGTTTTGAACTTAGGTGAGAATGAAAGTCAATCTTTATTAGACCAATAAATACTCCAACAGCTGTTTTTATACTTAACTCTTTAAATTATGTGACATGTAAAAAGTTGAGTGAAGGCATCATGTAATAAAAATAAAACAATGTGCTAATAATAAACAATGTATTTTAAGCCTATTGGATGTTAATGCAGTCTAAGTAGAGATACTTTTATTTAAAAAAAACTTTCCTCTTGATTATGAGATACACTAATTTGAAAGTACTTTGTAAGTCACGAAATATTAGAGCTGGTAAACTTCTATTAACACTTATATATATATAATGTATAATATAATGTATGCTCAGTTTCTCTTATTTAATTCTCTATGTGATATAGAAGGAGTGTCACAGTGCCATGAGGCTGTCTCTTCAGAAAACTTTAAACCATAGACTCAGGTTCAAGCTAGACATTTTTATTCTGATTCTGTACTTCCATGATTGAGTCCAAATATCATCAGCCTCTGAATTTGGAGAGAACCATTTTCTCTTTATCAGGGCATGTGGCATGGCATATAACATGCAATGAACACACATTTTATCCGGGGAGCTTATAAATAAGGTGGACAATCTATTCTGGCTTATCTGGTATAGTTTTAGATTGTTCATGTTGTGTTGGTAGGATTATTAATGGTTTCTCAATCACTTTCTAAAGTGCTCTACTATGAATGATACATTACAAGGTCACCTTGTCTGTAAGTAAACCAAAGGAGCAAAATATCTGATTTACATTAGAACACTTGGTATTCTCAGGTTTAACTTTATAATATAAGCTAATGTTAGGAAAAATTCTACTCCTGCTTTGTGATATACCTTGTTTAGGACATGGAATGTTACACTTAACATTTATTCAAATTCACTAAGCTCATGAGTAAAAGAACTGAACTAGAACATGAAGCTTTAAGCCCTTGAGTCTTTCCAGTGTTTTTCACTATCGGTTTCTGGATATTTTTCTTAAACTATCTTAAGTATTCCCTGAAAGGAAGAATTCAAGGTTCAGACACAAAAGGCAGCCAATTGGACATCAGCCTGATGACTCCTTTGGCTGCCTGCTTTCTCACATAAATCAGTTCAGGAATCCTGGAAAGAGTCTCTGGGATGGAGAGTAGAGTGCACGTGGCTTAGTAGGTAGTGGACTTCAGATTTCCACCTGTTGAAGGGGAAGGATGGAACCAGGATTGGGTAGAGTGGGAAGCTGGACTGTAAAGCAGTCTCAGAAGAGCATATGAGGAGATCTGTAGCTTGAATAGCCCTTCAGAATTATCCTGAATTCATGCAAAGTGGCTAGGTACATGTACACAGCTCATCAACCCGTTGTTGGAAGTGGAATGTCCCCCAAAAGAAGTATGAACTTGTGAAGTAGCTCTTTTTGTCTAAGGCAATTTGGATTAGAGGTGAGAATTAAAGGCTGACTCTGGTACCACATCCAGTCACTGCAAAAGTAAATCCTTCAGATTTAAAGCAGAATTTTGTCAGTGACTCATAATATCCACTTTTATATACTATTCAAACTATTTATATTACGGTATTAAATTCCTCTAAAAATCATGAAACTGTCCATTTAGAAAGCCCATAAGTAGGCTCCATGAGATATGTGAATCCCTTGAAACTGGATATTCTGTATACAACACATGTTGAAAGCATATGATGATTTTTCTATGGAAAGTTGTTACAACTTTCATCAGTAAATCAAAAGGACCCGGATCTTCAAAAATGATAAGAACACAACTCTTTTCAGTAATTAGCAAAAACTATTGCTAAACTCTCTGAACCTAGAGTCCCTGACTTAAATTATTAAGAACTATTTATTCATTACTTTTTCTAGTGAGGAAAGTATAAAATGAGATAAATAAGACAATAGTCTCTGAAGTTTCTCCTTTCTTGTCTCTCGAATAGAAAATTCTAAATCTTTCATATCTAAAAGTTGAACAAAATAGCCCCTGCCTTGAGAAAGAAGAAGAATACTTATTTTCTAGTTATCCAAGTGTGAGAAGGCAGTATGAATATATAGACAGAGATGTGATATGATATGATATGATATATTATGAATGCTCACATTATTAATAATAACTCATTACCCATAGAGTAGGGGGATATTGTGAACTATAAACGCAGGGCCTTGTTATTTATATAACAGGTCAAGGTTTTTCACTCCCTCACCTTCTTTGTTTCTTCACAACTTACCCCAGATGAGGAGGGTCACTTAGTTCACTATGGAAATGAGGTTATGCAAAGAGGAAGTTTATTCTTCACGTGTTCCCCCTAAAATATATTAGAGTCCTTTATTGCTCTTTATGGTCAGAGTGGGATTTGATTGTCATCATCCTTGACCATGGGATGGTGGAAAGTTGAATCTCAACAAAAAAGAAAGCACAGAGAAGAAAGGAAGGGAAAATGAAAGAAAGGAAAGAAGAAGAAAAGAAAGAAGGAAAGAAAGAAAAAGAAAAAGAAAGAAAGGAAGGGAGGGAGGGAAAGAAAAAAAGAAAGAAAGAAAGAAAAGAAAGAAAGAGAAAGAAAGAAAAGAAACAAAGAAAGAAAGAAAGAAAGAAAGAAAGAAAGAAAGAAAGAAAGAAAGACCAGTCAAATAAAGATGAACTATTTCGTGTCCCCTTCCAATGATTCTTTTGTATCCTTTTCCAATGAGGCTCTTGGATAGAATGAAATAGGAGTGATCTATCCAGTCTTGCATATGCAGTTCCACATAACCAAATATTTATTACTATTTCTAAATAAGAAGGTGTTCACTCTGGTAATCAAGTGTATCTACATGCATTTCAGATATTGCTGTTCATAATACAATATTAAATTGAAAGAGGTTCTAACATGTGTCAGTTATGCCCTTACAAATATCATTGTTCTCAAATGGGTTTTAAGAATACAAAATGGCAAAGGAGGGCAATGAACCCGAGTATATTTGAGTTGTGAAATTACGAATTACATTTTTGTATGTAGCTTAGGTGGAAAACTTTCCAATTTTAATGACTATGAGTTTCAATCTAGATCATAATATTAGGAGAAATACTACAACTTGAGTAATATCCCATGGCAGAATATGATTTATTTGGACTCAAAAAAAAATCTACTTCCAAGCTGACAACCTGTCTTTAACTAGCGCATGCATATTGGAAGAGCATTAACGGAATAATGCAGTTGCATAAAGTATTTTTTTCTTTTTTGGTAAAGAAACAACTGGAAAATTCTTAGTTTAGTTTGTTAACACATGTGGGACTCAGAATGCCACTGGCAGAGTGACACTTTAGGATTGGTTAGTTTTTTACTTTTTACCAGGTACCAGTGTTGGCAGGGATAATCTGAAGAATTGGAGGAATGTAGAGACTTACTTGGCTGCATTCCGAAGAAGAGACAGGTTATCTTGCATTGATGCTATAAAGAAGCAAATCCAAACTCAGTTATTTCATTAAAGCTAAAACTGTATTTCCTGCTATAAGTATTAAGGAAACATGGGTAAACCTGAGACATAAGTATCAGGTTTTTTTTTTTTGTTACCTTATTACCTGCTTTCACTACCTTTTATCCAGGAGTATAGCTTCTAGGACTTACATAATTCTGTATGTAAACTTAGTGAATACGGAAACATCCATTGGTGCCAACAGCACTGATAGGAGAGCACCTTTTTCCTCTCCAAGCCCTAAAGCACATTCTGAAGTCTTTCCTCCATTTGCAATTAAAAAGAAAAATTTTAAGTTATACAGCATTATGTTATGGGATACATATACATAGTGAAAAAGATTGTCACTAATGTGAAGCAAATTAATGTACCCAACAACTCACATACCTACCCATTTTTTTTTGGTTTGTTTGTTTTTGTGTCAATTTTTAAAAACTTCTGTGGGAAGGTAATTTAGTTCAATAGCATTAAATTGTTGAAAGAATACATCACTTAACAATCAGAAATTTTGATGTCAATGGCCATTTACTGCGATAACCTTTAAATTATCACTAATCCTCCCACTATGTTCCCATCTTAAAAATGGAAAATATTTTTCTCAAGATTTCCAACAGAGATAAAAGGATAATAGAAAGGTAAGCAACAGTGGGATCTCTTAGCACCCACCCATATAATTTTTCAGGTAATTTATAATCATTTTCCTCTGGTGAATGACTTAAGATAGGAAATTGGTTTGATTTTTCAACAGATCAAATGAGTCCTAAAATGATAGGGTGACTATAACAAATAACAATGTAGTGCATATTTCAAGAAAGCCAAAAGATTTTGAATGTTGTCACATATAAATGATAAATGTTAATAGTGATGGATATGGTAATTACCCCGGATTTGATGATTATACTGTGTATACATGCACTGAAACATCACATTGTACTCCATAAATATGTGCAATTATTATGTCACTGATAAATAAGAAATAAAAATTTTGAAATGTTCCTTTAGTTTTGGCCTTAACTTCTCTGTGAAATGATGAATTTAATGGCAATTAGACAGAAATAAAGAAAAGCATTTCAAGGCACAATTATGAAGCTGCTAATATCCTTCATGAAGCACAGCATGATTTGTTTCTGCTGCCTTGTTCTGTTTCATTTGGCTGGAATCCCAATTGATTCAGGCATTCATGTATGCTTGAAATCAGTGAAAATCTCATGCTTCTAGATTTTTTCCTCACTTTTTTTTTTAATACAATACCTGCTTTCTTAATGTTATTTTTTCCAGTTATCCAGATACTGAAACACAAAGTATAAAGGCTCATTTATATTCTAAACTGTGAAGATCATTTTTAATCCTGTTTTTCTTAATATTCTAATTTGTTTGCTATTCAATGTATCTTCTCATACCCTTTTCTTGGTTTTGTTTTGTTTTGTTAATTCTACAAGTGCTTAAAAATTCAAAAGAAAACTGTTTTGGCTCTAACTATACCTAACTGAATTAATATTTTTTTATTTTAGAAATAATTAAAAAGAAATATTATTGGAAATATTTATACTGCATAGTTACATCTACTGAAAGGAAACAGAAACACAGAACATTTCACTTTCAACCTCTCAGCTTTCTTTCTTCCTTTCTTATTGTCTCTACTGCCATTCCATTGGAGAAGAGACTTCTTGAAACTCATATATTTTTTTCTTTGTGTGACTCTACCATGTTTGTTTATACATTCACTTGTTATTGGACATTTCTATCATTCCAGGTTTGGGCTATTATGAATAAAGTATCATGAGCATACACACATACAGATCACTGTGCAGACATAGTGTGTAAATTCCTAGGAATGGATTGACTGTCCATCTGATTTGTATATGTTTAACCTTATAAAAACTGTTGGCCAGGCGCCGTGGCTCATGCCTGTAATCCCAGCACTTTGGGAGGCCGAGATGGGTGGATCACGAGGTCAAGAGATAGAGAACATGATGGCAACATGGTGAAACCCTGTCTCTACTAAAAATACAAAAATTAGCTGGGCGTGGTGGTGTGCAACTGTAGTCCCAGCTACTCGGGAGGCTGAGGCAGGAGAATCGCTTGAACCTGGGAGGCGGAAGGTGCAGTGAGCCGAGATCGCGCCACTGCACTCCAGCCTGGGTACAGAGCAAGACTCCGTCTCAAAAAATAAATAAATATAAATAAAAATAAATAAATAGAATTGTTAGATTTTCTTTATTTTTAATAATTATTATAATTTTTTTAAAGTTCTGGGGTACATGTGCAGGATTTGCTGATTTGTTACATAGGTAAATGTGTGCCATGGTGGTTTGCTGCACCTATCAATCCATCACCTAGGTATTAAGCCCAGCACTCATTAGCTCCTTTCCCTAATGCTCTCCCCGCACTCTCCCTCAATAGGCACCAGTAAGTGTTGTGTCCCTCCCTGTGTTCATGTGTTCTCATTGTTCAGCTCCCATTTATAAGTAAAAACATGTGGTGTTTGGTTTTCTTTTCCCGCATTAGTTTGCTGAGGATAATGGCTTCCAGCTTTATCCACGTTCCTGCAAAGGACATAATCTTGTTCCTTTTTATGGCTGCATAGTATTCCATGGTATATATGTGCCACATTTTCTTTATCCAGTCTATCATTGATGGATATTTGGGTTGATTAAATGTCTTTTCTACTGGGAATAGTGCTGCAGTGAATATACGTGTGCATGTATCTTTACAATAGAATGATTTATATCCCTTTGGGTTTATACCCAGTAACAGGATTGCTGGGTCAAATGGTTTTTCTGGTTCTAATCTTGGAGGAATCACCACAGTGTCTTCCACAGTGGTTGAACTAAATTACATTCCCACCAAGAGTGTAAAAGCATTCCTATTTCTCTGCAGCCTAACCAGTATTTGTTGTTTCTTGGCTTTTTAATAGTCGCCATTCTGACTGGTGTGAGATGGCATCTCATTATGGTTTTGATTTGCATTTCTTTAATGATGAGTGATGAGCTATTTTTCATATGTTTATTGGCCACATGTATGTCTTTTAAAACCCCAGAAGAAAATCTAGGCAATACCATTCAGAACATAGGCATGGGCAAAGACTTTATGATGAAATCACCAAAAGCAGTTGCAACAAAAGCTAAAAATGACAAATGGGATCTAATTGAAAAAAAGAGCTTCTGCACAGCAAATGAAACTATCATCAGACTAAACAGACAACTACAGAATGGGATAATATTTTTTGCAATCTATCCATCTGACAAAGGGTTAATATCCAGAATCTGCAAGGAACTTAAGCAAATTTACAGGAAAGAAACAAACAATGCCATTAAAGAGTGGGCAAAGGATATGAACAGACACCTCTCAAAAAGAAGCCCAATATTTTAAAAATTATGAATCAACTCCCCTCACTTAAAAAGACAAAGGCAAATTGAAAAAAAAAAAAACCAAATTCTAATTAAAACATTTTGTTGTTATTTTAAAATATTCCTGAGAATGAAAAAGTCTTGTTCAATTTTTGGCTCTTGTAGAAAATATCAAGTTTAAATATAGTCAGAATCTAAAACTGGTTTTAGAAATGTCCAGATCAAGTGTGTGTGTGTGTGTGTGTGTGTGTGTGTGTGTATAATATATATATATAATATTAAATGTATATAATATAATAAGTATATATTAGTGTATATCATATATTCTATAAATATATATGATGGTGATATGGGAGGCAGCAGAGAAGTGCTGGGTAGAGAAGGGCAGGATCCCCGGTGAGGGTTCCATCCTCAGGCTTCTGCCTGCAGACCTAAGTGAGAATGGGCACTCCTGTTTTTGTGCCAAAATGTTGCATTTTCCAAGACCACTCTGGCACACTATGCCTCCCATCCTGTACCCATGTAAACCTGAGACCTTAGTGGACACACACCCACATGGCTGTACATCAAGAGGAGCTGTGGAGAGCAGCAGAGAGCGGAAGAGAGTGGCAGGGAGTGGCAGAGAGCAGCAGGATGGTGTGACAGAGAGCAGCAGGATGGTGTGGCAGAGAGCAACAGGATGGCATGGCAGAGAAGGAGAAAAGAGGCAGCTGAATGTCAAGAGGAGTTCGGTCATTCTTGGTTAATCTCCCCTTGGATAATCTTCAGGAGAAAATTATCTCCCCTACCCCTCCACCTTCTGGCTCCCCATCCATCTCACTGAGAGCTACCTCCACCACTCAATAAAACCTTACACTCATCCTTCAGGCCACATGTGATCCGATTCTTCTGGGACACTGGGCAAGAACTCAGGATACAGAAGGCTGTCACACTGGCCCTCTGCCCTTGTGATAAGGCAGATGGCCCATTGAGCTGATTAACATTCAATCTGTCTGCAGACGGCAGAGCTGAAAGAGCTTTGTAACACTGGGGCTGCAGGCAGTCACCCCTAGACACTACCATGGGGCTGAGAGACCAAAGCACTCACCTGGGCCTCTGCACCTGTCTGTCTGCATGCTCCCCCTAGAGGTTTGAGCTGCAGTGCAACCAAAGAGGCAAGCCAATCCCCCGTCACACGTCCTGCAAAGGAAATAAGGGAACTCTCCTGTTTCAATCATAAGTAAAATGTGCATTATGTATATGTGTGTGTGTGTGTGTGTATATATATATATATACACACACACACACATATATATACACACACATATATATGAGATATATATATACACACACACACGTACCATGTAGTATATGTAATACTTAAAATTCATTTGAAATGAAATATATAGAAAACCCTCAAAAAATAATGAAGGAAAAGAGTGAAGGAAAACTAACAAGGTGAAATTTAAAAGTTTTATTATAATTTTGTTAAATATTTATGTGTGTACATATATTATCTCTATATATAGTCTTTATAGCTATATAATATCTATATACTATAAACAAATCAAAGAGAGAGAGGCAGAGAGAAAGAGATACAGAGAGAAAAATCTATATGCCTCATCTGCACATAAACATGGTGCTGGAACAGAGAAATATAGAAAATTAGATTCAGTTATTGCCCCAAAGACACATTATTCAGATTTGTCAGGAACACAAGACACAGAGACCAGGTAAGTAGAAAATTCTGTGTTGGAGATCTCCTTGTGTAGCTGTTTGTATAGCTTCCCTACCTGAAAGATCCAACATTTAAATGCTCACATAAAATGTTAAAAAAAAGAAATAATTTAAATGTGACTGAATACACCATTAAATCTCCTAACATAACTCCAGCATTCTAACCACTATTAGTCATTCAAACAAGAGTTATGAAAAACTCAAAATAAGGCTTTTTCTTTCATTTTTAATTGTGTTTTTAGGTAGAAATTATTCTCATTCATGAACCTGCAGGGGATAGTACAGATGGAAATGGGAGCAGGAAGGACTTCCATCAGAGTTGAAAGCAAAGGAGAGAAGAGGAACACTTAAAAATAGATTTCCAGATTTAATCATCTTGAAGTATGGTGTTTGTTAGGTTTTTAAAATGCAAAAGACATGCAGCAGTATTTTGTTTTGAGCTCCACAAACATAACAGGCTGATTTGGTACACCTGTTGTCATCACTATTTAGCATAAGACACATATCTTGAGTGCATGTGCAACAAACCGAAAATCTTAAGTATATTTTGCATAACACATGTGAGATTCTAGATGCAGGTGTTATGGCTAAAAAATGTGTTCCTATAAAACCTTGACAGATGAGTAAACAGAAATTGAAATGATCTTGTGCTGTTGGAGTATAGCAGAATATTATGAATTACAATACCTAGCATTTTCTCTCAAGGTATGGATTTCCATTAACAAGAATGCAGAATTAGCTTTGCAAATGGTAGGTGCAGTTAGGTGCAGGAAGCCATTATTTCTGAATGCCAGGTGGTAGCCACTGCTATGATTATACTGTTATAGGAACCATTTTGTCTCTAGTTTTCTCCATATTATCCTTCACAGAAAGTAGAATGATGACAATACAGTAGGTATTTGTTTTACTGGCATTGTCCTCATTTCCAGGCATACAATCTAACCTAATTACCAACCACTGTCACATCTCTGTATATAGCCAAAGACTAGTTTGGAAGAGGAAGCACCTGGATTCTATTGTGCTCTCTTCTACTGTTCATTGTAAATTCTTGAGAGTATTTTATTTCTCTCCATTATTTCCAATGTCCAACCAACTGATATGATCTCTCAATCAATGACAAGATATGTATGCCATTGTTGATGCATTTTTCTTATTATATATTTTTGATTTGTCAAGGATTCTGAGGCTCTGCTACTTACAAATATTTTCTCTTATCTATTGCCTTATTTTTAAAATACACACTAAAATGTGCAACAAATTCCCCTCCAAAAGACTTTCCAGTGTCTCAGCTCTATGTCATTATCACCACTCACACACATGCATTCACATGCACACACGCATACATGCCTGTAAATGATTTAGCTACTTTTCATAATTCAACCAGGGGTCTTCAGGTATTCAGGGCTAATTTGCATAGTATAAGTGGAGAAAAAGAGACCGATGTATTTATATCTTTCCTAAGTGGTCCTTTATAACTATTCAGATGTCTTTAAAATAGAAACTGTAAGAGTTGGCATTTTATAATTTATCCTGCTTTTCAGGTGATTTTTCTTTCACACAGTGTTGGGAAAAATATATTTCTGCCAAAAGTATTTAAGAGAGTTGATGACAACTATTAAAATAATAGTAGTCCAGTGTCAATCATAGGTTATTAATACAATTAAATTCAATTTAAAATGTTTTTACAGTGGGCCTAATTAGAGAAAAGCATCGAATTAAATTGCCATAATTACAAAACTTCATCAGGTGGTAAATCCCATAGATAAATAGAGCCATACTCACAAGTGTATGTGTCAATAGAGGTACCTATCTATGTGTTCATTGTTAAAATAAAAAAATACAGAAAATCATACTTCTTCTCTATGATGCAATGAATACAACTGTTAACTTTGGAAGAAAACACAACTCATAGAAAATTTTTAAAAATTATATTGGAATTAAGTAATCCATGGATTATACCATCTTCTTGTTATAATTCAGTACTTAGGTAGGAATATGAAAGGCCTGGTTAAGTGCCTAAGTTAATCATGGTGAGGAAAAGAAGCTCAATTTTTAAAAAAATATTTTAAATTTCTTTAATTGCTGAATGCCTCTTTGGCTAATATTTGAAAGATCGTTATTTAGTCCTACAACTGATGCATTTTCCCACTTTCTCATTATTTTGTTTGCAAGCCACCTAAAAGTCTTATTTCCTCATATATTTGACACATTACCAAAATGGACCTGTGGTGTTATCCTACAGTATAATGTTGGAATCCTATGCTGTAATCACACAGGATAATATTGGAAAAATAGGAGTATTTAAATTATTTATTTACTTATTTTTTGTTCTTTTGAGACAGAGTCTCACTCTATTACCCAGAGTGGAGTGCAGTGGCATGATCTCGGCTCACTGCAACCTCTGCCCCTGGGGTTCAAGCAATTCTCATGCCTCAACCTCCCGAGTAGCTATCACTACATGTGTGCACCATCACAACTGGCTAATTTTTTTTCTATTTTTAGTAGAGATGGGGTTTCGCCATGTTGGCCAGGCTGGTCTCGAACTCCTGGCCTCAAGCGATCCTTCCACCTTGGCCTCCCAAAATGCCGGTATTACAGATGCGAGCCACCACATCCAGCCTAAATTATTTTTGAATGATATTTTTTCCTTCTGTTTTCAAATTATTTCCAACAGTTTCTAAAGACATGGTCACAGCTGCCTGAAACATGGCTTATTCACTCATATCACCTAGATCACTCTCAAATGCTCCTGAACTTGTGGTCAGCCTTTCACATGGATATGAAATTTGTCCTGGTGAATCTACCTGCCGCTGCCGCTGCCGCTGCCGCTGCCGCTGCCGCTGCCGCTGCCGCTGCTGCTGCTTTTCAAATAGGTTTCTCTTCCCTTCCAAAGCTCTTTTGAAGTGAGATTTGTCCCTGAGGTCTATAGAATATCTCGAGATAAATTTCTGGAACTGCCTTGCATACTTAGCTGAATAGCTCTGCAGAGATCTGCTTCTTCATCTTCCAGGTCAATTACTTGGCGACTTAGTCCCAGAGCCCTCTGCAAATGCTCCTTATCATCTAACATTTCTGACCCATCATTTGCCTCTAAGACTCATTCCAGGTCTGTTTTATGGAACCTTTGCTGTTAATTTATCTAAGTCTTCTGCAATAAGTTTTGGTCCATGCGTTTATTGGACCCTAATCATCTGCAGGAGTTGGTTGGCCTCACAATCTGGCAGATCATCCTTAACAAGAAATATAGAATAACATTCCTGTTGTAATTGAGCTGAGAAAAGTGCAAGGTATTTATCTGATGTTAAGTCTGAAACCGTCAAGAAGGTTTTTGAATTAAACTTTGTTTTCCTAACTTTCTGACTGTAAACAAGTATTATTTATAATTGCATATAAATTATCTTACATTTATAGGATCGATCCTGAGCCTTTGATACTCTGGACTATTGAACAAGATTAGGTCTAAACCCCAAATTTTCAAGGCATTGCTTATAACTTGAATAGAGAAAAAACAAAAACAAAAGCAAAAAAACTGTCACTTATATTTCCAGAAGCCTGCTGTAAAAACGTGTTTTTAGTTTCTTCTCTAAAACCCCTCCTTCTGCCGTTCTCATCCTCTGTTCTTCAACTAGCTGATGTACAATTGAAGATAATTCCACAGGGCTAAAATATTCTCCTTATAATAAATCATGCCGGCAATGCTGAGCACAAAGCGAGCCTTCTTGTTTGTCGTGAAAGATGGACTCCTTGTTTATTTGTCTAAGAAGCTCGATTTTTAACTAATTATCTTAATTTCAAAAATTGTTTCACTGTGTTTTCATTTTCCTACTGTGTGTTTTCTAAAACATCTGTTTACACCAAGATATCTTAATTATGCTTTAAAGTTTTTCTTGCTGTGGCATACCAAAATTTCTGTTGGAAAAAAATGTATCCCACTTTCTTTGGTTAATGGGTTTGATATTTAATTATGTCCGTTGAGTAGTACTAAAATTATATCTTATGTTAAACTGACATCCCAAGGATTCTATGACAATAGTCCAAAATCATAAGAAGGACTATGGGCTTCTAGTAACAGTTATTAATATAGCTCTTTAATGTTTTTAAGACAACCTTCTAAACAGACTAAATTTTCTATTCCTGTGTAAATTGCTCTAAGAATTATTAATAGCAGCTTAAAACAACAAGCATTTATTATCTCACATAGTTTTTGAGATCAGAAATTCAGTAGTGGTTTATATAGCTGATCCTGATTCAGGATCTTTTACAACATTTTAGTAAAGCTGTCAGTCAAAGTGCTGTCACCTGAAAGTTGACAGAGAGTGACGCATCTGCTTCCAACGTAGCTCACTTGTATGGTCACTGGCAGAAAGTCCCAGTTGATTATCACATGAGTCTCAACATAAAGCTATGCTCCCTTGCAGCTGACTTCTCCCTGATAAGTCACTTAAAAAAGTGAGATACTAATCCACATACCCACAACAGTGTATAAACATTCCCTTGTCACTACAGCTACACCAACATCTATTGTTTTTGATTTTTTAATAATGCCCAGTACCCATAATGGAGTAAGGTGGTAACTCATTGAGGTTTTAATTTTTATTTCCCTTATGATTAGTGATATTGAGCATTTTTTTCATATTTGTTGGCCATTTGTATATCTTCTTTTGAGAAATGTCTGTTGTTATCATTTACCCACTTTTTAATGGGATTATTTGATTTTTTTTCTGGTTGATTTGTTTGACTTCCTTGTAGATAGTGGATATTAGTTCTTTGTTGGATGTAAAGTTTGCAAATTTTTTTTCCAATTCTGTAGACTGTTTATTCAATATTTCTTTGCTGTGCAGAATCTTTTCAGTTTAATTAGGTCCCATTTATTAGTTTTGGTTTTGTACCCAAAAGAAAAGCAGTCACAATTTTAAAAAGACACCTGCATGCATATGTTTCTTGCAGCAGATTTCACAATTGCAAAGATGTGTAATCAACCTAAATGGTCATCAGCCGATGAGTGGATAAAGAAAATGTGGTATATATACAACATGGAAAAATACTCAGTCATAAACAAGAATAAAATAAAGAGTTTTTTTCAGCAACTTGTATGGAACTGGATGCCATTATCCTAAGCGAAGTAACTCAGAAATGGAATATGCAATACTACATGTTCTTACTTAGAAGTCAGAGCTAAGCTATGGATACACAAAGGCATGCAGAGAGGTATAACGGAAATTGGAGACTCAGAATGAGGGAAGGTGTGAGGTGGATGAAGGATGAAAAATCACCTGTAAGGTACAATGTACTCTATTCCGGTAATGGATACTCTAAAAGCCCAGGCCTCATCACTATACAATTCATCCATGTCACCCAAAACCACTTGTACTCCTATAGCTATTGAAATTACAAAAACAAAAAGAGGGACCCAGATGGAGGTCACAATATATTTTATAACTCAATCACAGAAGCAACATACCATCAATCTGTCATATTCTACTGGCCACATAGATCAACCCTAGTAGAAGGTGGGAATGGACGGTACAATGGTATCAATACTAGGAGGTGGAGACCAATGGAGGTTATCTCAGAGGCAGGCAGCCATATACATGATCAAGATAAGCCCACATTACTTAGTATTTGAGAACTAGAATAAATTTCTTAAAAGTGTCCTTTAATAAGCCCATCAGGGCTCTAGGTGAAAAAATCCACCTAAAGCCATTTTATAAATAAGCATAGCTTATATTATTCTATGACATTTCCTTTTGGTCACTGCTTGGTTATTTATAGGGCCTCTGTTCCACCTGCTGTCCAAAGCAACCAGAGGGACTACATAACACTAGTCAACTTGATGAGCTCTAAATATTTAATGTATCTCCCTCCATTCCCCAACACATAAGCCTGAAACTTGAATAGTTATAATATTGTCCTGAAGACTATAAAATGTGTTTTGAACTAACAACCAATCTTTGAAAAATGTCCTCCCATAAGCAGAATGCAGTAGGAGACAAAGGACAGAAGTTGAATTACACCTAAATACATACTTGGGAAAAAAATGTATTCTTATCCCCCATGATTTGTAGCCTTGCTCATTTGAAAGTCTGGGCTCTGAAGAATGCTTCCAAGATGAGCCACTTTGATTTAGATGAGATTGCCTCTGGCCAATGTAGCTTTTCATATGATTAAGTCAAAAGTCAAAACGGGATATTTATATTGACTGGGATGATCAATCCTCACCATCCAAATAGGTAAATATTACATAATGGAGGGAAGAATACGGGTAGAATTCAGATGAGCCCCTACTGCACCCACTAGCACAACAGACGGAGGCCTAAATGTTATTGTAATCTGTACAGGCAGGAACACCAAAGTCACAGATATTTCATTAACGTAAGTTTGGATCAAACAATTAGGTAGATAACCCTGTCAGGTTGAGATTGCTGTCTCAAAGCCAGAAGAATTTGAAATGGGTGATAGAGGAGGTAATTTGTAAATTATGTGTCATAAACACAAAAACTAGAGCCTTTATCCATTTTTAAATCTTGGCTAGTGTTTGCACTTATATTTATATTGTAACAAATTTCCTCCTGTAAAAAGCAGTAAGTATTTTCTAGAGAATTCAAACACAGAATTGGATGCAAAAATTACTGAAATTTTAGGCAATTTTCCCTTGGAAATGAAATTTGTTTCAGTTGTACAATAAATAATTGTATTATGTCATATAGGATCTTTTTTTCTAAATAAAAGAAGATTGCATGTATAATTTTGGTTACAGTAGATATTTGCTACTTGTTAATTATCCATCATGTAAATATCCTTTAAACTGTGAAGGAATCCCTAGTGTGATGGTGGAACTTGGGGCAGGCAGGGCCCAATCCTACATTCACACCCTAATAGCTCATAGACATATAAACTTGGGTTGAGCTTGAATTCACATGTTTCTTTCTTAGGCATTGAATGTTAAGGGACAGTGAAAGCTATTCAAGAAAATTTCAGGTTATTCAAATCAAAAGAGTCACATTTCCAAGAGTGGCATTCCTGAGTGGTGACAGGGCTGTTTCCAGAAACATTAATATTCAGAGTACCATCTAGCCAGTCTGTTTCAGTAGTCTGTTGTCTACTGGTTAGTTACCTTGTTCTTGCTTATTTTTTTTTTTTCAGCCTGGTCCTCCAGATTTATCCTAGGAGCAATTTTATATCATCTAGTAAGCTATTTTCATTTTCCTGTTACATTTCTGTTTTTGCTACTGAGTAGTAGGAATTTGAAAAATGCTGCTTTGATGTATATAGCAAGTATATACTTGTCCTTGATGGAGCTCCTGAATATAAGATAAAAAAGTCAACAATCTGTTGATGAAAAGAGAAGAGAAGGTGGAAATTATCAGTTTACACTGCACCATTTATCAAGTAAATATGGGTTTGGAACATCTATGTCAAATTTATTGCACAATAAAACATAAGAAAGTATTATGGTTGTGTATTTCTTTTTGAGTCTATCTTAAACTGTTAGTAGTTTATAGGACAGTTGGTAGAAGTTGGAGCAGCATATAAAATATTGAATATTGCAGTTAGGTAAGTCCTAGGGTTGTGAAATTTGAAAAGGTTTGCTAAGATTCTTTATTAAATCAAGAGCCAACTTTACAGACTCACAGTGACTCAGAAAATTGTATTTACTTATTTATGTGACAGGGAATGAAACACAGCAATGCCAAAAGATCAAACTGAAAAATAGTTTTAATATTTTGTTTAAGAAAGTACAAATAATTTTAATCACTTCATCTGCTTTTTCTGAATTTTCCTGTTATACTTGTTTTCTCAATCTATTCTTTTCTTCTTGAGATAGTGTCTCACTCTATCACCCAGTCTGAAGTGCAGTGGAACAATTATAGCTCATTGCAGCCTTCAACTCCTGGACTCTAGCAATCTTCCCACATCAGCCTCCCTACAAGCTAGGACTACCTGACTAATTTTTTTGTTTGTTCTTCTTTTTTGTAGAGACAGGATCTCCCTATGTCACCCAAGCTTGTCTTGAACTCCTGACTTCAAGTAATCCTCCCACCCTGGCTTCCCAAAATTTGGGGAAGGCACAGGTAGGAGCCACTGTGTTCAGCCTCAATTTTTATTTATACATATCATATTGTTAGCTCACCTATAAAGTCATTTTTTATTTACATTTTTTTCTATGTGATCACATCCAGTTTTATAGCTTTAAATAACATCAATATTCCAATGCTTCCCAAATCTCTCTCTAAATCTGAGCTTTTCTCTGAACTGCAGATTCATATACACAACCACATAATATTAGGTGATGAAACCATATGAAATTGATGACATTTGACTTTTTTGGGCTCACAAAATATTTATATTGTTCAAATTATCCATATCTTTACTTGGGTATTATATAGTAATATCATATTTTACATTTTCGAAACATAGCTCATAATTTCCATCCCCTTAAACTCCTTGTTAAAACTTTTCCTAATCCATGCTTTCAATCTCAGCAAATGGCAACACATTTTACACATTTGCTCATGATTGAAACCAAGAAGGTTCTTGATTGGTTATTACCTCAAATAACTTTAAATTCAGTACATTAATAAGCCCTATTTTTCTATTTCCAACATATCTGAGAGCCACTTCTTTCTATCTTTAGGAATAAAATCCAGTTGAAGTCACCATTACTTCTTATATTGGCTAGCATTATGGTCTCCTGATTAATTTCCCTGTCTCTACATATGACCACTTTTAAAGGGTCTATTCTGTTCATAAAAGAGAAGGTATTTTTAAGATGTAATTTATATCATACCATTCCTATACTAAAAATAATTGTCTCCATATCACATTTAGATAATCAATATTATTTATTTATTTATTTATTATTTTGGGTCATTTTTATTTTGATATAATTTCAAAATTACATAAAATTTAGAAGAATAGAACAAAGAACATTCATACCTAAGCAAAGGATATATGAATGGTAATTTTTTTAATGTTTCTACCCATTTGTTTTATCACTCCTCTCTGTTCTCTCCTCCTCCCAACCTTCTTTCTCCTCTCCCTCCCCCACTACACTGATTGTTTTTGGAGACATCTGACGGCAAGTTGGAGACATCATGACTCTTGATATAATTCACTAAGAAGGACACAATATTACCACCTTGGCATCCCTATGCATAACCTAAATCTAATCATGAGGATACATCAAATAAGCCCAATGAGAGGGGCATTCTGCAAAACATCTGGTCTTTACACTTCAAAAATTCAAGGCTGTGAAAGATAATAAATATTGATTATTTACAATAGCCTATAAAATGCTACATATTCTGAGTCCAGCTATTTTTCTGACTTCATCCAGCAACACTCTTCCCTTTCTCATTATGTTCCAGACACTCCATTGTTTTTTGTTTATATTATTCTCCTGCAACATGCCAAGCTTGCTCCCCTTCCTTAGTATCTTGCTGGAGAACTCTTATCTTAGATCTCTTACCTTAGATTTTCCTACAGTGATCACCTTCTTGTTATTGCTTTTCCAATTCAAATTTTATCTAACAAAAGTAACTTCCTTTAGATAGACTTATATTTCTCTCCCACAGTACTCTGTTTTCTTTACCTCATAAAACTTCACTTGAGGTATAGTATAGTACTTTTACTTTTTATTACTTGGTTTTTCCTATCCTCCCTCCCCTTTATCTTCCAGAATACTAATTGTTTTACAATTGGGGCTTGCCTACCTTGATTACTATTATAAACTCTGCACCATGTTCCAGGCATCTGGTAGTCAATTCATAGATGTGTTGAAAGAATGTAGAAATACATTCCATAAACTGATAAAATGACATAGACTATAAATTCATTTTTAAGAGGTTCATGCACCAAGAAATGTGTAAAGCGATGTATTTTGATAAATTATAAAATACTTCATGAATATTTTGTCAGAATTTTTAAATATTTAATAATTTGATCTGATTTTTATATGTATGAATTATTCTTTAAGTTACCTTGGGTGCACTTACAAGTCTAGATGAGCTATCACTTAACTACCTTGAAAGAAGGGTTTGGTGTCAATAATTGAGTTACAGTTGCAAAAGACATAGCACATCTTGTTAAATTTTGAAACATGAGTATGACTTCAAAATAATTACCTAGATTCTGGCTGTTAAAGAAAGAGGAAATTAAGATGGCAATAATTACTGTGATGTTGTCTTGTATAAATTTAGCTAAACTGGAATTATGCAATTTCAAATTGCCTTTCCTTTAAGGTTCTAGTGTAGTGTTGGCTACAAAATAAATTTGTGCAAGATTTAGAAGGTGGAAGTGAAGCAGCAGCAGCCCATGTTTAAACTCAGAAATTTGATGTAAAGTTAGGTATGGTTTCAGATGGCTCATATTGTACAAGTCTGCCAGATTATCTTGTTGGCATGAGGAAGTAGTTGGATCTGCAGCACCTGGCGCTCCCACTAGGTCTCTGTCTTCAGCATCTTCAAGTACTTGGCCAAGTGCTTTTGAAGTTCCATGGTAAAGTGCATCAACTCTAGTGTAGGTCATGCACATTATAAAGTTGGAGGCTTCAAAGCAGTAAGAGAAAAATGCAAGTTCAAATTTCATTTATTCTCATTGCTTACAGGCCAACTACATGGATTTTTAGTTTAGTTAGTTTTTTTTTTTCATCATGCTTTGTAGTGATTTAGCAGCCTGGGACAATGTAAGATACAATTTCTCAATTAAAGACAAATTGCTGCAACTGTCCCCTCCTTAAATTAAGAGTCATGAAGTTTGTTGAGATTTTTAGATTTACAAAGTGACAAATACCTCACTTGGGCTTGCTAATCCAAAACTTTTATCAAGTAACCTGAGAAGCTACTAGTTTGGAGTGTGGCTCCAATCAAGAAAAGGCTCTTCAGCAGGTCCAGGTTGCTTGCAAACTGCTCTGCCACTTGGACCATATGACTCAGCAGATCCAATTTTTCTTGACATTTCTATGACAACCAGGTATGCTGTACAGAGCACTTGGCAGGCATGTGCAGATAATCATAATGCACCTCTAAAGATTTTAACAAAATTACACCACCCTCTAGGGATAACTATTCTCATTTAAGAAAAAGATCTGCGCATGTTACAGAGCCTGAGTAGAGACTGAATGCTTGACCATTAACAACAAATTTATCATGTGAACATCATGAAAAGGTTGTCGTCTGGCTGACTGAACCATAAAATTAGGTGAGCAAAGCAGCACTTCATCATCAAGCAAAATTGTTATATATGAGATTGAGTTCAAGTAAGTCCTGAAGGCTCAGATAAGACATCTTAGAAAGTGGTCCACATGTCCATTGTTCATATGCCTGTTAAATTGCTTCCTCACTTTCAATACTTGATATGGTTTCTTATGTCCATTATAAATGATTCTACATAATATGTTGATACTACCTGAATGTGGAGAGCTACAAAGTTTTAGCCTCATACTGGAAAATCATTTAAAAATAATGATAAAGGAAAATCTGTCCAGTGGACAGAATTTTGAGCAGTACATCTGATTGTTCATTTTACCAGAAGAAGAAAATGCCAGACGTAATGGTCTAAAGTCATTCATGACAAGTGGCAAATTATCTGGTTGGATGATCAGGGATGTGGAAGGAACACAATTGGGAAACTGGTGACAAGGAATTCTGGGAAGAATTATGTAGATAAACTTCCTCTGAATGGGCACAAAATATAATGATATTTGTGTTCCATATGAAGGAAAGCCAAAAAGCATTTCAGCAGATGGCAATCTTAAAACCCATGTGGACAAGCGGAACTGTTCTGTGGATGCAAATCAGTCTCTGCCCAGATATCTCTGTTGTAGCCCAGTGGGCATAGGAACTTAGTGGTTATATCAGCAGGGATGGATGTTACGCTGTGCTCAGTAATATGGGGCTTTGACAGCCAGCTTGATCTGGCTAACTATGGGTGAGTGACCAACATGCCAACAGCAGAGATCAATACTAAGTTCTAATACTGTGCCATTCCCCAGGGGGATACTGGCATGCTGATTACATTGAACAGCTTTCATTGTGAAAAGGGCAGTGCTTTGTCTTCTCTAGAAGACATACTCTGGTTATTAATTTAACTTTCCTATCCAAAATGCTTTAGTCAAACTCATCATCTATGGACTTATCAAATACCTTAATGACCCCCTCAGTATTCTTCACATCATTCCTTTTGAATATGGAAGTTATTTTATAACAAACAAGGTTAGGCAAAGAGCTCACACTTGTTGACATAACGAGTCTTACCATTTCCCTCACTACACTGAAGCAGGTAGCCTGAGAGCATGATGGGTTAGCTGTTTCTGACTACTTAGTTATGGTACCAGCTGGGCAGCAAACACCTTGCAGACTGAAATAATGACTTTCATAATATGGTATATGCTTCATATCAGAAACCACTATATAGTTTTTTATGTTCTTCTCCTATTCAAAATTAACTGTCCAGAAATCAAAGGGTGAAAATGAGAGTCATTTCTACTACCTCTTGTATTCACTCGTGACATTTTGCTTTTCTTTCTCAAATTCCTAGAATTTGGGGCTCTGCAAAATATAGGTGTTTGTTTCCATGGGATAATATTTTCACCAGAGGACACAACAATGATAAGCTTTTGGAGAAATATACTGCAAACTTTAGAGAACAGAACATGTTAGAATTTGGAGAGGAGGCAAATTATCATTCAAAACAAGAGTATTAGAAGAGACCTCATAGACAAAATCATATTTAAACAGAGAGTTGAAGTGGGATACAATGCCATGAAGAACTCTGGGAGGTACCAGCGGAGGGAACAAAAGCGCAAAGTCCTCAAGACAATATCATGCTTCACGTGTTCAAGATCGCCCATTCTTAACATTTGTAGGGTCATGGACCAAAGTACAAATAGAGGTTTATAAACCATATATTTAAATACTTTAAAACTATAAATCAAGTTAACAAATCATTATAATCTATATTTGACAATTAAACTTTTATAATGACCTGGAATTTGGGACTCTGAAATTCCACACAGGAGCATATACCATTGTGGGAAGGGCAAGCCCTCAAAGTGGGACACCAGACTGATGTTCACCCCTTTTCTTTTTCCACCCTGGGCTTTTGTATCACACCACAAAGGGTCACATGTGTTTGTGGGAATTTACCTTGCATATCCAATCTCTTATTCACTTCCCAATGAACACAGCCTTTGGCCACTCAGGGCCACCACACTTGTGAAGATGGTCCAGGGAAGAGGCTTGTGTAGGCCCTGGAGGTGGGATTAGAATCTTTTTGATAGGGAATCATGGGATTCCAGGTGTTTGTAGCATATTCTAGAATTGGTATGTGCATTGGTACATTCTCTGTCTCCACAGACTCCCATTTAGGGGAAGAGTATTGCTACAGGAAGGCCGACTAGAACCATTTAAAATATCCAGCTCAGAAAAGGAGATCCTTCTTTATCTAATGGCAGTAGCAGTTTGAGGACTATCCACCAGGCCATGTGACTGCAGTAGAGTTGGCAAGAAAGAATGTGCTAGATAAAGTTATAGAGAAGTAGGAGCTAGAACACAATTGTCAGTGGTTATCAGCCCCAGTTGCCCATTAAGATCACTATGAAAGTACCATTGCTTGGTTACCAACTCCACAAATTCTGATTCAGTTGATCTGGGCTAAGGTTTAGCCATAACAAATTTGAAAATCCCTGATGACTGAATGTAGAGTCAAATTTGAAAACCACATATATATATATATATATATAAACTTTGTTTTTCTCTCTGAGATAGGAGGTTATTGGATAATTTTGATTAGAAGAGTGCCACAAAATTATGCACATTCAAAAGGAAATTAAAATAGCAGCAGGATGAAGAACAGTTTCTAGGGAGTATAGAGAAGATGTAGTGAGATCAGTTTAGGAGGCTATTGAAACAATACTGGAAAGAGATAATGATGCTTTAGACCAAAATGGAAACACTAATAGAATTCTAGATGATAATGCTGATACAGAAGTCTGAAGCTCAGGATAACTCTCTCTATATACTTTTTTAAATAAAATAACTTTGCATCTACAAGATTTTGGAATAGTACAGCTTTTAGACATGTTTATACAGTCTCAGCTTTTCAACAGTGAAACTTGAACAGAGTTGCAAATAATAATAATCTTTTCACTTATTTATAAATATTCATGATAGCCAAAAAATACTTAAAATGATATGGAAACATGATAAATCATATTTGTACCTTGCTATTTATACCAGCTCTAGATAAATTCTATGTGCATTATAACACATTAAATACTATTTGAGTTACTAGGTTAAAAAAGTATATATGTATATATATACAATAGAGCCTCAAGTGGTCCATCATATTCTAGCTTACAACTCAGAGAAGTTTTATTAAAAATCATTATTAATGTCAAAATTAATGAAGACAGGTTTTTTTGCCAGATGGTAAAAAATTGCATACTTTCCAAAACTATGGTTAAGTTAGTCAACATGTGATTTTTGAATAAACTGGCTCCGAACCATTATTTAAATACACATTAGAAATATTATTAGCTTTTATAATTTTATTACAGGAAAAAGAATGGACTTATTCCCTCGAAAAGAGAACTAGGGCAGGTGGGAGAATTTAAGGGGGAATGGTGAGAAGCAATGTTGAGGTATATTATTATTTTAAAATGCAATAACTGAAATTATAAACCTTCAGATCTGTTTCTCTCTGTTACTTGCCTCATATTAATATTGTTTATGAATATGCTGCAACATGTGCACTGTCAGAACAAAATCTAGAAAAGGCCCTGAATGCCTAAGCATTTCAATTCATGCTTTTACCTATTTTTCATATGTTATATTTTTATTGTGTCCTATTAACCCCATTAATAAGGGAGGAATTCCTGCCTTAGGATTATGAAGATGGCTGAACACATGACTCTTAACACTGGACAGATGAAATGGACAGCAGTTCATTAGTCACTTACACTCACAGTCCAGTGGAGGAGGACAACCCATGCCAAATTTGGCAGCTGCATTTGGGAATGGAATGAACAACCAGGTACTGTGGGAGGCAGGCTTTGTAGAATCTAGAGTAGAGCGACTTTTGGTTTCCTTGTGGGGAAGTCCTTATGTTGTTTGCATAATTCTGAAGGCTAACAGGAAACTGAAACCCACCACTCAGAGATAAGCAGAAAGTATACCTGTTCTCTGAGATAAGGAGGTATCTTTGACTAGGTGTCATCTGCAAGAGCAGAGCAGGCAGATATCTTGCCAATTAGGTCATTTGAGGCCCTTCTCATTTTACCAAATGTCAAGGCAGCACATATTTAATTTTAGACCTCACACGACAAGTTACATGGAACCCCTATATATTATTTATCTATAATTTTTATCTATCTATCTATCTATCTATCTATCTATCTATCTATCTATCTATCTACCCACCTACCTACCTACCTACCTACCTACCTACCTATCTATGACATTTAGGGAGAGGATGAATCCTTTGTGCCCTCTTCACATCTTCTATAAGAACATGCTCTTGGCAGCTATGTATGGAGCTGAAATGTGGCCAAACTGCCCAAACCAACAGGGAAACCCGAGAACAAGAAATAAATGCCTAATGTTGCATATGTATGATTTTTGGGGATGATCACTTAATACTTAACAGAAGCTGAGTAATGCAGTAATCAATACAAAGTATTTTAACAATGAATATGTAAATGATTGAAAGAATTCATATTAATAATCTATGGAGTACACACATATGGGTTTCTGATTATGTAGATTTAATTTTTATAAAAAACATTTCTGACTGTGTCTCACTCTGGGTAAGCCACACACTATTACAGTTTCTTTATTGCATCCACCTTTTCTCAGAATACATGCAGAATTTGAGCAGTAAATTTCAATTATTTGTATATTGCTTTGTAAATAAATACATAGATGGAGAGATGGATAGATAGATAATTGAATGATAAATTATAAGGAATTAGCCCATGTGATCATGAAGGCAGGCAAGTCCCAAGATCTTCAGGATAAGTCAGCAACCTGGAGAATTGATGGTGCCATTCTAGTCCAAAGACTGGCATCCTGGAGACCCAGGAATAGTCAATGTTTCAGTTCTAGTGTGAAAAAAACAAGTGTTCCAGTTCAAAGCCCATCAGGCAAGAAGAGTTCTCTTTTAGTTGGCTGGTGGGAGGCAGGGATTGGCCTTTCTCTTCTATTTAGGCCTCCAACCAATCAAACCAGACTCACCAATATTAAGGGGGCAATCTGCTTTACTTAGTATATTCATTTAAATGTTAATCTTATCCAAAAACAAACACTCTAACAGAAAAACCCAGAGTAATATTTGACCAAATATCTGTGTACTCTGTGATCTGGTCAAATTGACACAAAATTAACCACCACATTATGTAACCCAAACCTATCTGGAACAATGTTATCACCTTGACATGAGAATAAGGGAAGGTTAGCGTACAATTCAACTGTAGGCAGAAGGCAGATAAAATGAAAATCACATACCTATGGAAGTACCTGTATCATAGAAAGGTTAATATCCAGCAGGCTAGAGGTAGAATTTAGAATTGACTAATTTAAACTGTGCTAGAGTTGGTTTTTATCTCATGTTCAATAATTAATTTTCACCAAATTGTATAAGAAAATGATACAAGAATTTGTTTCTGATGTGACAAAAAACTAATTTTTCTTCAATAATCCTTTTTTTGCATCTGTTAAATCAATTGACTCTAAATAATATGTCACTAGGAAAAAAGTCCACAAATAAGATGTCATAAAAATATTGAATTATTAAATGGTAGACAAATAGGCTTCATTAATTTACTCAATTTTTAGAGACAGGGTCCCTAAGTATTTAAGTAGTTTAATAAACTCCTTTCCTCTCTCCCAGGCTGGAGTGCAGTGGTGCTATCATAGCTTACTGCTACCTCAAACTCCTGGTGTCAAGCAATCCTCCTACCTTAGCCTCCCAAATACCTGGGACTACAGGCATGCACCACTACAACTGGCTAATTTTAAAAAAATTTTAACAGACAGGCTTTTGCTGTGCTGCCCCGGCTGGCCTCGGGCTCCTGGCTTCAAGGGATTCTCCTGCCTATACCTCCCAAAGCACTGGGATTTACAGGTCTGAATTTAAATATAGTTTTATTCAACTAGATAGTCTCATCTTAAATATTTTTCTTGACAATAGTATGACCAAATTATCAGTATAATAATATCACATTATTTTCCAAGAGATTTGACATTTTTATCAAATTAACTATTGCAATGAAAATTAATGAATAAATTTTCAAGTGTTTGAAAATAATTATATATTTGGTCAAAAGGAACATATTATGCATACACAATAATATCAATATCTAAAAAAGGCTCTGTGAAATATTATGGCACATAGAATTCAAACCTACAAAACTGGCATAAGCAAATATTTATTTTATAACTTACTTTATAATTTTAACTGTTAAAAGTAGGCATACATGTACATTATTGTGATTATGCAACAAAATAGTAAAAGTATGGAAAAAGTTGAAAAATGTGAAAATACATTAATCAAAATATTAGGAATAAGTATTTCTGGATTCTGGGATTATGGTAATTTGTATTCTTATCTTTTTTGTTTATTTTAATTTATTGAAAATTAACTTTCACAAATACTAGTATTTGTGATAATATTATCAATAGATAGCATATTCTTTTCTTTCTGATTGGTTGTTTAGCATGTATTTGTTTCCTAAGTTATGTAGTTAATTCCAATAATATTTTTGTGGATCTATCATGTGTCACAAGTGCACAATCATTCTGATCACAATTATGAAAATCTAATATTTTCATTTCTAATACATTACTTTTATAATACATTCATCTGATAAGTTATTATTTCTGTTTCATTGATTAAATCATACTGGGAAAATAATTACCCTTATATGCTGTTGTCAATATGGTTCTCTTCTTCCTCACCTAACATTGGAAAACATTTCAAAAATAAAATTATAGATTTAAGGAAAGATTTTGAAATCAAATATAATGGAAATTTTCAAAAATATAGTAAAAAGAAGAAAAGTATAATAAAGGCTGTGAATGCATCAGCAGCTTCAACAAGTAATTATCAACAAATGACTGTTTTATTTCATTTGTATCCACAGTTATGTTACTCATAGAGAATTATTTTTGGGAAAACTCAGATTTTTATCCATACATCCAAAAATAATTAATCAAAAGTGTATTTCTTAAGAAAGGCATCCTTTTAATAGGAGAGCCCTAATGTTTACTACCTGTTTGTAGATGAGAACAATCTAATAATACCGTCAACTACACAGTCAAATTTAAAGTTTTCTAATTTTCTAAAAGTTTTAAATAGTTGATTCATTTGAGGAAATACCAAGTATGTTACTATATTATGGTTTTATTTCCTTAAAGCAGCTTATAGTTAATAGATCTCCTTCAATTCTTTTTTCATTATCATGAAGAACATAATAAATGCATTTTTGGAGTAGAATAAAGTCCAACATTCTATTACTTTGTGTCAAGCCACTGAAATTGCTTATTATATTTCCATTTACATTTTTTTAAAAAGTTCAACTTATGTTTTAAATATAGAAAGTATATGTGCAGATTTGCTGCATGGGAATATTGCATGATGCTGAGGTTTGCAGTACAAATCCCATCACCAAGATAGTTAGCATACTACCTAATGGGTAGTTTTTTAACCTACCCCCTCCCTTCATCCTCTAGTAGTCTCTATTGTTTCTGTATTTATGTATACATATATGTTTGTTCAATGCTTAGCTCCCATTTACAAGTGAAACTATGAAGTATTGGAATTTTCTGTTCCTGTGTTAACTTACTTAGGATAATGGCCTACAACTCCACTCATGTTGCTGCAAAGGATATTATTTTATTCTTTTTGATGGCTTCATAGTATCCCATGGTATGTATGTATCACAGTTCCTTTATCCAATCTACTATTGATAGGTACCTGGAGTGATTCCAAATGTCTGAAATTGTGAATAGTGCAGCAATGAACATATGAGTGCATGTCTTTTTGGTAGAATAACATATTTTCTTTTGGATATGTCTACAGTAATGGGATTGCTCGGTCAAATGGTTGTTCTGTCTTAATTTTTTTTTAAAAAAGTCCAGACTGCTTTCCACAGTGGCTGGACTAATTTACATTCCAAACAACAGTGTATAAGCATTCCCTTTTCTCTGCAGCCTCACTAGCACCTGCTGTTTTTTGACTATTTAGTAATAGCCTTTCTGACTGGTATGAGATAGTATCTCACTGTGGTTTTGATTTGAATTTCTCTGATGACTGCTGATGCTGAGCATTTTTTATATGTTTCTTGCCCAATTTTATGTTCTCTTTTGAAAAGTTTTGTGCATTTTATTAATAAGGTTGTTTGTTTTTTGCTTGTTGATTTGTTTAAGTTTCCTACAGATTCTGGGTAGTAGGCCTTTGTCAGCTGCATAGTTTGCAAGTATCTTCTTTCTTCCATTCTTTAGGTTGTCTACGTGCTCTGTTGATACTTTCTTTTACTGTGCAGATGCTCTGTAGTTTAATTATATCCCAGCTGTCTTTATTTGACTTTTATGTCATAATCTTATAATGCAATAGCTATAGAATAGAAACATACTATATTCAGAATTTAGTAAGATAAAATGTTTTATAAACTACTTTCTTAGATTTACTCTCATATATTATAAGTGTTTTCAACATAAACATACATGAAAAGAAAACATTTAACAAAGTTATGGTCTGAATGATGAATATCTTTTATTTCATAAGGGAAATAGCTGTGGTCACTAAGTAAACAATATATTATAGTTATGGTATATACACTAGTGCTAATAAAAATGGTCTGACCATTTCTTCAACTCTAGTTGGAGAAAAATCATAGCAACATGGTCTCATTTCTTGTTTGCTACTGAAAGCAAAATAACTGTGTTTTGATTAATAATTATCTCTAAAATTTTAAGTGTATACAAATGAGGTGAAATGCAGCGGGATAGAGATGCACAGCATGTCTAATTGAGAAAACTGCATGATCAACAATATTGTGTTATACCAAGAGACAGATGAAAATCAATTTTGCAGAAAATTGGCCTATGACTGATTAACAAAACAAAGATAAATAAGACTAAAATATTAGCTGACAATATTTCATATAACAGCAGAAACATAAAATGTTCATGTTTCTAAGTCTGAAAAGTACAAAAAGATGATGAAAATAGAAGTAATAGTAGTAATAAATTGTCAAAGCATCATAGTAAAATTATCAATTTTCTAATTCAAGGGCGAAAACTCATCAGAAGAAATAAAAATGCGTGGGTCTTTAGTGGAAAATGCTTTTCAAAAATGTTTCATGATACCAACTCAGGTCATGACTCTTAGCTTATCTTGTTTAGTCTGTCAAAAACTGGTGACTAAGAATTAAGTGTTGACAAATGTAGAAAAAAAAAGTGCTTATTTTGTTTGATTTGATTTGATTTGATTTGATTTGATTTTGAGATGGAGTTTCCCTCTTGTTGCCCAGGCTGGAGTGCAATGGTGCCATCTCAGCTCACTGCAACCTCCACCTCCTGGCTTCAGGAGATTCTTCTGCCTCAGCCTCCTGAGTAGCTGGGATTACAGGCATGCGCCACCATGCCCAGCTAATTTTGTATTGTTAGTAGAGACAGGCTTTCACCATGTTGGTCAGGCTAGTCTCAAACTCCTGACCTCAGGTGATCCACCAGCCTCGGCCTTCCAAAGTGCTGGGACAGGCATGAGCTCCCACACCTGGCCGAAAGTGCTTTCCAATTACACCCTAACTGAGAACCTGCTTTTTAGTTGTTGGTGTTTAGGTTTTAGGTGCATTTAAACATATATATTTTAAATGATAATCAGTAGATAAATCAGTATACATACTGTGCAATACTCATTAATCAGTTGTAATCAAGACATCTGATGTATTTTACATGGTTTAAAACCAGAATTTCTTTGATACAAAAAAAAAGCACTCAAATTTTGACATAATGGAGTATGGTTTATTTTATAGCTAAGGGAGCTGATATTTGAAGAGAATAACCTGCCTATACAAATAAGTATATATGACCGAGAGAGTTTGCCACAGATCATACTCATTATGCTTTTTGATCAAGAACACGACTGTTCAAAAAACATTATGCTAGGCTTCATTACATCGTGTGTTTTAGTGTTTGTCTTATTTTAGGTTTTGATTTTAACCAGCAGAATTTAATTTTATCACTTTGTATCACACATATACACATTCCTTCTGGGAACTTTGAACATGAGATTAAGCCACCTTGGCTTGGCTCTGGTCCTATCTGGTTCTCTCTGCTGCTGGTGGCCTATGCCAAGGTCTTCATCTTCAACATTATTTGTTACTCTGTTAACTCTTCCTCCGTCTTCCTTTGGCTCCAGTGACATGTTCTCTGCGTTTTCCTAATTCATCCTCACTCGTGCATATTTTTCTTGATTATATCCTATTTCTTTTCTCCATTTTTAAAACTAAAAGTGATCAAATCCTCTTTTATATCGACATTTACTGGTGATGCCTAATTTTTCCCACCTCAAACCTCATCTTTCCTCCAACCTTAGAAATAGCACTGTCATTTACCAGGTTGTACAACATCTTGAAATCTACCTTGACTCCTTGATTTTCTCCAGCCCATTTTCATTTGTCACATATAGGATTTTATTTTTGAAGCATATCCATTTTGACAGATTTCTTCACTGATGCTGATATAATATATTCTCTTTTTCTCCTAACTTTCTAATTGCCCATTTTTAATCTGCCAGCAAAGATCCATTTCTCTTTTGTCTCTATATTATTTCATGATTCTAGAAGTGCTGTTATTTTGTCATTCAAATAACTCTGTTCTGATAATTCCTGAATCTATACCTCCAAGCCAAAACACTGTTCACATAAAATCTGTGTAGCCGGTCTCATTTCTGGAATGTCTTCTTGAATATTTCATATGTATCTAATAATGATACAATATGTAAGATTATTGAGTGCTTATTATGTACCTGGCCCTAATCTGAATGTTTCACTCTATTTTTTCTTTGAATAATCACAGTAACCCTATGCTTTTGTTTCTATTGATATCCATACTTGATTATGGAAAGCTTAAATAACACACCTAAAATTCACAGTAAATGACAGCATTGGATTGTTAAACCCACATAATCTAGTCCCACAGAGAACACCTACACAGCAGACCCACTTAAATACGCAGAAAAAGCAATTCATTATTTCCCTTTTCTCAATCTATTTTGTCCCAATAACTCAAGAACTACTAAAGATAGTAAGACTATCTTTATAGTGGATTTAGCTCCAAAGCTGGGGCATATTCTACTCCATCCTATTCTCCTATATGGCCTCTCGATCCTACACATATCTACTAAATCACGATGTGTTGTCAATTCTAAAGCCTATTTATCATTTAAATTTGTTCACTTTTCTCTATCTCCTTTGCTTATCCAAATTCAGACAACTATCACCTTTCAAAACATTCACAGCTTCTCAAAACATCCCGTTGCCATCAAGGTAGGCCACCTCTTATTTCTTTTCTATACTGTAGCCTACACAATTTTAATAAGATATTCCCATGTCTTCTTGAGCTTTAAATACTTCGATTGATGTGCCTTTTAGTTAAATTACAAAAGTAATAAATGTAACTTACAAGGTCCTTATGATCTGGCTCATTCTTCCTGAAGCACTTGATCCTTTCATTTAGTTTGGTTAATATTTACTGGTATACAAATCTATTTGGAAGTTGCTGTCATCAGGTGATGTCCTTAACCCTCTTCCTACCACCCAAATCATGGGTTGGTAGCCAAACCTTGCTCTTCTAGCACCTCATAATCTCCTCTACACTTATCCTGCTTGGCCAAAAGTGATAGTTTATTTTCTATGACTCTCACTGGAATTCAAGCTCAATGTGGGAAGGGCAGTGTCAGTTTTGTTCACCACTGAATAAAAATCTCTGCCAATTTTTATTGTGTTCTAGGCACTCATTAAATATTGCTTGAGTGAATGAATTAATACATTATTAAATTATATTCATTTGTATCCTAATTTTTTATATATCATTACTTTCAATTAAAACTTTAAGTTATTACACATACACAACTAACTAATATGTTTCCCTGGTGCTGATATTTTATAAACTCAAATTATTGTCCTTTCTAGATATAGCTTTTAATTTATGACCTAATGGTTTAGGAATGGTGTACATTTGTATTGAATGTCTTCCTCAATGCAAGTTTGCTTTGTGTATACTAAAAAAAAGTCTTAAGTGAGATCACTTAATGTAGGCATTTAAATATTGCACTGTAAATGGCATGTTAAATAATCATCCAATGAGTGAATGTTGCTTGTCTTTTATTTTGCACCTCTTCTGTGAGCTGTTTATGAAATCCAACAGAGAGAGGGTTTAGTGACTGTATATCACTAACTTTCCACACAGCCTTGTCAGTTCAATTTTTCATCTTTCTATTTTCATCTTCTTTCATCTCAGTAAAATTGCTATGGGCTACTGATCTTAAATCAAATTTATCTGAAATTCAAACATAATGAAAATGGGAATTGATGAATGGAAACTAGTCATAGCCATCACTTTAGATCTTAGGCAAATAAATTCAAGTTATAGAACATCAACACTTGTGCCTGCGGTAATAGGATCAACAAGATAAATTAATACAGTAGTGAATTACAACTAATTAGTGTCCATATAGTACTATTTGAATATAGTAATTGTTTAAATATCCAATGATTTGTTTCTGTCATTCAATGTCCTATTTTAGCTACTGAAGATTTTAAGTAAATGTCATTGACTCATTTTCTCTATTTGTTATGAAACCAGAATATAAGGTACATGTCAGAAAATGGGAATTTATTTGTGGTCATCAAAGTAAGACTCATGTAATTTATTGTATGTTTTTCTCCCTCTTGGTGCATAGAAAATATGTGTAGTGCTGAGTAAGAATAAAAAATATAAACAGGAAGAAAGATCAAAACTTCTCATTCTTTCCTTGGGTCCTAGTCAAGGTTAATTCTGAGAGAAACTCCTAAAGGCTGTTGTCAAAGAAGATAATGGAAAAACAACAAAAACAAAAACAAACCAACAAAAAACTGCAAATATTTTCAATTAAGATAATGGGCTTCTTGTTTGAACCAGTTGGTATGATGGTTGCTTTAATAGATGGTTTTGTTTCAAATAGATCTGCTGTTTCTTTGGATTAGAACAAATTCATATACACATATCATCATTGTATTAGTCAGGGTTCTCCTGAGAGACAGAACCACTAAGACAGAGAGAGAGAGAGAGACAGACAGAGAGAGAGAGAGAGACAGAGAGAAAAGAGAGAGAGGAGAGGCGATTTATTAAAATAATTGATTCATAATTACTGAGGTTGAGAAATTATTGCATTCTTTGTTAATATGACTAATATTTGCTGAGCATTAAAGATACAGTTTGGTGGGATTTTAAACCTTATTTCTTTGATATTCCAATTTGCATCTGTACTGGCAAAGTTTATTCATATCAGGCTCTAATTCCAATCTTCATATATCATCACTATTTCTGTTAAAACATGCCATTACTGATCCTTTAGTAGGCCAGAGGCTCTAATGAACCTTTGTGAAAATATATGGAAAAGACATTATTAAAGTGGTTTTTCAGAAGCTTTCTACTATCTTTTCAAACATAGCATTTCTGAACTCACATCACTCTGGAACAAAGGACATGTACCTGTATATGCCAATGATTGTGTAAATAATATTTTTTGTTATTGCTTAAATAACTATTCACTTATTAACTCAAATTAATTGAGGACAAAGAAAACCCTAGCTTTTCAGGCTGGGCACGGTGGCTCACGCCTGTAATCCCAGAACTTTGGGAGGCCAAGGCGGGCAGATCATGAGGTCAGCAGATTGAGGCCATCCTGGCTAACAAGGTGAAACCTCGTCTCTACTAAAAATACAAAAAAATTAGCTGGGCGTGGTGGCGCGCGCCTGTAGTCCCAGCTACTTGGGAGGCTGAGGCAGGAGAATGGCGTGAAGCCGGGAGTCGGAGCTTGCAGTGAGCCGAGATTGCACCACTGCACTCCAGCCTGAGCAACAGAGCGAGACTCTGTCTCAAAAAAAAAAAAAAAAAAAGAAAACCCTAGCTTTTCTCTTGGCTCAAATCTGAAATGTAAGAAGTTAAGTAATATATTAAAAAGTAAAATATAATTTATGTATGTTACATAAACAAGTAAACCATTTTAATTACTGTTTTTCAATCACATATTTATCATTCTCTGGAGCATTTAAAGGTTTTATTTTCTCAAATATATACTTATTATTAACTTAATAATAAGTTTTCATTGTAGATGTTTAGATTTTGGTCACTTATGACCTTTGCAAAAGATATTTAAAACCTTAGGAATTTTTGGAATATTTTGAAAAAATAATAAGTTAATTTATTTCTTGTTAATAAATAAATTATCAAATAAATTATTCAAGAAAATTTACTCATTTTATAAAGGCAAATATTTTAGCATCTTTTTATTTCTCTATTTGAAATGGTATCTTCAGCAAGAGAATTCAAGATGCCTAGAAAGCAAATATTGTTTGTTAATTTACTCCAAAATTAAGATGTTAGCTTCATATTTTCCAATAAATTAGTAGCACTTTAAATTGACTTTGCTTACCAAACATTTTTTAATAATTTTACTGTAAATTAGTCTTCATTTCTATAGAAAGTAACAAAGGATTACACAGATATTTGAACTCCATCAGTGTAATTTGGCACCACTTAACACTTAAAAATTGTGATTTATTTCAATATATACAAAAGTAACTAGATTGAACTAATTTTCAGATTTTATAACAACTTTAAAATGCATTGCATTTACTTTATGAATTTTTGATTTTGGTGGATCTCAAATAGTTAAGGAACTTGAGAATTAATCAGACATATTTTTAGGGTAAAGTGCTCCTTTGTATCATATGTATATGTGAATAACTGGTTTATTGATCTATATCACAGCTCAGATAGATTAAAGGCAGATAAACAGGTCTTCTGCTTATGCATACTCCATCAGAGAACAAAATACTAGTTCCTTTTTATTGTAGACTCATTTGAGCCCTATAATTTATTTTCTTGGAGTCTCTATCTTCTCTTACTTTCAAAGAAGATCATTATGTAATAGGGCATAAAAATATTTAGTACAAACAATGCTTACAAACGTTGACTTTCTTTCCACTTCTCAATTTTGTTTACAGTTTGATAAGATTTATTAGAACAGTGGTACATGGTAATAGTAGTGCCAGTTTATTAACCTCTTGATAAACTGTAGCAGAAGTATGTAACTCTAATTCTTAGGTAGTCTCCTTCATAATATAAGGGTATTTATTATCTTCTCACCTATAACTTTGGGTCATCATGGTCAATTTTGGGGCAGCAAGAAAAGCCCAATTTAACATCTCTACTTTCATTGTGCTTTTTTAATGGCTTCTTTTATATCAGTTACTATACAGTCTAAGCTGCTGTAGCTAAAAAAGAAAAGATCCGTAGTTTAAACAAGATAGAATTTGATTTTTCTATTATGTTAATTAGGTGGACTAGAGATCCAGGCTAATTTTATCTTTTTACTCTATCATCTTGAAGCACGTAACTTCCATTGTAAATTCTAAGATGTTTTCTTCACTGCCAACCATTATGTTCACACTCTAGCCCTGCAGAAGGAGAAAATGGGCCAATGAATGACATGTTTTTAAGAGCATATCCAGAGGTAACACATTTTACTTATCTGGCAATATTGTATTGGCCAAAACGTAGCCACATGACCACATCTAGCTTCCAAAATTTCGAGGCAATGTAGTGGGATAGCTGGGTAATAATGTGCTCAGCTAAAATTTGGGCATTGCATTATTAAAGAAATAATATTAAATAAATAATTCTGAAGATTTTGGGGCAATAAGTAGTTTCTATCATTTCTATTAGTGGAACATATCTGAATAAGTAGTGCTTTAACCAGCTGTCTAAGGGCAAATTATGATGACTGAGAAAGTGTCCATATGTTTAATATTCAGAACTTTACATTAGTAAATCTAAAATCTGGAAATGACATATTATGTTACTATAGTTTCTAACCACATAAAACTGATGCTCCAGTTACAAGGGATACATCTGTGTACTTAGAACAAGCCTTCATGTTTTTATGCTACATTGTGCTTGCATGTTGTACCTTTTCCTTGTACTGTCATTTTCATCAAACTTCTGTTGAATTTTTACTCAAAATTCAAGATCCAGCTCAAAAGTATTCTACTCATTGAAGTCTTCCTAATTTCATCAGGCCATAGTGATTTGCACACTACTGGGGTCCTATAGAATTATATGCATGTTTTCATGATAGCATTTATGTACATTAATTATATGTGGACATGTTTCACAAATGCAAAGAATCAATGCTTACAGAATTGTGGTTAATCTTTTTAAGTTAAAGAATAATAAATCTACCTTCTAAGCACAAAATAAACCCATGTGTTTCTGACTCCAAAACTAAATTTCCTTTCCACTGATTTCTACAATCTTCCAGAATGGAGAATTTCCACATTTCTCCATTCCTACTATGAATAGCCAGCAATAACTTGATGTCTGAGAGATTTAGTTCAGACATTAGAAAGCATAACATTTCTTTTACTAAGAGCTATGACATAATAAAATACATTATTAATTGCAGAAGTCAATTCTAGAACATTAGATCATGGTAAGTAAATATGTCTCAGTCTCAATCTTTGTGATTTGTCTTGATTTGTCTCTACAGATATTAAATATTTACTTAAGTAACAAATACTGTTTAATTAATATACAGATTTGCATATTCAGTTTATTTAATATTTATTATGTTCTTGGAACTGTGCTAGCCCTAAAGATTTAGTTGTTAAGGAGATGATGTAAGTTGTAGCAAATCTGGAGCTTGTGTTCAGAGAGTAACTGATAGTGCAGGTGTCAAGAAGGAGATAAATGGACATTACACTAGCAACCAAAGGGATAAGGAACTTTTCCATAATATTAATGCTATTGAAAACAATAAAATAAACATAGACTGATGGAGTAGAAAGACTAGAGAAAATATTCACATTTCTTGGTCATGGAAATCCTCTCTAAAGAAGTGACATTGAAGCAATATTAGTGTTTCGAACAAAACTCTTTGAGAGTTTCTTCATCAACTTAGGTGGTTAGTACTGAAGCCACCAGAGGCCCAGAGAAAGGGCACCTTTGTGGCCAAGGCTGCTCTGAAGGGATGCATGCAAGAACATCCACTTGCATGGGTCCCTTCAGGGCAGCCTTGTCTGCAAGGTAAAAGCATGAGTTTATAGTACTTACAGACCCTAAGGGGTAACCAGAATACCAAGGCCACATACATAGACGTCTGGAAGTGCAGCTGGAGAGACAGAAGAGATCACAGCAACTAACCATATATATTAGGGCATAGGGTTTGGGTCACTTTAAGTTCATGGGCAAATGCCTGAATGGTCCCTTTAAAGGGAGTAGTGGGAAAGTGGAGAGCTTAGTCTTCTGGGCAGGGGAGATGTTTCCTCATTCTTATCTCTGGCCACTGGCTTGAGCCATTTGGTTGTGAGGTGGAACTGAAAAATATGTTAAGGGGTGATTAAACCCTGCCTCTATTATGAGAAAGCTAAACATCTTCCTAAGAACTGGAACAAGATAAGGTTGCTGTACTAGTCTGCTTTCATGCTGCTGATAAAGCCATACCTGAGACCTGGCAATTTACAAAAGAATGAGGGTTAACGGACTTATAGTTCCATGTGGCTGGGAAAGCCTCACGATCATGGCAGAAGGCAAGGAGGAGCAAGTCATGTCTTCCATGGATGGCAGCAGACAAAAAGAGAGCTTGTGCAGGGAAACTCCCCTTTTTAAAACCATCAGATCTCATGAGACTTATTCACTATCACAAGAACAGCACAGGAAAGACCTGACCCCATAATTAATTACCTCCCACTGGGTCCCTCTCAAAACACATGGGAATTCAAGATGAGATTTGGGTGGGGACACAGCCAAACTAAATCAGATGCCCACTCTCATCACTCTTATTCAACATAGTACTGGAAGTACTAGTCAGAGCAATTCAACAGGAGAAAGAAATAAAAGGCATCCAAATTGAAAAGAAGGAAGTCAAATTATCTCTGTTCACTGATAAAATTATCTTATATCTAGAAAACCCTAAAGACTTCTCCAAAAGACTCCTAGACTTGATAAAAACATCAATAAATTTTCAGCATACCAAATCAATGTACAAAAAACAGTAGGATGTCTATATGCCAATAATGTTCAAGCTAAGAACCAAGTCAAGAGCTCAGTCTCACTTAAAGTGGCCACACACACACACACAAATAAAATACCTAGGAATATATTTAACCAAGGAGGTGAAATATCTCTACAAAGAGAACTGCAAAACACTGCTGAAAGAAATCTTAGATGACACAAACAATGAAAAAACATCCCATGATAATGGATTGGAAGAATCATTATTGTTAAAATAACCATACTGCTCAAACCAGTTTACAGATTCAATGCTATTTCTATTAAATTACCAGTGTCATCTTTTACAGAATTAGAAAAAAAAAATTAAAATTCATATGGAACAAAAAAAGAGCCCAAATAGCCAAAGCAATTTTAGGCAAAGAGAACTAAGCTGGAGGCATCAAATAATCCGACTTCAAATTATAATACAAGGCTATTATAACCAAAAAAGCATGATACTGGTACAGAAATAGACACATAGATAAATGGAACAGAATAGATAACCCAGAAATAAAGCTACATACCTAGAATCAATTCATCTTTGACAAAGTCGGCAAAAGACAATAAAGAAAGGACAATAAATGGTACTTGGAAAATTGGATAGTAATATGCAGAAGAATAAAACTGGACCATTATCTCTTATCATATAAATATTATAAAACTCAAGATAGATTAAAGATAGATTAAAGACTTAAATGTAAGACCTGAAACTATGAAAATCCTAAAAGAAAACTTAGGAAATGCTATTCTGGACAGTGGTGCAGACAAATAATTTATGACAGCTCAAAAGCAAATGCAACAAAACCAAATATAGAAAAATTGGACTTAATTAAACTAAGAAGCTTCTGCACAGCAAAATCTGTATTTTTTTCATTCTTTAGGTTATCTGTTTACACTGTTGATTAAACAATCAACATTATTTATTCAATAATGTAAACAGATAACCTACAGAATAATAATAAAAAAACAGTTGCAAACTATGAATATGACAATGTGTTAACATCCAATGCGGTTAGGCTTTGTGTCCCCACCCAAATCTCATCTTGAATTGTAATCCCCAGAATCCCCATAATCTCCATGTGTCAAGGGAGAGACCAGACAGAGGTAATTGAATCATGGGGTGGTTTTCCCCATGCTGTTCTCGTGATAGTGAATGAATTCTCCTGAGAGCTGATGGTTTTACAAGGGGCTTTTCCCTTTTCTCTCAGCAATTATTCCTGACACCCTGTGAAAATATGCCTTGCTTTCCCTTTGCCTTCTGCCATGACCGTAAGTTTCCTGGGGCCTCCCAAGTCATACTGAACTGTGAGTCAATTAAACCTCTTTCCTTTATAAATTACCCATACTTGACCAGTTCTTTATAGCAGTATGGAAACAAACGAATACAATATCTAAAATAATGAAACTCAAACAACTCAACAAGAACAAAGAAAATAACTACATTAAAAAGTGGACAAAGAAAATGAACAGATATTACCCAAAGATGACATACAAGAAGCCAATAAATGTGCAAAAATGCTGAATAACACTAATCATCAGAGAAATGCAAATTAAAACTACAAATGAGATACCATCATACCCAGTTAGAATGGCTATTACCAAAAAGTCAAAAAACAACAGATGATGAGGATTTGAAGAAATGAGAATGCTTGTACACTGTTGGTGGGAATGTAAATTTATAGAAACTCTATGGAAAACAGTATGGAGATTTCTCAAAGAACTAAAAATAGAACTACCATTCAACCCAGCAGTCTCTCTCTCTATGTATATATAAAATATGTCATATATATGATAAATATATATATTTTTATCTATATATATATGATAAAATGCCTGGATTTATATGTTTATTACAGTACTATTCACAACAGCAAACTCATGGAATAAACCTAAGTACCCATCAATAGATAATGTAATAAAGAATATATACAACATGGAATACTATACAGCCATAAAAAAGAACAAAATCATGTCTTTTGCAGCAATGCAGATGGAGCTGGAGGTTATTATCCTAAGTGAAATAACTCAGAAACAGAAAATTGAAACCACATGTTTTCACATGGGAGCTAAACAATGGGAAAACATGAACATAAAGATGGAAATAATAAACACTGGAGACTCCAAAATGTGGGAGGATGGGAAGAAGGTGACGATTGAAAAATTACTTATTGGGTACAATGTTCACTATTTGGGTGATGGTTACACTAGAAAACCAAACTTCATCATTATACAATATATCCATATAACAAACATACACATGTATATGCTGAATCTATAGTAATTTTACAAATGGATACTGAGACAACATAAAGTTATAAGCATTCCCTACCACCAGGAACTCTACATTTCTCAAAGATACAATGATATGAGACAAAAGATTCCGAAAAAAGTTTCTGTAATAGCAAAAGAAATCTGTAAGTGTTTCACAGAGCTTTGTATATTCAAGAAACAATAGAAGTCTATTTCCCTGGAAAAGCATAAGCCAAAAAAGAACAGTTAAAGATGAAGTTAGGAAGATAAACAAGAGTCAGATTCTATTTGGCCTTGTGAAATATTGTAAAGTGATAGAAAGCCACTACATATTTTGGAAGCTAGGAAGAAATATAAATTGTTTTACTTTATTAATTGTTGCCTTTGCTACCCTAGAAAGAAGAAAGGAAGACTATTTTGACGTAGGGTAGGTAAGGGATGACATTGATCTAAATTAAAATTATAGTAGTAAAAATCAATATAAGTGGATGAATTATGAACAATTTTTAGTTAGAGTTAATCAGACTTATTTATGAATTGGATGTAAGGTCTGAAGTCAAGTAAGCAATTAATTATCATGCTTCGGCGAGGCCTGAGAACTGGGTAGATTATTGCATCATTTATTAAATTAAGAAATATTCAGATGGGGCAGATATGCATGTGAGAAAATCATAGTTATGTTCTGTACCTTTATGACTAAATCACCATTGGCTATTCAACTATTATTTAATGGTACAGAGCCCAGGAGAGAGGTCTGAACTGAAGATAAATATCATTTTTACATACCCACCTTGAGAAAATATAGACAAATAATACTAAAAGAGCTAGGGATTAACCTTGAGACATTCCAATAATTTCAGTCCAGCACAAACAGCACATTTTGTGGAAAAAAAGAGATAAAAAAGCCAGAAAAGAACTAGCCACTAAAGAAGAGGAAGGAACAAAAAGAAGAATAATAAGGAAACCAAGAAAATATCCTTTTTTGTTAAGAAGGAAGGTATAGTCAACTGCATAAAATGTTGCAGAGCAAGAAAATGCAGTAGAACAGAATCTATGCCTTTAGATTTGGACAGATGCAAGTTTCTGGTGTCCTAGATTGAGTTTATTGGAGTGATGAGTGGGGAACACAGAGTAAGTTAAAAAATGAATGAGAGGTGAGGACATAGACACAGTGCCTTACAGAGAATCTCTCAGGAGTTGTGCTACAAAAGGATAAAGGAATGAAATTAAGATTAAAAGGGGCAGTTAACTTTCCTTAATCTTCTTTCTTGCTTCCTTGCTTGATTGATGTCTTTCTTCCTTTCTTATATTCTTCCTTTCTCCCTTTCTCTTCTTTCCCTTTGTTTCTTTCTCTTTTTTTGGGGGGGGGGGGGTGGGTGGAGGGGGGGCTTAATCTTAAATGTTTTATTTTATATGAAGTTTAGATTTATAGAAAAATTGATGATAGTAGAGTTCCCACATACCCAATATTCAGTTTCCCTGATTATGTATATTCGCTAAAATTAATGAGGCAATACTGATATATTATTATACTAAGGCCCATATTTTATTTTTATTCAGATTTCCTTATTTTCACTGAATGTCCTGATTCTGTTCTAGGATCCCACGCAGGATATTACATTCCATTTAGTTATCATTTCTCCTTAAGCTCCTATTGGCTGTAATACTGCTATTGTTCCCTGTTAATGATTGCCTTGACAGTTTTGAGGAGTACTGATCAGGTATATTTTAGATTCTCCTTTAATTGGGATTGGTCTGCTGTTTTTCTCATGATTAGACTGAGTTTATGGGTTTTTGAGAGAAAGACTACAGAGGTAAAATCTAATCCCATCACAAAATCAAGGGTGCATACCATCCACATGATTTATCATTGTAGATGATAACCTTGAGTTCCTGGTTGAGGTAGTGATTCTCAGGTTGCACTACTTTAAAGTCACTATTTTTCTCTTTCCTTTGGAAAGAATTAACTATGTGCAGCCCAGGCTCCAAAGAGTGGCAAGTAATGTTACCCTCCTCGAGAGTGCCGCTTTCATATAAATTACTTAGGATCTGTCAATATAAGATACAGTATAAGATATTTGCCTCTTTTCTTCCCCTCTATTTGTGTACACATTTAATAATTTACTAATACTTTTATGTACTCCTGCATATTTATTTTATACTTTCTATTATAATCCAACAATACTATGTATTATTTTAATTTGTTTTGCTTACACTGTTCCAGAATTAGCCATTGGGAGCTCTTTCATTTGGTTCCTGTGACATTTTGATATGCCTTCTTCATTGTGCATTTTTTGGAGCACTTTTTTTCTTTCTGGCACTGCAAGACACTCCAGGTTCATCTCGTATATTTCCTGCTCTGTTCCTAGGATCAGCCATGTCTCCAATAAGCTCTTTGTTTTGTATTGAATGAGGAATGGTGTAAGAAATCATATCTGATTGTTAAAGACTCTTGTTGCTAATAGTGTTTTCGCTTCTGAAGCCCATCAGCTGAAAGAGGAAAGAATGTGTGTATACTAGCTTGTGTATACACAATATCTGTAAATATTTTCTGTACATATACATCTGTATCTCTATTATGATAAGCATGATTTATACTCATGAGATCATATCTCTATCTCTAATTCACTATTATGTGAATCATTTCTGTTTTCTTCTCTTGCTTATCTGTATACAAAGCTCTGAAATAGTGAGAAATATAGTTTTCACAGAGCAATATTCGCTTTTTTACTTACTCAATTCTAGTACATATGTATCAAAACAGAACTAACACATATTCCTGTGAAAAACAATTTTGTCAACTAGAATACACTTATCATTTACAGTTTACTTTTCACTTAGACTTACAGTTTCAAAGCTTACTTAGGTCAGCATTTTTCCCACCACCACCTTTAGTGAGATTGTTTTATACCTTTGCAATATAGTTAGTTTTATCTGCTGTCATATTCTGCATTGATCCTAGAATCTCTCAACTTCTTAAAGGATTTTTTAATTGCAGACCTCAATTTGTGTAATGTAAAATTCTGTGTATTTGCAAAAATATAGTGACATCTGTTAATGATTACAGTATTATACAGAATAGATTATCCGCCCTAAAAAATCCCTAGTGCCACATTAATCCAATCCTTTTCTTTCCCCCGATTCCTGTCAACCAGTGATCTATTTCTCATCTCTACAGATTTGCCTTTTGCAGTAGAGCATATAGTTGAAATCATACAGTATGTAGCCTTTTTAGGAATATTCTACTTAGGAATATACATTTAAGATTCATTAATGATTGTGCATGCCTTGACAGCTTATTTCTGTTTATCACTAAATGCCACTCTATTATATGGATGTACCACAGTTCATCTATTCACCTATTGAAGGACATCTTGATTATTTCCAGTTTGGGGAGAATATACATAATGTTATTGTAAACATTTGTGTGCAGGTTTTTTGTGGACCTGAGTTTTCAAATCAGTTGAGATGAAATATGTTGGAGCATGATTTTCTCACTAATATGTTAAGACTATATTTAACTACGTAAAAAAATTGCCAAACTCTCTTTCAAAGTGGCTGTATCATATGGATTCCTATCAGGAATAAATGAGAGTTACTGTTGGTCTATATCCTTACCAGAAATTGATATTATCTGTATTTTGGATTTTAGCAAATCAAACAGATGTGTAGTGGTATCTTGTTATTTCAATTTGTGATTCTATAATGACAAATGGTGTTCAGTATATTTTCATATGCTCATTTGCTATCTTTATATCATTTTTGGTGAGATATCAGGTCATATCTTATCTATTTTTAACTAGGTTGTCTGTTTTTTATTGTTAAGTTTTAAGAGTTTTTGTTAAAGTTTTAGATAAGTTCTTATGAGTTTTGCATATATATTCTCCCATTTTTGATTTGACCTTTTAGTTTCTGTAATAGTCAGGTTCTCCAGATTAAAAATAGGATATATCTATATCTATGTCTATATCTATTTAATATATCTATATTTAGATAGATAAATAGATGTAGTGAAAAAGTAACATAAGAAATTATCTCATACTATAGCCTTCCCACTTTGGGGAAAACAATCTGCTTTACTTAATTTACCAATTAAAATGTCAATCTCATCCAGAAAAAATCTCACAAACACACGGAGAGTAATGTTTAATCAAATATCATGGCACCCCATGGCCTAGTCAAGTTGACGCACAAAATTAACCACTACAATTTCTTAATCATGTCTTTTGTGAAGAAGACTCTAATTATAATAAGAAAGATTCAAAAGGAAAGGCTAGAAATCAAGAACAGTATAAAAAGAAATAATGACAAATATGTCAATCTAAGAGAGTAGACAGCCCAGAAATACACTCACACAAATATAGTCAAGTGATCTTTAAGGAAGGAACTCAAGTAATTCAGAGGGGAAAGGAATATTTTCAACAGTTGTGCTACAACAATCGGACATTCACGTGCAAAAAAGTGAATTGAACAACAGACTTTACACTTACAAAACATTTAAATCAAAATAGATCACTGACGTAAATGTAAAATGCAAAACTCGAAGGCTTCTAGAATAAAACAGATCGATTTTATGTAGCCTTACACTTGGTAATTTTTTTTAGATATAATACCAAAAGCATAATCCATGAAAGAAGAAAAGTGGTAAGTTAGGCTTTATTAAATTTTAAAACTCCATTTCATTGAAAGAGACCTTTTACTAGCTCACTGATTTGGAAAAGAAACAAAGATTTCAAGAACTGGCTGCTATTTGAATTTTTTCTGACCTAATTCCATGCCACTTTACATACACAACTAAAGTATGCTCTCTCAAAAAAGAAAGCAAAAAAGGAAATGAAAATGATAAAAAAAAAAAAAAGAAATATAGTTGTTTGCTTGGAGGCAGAATTGGTCACTTGCTTATTGAGAAATGGGTCTTTATACTGACATTAATTCCTTAAATGTAATCAATGAAATAATTTTATTATTTAACAGACACAAAAAAACCCCATCTGTTTCTATAGTTGACTATTATTGGAACAAACAATGCAGTTTGTATCTTTGTCTGAGAAAATTTTATTTTGCATATAGTGCAGTAAAGTACCAGGAAAATGAAATGTGGAGTCTGACCATCTTTAAGTCAAAAATGCAGTACAGACCTAATGTTTAACAGCTATATGACATTAATGTACTTAACTATCCTGAGTCCTAGCTTCCTTTTCTGTAAATTTTTGTTAGTACGCCATTGATATATTTATTTTGATCAGGGAGAAACGTGAAGTTTGTCATTCTGTGCCTGGCTTATTTCACTTAAAATAATTACTTCCAGTTCCGTCTATGTTGTTGCAAATGACAGGATCTCATATTTTACAGATGAATAGTGCTTCATTATATATATATATATATATATATACTACATTTACTTTATACATTCCTCTGTTGATAGACATTTAGGTTGCTTCCAAATCTTGGTTAATATGAAGAGTGCTGCAATAAATACGGGAGTGCAGTTATCTCTTCGATATACTGATCTCCTTTCTTTTTCTTTTCTTTTTTTTTTTTTTTTTTGAGACGGAGTCTCGCTCTGTCGCCCAGGATGGAGTTCAGTGACACAATCTCCGCTCACTGCAAGCTCCGCCTCCCAGGTTCACGCCATTCTCTTGCCTCAGCCTCCTGAGTAGCTGGGACTACAGGTGCCCACCACCATGCCCGGCTAATTTGTTGTATTTTTAGTAGAGACGGGGTTTCATCGTGTTAGCCAGGATGGTCTCTATCTCCTGACCTCATGATCTGCCCGCCTTGGCCTCCCAAAGTGCTGGGATTACAGGCGTGAGCCACCCCACCTGTCCTTATTTCCTTTCTTTTGGATATATACCTAGCAGTGGGATTGCTGGATCGTATGTTAGTTCTATTTTTAGTTTTGTGAGGAACTTCCAAACTATTCTCCATAGAGGTTGTATTAACTTACATTCCCCACAGCAGTGTACAAGGGTTTCTTTTTCTCCACAACCTCACCAGCATTTGCTATTGTCTGTCTTTTAAATAAAATCCATTTTAGCTGGCATAAGATGACATCTCATTGTAGTTCTGATTTGCATTTCTCTGATGATCAGTGATATTGAGCACGTTTTCATAGGTCTGTCATTTGCATGTCTTCTTTTGAGAAATGTCTGTTCAGATCTTTGACCTATTTTTTAATCAGATTATTAATTTTTTCCTGTTGAATCATTTATATGTTCTGGTTATTACTCCCTTGTCAGATGGATAGTTTGTTAGTATTTTCTCCAATTCTGCAGGTTGTCTCTCCACTTTGTTGATTGTTTCATTTGCTGTGCAATAGCTGTTGTTGTTTTTTTGTTGTTGTTGTTTGTTTGATATAATCCCATTTGTCCATTTCTGCTTCGGTTGCCTGTGCTTTGGGATATTACTCAAGAAATCTTTGTTCAGTCCAACATCCTGGGGCATTTCCAGTAACTGTGCCTGGCTCATTTCACTTAAAATAATAACTTCCAGTGGACAGATCTGGAAGTTATTATTTTAAGTGAAATGAGCCAGGCACAGTTACTACAATGTCTTCCTGTAATAGTTTCATAGTTCAAGGTCTCAGATTTAAGTCTTTAATCAATATTTATTTTATTTTTGTATATGACAAGATATAGAAATCTAGTTTCATTCTTCTGCATATGGATATCCAGTTTTCTCAGCACCATTTATTGAGGAAATTGTACCTTCCTCAATGTATGTTCATGATACTTTTTGTGAAAATGAGTTTTCTACAGATGTATGAATTTATTTCTGAGTTCTCTATTCATTCCATTTATCTATGTGTTGGTTTTCATGCCAGTACTATGATGTTTTGTTTACTATAGCTGTATAGTATAATTTGAAGTCAGGTAGTGTGATTCCTCCAGTTTTGTTCTTTATGCCCAGGATGGCTTTTTTTATTCTTTTGTTATTTTCATTTATTTATTTGTGTGTGTGTGTGTGTGTGTGGTTCCATATAAATTTTAAGTTAGCTTTTTATACTTCTGTTAAAAATGTGATTGGTATTTGATAGGTATTGCATCAAATCTGTAGATTGCTTTGGACAGTATCTTCATTTTAACAATATTGATTGTCCCTGTCAATGAACATGGCATATCTTTCCATTTTTTGTGTGTGTGTCTTCTTTGGTTTCTTTTGTCAATGTTTTATAGTGTTCATTGTAAAGATCTTTTACTTCTTTGATTAAGTTAATTCCTAGGTATTTTATTTGTAGCTATTGTAAATGGGATTACTCTTTTGATTTCTTTTTCAGATTGTTGGCCATTGACACATAGAAATGCTATGGATTTTTGTATGTTGATTTTATATCCTGCAACTTTACTGAATTTGCCTATCACTTCTAATTTTCTTTTAGTGAAGTATTTAGGTTTTTCCAAATATAAGGTCATATTATCTGCAACCAAGAATAATTTTACTCCTTTCTTTCCAATTCAGATGCCCTTTATTTCTTTCCTTTTTTTCTTGGTTGGTCTAGCGAGGACCTCCACTAGTATGTTGAGTAACAGTGGTAAAAGGGAGCATTCTTGACTCCTTGCAGATCTTAGAGAAAAAGCTTTCAGTTTTTCCGCTTTCAGTATGATCTAGCTATGGGTCTGGCACATATGACTTTTATTGTATTGAGTTAGGTTCCCTTTATACCCTGAATAATCTACTTTGTTTAAGTGTACCTCTCTTGTTCTTGTTTGGGTTCCATTATTATTGAACCTTTTTCCATCTCTTCAATTTCACTCTATCTGTATCTTTATAGGTGAAGTGTGTTTTTTTGTAGGCAACAGCTCATTGGGTCCTGCCTATTTTTTTTTTTCAATCCATTCAGCCGCTGTATGGGTTTTGATTTGAGAGTTTAGTTCATTTACATTCAATGTTAATACTGATAAGTAAGAACTTACTTCTACCATTTTGTCATTCATTGACTGGTTGCTTTGTGGTCTTCACTTATTTCTTTTCTTTCTTCTCGTCTTCATTTCATTGAGGATGATTTTCTCTTGTAGTATGTTTTAATTTCTTGATTTTTATTCTTTATGTTTCTATTTTAGGTCTTTTTTTATTTGAAGTTTGAAAATAAATTTTCAATAATAATAATAAATACTTGAAAATAATAGTAAATGTTTGAAAATAACACCTAATATCCATTATTTTAAACTAACAAGTTAACATTGATTGCATAAACAATCTAACAGATAAGCAAAGAGAAAACTAATAAAAACTGAACAGTAATTTCATCCCTCTGCTTTTAAATTTATTGTTGTTTTTACTTATATCTTATGCTGTCTATGTCTTAAAAAGTTGTAGTTATTATTTTTGACTGGTTAATTTTTTAGTCTTTCTACTCAAGATAAGAGTAGTTTACATACCAAAAGTACAGTGTTATAATATTCTGTTTTCTGTGTAATTACTATTACCAGTGAGTTTTGCGTCTTCAGATGATTTCTTATTGCTCATTATTGTCCTTTTTTTTTCAGATTGTAGAACTACCTTCAGCTTTTCTTTTGGAAAGTTCTAGTGTTAATTAAATTCCTCAGCTTTTGCTTATCTGGGAATATCTTTATTTCTCCTTTGTGCTTGAAGGGTATTTTCTCTGGATATACCATTTCAGAATAAAATTCAAAATATAAAACTAAATTGAATCTCTCTATATTATCAGTATAATTAATATTGATATATACATCGTGCCATTCACATTATCAACATAAAAAATACCTAGGGATGAACTTATTGGAAAATGTGCAAGACCTGTACATTGAAAACATCAACATATTGCTTAGGAACATTTTTTTTTAAAACTACATAATTTGAGATATATCGTGCTTCTGGTTGAGAAAGTTTAATATTGTTAAGATGTCATTTCTCCCTAAATTTATCCATAGATTTAATCTCTATCAAAATCTCTTTCAAAATCTTAGCAGGCATTTGTGAAGACGGTTAAGTCTATCTCTAAAATTTATTTGGTAAAAATAGGGAATAAATGAGAGAAATGATATTGATGAACAAAAGTGTCAGACCTGATTTCAAAACTTATGAAGCTAAGTGTAACTGGTGTACATACCTATATAGAAGAATGAAACAGAATACAGAGTACAGAAATAGATCCACATATGTATGGTGTTTTGATTTTCAACAAAGTGGACAAAGTCAATCTTTACTCCAGAGATTTCTAAAATATTATTTCATCCAAGCTCATGTGGAAAATGATATTACCTGTAACTTAAACAAGTAACTCAAAAACTCTGTTACCTCAGACCCTCTCTACAGGCTTCAGGGTCTAAAAGAATATCTTGGTACATCTGTAACCTGGGACACAAATTTGTGAGTCCTGCCTCATTGAACTAAATTTACTTGTAAATGACTAAATAAAGTCCTATTGGGAAAAATGTTAGCTTGAGAGCTAGGTGAAAATAAAATTACATTTTTGTACAGTTGAATTTTTTAAACATCACTATTTGTGAAATTTCAACTCAGCCCTTGTTACTATTAGTGGTATGCCCAATGCATGAACCAAATTCTAGTTCTACTCATGGGCAATCAGAAGATAAGGGCTGAAGTCTCACTTTCTAAATACCGAAGTAGCTTCATGTCTGGGCCATTAACATTGACTTTTTATTGTGAGATCCTTTTTTATTACTTCTATCCCAATGTTATTATTTGTTGCAGTGTATTTGAGAACAATTAAGAGCAAGAAGCCAAAAACATAGACATTCAAGGGCATTGAAACAAAATCAGGTAATTCAGAGAGAATCAATTAAAACTGCATCCATAGGTGAATAGACAATAGATATAAAGTGGGATCTGACAAGATGAGAGCAACGCAGAAAAACATGTTCTACTTATTGTAGGTTCAATATAGTCAATGCATAAGAAATAACTGCTTACTGGTGTTGTTAAATAACCTGGAACAAAAGACTAAGAATGAGTGTGAACTTTCTCTGGAAGTCTCTAAAATTATAATGGGTATGGAATAACCTACCCTATATTGCCTTAAAGTTGAGAGGTATTAAAAAAAAAATCTCTACCCTCATTTCATTCTAAAGTCACAGGGGAAGGAAATCAAAATTTTTCTTTCTATATACTAAGTACAAGTAACTTTGTAACATTTATATTTTATATCCACTCATGTGGTGGGCACATTTTCATTAGTGCTTCTTACAGGTAAAGAAAGACTCAGAGAAATTAAATAGGTTGTCAAAGAACACACAGATGGTAAGTGGTGAGCTTGGACTTTGTGCTTTGTTTTAAATCTGAATTTTGTGATTTTTCTATTATGCTAGGGAAAAATAACCACAATGAGAATTTTCACATTTTATATAGAGCAAAATTATTTTAGTTCTTAGTTTATTTTCAATAGCATATTTTAAGTTGCTTAAATAAACATTTCAAATTTCATTTTTAATATCATTTGTTGAACTTTCTTACTATCCTGGAAAAATTAGAAACTGATGTTTCCATTATCCTTCAGGAGGGAAATTGGAAAAAAAGAAACTGCCTTTTATTTAAAATCATCCACAAGGTCTATGGAAGAGCAATACGGTTTCCTAGGTCCCTGTAATAGCAGCTTACACCAATAGCATTCCTTTAATGACACAAAGCACAACAGAGGATTATAAATATGAATTTGCTGAATTAAATTATTTTCCTAGATATATGGAACAAAGTGCATGCTCACCCTGGCATAGCCACTTTTCCATTTCTCCTTAAATATTAAGAATATGTACAGAATTAATTTTGATTATTTGATCACTTTTTTAACCTCTGGATAAAAGTAATCATGAGATTTACTGTTTAAAGAAATAAAGAGACCATATGACCAATTCTTATTTTTCAGAAAATATTTCTTTTTTAATTTTATTTTTCCATTTTTTTAATATTATACTTTAAGTTCTGGGTTACGTGTGCAGAATGTGCAGGTTTGTTACATAGGTACATATGTGCCATGATGGTTTGCTGCACCCATCAACCTGTCATCTAGGTTTTAAGCCCCACATGCATTAGGTATTTGTCCTCATGCTCTCCATCTTTTTGCCTGCCATCCCCGACAGGCCCCAGTGTATGATGTTCCCCTCCTTGTGTCCATGTGTTCTCATCGTTCAACTCCCACTTATGAGTGAGAACATGCAGAGTTTGGTTTTCTGTTCCTGTGTTAGTTCGCTGGGAATGATGGTTTCCAGCTTTATCCATGTCCCTGCAAAGGACATGAACTCATTCATTTTTATGGCTGTGTAGTATTCCATGGTGTATATGTGCTACATTTTTTTTTATCCACTCTAACATTGAATGGCATTTCGGTTGGTTCCAAGTCTTTGCTATTGTGAATAGTGCTGCAGTAAACATACATGTGCATGTGTCTTTATAGTAGAATAATTTATAATCCTTTGGGTATATACCCAGTAATGGAATTGCTGGGTCAAATGATATTTCTGGTTCTAGATCCTTGAGGAATCACCACACTGTCTTCCACAATGGCTGAAATAATTTACACTCCCAACAACAGTGTAAAAGCATTCCTATTTCTCCACTTCCTCTCCAGCATCTGTTGTTTCCTGACTTTTTAATGATCACCATTCTAACTGGTGTGAGATGGTATCTCATAGTGGTTTTTTGATTTGCATTTTTCTAAGAACCAGTGATGATGAGCTTTTTTTCATATGTTTGTTGGCCCCATAAATTTTTTATTTTGAGAAGTGTCTGTTCATATCCTTTGCCCACTTTTTGATGGTTTTTTTTTTTCTTGTAAATGTGTTGACGTTCCTTATAGATTCCAGATATTAGCCCTTTGTCAGATGGATAGATTGCAAAAATTTTCTCACATTCTGTAGCTTTCTCGCTCACTCTGATGATAGTTTCTTTTGCTGTGCAGAAGCTCTTTAGTTTAATTAGATCTCATTTGTCAATTTTGGCTTTTGTTGCCATTGCTTTTGGTGTTTCAGTCATAAAGTCTTTGTCCAACCCTATGTCCTGAATGGTATTGCCTAGGTTTTCTTCTAGGGTTTTTATCATTTTAGGTTTTACATTTAAGTCTTTAATCCATCTTGATTTCATTTTTGTATAAGGTGTAAGGAAGGGGTCCAGTTTCAGTTTTCTGTATATGGCTAGCCAATTTTCCCAGCACCATTTATTAAATATGGAATCCTTTTCTCATTGCTTGTTTTTGTCAGGTTTCTAGAAGATCAGATGGTTGTAGCTGTGTTGCATTATTTCTGCAGCCTCTGTTCTGTTCCGTTCATCTATGTTTCTGTTTTGGTACCAGTACCATGCTGTTTTGGTTACTCTAGCCTTCTAGTATCATTTGAAGTCAGGTAGCATGATGCCTCCAGCTTTGTTCTTTTGCTTAGGATTGTCTTGGCTATAAGGGCTCTTTTTTGGTTCCATATGAAATTTAAAGTAGTTTTTTTTCTAGCTCTGTGAAGAAAGTCCATGGTAGCTTAATGGGAATAGCATTGAATCTATAAATTACTTTGGGCAGTATGGCCATTTTCACGATATTGATTCTTTCTATGCATGAGCATGAAATGTTTTTTCATTTGTTTGTGTTCTCTCTTATTTCCTTGAGCAGTGGTTTGTACTTCTCCTTGAAGAGGTCCTTCACATCCCTTGCAAATTGTATTCCTAGGTATTTTATTTTCTTTGTAGCAACTGTGAATGGGAGTTCACTCATGATTTGGCTTTCTGTCTATTATTGGTATGTAGGAATCATTGTCATTTTTTGCACAATGATTTTGTATCCTGTGACTTTGCTGAAGTTGCTTATCAGCTTAAGGAGTTTTGGGGCTGAGATGATGGGGTTTTCTAAATATATGATCATGTCATCTGCAAACAAAAACAATTTGACTTCTTCTCTTCCTATTTGAATACACTTCATTTATTTATCTTGCCTGATTGACCTGGCTAAGATCAGAGCAAAACTGAAGGAGATAGAGACATGAAAAACCCTCCAAAAAAATCAATGAATCCAGGAGCAGGTTTTTTGAAAAGATGAACAAAATAGATAGACCACTAGCCAGTATAATAAAGAAGAAAAGAGAGAAGAATCAAATAGACACAATAAAAAATGATAAAGGGGATATCACCACTGATCCCACAGAAATACTAACTAGCATCAGAGAATACTATAAACACCTCTACTCAAATAAACTAGAAAATGTAGAAGAAACGGATAAATTCCTGGACACATACATCTGCCCAAGACTAAACAAAGAAGAAGTTGAATCCCCAAATAGACCAATAACAAGTTCTGAAATTGAGGCAGTAATTAATAGCCTACCAACCGAAAAAAGCCCAGGACCAGATGGATTCACAGCCGAATTTTACCAGAAGTACAAAGAAGATCTGGTGTCATTTCTTCTGAAACTATTCCAAATAATAGAAAAAGAGACACTCCTTCTTAACTCATTTTATGAGGCCAGCATCATTCTGATACCAGAACCTGGCAGAGACACAACAAAAAAAGAAAATTTCAGGTCAATATCCCTGATGCACATTGATGCAAAAATTGTCAATAAAATACTGTTAAACCGAATCCAGCAGCACACCAAAAAATTTTTCCACCACGATCAAGTCGGCTTCATCTCTGAGATGCAAGGCTGTTTCCACATGTGCAAATCAATAAACATAATCTATCACATAAACAGGACCAGTGACAAAAAAAACACATGATTATCTCAATAGACGCAGAAAAGGCCTTTGATAAAATTCAACACCCCTTCATGCTAAAAATGCTCAATAAACTAGGTATTGATGAACGTATCTCAAAATAATAAGAGTTATTTATGACAAATCCATAGCCAATATTACACTGAATATCAATAGCTGGAAGCATTCCCTCTGAAAATCGGCACAAGACAACGATGCCCTCTTTCACCACTCCTACTCAACATAGAAAGTATTTGAAAAGTTAGTAAAGCAATGCTGCAACCAGAATCTGGATCTCCTGACTCCAGATAATTGTTCTATCTTCTGTGTCCCACTGACTTTAATTGACCCATGTAGTTTATTACTGTCTAACTAAAAACAGTTTTTTAACATTTGAGAATCTTTTTGAGAAACTTGATTGTTGTCAAAGAGTATGTTTATATAGTGTTCAAAACGCCACCATACTGAGTATGCTGCTATAATAAGAAGACTAAGCCGAACCCTACTGCCAATTTTGAAAAGCAGCAGCACAACGAAAATCAACAAACTCTAAAATCTTGTCATACAGTGTATGGACTATTGGTATGGCTATTATTTCTCCTTGACAGCTTCTGAGTGAGAATTCTAACATTTCATCTTGTCTGTATTTTACACTGTCAAGATAAGTTCAGAGACATCTTACAATTAATGTATGTAAGAATTATAAGCAATGCAGAAGCTTATCAGAGAAATGTTGGTTTCAATAGAAATTCTACCTAATCTTGTAGTATAGATTCCTGTAAAAAGTTGTCAAACCCACCCCAAAATAAGAAATTTTAAAACTAACCAAATTACATGTGCAGTCTATACAATTTAATATGACAGTTAATACTTAGGATTTTATTGTTATTGTTGTTGTTGTTTTAAATATCCAGGGAACTGAATCTAAATAGTACAGTTTGTGGTAAATGTAAAGAATATTATTCTAATAAATGCCATTTTAATAATTAGATGGGAATTGTTCTGATTATTACACAATAAATAATCTGTTTCGATAGAAGGATCAAAGGTGTAAATTTCATGACCATTCAGTAAAGGCACTTATTAGAAATTTTACTGGAGGGGAAAATGGTAGGGAGGGATAACAATCTATAGTAAAACCATGCCACTTAGCAATACTATTGGTTTCTGGCTTTTCAAATATACTATGCACTTAATCCTCTTTTGAGAGAGCAATTATAATAATTTTAAATACATGAAAACCAAAAATGAATTTCATTAAAATTACATTTCCCAGTTAGGACAAAAGAAACACGAAAATATGTTTCCTAAAGTTACAATACAGGTTCTCATTGTGAGATTCAATGAAATTTTATACGTCGCCTATCAGCAAAAAGGAATTAACAAAATATTTCTGTTATTCTCTCTTCTTATAATTTTATTTTATTTATTTTTTGCTATAGAAGAAGAAGTACTGAATAGGTAAATATGGAACACCATAAAGATATGGAGGATACTCTCAAAAACAGATTTTTGAGAGACAATATTAACATGTATGAAATAATTCAAACATATGCAACATAATGTTCAACCACTTTTCTAAGTCAGAGACTGTTGAGCTGGGTAAGATATTGACCCCTCAGCCCTCAGGGAAGCCAGGAGCCATTCGTTTATCCCTTTATGCCATATAAATATTATATGTTTTATGATATTGCTAATGGTAAAAAATATTGGCCTGGACAACGCATTTTATAGAGTGCTTAAAAAGGGAAACATCACTGTGGATTTCAGGGAAGAAAAAAGATGGGGAATGTGATTGATAGGACGCTTACAGTATTCAGGAGATATATCTGCTTTCTTTCAAGTTTAGAATGCTTAGCTCAAAAGAGACCTGTCTGGCTGATGTCCTGTCTGGCTTCTCAAGTCATAAGTCATACTGTCTGGCTGCCTATGTATATTTGGGGATAAACAAGAGGGAAAGGACGATAGTGTGAGTGTGAGCCAAGGTGATTTTAGAACTCTTGCAATTGATTCACCAATTCAAGAGTCCTACAGAACTCAAGGTCAGTCTAACTCTAAGGTGAAAAACCCAGATCAGTTTTGCAGTGACTGAATGCTTCCCACAGTCCAGGCATATCCAACCCATATGGAAAAATGTATTAGATTAGTGCCTTTAGTTTATGAACCAGGCATGACTTATCTGTCCTTTAATGGAGTATAAAATAGTATTTCTAGTATCCCCCAAAGTGACAAAATGTGCTTTTAGAGATTCAAAATGAAGGTTCTCATTAGAAACTATTCAAAAATGGAAATAGACAACAGACCATTAATCTTTTAAAGCAAAGGTTTTGTAACCCTTTATTTTTTACTTTACGGAAACTCTAATTTTACTACACTTATCAAAATGTAATCAATGTATTTTTAGAACATTTTTTAAGAAATTCACATTCTGCAGTTTTAGATGATCTAACCAAATTTATTTTAACTGTAAGAAACATGTATAGGCAAAAGTTATGCTTTTTAAAAATTTTTTTGTTAACTGGAACACATAGCTAGCTCATCTTGCGACTACCTTTACAACATAATGAGTTCTTTTTTCCAAGAGACGTTTATGTATTTATTTAAGAATAAATCAGATTTCTGAAAATGTTGTCAGGGAATAAATAGCTTTAATGTCTTTTTATTTTAATAAAGTTGGTAAAGCAATGAAAAGTTATTTTGAAGTAAGCTTAATAAATATTAAATGTATTATTATGGTATTTGATGTTCAAAGTACCTATACACATTTTACAGACAATTTTTATATTTAAAACCCTTTTATTTCTCTGAGACCACTATTAAAATAGCTGACAGGGGATAATTTATTTTGTACAGTGAATTCCTGATTGTTGTACAAGGAAAAGTTCTCTCACCTTTCATTCAACAATTCATCTTTCTGAAGTGATTTATTTTACTATTTCCAGACATGCTGCATTACCTATAGACTTGGCATGTGCTTTTTCTTTCTTTCTTTCTGGAAATTGACTGAGTCCTAACTAGTATGCACATTATAACAAGTTATAAACTTGCAACATTTTACATTATTACAGAAAATTCTGTTGTCTTGTTTTGTACAATTTTACAAACATGCGTATATGCTGTTGTATAAAATTAAGAGAAATATTAAGATGTAAATATATGTAAATTATGTCAGATTATCTTTGATAAATAAGATGCAATTATAGGGCCAGGCCCTGTGGCTCATACCTGTAATCTCAGCACTTTGAGAGGACAAGGTGGGCAGATCACCTGAGGTCAGGAGTTCGAGACCAGCCTGGCCAACATGGTGAAACCCCATCTCTACTAAAAATACAAAACTTAGCCAGGCTTGGTGGCACACGCCTGTAATCCCAAAACTTGAGATTCTGAGGTAGGAGAATAGCTTGAACCTGGAAGGCAGAGGTTACAGTGAGCCTAGATTGTGCCACTGCACTCTAGCCAGGGAGAAAGAACGAGACGCCATCTCAAAAAAAAAAAAAAAAAAAAAAGTAGTTGTATTACATATTAGGTGGCAAAATCAATAGTGAAATAGTATTTGGGGTATCAGAAATATTTGTTGTTATCTCATGAGTGAGAGTGTATTTGCTTAGTTTCTGATTAGTAAAGAAATGCTCCAACATGCAAGTGGCATTTATAGGAAAGAAAGAGAAAAAGATTACTTTATATATTTTATATGCTAATGATATTGTGTTTATCTTGATGGTGTGAAAGAGAAAAATTAAAGACTAATAATTTTGATTAATGAGATTTAAAAAACTGGGATCCAATGGATATAAACACTATGGCTTGTCGATGTCTGTGTCATTGGCAAAGTCATTTTCTCCAATTTTTTTATTTGTAAAATTTCCCCTTCCAGCTCTGAAGTTCTATAATCATCTGCCACCAAAACGTGTTACTGTAATTCTGAGATTATTTTACATATATTTCTTTCACTTTACTCATATATATATAATATATATATCTATTATATATATGTGTGTCTGTGTGTGTGCAACATATATATTTTGGTTTATTGATAAACAATAGAATGTCTAGGAACAACTTTTTTTTTCTTTTCTTTGTTTTTAGCTAACAACTATTAATTTGGATTCTGATCCTTAGATGCACTTGCTTACAAGTTCAAAATCAGGCTGTGTTTGAAAAGGCAAAATTTAGATAATAAATAATTACATTAGGGAACCGCAAATTGCTTTTGAACACTGGCTTGATTTATTATTCTTATTAGAATCTCCTTTGAAAAGATATTCTTCAAAGTGAAGCTGTACTTTTGAAACATGACAGAAAGCTTGTGGAAAGTCTCAGGAAAAAGTTCAATAGGAATAAACATGTGGAAAATTTTCCTGCTTTTGCTCAACAATTAATTTTATGTAAATAAGAAACACACTGGCTCCCCTTTGTTATAAAGGTCACTGCTAATGTTATCTTTCCTCCAGTCTCTGGTTTGCTTTTTTAAACAATTTTAATGACTCAGCATGCTTTATAAGCAATGTATGCCATTTCCTATTTGAAAACTCTCCAGATGGAGAGTTCTATCATGAAGCTGAGTGCCTTTATCTCAAACCTTGCCAAGCAGAAGACAGAAATGTGGGAGTCATGACTATATAAATGATTGATGAAATTTTAAGAGTGGGTTATATGAGATAGAGGGACATCAAATACACACCAACCAAGGAGAAGTATTCTGATTGGAAAAGGAAAAGGAAGAGTGTGTCATGTTTTAGAAGGTAAGGAACAGGAAAGTTTTGGTAATGAACAACTGGTGCATACTGCCTAATGCTTTGGATTTCAATTAGGATAACAGCTGAGTCATTCACATTGGCATTAGATAATATAGAGGATTAATGTTCTTGATGAAGCTGGATTGGACAGACTTTGAAGAAAAATGATGAAAAGTATTCTTAGTTGAAGAATTAATGTGAATATAAGAAAGTCAATTAGTGAGTCTAAACTATTCTGAAAGGGTAAGCTGAGTAAGAATGTAGAGCTAAATACTGGTAACTAAATGTGATATAGATGGAAATATATATATATATATATATATATATATATATATATATATATATATTTTGGTTAGAAACATGTACTAAAATGGGAAACTAAAGGCAATAAAGAGGGAGAGATTAAAGATACATAAGAATAAGGAAGGCATTTGAGTCAGAAAAACACAGCATTACAGAAGAAAGTAGCCATAAATATGGGGCAAGTAAAGTGAGAATGGGTGCATATACAGAAAAATGAACACATGTGGATGGGAACAGAAAGTTGGTCAACTGCACTCTTATAATTCCTTTATATAGTGAATTAAGAGGCTTTCTTATATACTTAAAGACTATGTATTTTTAATGTAATACATTAAGTTATAATTCTAGTACAAAAAGTCACATTTTGTTTCTTCTTCCTTTTCAATATCTAGTGATACTGATAAGTGTATATTTAATAGCATGCTCCATCTTATGGACATTAATAAATTGGTTTTCATTTTAGAGGTAAAGACTATATCACCTTCTAACTAGAGATGGTCTCTGAAAACAAATAGATTATTAATGTTTTATTTTACAACTAAAATTATCCTATTCAAATATACGTTATTAAAACCTCTTATGAAAAGCCTTTTGAGGTTTGTTATTCCAGAGCCACTGCTAAAAATGTGATGTGAATGGTTACGTTTGGGGTTGTGCAATGTAGCAGTTGCTTTTATGATCCAAGGGTCAGGGATCCTCCCCATGTTCCACTTGGTCACAAGATTACTTGATTACTTCTCTGATGGCTACAAGGCAATTTCAGAGATTAGATCCATGCATAAAAAGAGCTCTAATTTGGTGTATTAAAGAGCAAGGGTGATAGTTACACAACTGTAGGCCAGCTAGTGCTTTCCTCATTTCCTACATTCAGATATTAATAAAAGCAACTCAAGATACATATTTTAGAACACTATCATGCTTGTATAAATGAAGTCTGTTTTCAAACTATAGAATCCGCTCATATTTTAACTAATTTTTATATATAAATTATATATATTTCCATAAAGTATATCTATATTTAGAAAAAATTCCAAAAATTATTTTTCTTTCTCAAATTTTTAGCTGATAAATAATTACATATTAAGAATTCATTAATCAGTTCCTACTCAATGGAACTCTTCAATGATACTAGTTTTAACAGGAATTATGAAGTAAATTTCTAGTGTATTTCAAAACATCCTTATCTTTTAGTTGTTTACTATTTTTTAGATATTTACTGCACTCAATATACTTGACAGTGCACTAGAAGAACAAAATAAACAGAACATACATTTCCGTACTTTATTGATGACATCATTGCCATTTGTTTTGCCTCAAAGAAAGAGATTGGCATCCCTCTTTTTTCTCTAGAAAGTACCATTTATTTTTCCTCAAAGCCATGGAAAGTTTTTTTTCTTGTGTGTTTCTAAAGCATTCAGACACCCACAAAGTCAGTCTCACACTTAGTGATAAGCTGAAAACCATAATAATAATTTGTGGATTTGCAGATGATTATATATAGTTTAGACATGTTTAAGGGAAGGAAAACTGAAATTCTCTGCTTAATAAGAAAACTCGAGTTTGGTCTGGGGATTAGCAGAGGAAAAGGAAAGAAAGGCCTTGGCAAGATGACAAGGGTCTGGAGCAAGAAGAAAACGAATAGGCAGTGAAAAATTACCTTTCTTAGGACATGCATGATGTATTTCTAGAAAAAGTGATGCCTAACATTGGATTTAAAGTTATTTTCCCATGGGAAATGGTAGCTCATCCCTGTAATCCCAACGGTTTTGGAGGCCAAGGTGGAAGGATCACTTGAAGCCAAGTATTCAAGACCAGCCTGTGCAACATATTGAGACCTCATCTTTACAAAAAACTAAAGTTATTTCCAGCACCATATGATAATTACATTCTGCTACTACCTAACCTTTAGAAAGGTCTGCCAACTAAAACCACCTGGTGATAGGGTAAATAGGTGTGAATGAAGTAACAGTGACAAAATCTAGCAAAGGTCAACACTGTAGAAGTAAGTTAGAGCAGAAAAGGCAGCTGTGTAGGCTGATTCATCAATAAAAATGAAAGAAACCACTTGTTCTACATATAATAGAAGAATGAGAGCTTTAAGATGGAGGACAGATGTTCAAATGCTACTTAACATCTATAGAAAATACTAATAATGCCTAAATTGCCTCATTCCCAAAGAAATCTGGGTGAGACAGCAGAGCAGGGACAACATAGATTCATTGCAACCCTTTCTATGTCACTATTGTCTTCTAAATTTGAAAAGTATTAAAAATAACATGCAATAAGTTTAAATTAATCACCCAAAAGCAAACCACATTAAAAATGTGAAAACACACTTTCATATATTTACAGTGTGAACAGGTGGGTAAGTGAGAAAGCTTAAGCAGTGTCCCCTTTCAAGAAGAGGGGAAAAGTTTTGTGAGGGTTTGAAGAAGGCAAATCACTGAGAAGTTGCTTCCTGAGCAAGAACAAATTATGTTCCGGGGCTAATGAGAACATGAGAGAGGGTGAGTTATCAGCCTCTTATGGCTATTATTAATCTATGGTTTCCAGCAATTTCCTTGGATTCTAAGACACATCCAATTTGTGATAGTAAACAAAATCTTTCTTTCTAGCATAAATATTTAAGGCATTTCAAGGCAGGCAAGACTCTGAGAGGCATCACAACATTCTTGTAAGCTTCATTATGAAACAGTTTAGTCAAAATTCTATTCATTAATTTACCTGATTTTTTCTTTTTTTTTTTTTTTTTTTTTAGTATTTACCAAACCCTGGAGAAGCAGCTATGAATAAGACATATTTTGGTTTTGCCTTTCTGGAGTTTGTTCATATTCTGGAAGAGCAGGGAAACAATAAGAATGCCTGTTGCTCTTTCTTCTGGTTACTACGACTACCTAACCAATTACCCCAAAATGCAGTGGCTTAAAACAATAACAAACATCCATCTGCCATTTGCACAGGACTAATAGGGACAAAGGTTAGGGGTTGAAATCATATAAGGGCTCATTATTTACATGTGTAATGTTGGAGGCTGACTGTGAACCGAAACTTTTCTGTCAGGTGGAGGAACTATACACAGGCTTACTATGCCTGAGCGTCCTCAAAACATGGTGTGTGGATTCCAAGTACTAGCAGTCATAAAAAGAGAGAGAAGAGAGGAGAAAGAGAAAGAGAGAGAGACAGAGAGAGAGAGAGACCTGTACTTTTATTGTTTTTGGTTTTTACCTATCCTTGAAAGTCACCCAGCATTATCTATTTCAGCACATTCTATTCATTGCAACAGTCATTATGTCTCACCCAGATTCAAAAGGAGGAGAAATAGACACCATTTAATGTGTGGTGACAAGGTTCTAAAAATTTGTGAACTGAAATACGGCTGTGGTCATTTTTGGAATATGCGATTTGGCACATTATGTTATTTCAGCTTCTAATTTGGTAAACAAAAACTTGAACATAGTATTATTTAAAATACACATTTACTTAAAATCTTTGATATATTAAATTTATTTATGTCTCTTTAGAGTTTTATTATTTACTACTACTATCATGATAATTCGCTTGTAAATTTCCAAATCCCATTGGCCTTTTTCTCAGCTAGAGACTAAAAGTTTGAGTGTAACATTCAAAAGTCAACATTGTAAGAAGTCTAGTGAAAAGAACTATATTAAATTTATTAGTTCAGAATATTTAATTTGAAATGTTTCTTGAAAAGAAAGCAGCACTTTGTCAAGTGGTTTTTCACATTAACCTATAGAGAAAATATCATAAATAGACTGTGTCTACTATCCCCAGCTCACTCCAATAAGAGTTAGCATTTTGTCTTACTTCATGGTCATTTAACCTAAAAGAACTTGTTGCCCTGGCATAATGTAAAGAAAGCTTTATCCCAAGTGAATTCTGTGTCATATAATACTGTTCTAACACATTCTCTGTGTTATGTTATACAGTAGAAATTGGTTCACCCTTAAAAAAATGTTCGACACAGCTCCAGGTAAAGAAAACAATGAAAAAAAACAAAATTCTTAAAAACAATGTATTAGAAAAATGCAAGGAACATGCCAGTTTTGTTCAGATTAAACGTAAGGGTTCATTAAAGTAGAAAGGGTCACTGCTGAAATGATTACAGTAGTCAAATGACATCAACAAGCCTAAACTTCATCTTTTTTTTTAAAGGTTAGTAGGCGAAAGACTCTCTGCTCTTTGAAAATGTCAAATAAAATGCTACTTTTCCAAAGTGTGAATCATTGTTAATCTAAACATTTCAAGGACAAATAATATTAAGGAAATAAATTTAATAATTATTGTTATCAGAAATTACCATATATTTCTAGAATGTTAGGATGTACTCAAAGAAAGTTTGAAGTAGAGTAAAAACCCACATTTATTATGCTTAAATACAATAACATTAATATAAGGACACTGAAAGAGAAAGAATAATGAAAGACTTATAAATGCAAGTAAAACAGTAGAACTAAAAGAAAACAAAAAGCAGAATGGTGGTTACAAGAGGAAGGAGGGTGGGGGGAATGACCAAAGGATATAAATCCTCAATTAGACAGCAGGAATTTTTTTTTGAGACATATTACACAACATGATGAATATAGTAAATAATATATTTTACATTTCAAAATTGCTAAGAGAGTAACTTTCAAAAATTCTCATGACAATAAATATTTGATGTGATGGATATGTTAATTAGCTTGATTTAATTATTCCACATCTTATTCATAAATTATAACATCACTTTTCACCCCATAAATATATACAACTACAGTTTGTCAATTTACATTTTAAAATAAAATTTAGAAATTCAAGTACAGAGAAAAGAAAATTACTAAAACAGAAATAATAGGCAGAATTAAATGAACACAATTTGTGATAACACAATCTGATGTACTCATTTAAGAATAGGAGACCAGGGTACAGTCTTTGCAGTACTTAGCTATTACTTCATCTATCTCTCTGTACTTCAATTTCTTTCTTAAAAAAGTTATATTTGTCATGGACTACCTGGCAAGGCTGCTGTAAATTAATACTAGTTTGTTTGTAATAGTTTTACATTAAGTTGGAGGCGGTTTCCAATTTTTGTGATTATTTTTAAGCATAGATCTTTTGCACATAAGCTAATGCATTGATATAACTGACTTTGTAAAAATAGAATTTCCAAATAAAAGAATATGTGCATTTTTAATTTTGAAATATGTTAAACATATAGTTTATAGTCTACAACACTGGCAGCTTGGCTAGTCATGTTTCTCTAATAAAATCACACAAGATAAGCCAATATTTTCAGCCACCTGGTATGTAAAAACAAAAGAATGTGGAATATTTGGGAGTTCTTTATTCTTGAATTCCTGATGCCTAGAAGAGACCTAGTGTATGCACAGCACAACTTGCTGAAGTGAACCAAGAGATTAAAAATGGTCATCAAATCCATATGCATGTCAAACATGGGGTACATTCTCAATAAACATGTCTCTCATGACATGTTCTTCTCACATGAAGTACTCTTCTTCAAAGCTCATAGAGGTTCTTGTGAAGAATGACATATATAATTTACTGTCTTATATACTTCAATCCACAGTTGCTTATTCTCTTTTCTTAGACAATTACACAAACTCCTATCAAACAGAAATCCATAGTAACTCTACTTTTTCAAAAAAATTGTCTTAAATTTTATTTTTTATAAAATGTACGATTATCATGGGATAATTTTATACATTTATGAGAATTTTTAATACTAAAATTACATTAAGAGCTTGGAAGGCATTCTTGTTCTTCTTAGAAGAAGAAAGAAGCTAAATAAACAGAATGTCAACAACTTTTATCAGATACATTAGAGAATTCATGCCACAGGACAACTTGTTACCCCGAAACTATAGCAATAGAAAAGCCAATGCAAAAAAGTGATCATTTTTATATACTCACAGAGCTCTCTGTTCTCCTTAGTCAGGCCTACCGTCAAAAGAAACTATTTTAGCATTGCCAAAACAATCTGAGTTTTACCAAAACCTGAGCAACCTAGGGGAAGAGAAATATCCAACCCTTACCCCATCTAGCCTTCAATTTAGAAAGAGAGAAATACCCAACTTAGGCTCACTAAAACCTAATTGGAGGACTACACAATGTTACCTCCACCACCACGACTCACACATGCCATATCGTCACAACAACAGAGCTCCTGTATAATAGCAAGGGGTTAGAGCTTATTTAAAGAGTCCCAGAGAAAACCCAAATACAAAGGACACTAAAACAATAACACTAGGAAAACTTTTAGTTTCTTACACTACAGCTATAACAAAGAATAAATGAATCCTAACTCCTAGCTAGATAAACAGAAAACCTCACACTCAAGTCATGTCTTTGTTAGTTTCTATAACTCAGTTACAGCATGCCCACTTTTTTTTGTTTGTTTTGTTTTGTTTTGTTTTGTTTTGAGACGGAGTCTTGCTCTGTCGCCCAGGCTGGAGTGCAGTGGCACGATCTCGGCTCACTGTAAGCTCCGCCTCCCGGGTTGAAGCCATTCTCCTGCCTCAGCCTCCCGACTAGCTGGGACTACAGGCACCCGCCACCACGCCCGGCTAATTTTTTCATATTTTGAGTAGAGACGGGGTTTCACCGTGTTAGCCAGGATGGTCTCGATTTCCTGACGTCATGATCCTCCCGCCTCTGCCTCCTAAAGTGCTGGGATTACAGGCGTGAGCCACTGCACCCGGCTAGCATGCCCACTTTTAGCAAAAAATTACCTGGCATATTAAAAGACAAAAAGCACAGTTTGAAAAGAAAAGAAAGCAAGCATTAGATCCAGGCTTAAATATGGCAGAAACTTTGAAATTATTAAACTGAAAAGTTTAAACAACTCACACATATATCAAAATCTCTAATGGAAAAAATGAACAACATGCTAGAATAGATAGCTAATGTAACAGAGAGATGGGAAATGTAAAATAGAATCAAAACAAAATACCCCAAATTAAAAACATCATAACAGAAATGAACAATGTCTTTGGTGGTATCATCAGTGGACTGGCCACAGACAAAGAAACGAATCATTGATCTACCCTATGTGTGGAAACTTGAAAAAAAAGGAACTTGAAGATGTGTTAATAGAAATTTGCAAAACTGAAATGCAAAAGACAAATGAATGAAAACAGAAGAGCATATCCAAGAAATATGGGTTAATTCCAAAAGGTATAACATGGATGTAATAAAGATATCATAGGCGAGAAACAGAAAAAATAAGTAGTAATGATTGAGAAATTTTCTTTTTTTTGTTTGTTTGTTTTTTTTGTTTGTTTGTTTTTGAGACGGAGTCTCGCTCTGTCGCTCAGACTGGAGTGCAGTGATGTGATCTCGGCTCACTGCAAACTCCGCCTCCCGGGTTGACGCCATTCTCCTGCCTCAGCCTCCCGAGTAGCTGGGACTACAGGCCCCTGCCACCATGCCCGGCTAATTTTTTTGTATTTTTAGTAGAGACGAGTTTCACCATGTTGGCCAGGATGCTCTTGATCTCCTGACCTCGTGATCCACCCGCCTCGGCCTCCCAAAGTGCTGGGATTAGAGGCTTGAACCACCGCGCCCGGCCGAGAAATTTTCAAAATTAATGACAAACACCAAATCACAGATCAAACAAGCTCAGAGAACACCAAGCAGAATAAGTACTAAAAACATACACATAGACATATTATTTTCAACCTGCATAAAATCAGAGCAAAGAGACAATCTTGAAGAAGTTGAGAAAACAAATAAACAAACACCCTACTTATAGAGAAACAAGGATAAGAATTACATTAAGTATTTTGTCAGAAACCATGAGGGTTATTAGCTCAACAGGGTTGTTCACACCTAAAATTCCAGTGCTGTGGAAGGCAGGAGGATCACTTGAAGCCAGGTGTTCCAGACCAGCCTGGGCAACATAGTGAGATTCTGCCTCAAAAAAAAAAAAAAAAAAAAAGAAAAAGAAAAAGAAAAACTACTCAGGAATGATGGCTTATGCCTGTAGTCCTAACTACTGCAGAGGCTGTCGTAAGAGGGCTGCTTGAGCCCAGGAATTTCAGGCGGCAGTGAGTTTGGAGGGAATAGAGTTAAATGTTTAAAGAGAAGTGTTGAAAACCAAAAACAAAACTCCACTAACCTAGAGTTCTCTATCCAGTGAAATTATCCTTCAAAAGTAAGGACAATAGACTTCCTAAGATAAACAAAAAATAAGGGAAATTGTGACCAGTAAACATGTCTTGTGAGAAATGTTAAAAGAAGTCCTTGACAGAGAAGGAAAATAATATAGGTCCGAAGTGTGGATGTACCTAAAGAAAAAAAAAATTAGAGAAGAAATACAGTTAAAATTAAAAAAATTAATTTATATTTTTAATTGACCTAACAGATAACAATTTGTTCAAGGTAGCAGCAATATATGTGGTGATTACAGAGTATGGATAAATGAAGTAAATGACTGCAGTGTTATTAGGTTTGATAGGGTAAAATTTGGAATGCTCTGTTGTAAGATACTTACACTAACAGTGAGGTGACATAGTTATTTGAAAGGGGACTCAGATTAGTTATAAATGTATATTGTAAATTGTAAAAAACTCATTAAATTTTTTGAAACAATACAATTGTTATAATAAAAGAGGAAATAAAATGAAATTATACAAAGGCAAAATTGAAAGCAGCGGAGGCAGAAAAATATAGAAAACAAAAAAGAAACAATAAGGGCAATGAATGGAAAACAGTTACAAATAATAGACACTAATCCAATGATGACAATAATCACTCTTAATGTAAATAGTACAATATGAATTTTAAAAACAGACAAATAACATCATGATAGATACAAACATAAGATCCAACTATGTGTTATCTACAGGAAACCCACTTCAAATATAAAAACATAGATGGAATAAAAAGTGATTGGATAGAGAAAGACAAATCATGCTAAAACAAATTTAAAAAAAAAAAAAAAAGCTGGGCTAGGCACGGTGGCTCATGCCTGTAATCCCAGCACTTTTGGAGGCCAAGGCGGGCAGATCAGGTCAGGAGTTTGAAACCAACCTGACCAACATGATGAAACCCCGTCTCAACCAAAAATACAGAAATTAGCTGGGTGTGGTGGCGCAAGCCTGTAATCTCAGCTACTCCAGAGGCTGAGGCAGGAGAATCACTTGAACCCAGAAGGCAGAGGTTGCAGTGAGCCAAGATCATGCCACTGCACTCCAGCCTGGGTGACAGAGCGAGACTCCATGTCAAAAATAAATAAATAAATAAATAAAATAAGAAAGAAAATAAAAGCTGGAGTAGCTATTTAAGTAGCTATTTAATTTCAGATAAATCAGACTTCAGAACAAGGAAAATGTTCTGGAATATGAAGAGGCATTAAATAACCATAAAAAGTCAATTACTTAAGAAGAAAAAATAGTCCTTAATGTGTATTATATCAGAAACAGATGACTCTTGAACCTTTAATTTCATTTAAAATATGATAAAAATACTATGCTTGCAAATTTGATAACTTAGATAAGAAGGATCAATTATTTAAATATATAATCCAGAACATACTTTTTAGAAGAGGTGAATAATTTCCTGTTACTGATTTACCTTGAAACAATTGATATCCTAAGCATTCAGTGCCATTTCAAAAGATTATATTGCTTTTTATGCATTCATACAATCTATTTAATGGAGACTGCTTCTACCATATTGTCAGTCAACTCACATTCCTTGAACACCTCTCATTTACCAGTAAAATAGTATTTCTCACATTGTATTAAATATCAAACCCACTGGTGTTATCAGAAGTAAAGAAAATTCAAACATTTACACCTTCCCTTCTGATTTGTGTCTTTCAAGTGCTAACATAATCCTTCATAAGGAAGATATTCTCAATTATATCATGTATTAGTTTGCTTGCAAGCTGCTACGAAGAAATATCTGAGACTGGGTAATTTATAAAGAAAAGAGGTCTAATTGACTCACAGTTCCGCATGGCTGGGGAGGCCTCAGGAAACTTATAATCATTGTGGAAGCCATCTCTTCACAGGGAGGCAGGAAAGAGACTGAGTGCTTAGTAAAGGGGGAAGTCCCTTATAAAACTATCAGATCTTGTGAGAACTCAGTCAGCATCACAAGAACAGCATGAAGGAAACCACCATGTGATTCAATGATCTCCACCTGTTCTTGCCCTTGACATGTAGGGATTATTACAATTCAAGATGAGATTTGGGTGGGGACACAGAACCAAATTATATCACTCTGCCCTTGACCCCTGCAAAATCTCATGTCCTCACATTTCAAGACATAATTATGCCCTTCCCACAGTACCCCAAAGTCTTAACTTATTTCAGCATTAACTCAAAAGTCCACAGTCCAAAGTCTCACCTAAGACAAAGCAAGTCCCTTCCACCTATGGGCCTGTAAAATGAAATCAAGTTAATTATTTCCTAGATACAATGGGGATACAGGCATTGGGTAAATACACCCATTCCAAATGGGATAAATTGGACAAAACAAAGGGGCTACAAGTCCCATGCAAGTCTGAAATCTAACAGAGTAGTCATTAAACCTTAAGGTTCCAAAATGATCTCCTTTGACTCCATGTCTCACATCTAGGTCACACTGATGCAAGAGGTGGGTGCTCATGAACTTGAGCAGCTCTGCCCCATGGTCCTGCAGGATACAGTCCCCCTCCTGGCTGCTTTCACAGGCTCGTGTTGAGTGTTAGCAGTTTTTCAAGGTGCATGGTACAAGCTGTTGGTGGATCTACCATTCTGGGGTCTGAAGGACAATGTACCTCTTCTCACAGCTCCACCAGGCAGTGTCCCAGTGTGGTGCTCCAACCCCACATTTCCCTTCGACACTGCCCTAGAAGAGGTTCTCCATAAGGGTTCCACCCCTGCAGCAAACTTCTGCCTGGACATCCAGGTGTTTTCATACATCCTCTAAAATCTAGGTGGAGGTTCCCAAACCTCAACTCTTGACTTCTGCACACCCGCAGGCCCAACACCACATGGAAGCTGCCAAGGCTTGGGGTTTACACCCTCTGAAGCAATGGCCTGAGCTGTACCTTGGCCCCTTTTAACCATAGCTGGAGCAGATGTGACACAGGGCACAAAGTCCCAAGGCTTCACACAGCAGGGGGGCCCTGGACCTGGGCTAAGAAACAATTTTTTCCCCTTAGGCCTCCAAGTCTGTGATGGGAGGGGTTGCTGTGAAGGTCTCTTGACATGCCCTGAAGACATATTTCCTATTGTCTTGATGCATAACATTCGGTTCCTTGCTACTTATGCACATTTCTGCAGCTGGCTTCAATTTATTGCCAAAAATGAGGTTTTTTTTTATTGCATCCTCAGACTGCAAATTTTCTGAACTTATATGCTCTGCTTTTCTTTTAAACATACATTCCAATTCCAAACCATATCTTTGTGAATACATAAAACTGAATGCTTTTAACAGCACTCAAGTCATCCCTTGAACAGTTTGAGGCTTAGAAATTTTTCTTCCAGATACCCTAAATCACTTCTCTCAAGTTCAAAGTTCCACAGATATCTAGGGCTGGGGCAAAATGCTACCAGTCTCTTCACATAGCAAGAGCCACCTTTACTCCAGTTCTCAAGAAGTTCCTCCTCTCCATCTGAGACCGCCTCAACCTGGACTTCATTGTTCATATCACTATTAGCATTTTTGTCAAAGCCACTCAACAAGTCTCTAGTAAGTTCCAAACTTTCCCACATTTTTCTGTCTTCTTCTGAGCCCTCCAAAGTATTCCAGCCATTGCCTGTTACCCACTTCCAAAGTTGCTTCCACATGTTCCAGTATCTTTACAGCAGCGCCCCACTCTCTGTGGTACCAATTTACTGTATTAGTTTGTTCTCACACTGCTATGAAGAAATACCCAAGACTGGGTAACTTATAAAGAAAATAAGGTTTAATTGAGTCACAGTTCTGCATGGCTGGGGAGCCCTCAGAACACATAATCATGGCAGAAGGCAGCTCTTTAGACAGTTTCCAGAGAGAGAACCAGTGCCAAACGAAGGGGGAAGCCCCTTATAAAACCATCAGATCTTGTGAGAACTCACTCACCATCATGAGAAGAGCATAGGGGAAACTGCCCCCATGATTCAATTATCTCCACTTGGTCCTGTCCTTGACATGTGGGGATTATTACAATTCAAGGTGAGATTTGGCTGGGGACACAGAGCCAAACCATATCATATTATTTTGAATACTTGAGTATTACAGACTGAATAATATAATTGAGAATATAAATGATATTGTTATTTATACAATTATATTATTCTGAATATTGAGTATTATAAATCAAATCTCTCTTTTTTCTATCTCTCTCTGTCTCTCTTTCATGCTCTCTCATGCCCACCTATCTCCCTTCTACCTTGACTCCCTGTTTTCTTGCACATAAATACATGCATAGACATCATTGTCTATGTTGAACATTTTGCACAAAACTGCAAACTATATTTGACAAATTTTATCAGATAGCCACTACCACTTTTCTCCTGGGGTTGGATCATGATTGTTAACCAAAAATAATGACTTATCCTTATCCAGAGCTTAATTCAAGTTAAGTATGTGGCAGCTCTTGCTAATAAGATGTATGAATATTCTACTGGACAGTGTGTGTATATGCATGGCAGAAGACTTTTTGCTGAAAAATCTGTTCTTTCTTGTAAATGTGATAGATGCCTTTTGCTCTTGTCTTTTCCTTACTGCTTGGTTGTTATTTTTTTGATGGCATGTCTGGAACTCTACCAGCCATTTTGTAATCAGATGGCAAGTCTGCGATTCAAAGCTCTCAGTGTGGATAGAGGCATGGATGTGTAGAAACAGCCTGGGTTTCCTACTGATATTGTTAAGGTAATACACCAACTTTGGCTTCTAATAAAAGGTCAATATTCTCATGATATCAGCCATTGCAAATGAGGTAATTTTGCCACAATGTCATACTTGGCACAACTGTTCACAAAAACAAACTTGCTTATTGGTAAGACAAATTATTACAAATTATTTAGATATAGCTGAACCAAAAAAAAAAACCCTGAAATGAAAGAAGAAAGGTATTCATGAACAATTGTTCCTTGTGTTTTTCTAAAGGAAGAAAAGAGTACGTATATAACTCCTACTATCCAGGGATGAGGACTAGCAAGAAGAGAGCTTTGGAAAAGTGGGAGAGAAAGCATTAACTGCCCTAAAAACATTTTTACAATTTTCCATTTAACTGGCTCTGGTAGGGTACTGAAAATATGATAAAGAAAGATATTGTTGTGGATAGAATAGAGGTTGTTAAAGGGAAATTCATGTCCAAGTGTCAGATTGCCCAAATTTTGCCACGTTAAAGTTGTTTGATTTCTTGCTGCTGATATAGTGCTTATAACTAATAGTGCTTATGACTAATATAGTGCACCAATTTTACATTTGCCTGAAGACACATGATCTTTAAAAGTAAACTCTATAATGTTATTTCCTTTCAGTTTACACTTGCAACATCAATTTTGATACTAACTTACACATTTTGACTATCAGGTGGCTGTGATAGGTGGACATATGGATGAGTCTGACTCAAGACTTTAAAGATACAAAGAACATGCACAAAATTGAAAATCATTCTCCAGGAAATCAGTGTTTATAAAGTACTCTGGGATATTCTGTAAATGGTTTATTATAATGTCTGTTGCTATAATAACATCTGGTCATAGAAAAGTGAACCATGAAAGAGAGAAAGTTAAAGCAAGACAGTCTCCACTGGTAGTAGCTTCCAAGGGATGAGTCATCTTTACTGACATTTTAAAGCATATATAAAAATACTTAATGTGTTTGGGTTAGTGTTGATGATGGATTGTCATTTAAGTGTATCTTCTGTGTAAATTCTTCTGCAAGTTCAACCCCTTAAAAGGCAGATGTTTCAGGTATTTTGGGTCTTACAAATTTAATGGGTTACTATTTTTGTGTGTGCGTGGCAAGTGGTGTTTCCAGAATGATGATGTAAGTTTTCAGAATAGCTAATGTGATCGAAGTCTCTGAAATTGTAATTATGTGCCTTGATTTTGTTTATAAAGAAATAAATTTGGTGGCATCAGTTTCTTAAAATAGGCAAAATGACACAGTACTCTACTGATACTTGTTTGGAAATATAGATAATATGAGTTAGAATGAATTGCTTGTAGTCAGGAGAACTGGGTAACTTCATGATCTTTTACTTGTAATGCCAATTAGCTATTTCTCCTCATGTTTATCTGATCTATAGATGATTAACCATAAAGTCACAAAGACTAGTGGTATGAAAAAAATTTAAGCTCTCAATAAGTATTTCTTTAAATTAGTCCTAATATGGGCAACTTACCTTGACACTTTACATATAATTATTTTGAATTTCTCACTTCTTGACCTTCATGTGTTACTTAAAATTCCAGTCTTTTTCATATATAGTTTACTCTTTCAACACTTTGTCCCCACTCATATGATAAACTCAGATTTAATCATCCTTTGGGTTCCTGCTTAGATTTCTGTTTATTTCAGTAATCTTTTCTGTCCAGCAAATCTGAATTAGGTGTCTTGTTTTTTAAATTCCATAATTCCTCTGACAAAACATGTTATACATTTAAATTGTGTTTATCTCTGTGAAGTCAATGTTTAAAACTCTCTATAACACCATCATTCTTACCACACTGTATTAAAATGTACCAATTTAAATATTAACAAGGTTTAATAAAGTGATTTTTTTAAATCATTGAGTATTAGAGAAAAGATTAACTTCCAAAAAAGTTACTACTCAAATTTTTCTATAAATACTTCTAAGCTATCTGGTTGTATCTGTGTTCTGTGGTTTCCATAATAAATTACTACAAAGTTAGTTTCTTAAAAAAATAAATTTATCATCTCTTCTTGTAGTTCTGTATTTCAACAGTTTTGTTTGTTTGTTGGTTGGTTTATTTTTAAGATAGGGTCTCACTATGTTGCTCAGGCTGGATTTGAATTTCTGGGCTTAAGTGATTCTTCTGCCTCAGCCTCCTCAGTAGGTGGGGTTACAGGCATGTGCCAACATGCCTATCTTTTTATGTCAGAAGTCATAAGGCCAGACGAATAGCAATCTTATTTCTATCTGCAACCTTCATTAATAAAAACAAATTAACTGACAGATAACAGTGAATTGTGTTTGTTTGTTTTGTTTTTTTGTTTTGTTTTGTTTTGTTTTCTTTTCTTTTTTTGAGATGGAGGCTTGGTTTGTCTTGCCCAGGCTGGAGTGCAGTGGTGAGATCTTGGCTCACTGAAGCCTCCACTTCTCGGCTTCAAGCGATTCTCCTGTCTCAGCCTCCCAAGTAGCTGGGACTACAGGCGTGCCACCACATACGGCTAATTTTGTATTTTTAGTAGAGATGGTGTTTCACGATGTTGGCCAGGCCACCTGCCTCAGCCTCAGGCGATCCACCCGCCTCAGCCTCCCAAAGCTCTGGGATTATAGGAGTAAGCCACCACGCCCAGCTGATACACTAACAGTGTATGTTTTTATTGTGTACAACATGATTTTTGAAGTATATAAACATTGTGGAATGGTTAAATCTAGCTAGCTAACAAATACGTTACATCACATAGTTATTTTTGTGGTGAGAGCACATAACAATCACTCTCTTTACATTTTTCAAGAATATATTATATCATCATTAACTACCAGAGGCTTTGGTGATTAGGGGAGATGGAGCAATGGGAAGATCAAAGGGTACATAAGTACAGTTAGAGGTAATAAATGTCAAGAGACCTATTACACAACAAGGCAACTACAGCTAATGGTGATATATTGAATTATTAACATTTGATATTGTATTTGAGCATACTTAGAGGATTCATGTATAAGAAAGGGGGAATGTTTGGGGGGGAACCACTCAAATTAGTTTTGCTTCTTTTGTTTTGTTTAGCTTTATATTTTATTTTCCAATTGAGACATCTGTAGATGTTTTCTATTTATGAAGTTGTAAAGAATATTTTTAATTGTAATACAATCAATCATATAGTAAGTCCTCACAGAGGGACTTCCAGTGTTAATTTACTGAGTCCATCAAATAACTTAAAATCCTTTTTGAAATAAGTAAGAATTACTTATCTCCATTCAAAATAACAGTATTTTGTTGTTGTTGTTTTTCTCCAAATATAAGAGGAATTTTAAGTACAAATGTTAACTGGAGTCTTAATTGCAACTAGAAAAATTCAATGTATCTTTTAATGCATTGAAGGATATTGCATTAAATAGAAATATAATGGCGAATAACATTGTAGCTGAAATTTTACAGACACAGCTAATCCTCAGAACAACTGGGCCAGGAACTTGAACAAAGCTAAGACTTTATCTTCCTTATTATCATTTTTTTCTTTGAATACACTTCATTGTTTTCACTCATGCAGACTTTCTCTTTATAATGAAAACACGTCCTCTTATGGTGTTTGAATTTTGCATCTCACAACTTCAATTGCTGGAAAGAGCTTTACTATATACTCTTGGACCAAGTTTAATAATCCTAGATCAGAAATTCTTTCCACATTTTGTTTAATTATCCAAATGTGGAGTAACAGAAGGCAGGAGTGAGTGCCAGAGTCACATTCTATTAAAAATACAATATCCTTGTGTAATGGATAGAAGTAATTCCTAGAAAATACTAACTGGGGAACCAGTACTATCAATACCAAAAGAAAACATAAGTATTAGTCAATATATTGTGTCTAATAACTACCAAATGCCTGAGTAAATAAAAAACAATTAGTGTGTTTTGGCTTTAAATAAATAAATTCTACCGTGAATCTTGATATCATCAATAATGTATTACCATGCCCTACAATTTATCATTAAATCAATTACAATGAGAATTAAATGTTCTTTATAGATATAAGATATACAATAATTCTTATTCACCAAAGCAGTATTTTGTTAGATTCAATGAGTTCTAATTACCAATAGAAATAGATACATTGGAACTCTTTTTCATAGCCACCATTTAAACCAAGTAATTATTTCTTCTTTTTTAAAAAAAATTAGTAAAGACTTAAAATAGAATACTCATTATTTGAGCATTCTTGTAAATCAAATAATAATTTCTGTATGCTCACTTTGCCTGGCTCCAAGGCTTGTGAAAATTCCCTTAATTCCTTGTGGTATATTCAATACCTGGTGGTATATAATGTGCCTTAGCTGCTCACGTTTAGGGGATATAACGCAGTTAGGAAGTGATTGCATAACTTCTAGCTTATTGCTGTCTATCAAAGAGAGATTTATGAATAAAGGCAAATAAAATAGCAAATGTAAAAATGAAAACAGCTACCATTTTATACTAATTTTTTAATAAATCAATTTCAGGGCATCTTTGTTATCACAGCTACTGGTACTACAATACTCTTCAACAATTAGAAAATTGTAGCTCAGAAACTTTAACGTTTTAAGGTCATGGATTCATTAAAGATGGATCTAGGTCTCATTCTTTTTTGTTTTTGTTTTTGTTTTTTTTTTTTGAGACGGAGTCTTGCACTGTCGCCTAGGCTGGAGTGCTGTGACGCGATCTCGGCTCACCCGGGTTCACGCCATTCTCCTGCCTCAGCCTCCAGAGTAGCTGGGACTACAGGCGCCCGCCACCACGCCCGGCTAATTTTTTTTTCTTTTTCTTTTTCTTTTTTTATTGTATTTTTAGTACAGATGGGGTTTCACCGTGTTAGCCAAGATGGTCTTGATCTCCTGACTTCCTGATCTGCCCGCATCGGCCTCACAAAGTGCTGTGATTACAGGCATGAGCTACCGCACCCGGCTGGTCTCATTCTTAATACTATAAATTTTTCAGCATGATGTTGATACTCATCTTTTTTTCCTTCATTTTATACTACTTGCTTGTAAATATCTATGTAAAAATAAATGTCACAAATATGTCTATACATACTGGCAAGAAATGTGACTATATTGGGGCTGGCACGGTGGCTCACACCTGTAATCCCAGCACTTTGGGAGGCCGAGGCGGGCAAATCATGAGGTCAGGAGATCGAGATTATCCTGGCCAACACGGTGAAACCCCGTCTCTATTAAAAATACAAAAAATTAGCCAGGCGTGGTGGCGGGCGCCTGTAGCCCCAGCTACTCGGGAGGCTGAGGCAGGAGAATCGCTTGAATCCCAGAGGCAGAGGTGGCAGTGAGCCAAGATCAAGCCACTGCTCTGCAGCCTGGGGACACAGAGAGACTCCATCTCAAAACAATGACAACAACAAAAGAAATATGATTATATTATATAATTTGTCAATTTTCAATGACATGTAAGGGAAAAATGTGTTTAATAAGAAAGTGTTTTTTTTTTTTTTTTGTCCATATAGGTAGGATGGGAGAAAATACCCAGTAAACAGGAAGCAACAAATAAGAAATGACTTTATTTTATTTTTTATTTTTGTGGGTACATAGTAGGTGTATATATTGATGAGGTATATGAGAAGTTTTGATATAGGCATGCAATGTGAAATAAGCACATCATGGAGAATAAAGTATCTATTCCCTCAAGCATTTATTCTTTGAGTTCCAAACAACCCAATTACATTCTTTATTTTAAAGTGCACAATTATTATTGACTATAGTCACCTATTGTGCTATCAGATAGTGGGTCTTATTCATTCATTCTTTTTTTTTTTTTTTTGGAATCATTAACAATCTCCCCTTACCCCAATCCCCCTACTACCTGTCTCAACCTATAGCAACCACCCTTCTACTCTCTATGTCAATGAGTTCAATTGTTTTTATTTTTACATCCCATAAATGAGAACATACAATGTTTGTCTTTCTGTGCCTGGCTCATTTCATATTAACATAATGATCATCAGTTCTATCCATGTTGTTTCAAATGATGAGATCTCATTCTCTTTTTATGGCTGTCTCGTACTCCAATGTGTAAGTACCACATTTTCTTTATCCATTTATCTTCTGATGGATACTTAAGTTGCTTCAAAATCTTAGCTATTGTAAACAGTGCTACAACAAGCATGAGAGTGCAGATATCTTTTTAATATGCTGATTTCCTTTCTTTGGGTTATATACCCACCAGTGGGATTGATGGATCATAGGGCAGTTCAATGTTTAGATTTTTTAGGACCCTTCAAACTTTTCTCCATAGTGATAGTACTAATTTACATTCCCACCAACAGTGTATAAGGGGTTCCCTTTTTTCCACATCCTTGCCACCATTTGTTATTGCCTGTTTTTTGGGATATAAGAAATTTTAATTGGGGTGAGACAATATCTCATTGCAGTTTTGATATGCATTTCTCTGATTATCAATGGCACTGAGCACTTTTTCATATGGCTGTTTGCCATTTGTATGTCTTTTTATGAAAAATGCCTATTCAAACCTTTTGATCTTTTTTTGGTTATATTATTAGATGACTTTCTACAGAGTTGTTTGAGCTCCTTATATATTCTGGTTACTAACCGCTTGTCAGATGGGGAGTTTGCAAATATTTTCTCTCATTATGTGGGTTGTATCTTCACTTTGTTGATTGTATCCTTTGCTGTGCAGAGCTTTTTAACTTGTTTATTTTTGCTTCAGTTTCCTGTACTTGTGGTGCATTGCTCAAGAAATCTTTGGCCAGATCAATGTCCTTCAGATTTTCCTCAATGTTTTCTTGCAGTAGTTTTACAGTTTGTGGTCTTAGATTTGACTTTAATCCATTTTGATTTGATTTTTTTTAAATGCTGACAGTTTCATTCTTCTGCATATGGATGTCCAATTTCCTCAGCACTATTTAGTAAAGAGGCTTTTTTTTTCACTGTAGGTTCTTGGCACCCTTGTGAAAAAAGAGTTCACTGTACTTAGATGGATTTGTTTCTGGGTTCTCTACTCTGGTCCATTGATCTATGTATCTGTTTTTATGTCAGTACCATGCTGTTTTCATTACTATAGCTCTTTAGTATAATTTGAAGTCAGGTAATGTGATTCCTCCAGCTTTGTTCTTTTTGCTTAGGATAGCTGTGGCTATTCTCGGCTGTTTGTGGTTCCATATAAATTTTAGAACTGTTTTCTTTTTTCTATTTCTGTGAGGAATATTGCTGGTATTTTAATACAGATTACATTGAATCTGTAGATTGCTTTGGGCTGTATGGACATTTCAACAATATTGATTCTTCCAATCCATGAACACGGAATATTTTCCCATTTTTTTTGTCCTCTTCAATTTCTTTCATAAATGTTTTATAGTTTTCATTAGAGAAATCTTTCACTTCTTTGGTTAATTCCTAGGTATTTAATATTATGTTTGGCTATTATAAAGAGGATTACTTTTTAAATTTCTTTTTCCCATTATTCACTGTTGGTATATAGAAATGTTAGTGATTATTGTACGTTGATTTAGTATCCTGAAACTTTATTGAATTTGTTTATCCATTCTAATAGTTTTTTGGTGGAGTCCAAATGTGAGATCATATGACCAGCAAACAAGGATAATGGTACTTCTTTCTTTTTAGTTTGGATGCCCTTTATATCTTTCTCTTGTCTGACTGTTCTAGCTAGGACTTCCAGTACTATGCAGAATAACAGTGGTGACAGAGGGCATCTTTGTCGTGTTTTAGGTCTTAGAAGAGAGGCTTTCACTTTTTCCCCATTCAGTATGATACTAGTTATGGGTCTATTGTACATGGCTTTTATTATGTTGATGTATGTTCCTTCCATACTACAGATTTTTAAGGTAATTATCATAAAGAGATGTTGATTCAAATGGTTTTTCGGCAGCAATTGAAATTGATCATATGGTTTTTGTTCTTCATTTTGTTGATATAATGTATCACATTAATTGATTTATACATGTTAAACCATCCTTGCATCCTAGGGATAAATCCCACTTGGTCATTATAAATAATCTTACAATGTATTATTGAATTTGGCGTGCTAGTTGTTTGTTGAGGATTTTTGCATCAATATTCATCAGTTACATTGGCCTTTAGTATTTTTTTTGAGGTGTCTTGGTTTTGATTTCAGGGTAATATTGGCTTCATAGAATGAGTTTGGATGTATTTACTCCTCATCTATTTTCAGAATAGTTTGAGTAAAATTAGTATTCGTTTTTCTTTAAATGTTTGATAGAGTTCAGCAGTGAAGCCATCAGGTCCCAGGCTTTTCTTTACTGGAAGGCATTTTTTTATGGCTCCAATCTCGTTAATTGATATTTGTCTGTTCAGGTTTTAAGAACTGTTCAGGTTCTCCCTCATTCAATCTTGGTAGGTTGTATTTATCTAGGAATTTGTTCACTTCTTCTAGATTTTCCAATTTATTGGTATATCATTACACATAGTAGCCCCTAATAATCCTTTGAATTTCTGCAGTATCAGTTGTAATGTCTCCTTCTTTACTGCTGATTTTATTTATTTGGATCTTCTTTCTTTTTCTCTTAGTCTAGCTAAAAGTTTGTTAATTTTATTTGACTTTTTTAAAAGACAAGTTTTTGTTTCATTGATCTTTTGTATTATTTTTTTCATTCTTGGCCTGTAATGTTTCCACGGAAAAATCTGCTGCCAGACATATTGAAACTCCAATTATGCTATTTGTTTCTTTTCTCTTGCTGCTTTTAGAATCCTTTTCGTATTCCTGACATTTTGTAGTTTGATTATTAAATGCCTTGAGGCAGTTATTTTTGGTTTAAATCTGCTTGATGTTTTATGACCTTCTTCTACTTGAATATTGGTATCTTTCTCTAGGTTTGGGAAGTTCTATGTTATTATCCTTTTGAATAAACTTTCTACCCTTATCTCTTTCTCTACCTCCTCTTAAAGACCAATAACTCTTAGATTTGTCCCTTTGAAGCTATTTTCTAAATTCTGTAGGTGTGCTTCATTGATTTTTATTCTTTTTTTCTTTTGTTTCCTCTGTGTATTTTCAAAGAGCCTGAGTTCAAACTAACTAATTTTTTCTTCTACTTGATCAGTTCTGCTATTAAAGGACCCCGATACATTCTTCAGTATGCCAGTTGTATTTTTCAGCTTTAGAATTACCGCTTGACTCTTTTCAATTATTTTAACTATTTTTAAAATTTATCTGATCAAATTCTGAATTCCTTCTCTGTGTTATCTTGAATTTCTTTGTGCTTTCTCAGCACAGCTATTTTAAATTCTCTGTCTGAAAGATCACATATCTCTGTTTATCCAGGATTGGTTCCTGGTAACTTATTTAGTTCGTTTGGCAAGGTCATGTTTTCCTGGATGGTGTTGATGATAGTAGATGTTTTTCAGTGTCTAGGCATTGAAGAATTAGCTATTTATTGTAGTTCTCACTGTCTGGGCTTATTTGTAACTGTTCTTGGGAAGGCTTTCCAATATTTGAAAGGACTTGGCTCTTGTTATCTAAGCTGTATCTGCTTTAGGGACACCCCAAGCCCAATAATGCTGTGGTTCTTGCAGACTCCTAGAGTACTGCCTTAATGGTCTTAAACAAAATCTTGAAGAATTCCTTGAATTACCAGGCATAGACTATTTTTCTCTTCCCTTACTTTATCCCAAACATACAGAGTCTCTCTATTCTGAACCACCTAAAGTGGGGGTGCAGTGACACAAGCATCCCTATGGCCACCCGCACTATGACTGCAGTGGGTCAGACTTAAAGCCAGCAAAGTGTTAATTCTCACCCAATTCTTGTTGTAACCACTCCCTGGCTACTGTCAATGTTCACCTAAGGCCCTAGGGCTCTACAGTCAGCAGCTAACAAAGCCAGCCATGGCTTTGTCCTTCACTTTAGGGCAACAAGGTTCTCCCTGCCCCTACTGGGTCCAGAAGTGCTATCCAGGAGTCAAGGACTAGATCCAAAAACCTTAAAAGTCTTTCTGGTAATCTATTGTATTGTGGCTGAGCTGGCGCCCAAACCACAAGAGGCTGTCCTTCTCATTCTTCCCTCTCCTTTCCAAAGGTAGAGGTGCCTCACCCCATAGCCACTGACACCAAAGGCCACAAGAAGTACTGTCAGACTACCACCAATTTTCCCTTAAGTCTCAAGGCCTCTAATTATGAATACTTACGTGCCTGGCCTGGGACTCACCCTTCAGGGAAGTGGGCTTCCTTCTGGCCTAGCGCAGGTCTAAAAATGGTGTCCAAGAGTCCAGTCCTGAAATTGGAAACCTGAAGGACCTACTTGGTTCTCTACCCAAGTATGGCTAACTGAAGAGCCAAGCTATCTCTAAGGTGTAAGACAAAGTCCCCTTTACTTTTCCCTCTGCTTTTCTCAAGCAGATGGAGTACTTTTCCCATAGCCACCACAGCTGTTAATGTGCTGAGTCTCACCTGAAGTCAGCAAGACTCAGAGACTCACCCAATGCCCTCGATGTAGTACCTGGGTATCACTACTGGTTATTCAGGGCCCAGTGGCTCTTCAGTTAGCAGGGGGATTGCTAACTGGGAGATGCTGCCAGGTATGATTCCTTTCCTTGAAGGTAGCAGGTTTCCTTCTGGCCCAGGGTGTGTCTAGAAATATCATTTGGAGGCTAGGGCCTGGAGCAGGGGACTCATGACTCTGACCATTGCTCAATCCTGCCATGGCTGAGCTGGTATCCTGGATACAAGACAAAATCCTCCCCACTCTTCAATCTCCTTTCCTCAAGTGGAAGGAAGGGGTCTATTTGGGGGCTGCAAGCTGTGCTGCCTGGGTTCAAAGAGGGCCGGTGCCAGCACTCACTTGGCTGCCTCAGCTCGTGTCTTAGTATGTTATGTGCCCCTCCAGTCTACTATCTTTGGGTCTGGTTTGTGGAGATAGCAATAATAGTTGGTGGAAATGATAAATCAATTTAAAAAATAACTTTCAATGACTGAAAATGGCATGAGTCATTGGAGAACACTCAAGAAAGTCATTTAACAGGACTGCCTCTTGAGTGATTGCTCAAGATGTATTTCTCATCGCCCATTTAGCTCCCTTCATGCAAATGTTACAGAGAATCTTAAAAAGAATGCCACAATGACATATCCAAATCAAGTTGCCAACAAAATTAATAATGCACTGACTTAAATTGTGATCAAGAATAAAATTTCTTAAGAGATGCAATGACACAGCTCACTCAGTAGGAGTACATCTTAGGCTACAAGGAGTTTTGGGACTCAAGCTGCCCTGTAATCGCACATCTAAGAATCAGAAGAGCTGGTTTTCTGTCATCAAACAGTCCAGAATATTCAAGCTATGAATTGTGTACTGATGATTTGCATTCTCCCTAAATTACCAAAATCATTCATTTTACAGCCAGCCTTTACAAGTAAATTGCGACTATTTCATTATGTTTTATAGAGGAAGACAAAAGATATGTGTGCATTTGCAAACTATTTTTGACATAATTAGGTGAACTTTTGGCATACAAAAGTCTGTGAATTCTTTTCAACCAAAAATAAATGTACATTTTAAATCCCTTCAGACCTTTGAGATGCAGGAGTGCTTAGATAACTGGAGACATGCCTGCCTCCACTGTTTCTATTGTAAACAAGAAATCTACACTGAGCAGAATTCTACTAAGTCTAAAGTGAATTTTTATAACCTATGTCTTATCTAAACAGAAACGAGACACGTCTAAATGTCATTTCTGCAATAGGCAAGGTTTATATAGGACATGAAATTTCTCTTTATAATACTTTCTATGCCAAGGCTCCTTGTTCTTCATATGTAATTCCTGTGCCTTAAGCACCTTTCCTCGTTACATCACTTTTTTTTGGCCTTCCATCTATGTGCATGGTCTAATATATTGAAACATTTATAAATAATTTATAAACATTATTTGAATAGTTGCTATCCAGCAACCACTATTTTATGCAGAGCATCACAGATATCAGCTATATAAATATGATCTATGCTCTCTCAAAAGAGAGAACGGGAATCAGATGCACAAAAATTCTTTGCATACCCAGTGGCTTAGGGCTATGTTAAGGATATATAGCGGATTTTGAAGACACATGGGTGAGAGTAGTCAACTCTACCTAGAATCAGCCTGAGAATGCTTCCCAAGGGATTTAAAACTTGAAAATGGAATAAAAATTTTGCAGATGATTTAGAAGAAAAGACATTCCAATAAAAAGACTAGCATGTATAAAGTCCCAAAACTCTGAACTGGTATGAATATATCTGCAAGAATTTTATTATAGTTGGAACTCTAAGTATTGAGAGGGAGGATGGGAAATACTGAGAAGGTGTGGGAGTTAGAATAAATACAACGATAAAGAACATTAATGTGATTTGGCTCTGTGTCCCCACCCAAATCTTATCTCAAATTGTAATCTCTACATGTCAGGGGAGGGACCTGGTGGGAGGTGATTTGATCATGGGGGTAGTTTTTCCCCATGCTATTCTCATGATAGTGAGTTCTCATGAGATCTGATGGTTTAAAATTGTGGCACTCCTGCCTCCTCACTCTCTCTCCCCTGCTGCCTCATGAAGTAGGTGTTTGCCTCTTGCCATGATTATAAGTTTCCTGAGGCCTCCCCAGCCATGCAGAACTGTCAGTTGATTAAACCTTTTTTCTTTATAAATTTCCCAGTCTCAGGTAGTTCTTTATAGCAGTGTGAAAACAGACTAACACAAGCATTAAACATGCATTATCACATTTAATTGTATCCAGAAACCTCCAGGTAGTATTATTTTTTACAGAAGCTAAAATCCAGGGACGTTAAGGAGCTTGTCCAAAGCCAATAGCTCCTCCAGGTCTTAAACTGTCTCATATCAGGCTATTACCACCTTTATAATGCAGAGTACAGATAATGATTGAAGTACTTTTAACCTTTAACCACTGTCAAACTAGCTATGCTATGTGCCCTTGAGACATTAATAGCTGACTAGCTAATTAATTTAAATTTTTTAATGGTATTAGTGGATGGCAACAGCTTGCTTTGAAGCTTCCTGAGAAAGAAAGAAAGTAAATACAGTCATGCATCACTTAATAATAGGGATATATTCTGAGAAATGCATTGTTTGGTGATTTTGTCATTATGCAGACATCATATAATGTACTTACACAAGGCCAAATGGTATAACCTACTACATACCTAGACTGTCTTGTGTAGACTATTGCTCCTAGGCTACAAACCTGTGTAATATGTTATTGTACTGAATACTGTAGGCAATTATAACAAAATAGTAAGTATTTGTTCATCTAAACATAGCAAAACATAGAAAAGATAAAGTAAAAATATAACATTATTATTTCATGGGAATACCATAATATATATGGTCTATTGTTAACCCAAATATTGTTATGTAGTACACGATGGCATATGTATGTACATTTTATATGTGTTTATATAAATACAAATTTATACTTTATGCAAAATCTGTATGAAAACATAAATTTTATTTTAATTATATATTTATATATGCACTTATACATACATATATGCATGCATACCTTAATAGAAACTTTCAGTGGTAATGCAAAATGTAGGGAAACTAGAGAATAAAAATGCACGTTGCAGAGTTACAAATCTTTGCAAACCACTATGTTGATGGTCACCTTCTTTACATAACCATAGCATCATTCTTGTTCAGAAAATTCCAGAGAAAAATCAAAGAGGCCAGAAAGTTAGTCTTCAGGTCACATTGAGCTACAGATGCTCCCTGACTTACAGTGGTGTTACACCCAATAAACCTATCATAAAGTCAAACCACAACAAATCAGGGATACTTTATTAGTCTGTTTTCATAATGCCATAAAGAACTGCCTGAGACTGGGTAATTTATAAAGGAAAGAGGCTTAATTGACTCACAGCTCTGCAGGGCTGGGGAAGCCTCAGGAAACTTATAATCATGGCAGAAGGCAAAGGGAAAGCAAGGCACCTTCTTCACAAGGTGGCAGGAGAAAGAAGTGCCCAGCAAAGCATGCAGAGCCCCCTGTAAAACCATCAGATCTCATGAGAACTCACTCACTACCACGAGAACAGCATGGGGGAAACCACCCCCATAATTCAATCACCTCCACCTGGCCTCTCCCTTGACACGTGGGGATTATGGGAATTATGGAAATTATAATTTGAGATGAGATTTGGCTTGGGACACAAAGCCTAATGATAATCAGATGCTTTCATTGTACAAGAAAACCAGTTTTATTCACAACCAGGAATGAAAGCCTGCAGAATAGACAGCAGACTCAAAATTTATAGCATGAAGGTTACACATATTTTTTTACCTCCAGCTAATGTGCTGGAATTTAGTTCAGTGTACGTTTTTGAAAGAATATGGGTACTATAATCCTAGGTGCTAAATACGTATATAAAAATAGATGCAAATAGTTTCAGGCAAAAATCATAATAATTATTATTTGAGGATAACAGAGTCCTTGATTATTAGTTTTTCTCAAAATAATATTATTTTAAAACAGTGAGAAAAAAGCAGTTTAACTTGTAAAATTGAAAAAAGCTAAATTTTTGTATAATTTTGAAACAGGAAACTAATAACAGTAGGTAGGGAACCAAGACCTCAGAATTTCTACATATGCTCTCATTGAGTTTTCACTCCATTAAATAAAAGAATAAAAAGAATCTGTACTTAGAACATCAATTTGTCTATCATTAAGCTTATATTATCAAGTTTATTCTAATAAGATTAAGTTTATGAAATCATACATTATTTGAGATTGATTACATCAAAAATATATTCAAAACTCATGCTCAGGAAATCACTTCTTTTATAACTTATTGATTATGGTGTGCCATTCTTCATGCTATAATTACAGTCATCTGTTTTTCAATCAAGTTGCAATTTTCCAAAGAGCGTGAATAGTGTCTTTTTTCTCTCTACCACCAACACTTTGTTTGGTCCAAGACAAATAGCCACATAATAAATGTTGTTTGTTTAGATTAATTAATGATTGAATACAGGAATGATTTTTAACAAGCATACTTACAGTGACATACCATAATCAGGCATTAAAATAAAAATATTTTAATAAGGTCTTTTACACCAACTGTGAAAAATAATTACCATGATTTTTTTAAATTGTAATACAGACAATATGAAAAGCAAAAGCACTCATTTGTGTATCTTTCAATGTTGATTCAAGGTATTCCCAAGTTTAGACATCTATTTTCATTTTCTTTTAGATATCCACACTTTGAGTATTTTTTTTTAATATTATAAGATTACACGTTAACTTGTTTCATTACATTTTCCAAACTATAAAAATAGCAATTTGTCTTGGTCTGTTAGGGCTACTACAACAAAACAACTCAAGAGTGGGTAACTTACAAACAATAGAAATGTGTTGCTCATTTTCTGGAGGCAAGAAAATCTAATATTAGGGCACCAACAGGTTAGGTGTCTGGCAAGGGGCCCATTCATAATCAATGGCACCTTCTCTGTATCTTTACATGGCATCAGTGCAAACAGTCTCTCTCAAGCCTCTTTTATAAGGGACCTGATCGCTTTCCAAAGGTCCTGTCTCTTGACACCATCTTTTTGGGGGTTCTGAGTTTTAGCAGTGGGGAGCCACAAATGTTCAGAATATAGCACAATTAAAATCAGATGAATTTTGCAATCACTGTTGTAACAATTGATGATGGTAACAATCAACAATGTATACTAAAACCAGAGTGAAAGTTTGTTGGAGGTAGAAAAAAGGTCTAAAATTATCTAAAAACTATGTATGATATATACATAAGTCAAATGTACCTGTATGATATATACCACCTTTATCAAATTCTGGACAATAGCATTACAACACTGGAAGAAACTGACATTATATAGTTCTTGATATATTTCAATGATTAATACACAATATAAACTATATAGAATTTATCAAAATATTTTCCCAAATCTAAACATAAGGGAACCACTTGGCAAGTCCAGGACTGGGACATCCTGCAAGAAAACTAGCCTGGTTTATTGAAAAATATTAATAAGTTAAACACCACACACTCACATAAATACACACACACACACACACACACACAAAAAAAAAAAAAAAAAAAAAAAAAAAAAAACAGGGGCACAGCTCTAGGAAAGAGGAAACTCAAATACAAAAAAAAAAATTAAATACAACATGCATCCTTGATGGCTCTCAGTTACAATCTGAACATGATGTATATTTTGGTAATATTATGATATCTGTTTTAAATGTCTTAAAAGCATCATTAATATTCTGATTATGTACAAAATGTGATACTAAGTAGATAACTGATAATGTATTTAAAAATAAGTAATATAATATTTGCATTTTACTTTGTAAAAGATTCAAAAAGAATACAGTAAGACAAAAAGAAAGCAAACATTGCAAAATATCAACATTTAAAGCATTCAGGTAAAAATATATTACTTTTTTGAATTTATGTGGCTTAAAATTTTTTTCAAAATAAAAAAATTAAGGGAGTCCTATGCACAAATTAGATAATCTAGATGAAATGATCAAGTTCCTAGAACACACAGCCTACCAAGACTAAATTATGAAGAAATATATAAAATGAGATTAACCCTCTAACTAATAAAGAGATTAAATCAGTAACCAAAAGCTTCTGAAAAAAATAAAAGCCCAGGACCAGACGGCTTCATTAGTGAATTCTAGTATATATTTAAATAAAATTAAAACCAATTCTTTACAGACACTTCCAAAAAATTCATGATGGGGAATACTCACAAACATATTCTATGACATCAGCATTCTCATGATACCAAAGCCAGACAAAGACAGTGGAAGAAAACTACAATTCAATAGTCCTTATAAATGTTAACCTAAATAGGTTCAAGAAAATAATACCAAACCAAATTCAACATCACTTTTAAAGTGTTATACACAATGACCAAGTGGGATTTAGTTCCAGAATGCATGGATGCTTCAGCGTATGGAAATCATTCAATGCAGGATATCCATTAACAGAATACAGGGTTGGCGGGAAAACATATAATCATGTCTGTTGATGCAGAAAAGCATTTAACAGAAATCAACACATTTTCATGGTAAAAAAAAAATCAACAAATTTGGAATAAAGGGACACAATTTCAACCTAATAAAGGCCATATATGCAAAGCTCATAGCCAACATTATACTAAAAGGTGGAAGACTGAAAGCTTTTCTTCTATTTTTAGAAACAAGACAAAGATGACATAGTTTGCCATTTCTATTCAACATAGTACTACAAGCCTTACCCAAAGCAAATAGAGGAGAGAAACAAACAAAAAAAGAAATGGTATCTAACTGGAAAGAAAGAAGTAAAACTATCTCTGTTCACAGTTGATTTTATATATAGAAAATTTTAAGTACTCTGCAAGCAAAAAAATTCTAAAACTAATACATGAATTGAGCAACATTGTAGGATTCAAAATCAAAATGTAAAAATCAATGGCATTTCTCTAGACTAACAATTAAGGGAGCAAGGAAATTAAGAAAACAGTTCCACTTAGAGTAGCATTGAAAAGCATACAATATTTAAGAATAAACTTAACCAAGAGGCAAAAGACTTGTATACTGAAAGCTACAAAATGTTCCTGAAAGATATTAAAGACAATGTTCATAAATTCTTCATAAATTGAAAGACAATATTGCCAATACTAGTCTTACTATCCAAAGAAATCTACAGATTCAACACAATCCCCATAAAAACTTCAATTAAGACTTTTGATGAAATAGAAAAGTTTATTATAAAATTTATATGGGAATCTCAGATGACTCAGAATTCCCAAAAACAATCGTTAAAAAGAAGCATAAACTTGGAGATCTTACCCTTCATAATTTCAAAACTTACTACAAACCCGCAGTAATCAAAATCAAGACAGTGTGGTACTGGCATAAAGGTGGAAATATAGGTCTAGGGAATACAGAGCCCCAATATAAATCCTCACATGCATAGTTAAATGATTTTTGACAAGGGTGCTAAGACCATTCAATAAGGCAATGACAATCTTTTCAACAAACGATGTTGGTAAAAATTGATATCCACATGCAAAAGGTAATCCCAGCACTTTGGGAGGCCAAGGCTGGCAGATCATCTGAGGTCAGGAGTTCGAGACCAGCCTGGCTAACATGGTGAAACCCCATCTCTACTAAAAATGCAAAAAGCCAGGCATGGTGGTGGCTTCCTGTAATCCCAGCTACTTAGGAGGCTGAAGCAGGAGAATCACTTGAACTGAGGAGGCGGAGGTTGCAGTGAGCTGAGAACATGGCATTGAATGGCACTGAACTCCAGCCTGGGCAACAAGAGGAAAATCCTTCCTTAAAAAAAAAAAAAAAAGAAGAAGAAATAAACTTGGACTCATACCTTATGCCATACACAAATACTGATTCAAAATGGATGAAAAATCTAAGCATAAGGGCTAAAACTGTTAATCTCTTAGGAAGGAATATATGGAAAATCATGATATTGAATTTGTCCACGATTTATTAGACTTAACAAAAAATTGCAGCCAAAAAATAAATTAAAAAATAGATAGGTTGGACTTAAGATTAAAAACTTTTATTCATTAAAGGACACTATTAACAGTAAAATGACGGTCCAGGGAATATGAGAAAATGTGGGAAAATAACATATCTGATAAGGGGTTTATTCCCAGATTATATAAAAGAATTCCTAAAACTCAAAAATGGCAACAATAAACCAAAAAATGGCAAAAGACATATTTTTTCTGAAGAAGATACACAAATGACCAAAAAATACATGAAAATATGTTCAACATCACTAGTCATTAGTGAAATGCAAATCAAAACCACAATGAGATACCACTTCATGCCCACTAACATTGCTGCTATTAAAAACAAACAAACAAAAAGACAAAACCAGAAAATAACAAGTGTTGGTCAGAATGTGGAAAAAATTGGTATTTCTGGTAGGACTGTGAAGTTGCTGCTGGAAACAGTATGATAATTCCATACTATATTTAAAAAGCAAACATGAAATTATCATATGATTCAGCAATCTCACCTCTGCATATATACCTAAAAAAAGTGAAAGCAGGGAATCAAATATTTGTACATCCATTTTTAGAGCAGCATTAGTCATAATAGCTAAAAAGTAGAAGCAATTTCCATCAACAGATAAATGCATAAACAAAATGTACTATATACATAAAATGGAATACTATTTAGCCTTTAAAAGGGAATAAATGTGGTATGTGGTATAATGTGAATGAGTCTTGAAGACATGCTAAATGATATAAGCCAGTCGTCAAGGGTTAAATATAGAATGATTGCAATTATACTAGGTTTTTAGAATATTTCAATTAATAAACATAAAATGTAGAATGACATTGACAGGGAATGATAGAAGGGTGAAATGGGGTTTAATATTTAATAGGTACAGAGTTTTAGTTGGGGAAGATAAAAAGGTTCTGAAGACAGATGGTGATCGATGCTCAATAATGTCAATGTAATTAATGCCACTTCACTGTATTAAAAATAGTTGAAACGGTAAATTTTATGTTATGTATATTTTGCCACAATGAAAAATAAAAATAAAATAAATGTGAATAAAAAATTAAAATAAATTTGAAGAAAAAAAGAGATTAGTTAAATGTGACATTAACCCCTATGATTCCTTGTTATAATTTGGGAGCATTCTTTTTTCACTGAAAGTTAGTTGCAATTGACAAGCTATTTTATGTTTTTAATAAGGAATTGTTTCACTCTGATGGCTCTGCATGTTCACTTACTATGTCTTCTCTACCAAAGCATCATAGGATAATGCAAATAGAAAGTACTGGAGTTCATTAGATTCAAATCCTTCGATTTATGTGAAAGAAAATACAGGCTTAGAGAGGACAGTTGTCACATTTCTGAAACTATCCAGGCTTTAGTGCCAAAAGACTAAGACTAAGCGACAAGACTTAAGATCTCCAAAGGCAATTAATATTGGCATAGTTGAGCGGATTTATATGTTTTTCTAGGATGCCAGAGTTGAGAAATAGCAAAGGACTTTTGCTTTAAAAATGTAGCACATATGACATTTACTTCCCAAACGCTAATATCCAGAAAGGATCACATTATTTTAAAAAATCGCATTACATCAGACTATAAAACCTTTTTCTCACTACTTTAGTTAAAATTCAATCTATGTATTGTTGGACCTACCTGCCCATTGCCACATCCACAATGTGCCTCTATGGACACCCCAAGCACCTTTGTTCTACATTCCACTTTTAAAGTCATAAGACCTTGTTAAGTTCTTGAAGCCAAGAGAGCCCAATTTACGCCAGCATTTCTAATTTGTATACCTGGCTTAATATATTTTTACTCATCTTGCATATTTAAATAGCTTCTCACTTTACAACTGCTGTACTACAGTATGAAACATTTTCATATTGATTTATTTCATATTGAATTATTTAACAGACATTTAGTAGACACTTTCTATATAAAGGATTCCAGAAATGAGTAAGCAATCAATTTATACTCTCAATGAATTTTCATTTTACTGAAAAAAAGTTAAGTTAGTAGATTACTGCACTACAGTTTTTGAGACTAGCCTAAGGTGAGATGAGATATGGCTTTCTAGAAAAGATGCTGCCCTCACATACGAGATAATTTTGTCAATGACATACTTAATTCAATAGCCCCATGCAGTATTTTTTTTCAGGCTTACAACTAAAATATCTGATATTTTTCTACCTTTGCAAAATTTAACTAAATTTAAACTATTTAAATTAATTAGTATCTTAATAATAAATACTAATGTGGTAAAATGACTTTAAGGACAGTGGCAAATAAAAAATAAACATTATATCTACCTCAAGAAGATTGTGATTTAGTGGTATGGAAAACTGTGAAAGCTATGCATGCATGCAATCAAAAGCTTAAGAGTTATCTAGATTCATTGGTTGCTATCTCAAAATGATTGCTGCTAGGAAAATGTAGATACTTGATAAGAGAACTATAAACCTGTTTTGTTTCTCTTTATTTGGGATTGATCAAAGTATTTTTAGTCAGAAGTGGCTTGTATATAAATTTATGCAGGTAAGAAAATATATTTGGTAATAAAATGACATTGCAGGAATTTGAATAATCTGGTTTAGTACTTCCTTGACTATAAGGATAATTTAATCACGTTTCAACTCTTTTGATTTGACTTATTCTGAACCATAACCTTAGTTTAAAATAAAAATAAATTTCTGCTATTCAAGGGGAAATTAAAAACTATTGCCTAGATTCATACTTTCTAAGTGAAAGGGAAAGGCTACTTACAACTTACTGTGAGTAATTTATTGGCAAAAATAAAGGCTCATCAAATTCAAATGACAGTCTCTATGCCAAAAAATAAACTGCCATTTTCAAAACTGGAATTTTTATAAAGGAATGCCTGAGAGAAACATTTAACAATTTTGTTGATTTTTCACTTCTGATTTTGAAGATAAAACTTGAAGTATCATGTGCATCAACACCCTAGAGTTTTGTTTTTTGTTTTTTTGTTTTTTTTTTCTCTCTGTGGATGGTACAAAACTGTTCCAGCCAATTTCACCTAAATCAATCATCCCGGGTCTACACACATGGGGGCAGAATCATCAGGGATTTGCCGTGCTAGAATCTTCAATTCCTCCAACAGAGATTTAGGCTGCTGTTGAAAACTGTAGCCAGAACTGTCCTAAAATCATTGTGTTTTTGAAAGTCAATGTGAGTTTCAGAAACAGATTATCATCACTCACTGATTAAGAAATCCTAATTTGGATGAAGCTTGGTTTCACCTCCCTCCAACCAATCAAAGTCTCCATTTTTAGACATAAAGCTAAAAAATGTAGTAAGTTGGGGGAAATTTGCATACTGCATGTGGCTATTTTGTAAGTAGATATTTATTTTGTTCCAAACAACATCCAAATCCATCTGGAAGTGGCTGAAGAATATTAATAAACTTCAGTGTAATTTTGTGGTTAATGTATGACACTTTTGATGTGGTAGGTGTTCAATAACATTTCTAATAATAAAACAATGTTTATATGAAACTCCATATATTATATAGACTATGTTATTGAAACGTTTCATATTTTGAAGAGCTCATATGCAATATGCCTTTTGTACCAAGAGGTAGGAAAGCTAGGCCTCTTGTATTAAACAGCTAAATTGTCGATGCAGAGGAAAAGTTCATGAAGAAAATTACAAGTGCTACTCCAGTGAACACATGAATGATAAGAAAGAAAAACAGCCTTATTGCTGATATGGAGAAAGTTGTAGAAGTATGGACAGAAGAGCAAACCAATCACAACATTCCCTTAAACCAAAGCCTAATCCAGAGAAACACCCTAACTCTCTTCAATTCTATGAAGGCTGAGAGAGGTGAGGAAGCTGCCAAAGAAAGGTTGCAAACTAGCTGAGCTTGGTTCAAAAAGCTTAAGGAAAGAAGTCATCTCCATATCCTAAAAGTTCAAGGTGAAGCAGCAAGTGCTGATGAAGAAGATCCAGCAAGCTATCCAGAAAACCTAGCTAAGATAATTGATAGAACTGTTGTTAGTATAAACAACAGTTGCTATACTAAACAACAGTTTTTCAATTGGAATTAGAATTCTTCTGTTGGAAGAAGACACCATCTATGACTTTCATAGCTAGTGAGGAGAAGTCAATGCCTGACTTCAAGGCTTCCTAGGATAGGCTTAACTCTCTTATTAGGGGCTAATGAAGCTGGTGACTGTAAGTTGAAGCTGATGCTCATTTACTATTCCAGAAATCCTAAGGACCTTAAGATTTATGCTAAATCTACTCTTGTGCTCTAGAAATGTAACGACAAAGCCAAGATGACAGCACTTCTGTTTATAGCATGGCTTACTGAATATTTGAAGCCCACTGTTGACACCTACTGCTTAGAAAAAAAAAATGGTTTCTTTCAAAATATTGCTGCTCATGGACAATGCACCAGACAACACAAGTGCTCTGAAGAAGATGGACAAAGAGATTTATGTGGTTTACATGCCTGCTAACACAACATGCATTCTGCAGCCAGCAGATCAAAGAGTAATTGTGACTTTCAAATCTTATTATTTAAGAAATACATTTCGCAAGACTATTGCTGCCATAGAAAAGTGATTCTTCTGATGTATCTGGGCAAAGTAAATTAAAATGCTTTTGGGAAGAATTCATGATTCTACATGACCTTAAGAACATTCATGATTCATAGGAGGAAGTCAACATGTCAACATTAACAGGAGTTTGGAAGAAGTTGACTCCAACCCTCATGGATAATTTTGAGAAGTTCAAGACTTCAGCACAGGCAGTAACTACAGATATGGTGGGAATAGCAAGAGAATTAGAATTAGAAATGGAGCCTAAAGAGGTAACTGATTGAATTGCTGCAATTTTATGATCAAACATTAATGGATGAGGAGTTGCTTCTTATGAAACCTACTCCTTCCTGGTGAAGATGCTGTGAATACTGTTGAAATGACAAAAACAGATTTAGAATGTTATGTGAAGTTAGTTACTCAAAACGTGGCAGAGTTTGAGAGGACTGACTCCAATTTTCAAAATACTTTTATTTTGGATACAATGCCATCAAACAGCATCACGTGCTGCAATCTTTCATGAAAGGAAGAGTGAATCAGTATGACAAACATCATTGTCTAATTTTAAGAAACTGACACAGCCACCCCAACCTTCAGCAACCACCACCCTCACTCAGTAGCCATCAACATCCAGGCAAGACCCTCCATTGGCATAAAGATTACAACTCGCTGAAGGCTCAGATGACTATTAGCATTTTAATAATAAAGTATTTTAAATTAAGATATGTACTTTTTTTTAGACATAATGCTATTGCACACTTAAGCGACTACAGTATATTGTAAACATATCCTTTATATGCACTGAAAACCCCCAAAAAGGGTGTGGCTTATTTTATTTCAACATTTGCTTTATTGGCATGGTCTGTAACTGTGCCCACAATATCTCCAAGGTATACCTGTATTTTTAAAGGTTGCTTTTCCCTTCATGCTTTGTATGTCTAAGAACAAGATTTTTTTTTCCACAATTACCTGTGTTTAGCCCACTTTTTGAGGGGATTTTTTTTTTTTCTTGCTGATTTGTTTGAGTTCCTTGTAGACCTGGATATTAGTCCTTTGTCAGATGCATAGTTAGCGAAAATTTTCTCCCACTCTGTGGGTTGTCTGTATACTGTGCTGATTATTTCTTTTGCCATGAAGAATCTTTTTAGTTTAATTAAGTCCTATTTATTTACCTTTGCTTTTGGATTCTTTGTTATAAACTCTTTGCCTAAGCCAATATCTAGAAGAGTTTTTCTTTTTTCTTCCCTTTTCTTTTCTTTCTTTTTTTTTTTTTCACCGATTCTCACTCTGTCACCCAGGCTGGAGTGTGGTGGCATGATCTCAGCCCACTGCAACCTCTGCCTCCCAGGTCCAAGCAATTCTCCTGCGTCAGCTTCCAGAGTAGCTGGGATTACAGACACCCACCACCACACCAGGCTAATTTTTGTATTTTTAGTAGAGATGGGATTTCACCATGTTGAGCCAGGCTGGTCTTGAACTCCTGACCTCAGGTGATCCACCTGCCTTGGCCTCCCATTTTCTAGAATGTGTAAGTTTTCAGGTCTTAGATTTAAGTCTTTGATCCCTCTTGCATTGATTTTCATATAAGATGAGAGATGAGGATCCAGTTTCATTCTTCTACATGTAGCTTGCTAATTATCTCAGCACCATTTGTTGAATAGGATGTCCTTTCCCCACTTTATGTTTTTGTTTGCTTTGCGGAAGATCAATTGGATGTAAGTATTTGGCTTTATTTCTGGGCTCTCCATTCTGTTACATTGGCCTATGTGCCTATTTTTATACCAGTACCATGGTGTTTGGATGACTATAGCTCTGTAGTATAGTTTGGAGTTGGGTAATGTAATGTAATGCCTCTAGACCTGTTCTGTTTGCTTAGTCTTGATTTGGCTATGCAGGCTCTTTTTTGGTTCCGTATGAATTTTAGGACATGAAAAGGCAATTCTCAAAAGAAGATATAAAAATAGCCAGGAAACATATGAAAAAACATGCTTAACATCACTAATTATCAGGGAAATGCAAATTAAAACCACAGTGCAATACTACCTTACTCCTGCAAGAATGGCTATAATTAAAAAATTAAAAAAACATAGATGTTGGCATGGATGTGGTGAAAAGGAAACACTTTTACACTGCTGGTGTGAACGTAAACTAGTACAACCACTATGGAAAACAGTATGGAGATTCCATAAAGAATGAAAGTAGAACTTCCATTTGATTCAGCAATCCCACTACTACCCAGAGGAAAAGAAGGTCATTATATGAAAAAGCCACTTGCACATGCATGTTTATAGCAGCATAATTTGCAATTGCAAAAATATGGAACCAGCCCAAATGCCCATCAATCAATGAGTGGATAAAAAACATTATATATATATATATATATTTATGTGTATTATACACACACACACACATATATGTATATATATGCGCTATGGAATACTAGTCAGCCTCAGAAATGAATGCAATAATGGCATTTGCAGCAACCTGGATGGAGATGGAGACCATTATTCTGAGCGACTTAACTCAGGAATGGAAAACCAAACATTTCATGTTCTCACTTATAAGTGGGAGCTCAGATATGAGGATGCAAAGGCATAAGAATGATTCAGTGGAGTTTAGGGACTCAGGAGAGGGGGTTGAGGGATAAAAGACTAAACATTGGCTACAGTGTACATTGCTCGGGGATGAGTGCACCAAAATCTCCAAAATCACCACTAAAGACCTTATCCATGTAACCAAACACCACCTGTTCCTCAAAAACGACTTAAGTAAAAACAAAACAAAAACAAAAACAAAATTACCTGTGCTGCTCACCCCCAAAAAGGTATATGGAAATTTCAAGCTCAGATCCTCAGAACCTAACATAGATTTTAAAAATAATCAGTGCTAAGTAATTTTTGTTAAGTAGAATAAAGTAAATCAATTAGGCGCATATTTTTCTGTCATGTTTTTCATTCTCTCTGTTTCCCATACTCACATTCTGAAATTGATTTGATTAGAGATAAAAATCTCTTGTCACTTGAGACAAATGAGCTGCTTGTAGATGTTTCCAATTACCTTGCCTGAAAATGCCAATACAATTCTTAAATTACAAACAGGAATGAATCATTCTTGCAGTTTCCCATAGATGCTATTATCTGAATGAGTTTGCATTCCACTGAAACATTCATATAATTATTTCAAATATGGGTTAGGTAGTTATGTCAGTGTTTTGTTTTTAATTGTTTATTTGCTGGACATAATATTATATTTGTGATATTATCAACCTTAAATTATTAAGATTTCTACCTTTATCAGTATGGAGATATAGATTCTCTTATAAAGTTCTTTTGCTAGAAAACAACTAGTTCTGAGATAAGTTATAATGTAACTCATTTGAAAGTTACAGAAATATTCAGGTAATAGACTACAATGGGAAGTAAGTGAAGCCTAGAGTAACACTGGGCACATTAGGTGTTTAATAAGTATTTGAAGCAGTTACTAACGCTAGTGTTGCCCAGTGAGCAAATGCTGACAAACAGGGCCAAAAAAAGCAGGGATTGTATTTTTACAGTATTGAGAAAAAATAACTGTAAACCTAAAATTTTGAAACCAGAGAATATACTTTTCATGAATGAGAGTAAAAGAAGTACATTTTCAAGTACAGAAAAATGAACAGAATTTACAGCCACATGCATCACTAAAAAAGTTTCTAAGAATGTAGTTCTGGAGGAAATAAAATCACCCTGACATGAAATTATGAGATGAAAACAAAGTGAATATGTAATTACATCTAAACAAAAAACATATGAATATGATAAAATGCTGCCTAAAGTGTGAGATTAAAAGGAAAATGAGACAGGACTAAACTAGACAATAATAGTGTGCTAGCTGGGAGGGTGTTAACAGTCCACGTGTTCCAGGATGTTTTTACTATTTGAAAGAAGGGATAAGACATACATTAAAAAGATATTCATGTTGCAAAGTTAAGTACCAACCACGAATAAATATTAAACAAATAATATATCATGACCAAGTTTGGTTTATCACAAAAATGAATAATTGGTTTTACATTACATATTTAATTAATTACCATATCACATTCAATTATTAAAATCCCTAAACCATGTAATCATTTCACTTGCAGCAGACAGCACATTTGGTATAATTCAATAACAATTTTTTATTTTATTTTTAAAAATTGAACATGTAGATGTGGTATAGATGCTAAAGCCTACATAATGCTTCATGGAGAAATATAAGCATTCCTCTATTATACACACAAAACAAGTATGGCCACTCTCAACATTTCTATTCACATTGTATTTGTGTCTGGTCAGGCACGGTGGCTCACGCCTGTAATCCCAGCACTTTGAGAAGCCAAAGCAGACGGATCACTAGAGGTCAGGAATTTGAGATCAGCCTGGCCAAAATGATGAAACCCTTTCTCTACTAAAAGTAAAAAATTAAAAAAAATTAGCTGAGTGTGGTGGCAGATGCCTGTACTCCCAGCTACTCGGGAGGCTAAGGCACGAGAATCACTTGAACCTGGGAGGCAGAGGTTGCAGAGAGCCAACGTCCTGCCACTGCACTCCAGCCTGGGCAACAGTTATTGAGACTATATCTCAGAAAACAAAACAAAACAAAACAAAAACATTGTATTGATGCCTTAGCCAGAAGTATAAAAAAGAAGAGACAATATGTTTATTATTTTTGGAGATTACATATATATTTTAAAACAATCTAAATTGAAATAATAAGTGAACCAGAAACAATCTTTAAAAAATGTACCCAAAACTCTTTCAAGATAAGTGTAAAATGGAGTGGAATATATTAAAGAATACCTGAATAAATAGAGAGGCATGCATGTTGCTGAATAAGAAACCTAACATGACAGCGTTAGATAATCACAGGTTGATTTACAGATATAATTGAATAACCATAACAATTTGACACAGGATTTTTCAAGTAATATTCTAAACTTTAAAAGCAGAGAAAAAGACTAGGACTATCAAGACATTCTGGAAAAGATGAAAGGGAGAAATTAGAATATTAATGCTTGCTTAAAGCTATATTAGTTTTACTAATTTACATACTGTCAGCACAAGGATAGACAATGTAACTTGTGGAAAAGAATAGAAAAATCAGAAGTAGATATTTGCAAATATTAGTAAGAAGCATGATATATGTAACACATCTGAAATTTTGAAGCAGTGGGGAAATTATTAACATTCAAAATGGTATGGAACATTAGTTATCCCTATGATTAAAATGAAATGTAATGCCTAAATCACACTGAATTCAAACATCAAGTTCAAATTATGTAGAAAATTAAATGTGAAAGGCAAACTTTAAGACATTCCTAAAAAAAGTGTGACTATCATTATGATCCTTGATCTATGAAATATTTAAGATTATATAAAACAAGCTGACCATTAAGAGAGATAAATTTGATCACAATAAATGGATACGTTTTGTTAAAAATATGTAAAAAGACAAGCCACAAACAGGAAAAATATTTGCAGCATATTTAGATAACAAAGTATTAATAATATTAAACAACATTAAGAACTCCCGCCATTTAAGAAGTAGGTCAATGACTCAATTAAAATTTTTTTGAAAGGCTTGAGTAAGCTTTTCCCAAAAAAGAAACAACCAATGAATGGCCAACAAATGAATAAAAATATGTTTATCCTGTTTTGTAATGTGGGAAAGACAATTTATCTCTCTGAATTAGCATTTTACACGAACTAAATTTGCAAACATTTTTTAAAAGTCAAATAATTCTAAGAATAGCTGCAGTTGTGGGGCAATGGGGATTCATACATTGCTGGTGGAATTTAAATGGAATTGGAATTAAATTACATTGGAAAGTAAAGCATATATCTTTGATAATTTCTTGTGAGTGCATATCAGGAAACATAATAGGAAATTAACAACATGTAGCCTATAATGTAGTTTGAAATAATCAAAACATCCATCAACATAAAAATCAATAAACACAATATTTACACAATGGAGTACTATAAATACTAAAATGAATTAGCTGTGGCTACATACATCAACAAGTATGATTCTTAGAAACATAATGTGAAACATTATGTTTCACAGAAAATCACATACATTATTTTATTTTTATAATGCACAAAACTAAGCAAAAGTCAATGAAATATTTCTTAAGGACAGATATGTGTTTTCCCATGTACTCTGAAAAAATGAAGAAATTAGGTGATAGATACACATGTTGTGTACATAGATACATACATGAGCAAAGCAAGACAATAGTAAACACAAACTCTACAATTGTATTTAATAGCACTAGGAAAGGTAGGAGGTACAACTAGAGAGGTTAAACTGTGCCTTACTTCATTATTTGGATGGTAAATTCATAGTATTTTGGAAAGATGTTCAATAGCTTACATATAAGATACATATATCCTTTTATATGTATCAAATGGAAATATGTCAATGATTTTAAAATTGCCAAGCTGGTATAAAAGCTATAATTTTGTAGGTTTTGTTGTTGTTGTTGTTGTTGTTGTTTTGCCATATCCCATATCTGTTCTTCCAGAAGTCTTGGCATGTCCTTGACTGCTCAATAAAGAAGGACGTCCTGAGAGACTCACAGGGGTGAGGCATACTTATTGAAGGTCCACCTGTATAATCTTGTTTACGCTGCACGTTCGATGAGTTTTCATTCTTATGACAAAACCACACACTTTGCAAGTTTAGAAGGGGTTAAGGGGTTTTCCATAGGTCCACTCACCTACTCATTTTCTCTTTAAGCCAAGGAGAAGATTTATAAGCATATATTTGATTTCAAACTTAGTGTACATGAATTGTTTAAAATCCAGAACCTTGTATCTCCCCTTAGGAAAGTTTTTTTGTTTTTGTTCTTTTTTTCTGATGTAGGTACCAAGTATCGGCATTTTTGACTCACAGCTCCAGAAGAAATAAATGAAGTAGCCTTCTAATGGAAATCTGAGAATCCATTCTACAGGAATGAAATTGGTACATTAATTGTGAAGGATGATTATTGCTAGTTTCATTTTGCCACAAATCTCCTTATATCCTAGCCTTGCCATTTGTGCGAAAACATTGGGCTTCAATAATTATTATTTTCAATGTAAAGGGAAAGGGACTCATTCGTCACTGTGTTGTCACAATTTCATATGTACTTTTCATAGCCAGGCTATTCTTAATGAAATCTTGCCAGGTCTATAATAATATACGTATAGATTTTGTGTTTCTTCCTATGTTTTAGTATTGAGAGAATTATGAACCTGTGTCTCTTGAGCGGAAATCTTGTATTTGTTAGAACTATAGATCATAAGGTTTGCCCTAATTGCCATCCTCCAATAATCATGCAATCTTAATTTACACACAAGAAAAGAAACATTGATTTTGGCTTGTGAGTAAAGCTTACAGTGACAACAATTAATCTTATTTTGCTTTTTAAAAACTGCACATTTGGTGTGACAATTATCAAAGATTAATGATATGGAAACCACAATACTGTTTTCTAATCATAATTATAGTATGATATTTAGCAAATACTAGTTTCAGAAGAGATTCTCAGAATCTCTTAGCAAATACTGTCATGACAGTCATGAAATGCAATGGTCTAACACAACTTAAAGATATACCTAGACATTCTTAGTACAATATCTTGGTGTTTTCTGTCTCATGGGTATTATCTAACATCTAATGTTCTTACTTTGCATGGCTGTCCATGCGGACATTTTTTTTTTCCTTAGGTAAGAATTGAAGTAATAATTCAGACATTTTAAACTTATTGCTTATATTACAACCTTAATAATTTGAAAAACATCCACACCTGAGATTGCTTCTGATATAATAAATGTCCGCCCATAAATATCAAAGGTTCATTCTAAAATAGTTCCTCTTCCAACTATAATGAGATCCACAATCATTTCTTGTCTTTGAAAAAGTAGGAGAAAACATAGAATATGCCATAACTTCTATTTCAATTCTACTCAAAATGTACCAGCTAACGAATTAGAAAGAAATGATCATACACACTATCTTGGCAAGGAAGTATTTTTTTTTTAATATACAGAAAATAGCTTTTAAATCTTACCTATACTGAACAGCCTAGACATGACCCAGAATTGCAATCACTTCCAATGCAGAAAAGTAATTGGATAGGGTCAAGTTTGCAACCGTGATTTTAAAATTTATGAGAATCTTGACTGTAGTCTTAAACATTGCCAGGGAATCAGACTGTCACAACTTAAATCTCAAGAGTCTGTATAAAGAAATATTTGGCAAGTTTCATGGTTGTAATCACTAGTGAATATGGGGACTAAGATAAGATTCTTCATTACAATTTAAGGGAGGAGGCCCTACCATTCATTTATAATATTGCAATGAAAATTAAAATGTAGACCACAGACCAAATCTGAGTCCATTTAAAAAATATTTGAGAGAGTCAACTTACTGGTATGTACCTACAGGGCCTCTAGTGATAGCTGTTTATTTTTTAGTATACACAAACAAAATAAGTTTAACGACGCATCATTACCCATTTTGCCCATCATAAAATATATTCTACAGTAAAATGAAACGTCATTTTATCCAACATGCACTTAATTCCTCTTATATTTAATGAAATAATAATTTATTTTCTGTGATATACTGTTTCTATTCCTGATCTTGATTCTTTTCATTCTAAACTTTGAGAACTGAAAGCATCATATATTCAGATATGCAAAACAAACAATGCAACTAATTAAAAGAAAAACATCACTTTTTTAGAGATTTAGAAAATAAATTAGAAAATATGAACAGCTAACTATGGCACACTTTCTCAGTGGTATATTATTACACTATTATTTAATAAAAATATAGGTGGGAGTAAAAGACAAAGCTGTAAAGATAAAATGTTATATAATAGTTGTATATAAATGTGAACAAAGACTGGAAGAGAACATGGAAAATATAAGCAATTAGTTTTCAAGTTATATTTGTATAACACTCATTGAGTTTTAATCTGGTAATTTTTTACGATGTATCTTAAATTCTAAAAACTCTCTGAAAAATGAAGGAAATTATCACCTGAACAACATCCACGATATATTATGAATGTTATCTTTAAATATCCATAAGTTTACCAAATTTTCAAATTACAAGTTATTAGAAAATTTAACAATGTTTGATTTCAGAACAACATTTGAGGAATGCTGGCTTAAATCAGTATGGATGAGTAGCCCTGGGCTGGGCTCATTAGACATGGCTTGTTCTTTGCCACGGAGAGTAAATTAAAGTATTAGCATGGTGCAAAAGTAATTGCGTTTTTTGTCATAGTGCTTTCCATTGTATTTATCTGCCATCTGGTAGGGAATTGTCCTCCTGTGCACCTTAAAACCCAGTCAAGAATTTTTCTGTGATCATATTTGAGAGAAGGGGAATAAAGTGATCACAAATAACACTCAGATAAGAGATCTGGCACACATCAGCTCAGCTCTTAATTCACTGAAGAAAGCTTGGTCATATATCCATACTTAGCTGCAAGAGAGTTTAGCAAATATAGTCCAGCCATATTCATGGGTATAATTATATTACAACAGAGCAAGGAATAATGTATTTTGATGGACATCTAGCAGTACCCACTATGATCTATCACATAGCTAGCTGTTCATCCATGTGTGAAGAATTGGAATAAGTTCCCAACTGTAAAGCAAGATGACAGTTACCACAAGGCTCCACAATTAACTCTGTATAGATGGAGAATGAGAAGTTAGCCTCACTCTTTTAAGAGAGAACACCTTCAAATGTAAGGTACAAATTATCCTCTCTCACAGTTATTCTCTGTTGAGTGTTTTTACAAAAACTGAGTACAAGTTACCCTGTGCGATTACTAGGCCTATTTCCAAATACAAAGACCAACCAGCAGGCAAGTACCTGAAATCATCTCTAGTAATCAGCAAAAATTCCAAAAGTGAATTATTTTATGTCAACAGGGAACAAGTGATTAGTCTTAGTATAAATATTTAAAATCCTTTAGTATACTCTAAAAAATTGGTTCGTAGGATTGAAAAATAAAATAAAAAAGAAAGAAAAGTGCAAAGGATTTGCCAACTTAAGAAAAATCATAAAATAGACTTTGTAAGAATACTCATTTTAGGTACTTTTGTCTATAATTAGTATAAATTATTAGTGTCACACAGTTTTAAATATAGATTAAATGCAACATAATAGTTAATTTCAGAAAAGTCAAACAACCATGTGCAATGCACATACTAAGTTGAAGCATTAAAAATTGCTAATATTTGTTTTTAATGTACTAAATTAGCTAATTCATGTGGTTTAACCTAGGATTATAGTCCTTAGTTAACATATTAAAAATATGCAATTTAAAAAAAGAAATTGTTTTTTTCCATTTAATAGATACAGAATAAGTGTTTAATAATGTTTCAATTATATTATCTGATAAATTCATATTTATCTGATTTTTCCTGACTTCAGCCCTACTCCTTTAGGTCTACTTAATATCTTTGCCTTTATAATGCTATATATCTGTATAGTGTTTTACTATGTATATGGTGTTTTTACTGTCACATCTGATCCACAGAACATTTGGGTAAAACAATTAAGGCAGTTACTACATGTCCTATTTTATAGGTAAAGAGATAGAAACCTATCTTTTAAAAGTCAGGTTCTAACATAATCTCTTCTAAGATATCTTTCTTTACTCAAATGTGTGATATAGATGGTCCTCCTCCATGTTTCCATGATACTCATGCATGCCTCAATGATAGCACTTATTATGGTCACATTAAATGCTTGCCCAATTGACTTGTAAGCTCCTATGCACCTCTTCCTAAAATGACCCTGTGTCTCCAGCAGCCAGTAAAATGTCTGGCAAATAGCAGACTTTCAGTAAATATTTGCAAATGAGTGTATTCTTTACCAGTAACAAGACAACCCCCCCAAACACATACATACACACAGACAGAGAGTATTTGAGTATACATTGTAGTATATAATAGATTTTATTGAAAACTGAAGTCGGTTTTGTTACAGAAATGTAAGCAACTTCAAATTGAACAAGCAACATTGTTATTTTTACGTATGTTGTAGCTGTCGTAGCTTCTCAATCTCTAAGGAACTTCCTTTCACCCTCTACTCTCTTCTCTCTTCATCTTTTGTTCTTTCCCCCTTACTATAAGCACTTTCCCCATTTCAAATAGAAAAGCAAATTCCTTTCTTTATATCATACCTCCCTCTCTTTCACTCTCTCTCTCTCTCTCTTTGTCCCTTCTTGACCCTGACCTACTACACAAGGAATTTAAGATATAATTTTTCCAAACAAACATAGTTCCCTCAACAGAGAATTCTGGTATCAGCTGTTAATGTTCTTTTAAGATTCCTGTATATATAAATCTTACCAACCAAGCAAGAGGAAAAGTGGAAAATCTCATCATACTACTAAATTCTACCCTAAAAAATGTAAAACTCAAGTGTGAGACAGAAAGATGCAGATTATCAATGACTGACACTAAATAAATGAATAATATTATCAAGCTGAAAAATTACCATCTGAGGGCAAAAAGAAAAACGTATAGACAAGGCAACTTAAAATATCTGCAGAATTTAGATCTCTGACCCTTAAGCTGCTTGCCTCAATTCTCATTGATTATCCCACATATAAGCTTCTTGAACAGAATTAATAAATGAATCACATGACTTGCTCCAAATCAAGCAGTTGTTAAGTAAGAGTCAGTCTAAAAACCCAAGTGTTGGATTTCAGGGTCAGGGTGCTCAGCCTTCACTACAGCCCATAATTTACCTGCAGTTATTTGGGGGAATTTAAGGAGAATAAAGAATTCAGCTTATGCATATTAAGCATGGCGTATGTAAAACTGCATTTACATAACTTACTCAATTTTATACCATTTCCATCTCACCTTACATGTGGTGCAGTATTTAGCCTTTTGCAAATTGATTGAACTTAAGGTTTATGGATTCTTTAGTCTCCAGGGAAACACTGACAATATATTTGTGTATTGAGGGTTTTCTTTTGTTGTTATATGTTAGCTCAGCAAAATGTTCAGTTATCTCAGATAAATTGAAAATACAGTCTGCTGAAGCAAGTATTTAAAATGAATAGTCTTTTTTATTCCTTCATCTACCTTAAATAAATAGCTTTGTACTAATACTGATTTTCAAGTTAAGAGTTCTATTCTGAGGAGTCACATCACCTTAGCCTCACACACTAAAAATAATAATTCGTTTTTTATATCCTTGCTTAGTATTTGAAATAGCTTTCCAGGTAGAGAATTTTAAATGGTAAATGAGTTCAGTACACGAACTCAGACCACCTATTTAACTTGCGAAAAGATACATTTTTAACAGTTTTACTGGGCAACCAATTCCCAACAGTTTGACAGATTCGGGTTTAAGGTCTAGTAGTATATGCTGGCCATACCTCACCACACAATTTTCAAGGGCAGCTTGAGGTCAATTTGCATTTTTGTAAAACCACTGTAGAGCTGAAGACAGACAGCCAGGGCTGTCTATGATGATTGCTGTGCCACTTTTCTTGAGCTTCTAGACTTTGATAAGCACAGTCTGTCAACACATATGTAAGTATACTTACTGTAACCCGGTGCTTTACTATTTATTTTGCACACCAGGCTGATAAAATTGAGCCTTGACAGAGTTGCAAGATTTTTCAGTGTTGATTTTTCTGAAAACTCATTCCAAAGCCATTGAATTTTGCAATTTAACATTTATACTTCATTCTTTCAAATAACTTATGAAATCTTGTTATTGAAGGCAAGAATTAGTGAAACTAAATTAATTCTGATTTTTCCCTGCAGGAAATGAGATGTAATATCCAGTCAAATCAATGGAATCTCTAGATGAAATGATTAAAAGGCAATTCTCATGTTTTCTGGGACCTGAATAATTTTAAAATAGTTTAAAAATTCAAGCCTCTCTTATCACAGGTCACTGCTCTTTAATGAATCACAACAGACAAATCAGAATTTCTCAAACTACTTTGTTTTGAACATCATGGTCAAAGTTCACTAAATACTTGAGATCCTCTTTGAAAAAAACAATTTATTTGATGATGTCAAACAAATTAGAAGAAAAAAACACTTTATTTCTATTGCTATGAAAAGATAAACTGAACTTGCATTCCAAAATTTAGCCTTTTCTCTGCATAATAATTACAACAGGAAATAATCTCTCTTATAGGAACAGCTCAGTTCCCATGCCATTTCTGATGGTGTTTTTTTTAGTTTGGTGTCTTTCAACAGAGCCAGTAGAAAAGAACAAACTAGAGCAAGATAAAGGTTTAACTTTTTTTAAAAGGGGAGGGCAGAAAACCAAAAGCAATATTTGAAATTATACCCTAATTCAATATTGAAAATAAAAAACTAATCTGCTACAGGGTGTACCTTTAGAGGTTTATGAAGTTCAATTTCCTGTGGCTTCAAGCATTATATCAGTCCCTCTGTTTATTCTATGTTACGTCTGGTTTGAAAACAAAAAACTTATTTTTTCCCAATCCTCAAACACAATTATAGTTTGTAGAAAAATAAGGGAGTCAGTTGACCTCAGTGTTGAAACACCTAGATTTCACTGCTGGGATTTCGTATTTAGAATAACAAGATAAAATAGCATTTCAAATGAGTTGTCCATAGACAATATCATTTAGGTTGACACTTGGATACAATCCTGCTTCTCTTTATAGAACTGAGCAAAGACTGATCATTTTAGGAATGTACCTCTCTGTATATAAAAGAAGAGAATCAATAATAAGAAATTTGTTCAAATTACACATAGATTCCATATTTTAATTGATTACTATTAATAATAAGAAAAGTTCTCATAATTTTACTAAATCAACCCAAAGATTATGAAAAAAATTAACAGGTTGAGCATGAAAACAGCTTTATTAACTAATTTATCCATTTTCTATCTTAACTGTGCTAGACCAAGTCAAATGAGTGGGTCTGAAGTTCACAAAATAGATAAAAAATGAAAGTGGATCTCATTAGCATTTACTATGAGTCATGTACATGGATGAAAATTCCAAAGGAGAAAGTGGAAATTGAGGTGTTGTTCAAGAATTTTCTTCCAGGAACATCGACCTGAAAACAATTTTCAAAGAAAGAGAAGACCATGGCAGAGACAAAGGGGGAAAAAAAATTAACAAGGTATAATCTGACAATTATTGTGTCATGGGAACCACAGAGAAAAGCTGTTCAGAGAGAATTATCACCTGCTAAACCCTGTGGAGAGGTCAAATGAAAAAGGATTAACAATGATTCATTGTGTAACAAAATATGAAATACCTTTTGCTAGCTAAAGCACTTTTGGTAACTGGTAACAAAAGAAGCTAAATTTTAAATGTTTGCAGTCGAGAATTAGGGGAACCTTGGAGACAATAAATGAAGACTTTTGCTTGTAAAGGAGACAAACACAATACACAATACTAATTAGAAAAAGGCTAATTTTCTTGCTTGATGTTAAAAAATAATTAAACCGGAAAAGGTGACCATGCTGAGGTAAATAAGTTTGGAGCATAGAAAAATGGCTTAAGCATAACGATATGCTAGAAACGGTAAGAGAGAATAGACTCACATTCTGTGAGTAAAATTTCTTTTGGAGAAGAAGGGGAAGAGATCTTTCACTGATACACAAAAGATAGAGGCAAAAAGGAAGCACAAATCTAATGTCAGTTATGAAGGTAATTGAGACTCTGCTATGCAGGATCCCAGACTATTAAGAGTTTTCACTTGTGCCTTCTTCATGCTGCTTTTTCTTCTCCTAATTTTCAGCATTACCTTTGCATTTTTGTCATACGTTTCCCGTTCCAATTTCACTCAAGTTCATCTTACTATGGTGAGCTTTTCTCTTTATCCTTTAAAAAATCTGTTCACAAGATAAGTAAGGCATTCACAAGACATTTACAACCTACATGCTAAGTGTTATGAAATACTCTCTGTTCCTGGCGTGGAGCCCATTATTTTGTGATGGTGAATCATGCATGTCCAGAAAGAAGATGATGTGTATTAAATAGGTACTGACTCATTTCTGGTTTTTCATTAGTCGGCCAAACTTAGGTATTTCAAATTTAAGAACACAGAATTGATCTGGACCTGCTTTTGGTTTCCTACCAAGATTCAACTTGAAGATATATTCTTTTCTTTTCCTGTTTAAACCAACAGAATTGGGTAAAATCAATGAGTAAGATGAATAGGGCCAAGGAGCATGCTCTTTATCATATTCTGGATACTTGTTGGTAGAATTCACTATAGTATTGAATTAACCTTGTCAAATCTATCATATTTTGGATACATGTTTGTGAAATTCACAATACTTTTAAATTAACTTTGTCAAATCTACATTGAGCAGCCTCCCTATGTTTTGGAAGAAGCAATCGAACATCAGAAACATGTAACACAATTCCGTATTGGAAGGAATCCACTTTATTGTATAGCAAAATATGGAATCCTTCTTCATTTTTAGAATATCAGAATTCACCTTGATTCAAAAGAATAGCATCTTTGTGAAATGATTCCAATTTTTTTAGCAGCTGTACTGAGGTATAATTGATATACAATGAATTTTAATTCACATGTTTAATATATGAAATTTGATGAGTTTGTATATATTCTTACTATTGTGATACTATCACCATAATCAAGGTAATAAACATGTCCATCACCTACAAAGCTTTTTGTGTGTTCCTGTGTGTGTGTTGGGGAGGGAGGTGGAGTTATGTGTGTAAGATAAGAATGATTAATGTGAGAGCTACCTTTTTAACAAAATTTTAAATGTATAAAATCATGCTGATAACTACAGGCAACACGTTGTACGGAAGATTTCTGAAGCTTATTAGCATTGCATAGCTGAAACTTTATACCTACTAAAAACAACTCCCCATTTCTCTTCATCCCCAGTTCCTGGGAAAAAATAATTTCATTCTCTGCTTCTATAAGTTTGGCTATTTTAGTTACCCTATACAATACAATATTTATTTTTATGAGACTGGCTTACTTCACTTTGCATAATGTCTTCCAGGTTTACCCATGTTGTTGCAAATGATAGAATTTCCTTTCTGTTTTAAGCCAAATAGTATATATACCACATTTTCTTTACCTATTTGTCTGCCAATGGCTATTCAGGTTGTTTCTATATCTTGGCTATTGTGACTAATGCTGCAATGAACATGGGAATGCAGATGTCTCTTCAAGATACCAATTTCCTTTCCTTTGGATGTATACCCAAAAGTGAGATTGCTGGATTATATGGTAATTCTATTTTTAACTTTTTGAGGAATCACCATATATTTTTCCATAGTGGCTGCATTATTTTGCATTCAACCAACAGTGTATATGAGTTTCAATTATCCACATCCTCACCAACATGTGTTATCTGTCTTTTTTTTTTTTTTTTAATAATAGCTTTCCTAACAGGTATGAGGTGATATATTATTGTGGTTTTGGTTTGCTGATAATTGGTGATGTTGAGCACATTTGAATCCTGATGATTAGTTATGTTGAAAATCTTTTTCATATACCTGGTAGGCATTAGTATGTATTATTTGAAGAAATGACTATTCAAATCTTTTTTCCACATTTAATCACTTGACAAACTAAATATAGGAGAAATGCAATATAATAAATGCTGTTTCTGACAAGCCCATAGCAGCTAACATCATGCCCAACAGTGAAAAACTGAAAGCTTTCATCTAAGATCAGGAATAAGACAAGGATACTGACTCTCACCACTTCTATTTAACATAGTACTAGAAGTTCTAGCCAAAACCACTGTGTACAAAAAAATATAAAGTATATAAAAATATATAAAATAGGAAAAAAGGTAAAAATATGTCTATTTGCAAATGACATAATTTTATATGTAGGAAACCCTCCACAAAAAAACTGTTAGAAATAATAAATTTATTAGGTTACAGAATACGAAATTGACATAGAACAATCAATTGCACTTCTACACACAAACAACAAACTATCTAAAAGGAAATTAAGAAAACAATCTTATTTACAATGACACCAAAAATAATAAAATACTTAGAAATAAACTTATCCAAAGGAGAGAAAGGCTTGCACTCTAAAAACTGCAAAACATTGATGAAAGAAATAAAAAAAGACTCAAATAAATGGAAAAACATTCATGTTCGTGGATTAGAAGACATAGTATTGTTAAAATGTCCATACTTCATAAAATGATCTAAAGAGCCAATGTAATCCTCGTCAGAATTTCTATGGCCTTTTTTTTTTTTTTTTTGCATAAATAGAAAAAGCAATCCTAAAATTTATATGGAACTGCAAAAGCTCAAAGTAGCCACAAGGATCTAAAGAATATAGCTGAGGGCATCACACTTATTGATTTCAAAATAATATAATAAAACATAGTTATCATAACAGCATGGTATTAGCATTAAAATAGACATATAGACCAAAGGAATAGGATACATAGTACTGAAACAAACCCATGTTTTTATGGACAACTGACCTTCAAAAAGGGTATCAAGAATACCCAATGGTGAAAACACAGTCTCTTCAACACATGTTGCTGGGAAAAGTATATTTATATGCAAAAAAAAATGAAATTGGACTCTTACACTATACACAATAAAACTAAAAATGTATTAGACTTAACAGTAAGACTTAAAATCATAAAACTTCTAGAAGAAAGCATAGAGAGACTTTTCTTTGATATTGGTTTTGGCAATGGTTTCTTGGATATGGAACCAAAAGCACAGACAATAAAAGCAAAAACGGACAAGAGGACTACATCAAACTAAAAAGCTTCTGCACAACCAGAGAGACATCATCACAAAAGTGAAAAGGCAACCTATGGAATAAGGGTCAATATTTGCAAACCATTTTCTAAAAATAGTTTAATATTAAAGTATATTTAAAAACCTTCTACAACTCAAAAGCAAATAATAATAACCCAATAAAAATGGGCAAAGTCCTCCTTATTTTTTTCCTATAACATCCTCTTGCTTTTGATTATCTTCTTCTTTGTTATATTACCATTTATTTCTGCTGTATTTTCTCAATTACATATTCCATCTCACACTCTTAGGAAGGAGTTCCCCTAAAGCCCTTTTCTCTTTCATTTGAGAAAGGAAACAAAGTTGGTGATGAACTCAGATATAAAGACAAAATTAACACACGGCCAGAAGGTTAATGGGGTATTTTTCACAGCACATATTTCTCAGCTCTTAAACTTCAATACGTTTTAGTTGTTGTTGTTGTTGTTTTAATAAAATTGCTCTGATTTCCCAGGCATGTTTATCTCTTGCTATCACCACCTGGTGATAGCATTAAACTTCTGTTAAACTGCTAGGTGCTAATAAGCAGCATGAATTTCTTATTTCATGTTAGAAAGACAATAGAGCCTTCATTTCAAGTCATTTAACATAACTCAAATTCAGAGTTTTCTTGAATAAATGGAAAAACATTCATGTTCATGGATTGGAAGACTTAATGTTAAAATTTTTATGCTACACAAGATGATCTAAAGATCCAATGCAATCCTCATCAAAATTTCTATGGCCTTTTTGTTTGCATAAATAGAAAAAGCAATCCTAAAATGTCTTCTTTTGAAATGTGCCTGTTCATATCCTTTGCCCACTTTTTGTTGGGGTTGTTTTTTTCTTGTGAATTTGTTTAAGTTCCTTGTAGATTCTGGATATTAGCCCTTTGACAAACACATAGATTGCAAAAATTTTCTCCCATTCTGTAGGTTGCCCATTCAGTCTGATGATAGTTTCCTTTGTTGTGCAGCAGCTCTTTAGTTTAATTATATCCCATTTGCCAGTTTTGGCTTTTGTTGCAATTGCTTTTGATGTTTTAGTCATGAAGTCTGTGCCCTTGCCTACGCCCTAAATGATATTGCCTAGGTTTTCTTCTAAGGTTTTTATGGTTTTAGGTCTTACATTTAAATCTTTAATCTATCTTAAGTTAATTTCTGTATAAGGTGTAAGTAAGGGGTCCAGTTTCAGTTTTCTGCATATGGCTAGCCACTTTCCCCAACACCATTTATTAAATAGGGAATCTTTTCCCCGTTGCTTGCTTTTATCAGGTTTGTCAAAGATCAGATAGTTGTAGCTGTGTGGCATTATTGCTGAAGCCTCTGTTCCATTCCACTGTTCTATATATCTATTTTGGTACCAGTACCATGCTGTTTTGGTTACTGTAGCCTTGTAGTATAAATTCAGGTAGCATGATGCCTCCAGCTTTGTTCTTTTTGCCTGGGATTGTCTTGGCTATACAGGCTTTTTTTTTTGGTTCTATATAAAATTTAAAGTAGTTTTTTTCTAATTCTGTGAAGAAAGTCAATGTTAGCTTAATCGGGATAGCATTGCATCTATAAATTACTTTGGATAGTATGGCCATTTTCACGATATTGATTCCTCCTATCCATGATAATGGAAAGTTTTTCCATTTGTTTGTGTTCTCTCTTATTTCCTTGAGCAGTGGTTTGTAGTTCTCCTTGAAGAGGTCCTTCACATCCTTTGTAAGTTGTGTTCCTAGATATCTTATTCTGTTTGTAGCAATTGTGAATGAGGGTTTGCTCATGATTTGGCTCTCTGTTTGTCTGTTATCAGTGTATAAGAATGCTTGTGATATTTGCACATTGATTTTGTATCCTGAGACTTTGCTGAAGTTGCTTTTCAGCTTAAGGAGTTTTTGGGCTGAGACAATGGGGTATTCTAAATATAAAATCATGTCATCTGCAAACAGATATAATTTTATTTCCTCTCTTCCTATTTGAATACCCTTTATTTCTTTCTCTTGCCTGATTGTCCTTACCAGAACTTCCAATACTATGTTGAATAGAAGTGGTGAAAATTTCTATTGACCTAGTTTCAGATTTTTGTCTTCTTTCTTCAGTTGTGCTGAGTTTACTGATTAACCTGTGAGAAACATTATTCTTCTCACTTATTTTTCATTTATGATATTTTCATTTGATTCTTTCTTATAGATTCCATTGGGTCAAAATTTTCCATCTATTCACATATGTTGACCAGCTTTACCACTAGAGCTATAAATACATGAATCATATTATTTTAATTCTCCTGTTCATTTATTCCAATATTTGGATTATAAATAGGCCTGATACTGTTGATTGATTTCTCTCTTAATATGCTTGTATTCTTTTTGCATTTTTCCCTAGATTATTTGTTTGTTTCACAAGTTTTGGTTGGAAGTTAAACAAGTTGTGTTCAATAGATGTATCTGTTAGGGTTCAGCCAGGGAAGACCTCACCAGTAGGAGATATATATCAAAAGATCGATTGTAAGAAATCAACTTAGAGGGGAAGCAGAGCAAGATGGCAGAATAGAAGGATCCACTGATTTCCTCTCCCCACAGAAGGACATCAATTTAACAACTATTTACACAAAAATAGCACCTTCATAGGAACCAAAAAATCAAGTGAGCACTCATAGTACTTGGTTTTAACTTTGTATCACTGAAAGAGGCACTGAAGAGGTAATAAAAACAGTCTTCAATAACTGACGTCACAACTCCCCCAATCCCTGGCGGCAGCACTGTGGTGCAGATAGCATTTCTGAATGCTGGGGGAGGGGAAGTGCACCAACTGTGAGGCATTGACCTCCGTGCTCTCCTGTTATAGCAGAAAGACAAACAAAATAAACAAACAAACAAAAAAAAACCACACAGCTTATGTCCACCAATGGAGGGAGCATTGAAACCAACCCTGGCCAGAGGAGCATCCCGAATCCCAGAAGTCTGAACTTAAGTTCCCACAAGACTCATGTCTGTAGGCTAAAGTGCTCTGGGGCTCTAAATAAACTTGAAAGGTGGTCTAGTCACAAGGACTGCAACTTTTAGGTGACTCCAAGTGCTGAACTGGGTTAGAGCCAGTAGACTGCAGTATCATGTGACCTACTGAGACAGCTGGGGCAGCTAAGGGTGTGCTGGCATCACCACTGCCCTTTCTTATGCTTGAGGAGAGGAGACAGAAGAGAGGGGAGGACTTTGTCTTGCAACTTAAATATCAGCTCAGCCACAGCAGGCTAAAGCACTGATCAAAATCATAGACCAATTGAACAGAACAGAAAACCCAGAAACAAATCCACCATCACGCCACAGTAAACTGCTTTTTTTTTTTTTTTTTTTTTTTTTTGGACAGGGAGTCTTACTCTGTAACCCAGGCTGGAGTGCAGTGGTGAAATCTTGGCTCACTGCAACCTCCTGCTCCTGCTCCTGGGTTCAAGCGATTCTCCTGCCGCAGCCTCCTGAGTAGCTGGGACTACAGGCATGTGACACCATACCTGGCTAACTTTTTGTATTTTTAGTAGAGACGGGGTTTCACCATGTTGGCCAGGCTGGTCTCAAACTCCTGATTCAGGTGATCCACCCACCTGGGCCTCCCAAAGTGGTGGGATTACAGGCTTGAGCCACTGTGCTCGGCCTTAAACTCATTTTTGACCAAGGTTCCAGGAACATACACTGGGGAAAATAGAGTTTCTTCAATAAATGGTGCCGGAAAAAATTGGCTATCCATATGCAAAACCATGAAACTAGACCCCTATTTCTTGACACAGACCAAAAAAAAAAATCAGTATGGATTAAAAACTTAAATCTAAGAGCTCAAATATGAAAGTACTACCAAAAAAATTTGAGGAAACTCTCCAGGAAGTCAATCTAGGCAAAAATTTCTTGAGTAATACCTCAGAAGCACAGGCAAAGAAAGCAAAAATGAACAAATGGGCTCATATCAAGTTAAAAAGCTTCTGCACAGTGATAGAAACAATCAACAATGTGAAGTGACAACCAACACAATGAGAGCAAGTATTTGCAAAGTAACTATTTGACAAGGGATTAATAACAGAATATAGAAGAAGCTCAAATAACCCTATAGGAAAACGTATAATAATCTGGCCAAAAAATGGGCAAAATAGTTGAATAGACATTTCTCAAAAAAAGACATACGAATGGCAATCAGGCTTATGAAAAGGTGCCCAACATCACTGATCATCAGAGAAATGCAAATCAAAATTACAAGTAGATGTCCTCTCACGTCAGTTAAAATGGCTTATATCCAAAAGACAGGCAATCACAAACGCTGGTGAGGATATGGAGAAAAGGGAATCCTCCTACATTGTTGATGGAAAGTAAATTAGTACACCCCCAGTGAAGAACAGTTTGGATGTTCTTAAAATGCAGAAAATGGACCTACCATATGACCCAGCAATCCCACTGCTGGGTATAGACCTAAAAGAAAGGAAATCAGTACATTGAAGAGATATCTGCACTCCCATATTTGTTACAACACTGCTTACAACAGCCAAAATTTGTAAGCAACCCAAGTGTCAATCAATGATTGAATGGATAAAGAAAATGTGGTACATATATACAATGGAGTACTCTTGAGACATAAAAAAGAATGAGGCCAAGTCATTGGCAACATTGTTGAATCTAGAAATCACTATGTTACATGAAATAAGCGAGGTACGGAAAGACAAATATCTCATGTTCTCACTTAGTTGTGGGACCTAAAAATCAAAACAATTTAACTCATTGACATAGAGAGTACAAGGGTTGTTACCTGGGGCTGGGAAGGGTACTGGGAGGCTGGGGCAAGGTGGAGATGGGGAACGGGTACAAAATACACAGAAAGAAGGAATAAGACCTAGTGTCTGATAGCACAACAAGGACTACAGTCAATACTAACTTACTTGTACCTTTTAAATAATAAAGGGTATATATAATTTGATTATTCATAACACAAAGGATTAATGCTTGAGAGGATGGATACTTCATTCTCCATAATGTGATTATTATGTATTGCATGCCTGTCTCAAAACATCTCCTGGACTTCAAAAATATATACACCTACAATGTATCCATACAAATTAAAAAATTAAAAAAAGAAATCAACTTATATGATTGAGAGAGCTGGCTAGGAATGTCCAAAATCCATAGAACAGGCCATCAGGAAATGTGTGATTGAACTCATAGGCATAGATGAAACGTGCTGTCCAAAGGCTAAATTTAATCTTCTCTCGGGGAAGCTTCAACTCTTAAGTCCTTTCAACCAATTGAATCAAACTCACCAATATTATATGAGATTATCTCCCTTATTTCATGTCAACTAATTATGTACTTAATTCACATTTGTAAAATATTTTAACAAATCTTAGATTACTGTTTTACTGAATAACTAGAGGCTATAGTGTGGCCAAATTAGGACATCACAAAACCTCTGCAATATTCAAGAATGAAATAAAAGTGTTTCTGCCTGGAAAAGGGCTTGTCTGTGGGAGTGAGAGGCAATGAGAATTTGAGTCAATACAGCCAGGAACTGAACTGTGCTTTCATTGTTGTTACTGTAATACACCATAAGCTTCTAATTCTTCCAGTGTTACTGTATGTTTAGTCTAGGGGACTGTGTGCTAGAAAGTTTTTCTTAATATTTCTGCTTTATTTTCATATTTAATCTCTTTGTGAGCTTTTGTTTAAGACACACTCTCACTCCTTCAGTTTTCCTTTGCTCTGGCAATAGAGTCTTGCTATTAATTATTTGATGGTGCTGGACTCATCATACAGTGTGGGAGTGGATTTTTCTTATTCTGTTTCAGCCTCTGTTTTAGGAAAATTCTTCCCCAGGACTCTAGGATAAGGACTTCCCACTGATGCTACCCCTCTGCCAATGATAGGGCATCTCTAAAGTTCCATGCCCAGGACAATGTCTTACTCCTTTCAAGTTGTAGGAGGTACCTTGCTATCAGTATCCCCTTTCTTCATCTGATATGTGTCTTCATCTGTGCCATTATGAAAGCAAAGTTTTCTGTCCCCTAAGCAACGTAAGCTTTTTCTTCCATAGGGTGGATATCAAATAAAGTTCCAGGTAAAATTCTATGCTTTGTTTACAGCTGCTCCCCTGTCTCTGAGCTAGATCATCAAGAGAAGTTTCAATGTACCCCATTCCCAATTTTTCTGATGAGAGTACATGCAGAGTCTGTGGAGAAGAACACGTGAGGGGACAAAAATTCTTCTTCTTTCACCCATTCCCCAGAGTTCCACACTCTCAGCCAAGATACACTCAGTCTTCAGAAATTTGTTAATAGTTTTTCTTTTTTCTTTCTTCTTATTATTTCTTTCTTTTTTTTTTTTTTTTTTCCTGAGACAGGATCTCACTCTGTCACCCAGGCTGGAGTGCAGTGGTTCGATCTTGGCTCACTGCAGTCTCCACCTCCTGGGTTCAAGCAAGTCTTGTGCTTCAGCCACCCGAGTAGCTGGGATTACAGGCATGTGCCACCACAGCTGGCTAATTTTTGTATTTTTAGTAGAAACAGGGTTTCACCATGTTTCCCAGGCTGGTCTCAAACTCCTGGCCTCGAGTGATCCACCCACCTGGGACTCCAAAGGTGTTGGGATTATACACATGAGCCATCATGCCAGGCCCAGAAGATATTTTTTTCCTACCACTTCTATGACACATGGTGTCCCTCCTAGGAAAGCAAGTTTTCAATCCTATGTATCTTTGGGAATGCTTATTTTTCCTTGTATTCCAGGCCAGTTGTTTGTCTTTCAATCTCAGCTTTCTGTGTGGGTTCAAGAAAGGTTATTATTTTGTAGATTATTTGGCTTTTTCTTGTTAATTTGGCAGTGATATTCTTTACAGCTTTGTACAATGTCATGGGAAGCTGGAAACTTCTAGCCACTTTTAATTCAGAAAACATTTAAACAGGAAAAAGCAATGGAGAACATAGGTGAGTCTCAATACAGCTCTCTTCTCTCTAAGATTATATTTTCTTTACTATTCCCAATTTAATAAAAACTATTGTTCTTTTTTCAAATACTTCATATAACTTTAATAGTTTTCTTATCAAGAAATTTGTTTTATACAAGCTACACTCTCACAGCCGGGAAAAAAACAAAAACAAAAACAAAAACAAAACAAAAAAAAACCTCTTGTTACTATTCTGCTTAGAATAAGCCAAAGGGACCAAGAGCAGATGTCAGAAGAACAGTTAGGAGGCTTTATAAGTGAATAAGAAGACAGATAAAATTGCAGGTAGGAAAACTGGATGTATTCTAGATAGTTTTGAAAGTAGAGCTGACAGTATTTGCTCATGGATTAAGTATGGGTTATGAAAGCAAGAGAAAAGTTAAGATGACACCAAGATTTTTGTCCTAAATTGTGTGAAGCAGGGAGTATCTATTTACCATGATAACAAAATTGTAAAAGAAGCAAATTAAAATAAAACTCTGAGGAACTGAGCTTTATTCATTTTCTACTTTAAGATTTGATTTCAAAGTAGAGATGCTGAATAACTGAGCATATAAATCTGTACTTCAAGAAAGATATTAGGTTTAAAGTGTTACAAAATATATGTTAAATTATACATATAAATATATTTTCATCCTGTAATTCATTCCCATAACATAAATAAGATCTTTAACCTATCGATTTTGGAAGTCATTTAACACAGATATCTCTAGAGATGTACTATTTCACAGCATATCTTGATTATTCCTACCATCAGCTGACAATTTTTACTAAGGGTTATTCTCTGACTTATTCTGAGAAACAAAGTTGAAAACACACCTTGGTTTATTCTGATTCTTGGCATTAGTAGACAAGCCATTATCGATAAGATGGCGCAAGGTATCGCCAAGCATCATGCTAAACTTTGCATAATTCTAATAAAATAATTTTTGTGACATTTCAGAAAATCAGAAGGGCCTACTGTTAGCCTGTGTGTGTACTTTAACTATATTATTTGACTAGAGAATCTTTTTCAGCAATATATAGTTGGTTTTTTTTGTTTTGCTTTTTTTTTTTTTTTTTTTTTTGAGACGGAGTTTTGCTCTTGTCGCCAAGGCTGGAGTGCAATGGTACAATCTCAGCTTACCACAACGTCTGCCTCCAGGGTTCCAGCGATTCTCCTGCCTCAGCCTCCTGAGTAGCTGGGAGTACACGCATGTGCCACCATGCCTGACTAATTCTGTATTTTTAGTAGAGACAGGGGTTTCTCCCGGTTGCTCAGGCTGGACTCGAACTCCCGATCTCAGGTGATTCACCTGCCTTGGCCTCCCAAAGTGCTGGGATTACAGGCGTGAGCTACTGCGCCCAGCCCTTATATAGGTTTTTAAATGATATTTATTTTGCTTGTTAGTCTCTCAGGACAATATGTGCCCAATTATTTGCTATAGAAATTGAAAAGATATTTTAATTTTGGATGAGCCTCTCCTTTATCCAAGAAAAATATAACAGAATTTTTTTAATATTTAAAATGTGAAAATAGGTATAACGTGTTACCTTGTAAGACTATAAATTTTGATAGAGAATTTAATAATTAAATTAAGCAGTTAACTCTAGGGTTTATTCCAGAAGACTTTAGTTTTTTTAAAAAAACATTAAGATGTGAAAATGTAACAGTATTATAGCCAGAAATAAAAATTATATATTACTCATAGGTGTTTTAGTTTCCATCAATTATTTTATACAATTCAACACATTTTTTATTATTTGATATATGAAACATTGACTTAAAGGTTTCGCATTTTATTTGTTTATCTCAAGACAATGAACTTCCAAAGGAAAAAAATAACCAAATAGTTCAATATCACTTTTTCCTGCCAAATTAAAATATATTTCCTGCTCAGAGCTAATTTTTTAAAATTATTATTACACTATTTTAGAAATACATAAGCTTCTTGTATTATTCAGCAAAGTTTTGGACCACTGACACTAATTCCACTGATAACTGAATTATTTTCATAATAATAAGAACAATCTTGGAAGTTCTAAGCAACTCTAATAACAAGAAGATTAAGATATAGACATACTGTAAATATTTAAAGGTGCTTTATCATGCTAGGAAACATATGATCAGATATTATTTACTCTGTGTCTTCTTTTTCACTTCCAAACCACCACTGGCTTGAGTGTTCGTAAGGGTAATTTTGTTTTGGTCTCTGTCTCTCTTGACCCTCTGAAACGTACGTGCACAAATTCTGTACTTTACCCAGCCCAACACTGCCAAACACTGAAAGACCAAGTTTCAAATACAATCAAGGTAAAATTATACTTTATATTAACATTTAGGGGACACTTTACTTTTACACCTACGTTTTATTTCTGCCCTTTGGTCTCTTCTCCTGTTCCATAACTGCTCTTGACTTTGCTTCCCTAATTTGGTATCCCGTGGACCCTTTTTGACAGATACATATGCTATGTTACTACCCCAAAACGCAGGCAGGGAAATAGTGAGGGACAAGAAAGGGGTTAATAGAATTGGTCAGAAGAATGCAAGCTGTTTTCTACCTTCACACTAGCTTCCATTGGACCTTTAAATTTTATTTTAATGTCTTTGCAGGACTTTTCAATAAAATATTTAATATTATTTATATTTCGGCCTCATCTTTTCTCTTCTGGAGTAATACAACAATGCCTTAACTGGGCTACTTGCTTTACACAGGTACCTGTGATGTAAATTAAATATTGTGTCAAGCTAATGCCTACAATTTCTTAATAATTGTCCCTTCATTTGTATAAAATTCTAATTCCTTTAAAAAGTCGAACAAGATAACAAGCATCTCCAGTCTCATCTTTGCCATCAACATTCTTCTGATGTCTTCAAACTAGCCTCTAGTTTCCCAAACATGTTCCACAGATGCTATTCAGTGGCATATTCATAAATATTATGCAAAGCAAGTTTAATCTGGATAAGTAAATTTCATAAACTCTGGACTAAAAGATTGTAAAAGATATTTTTAACAGAAGATTTTCCCAGAGTAATTAGTATGCATTTTACTTCTCCAAAAAGAGTATAAAACACTTCTCCAACCATCTGACTGTAGCTCCTATAAAATGAAGCATCTTGAGTAGTGTCATAGCCTTATTACTTTTAGGTAGTATGCACTCTCTTTCACCTCAAGGTTTTTGCCCATTCCAATCCTTCTGCTTGAAATGCCTTTCTTCAGCTATGTTAACCATTAAACGTTGGCTCACTCACCTATTTAACCTATTTAAACCCCTTTGACCTTGCCTTCCTACAGTATAGAGGCAAAAAAGGCTAAATTATGTGTTCAGACACTCTTGCAGCTAAGGTTTGCAGACCGCCTGGTCCACTAAGGAGAAGCATCCCTATGAGATTTGACAGCAGAAGTAAGCAATATAAGGCAATGACAATGAAGTTATTGAATATTCTGTCAAGCATCATGGTGAGAACTTGTTCTCGAATAGTTGGCAAAATATTAGAAGTGCTGGAAGATGGGCAACTGTAACAGTGGCTCAACTTTTAGAATGTCATGAATTAAGGTAGCAAATTTACACTTGCTGCTATGATTCTTTCTATATGATATCCAAGCCTGATTCTCTGATCTTTCCATAAATTTTGTAAGTTAACCAATTTATGTTTTATGTTTATGGGTACATAATAGTTATATTTAAACAATAGTTATATTTTAACCTATTTCTATTTTTAACCAATTTAACCAAGTTTTATTTTAACAAATTTAAACAATATTTATATTTTAACCAATTTCTTTAAGTTAATCTTTACTCTGCATTAACTACTTGGGGTGGAAATGTAGGATTGTGTTGCCTTAAACTACAAAAATATTACTGATAGAACAAATATTAATAAAGAAGGTATTAGATTAATATATTAACAAATTGAGAATCTAGAAATTGTTGTTTTTACCTGATTGACTTTTAATTTAGTGAAGACCCATTTAGCATTTGATGATGGTAGACTGATAATCTGTGGCATACTGTGGTTAAGCAGTTAAATTAGTAACTGAATTTACACATGTACTAAAAACAAGGTGTTGGTGAAAAATATACTTGTTTTTAGACTACTGCTGAAAGATGTAAGGAATATAAAGTTCAGTGTTCCCTGATTCTATCTAACTGCACTGGAAATCTTAAAGAAAATATCAACCTCAAAGTTTCAAAATCTTAGCTAAATACTTGATAGTAGAAAACAAGTTTCTTTGTCTACCTTAAATTTTTTTTTCTCTCAAAGTCACAGAGTTTATAATCAGAGTTATATCTGATCCTGTTACTCAAATATAACATAGATTGAATTAATAGAATCAAGGAAATGTACAAAATATGGGGAACTCCAAAACTTGAGTGGTAATACTTTATAAAATTCAAATGATTATGAGTACACCAAATCCTACAGTCTCCTTTGCTAATACTGCAGGCCCTTCTCTGTCTTATAGGGTTTGTCCTGCCTTAATTAAACACTGTATAATGATGTAACCTGAAAAAGTTGCCCTGCAAGAGATCCAATTCTTTCAGCTTTACCTTATTATCTTATTGCCTTCAGATCTAGAACTAGAAACAGATTACTTTATATCCCATTGGGAAAATTACAACCACAAATTCAGAAGGAAAGACTTATATACCAAAAGAATCACAATATTTTCCTCACTTATATTGGCAAATTTGGGGGAACATTTACATAATGAAGTCTGAAGGTGCTTCATTAGGGAAGGTAGAAGTCAATTCAGATTGGAGTGAATTCATTGAAATGGTCACATTTACAAGGTAATCTCCCCTTAACGTTTTAACACATACAGCTGGTGATACCTGGTTAGTTGAAAGACGCAATGGTTCAATGGCACCTAAATGAAGTTGACAGAAATTCTGGGATCTAAAAATCAAAACAATTGAACTCATGAAGATAGGTAATAGGATGGTTACCAGAGGCTAGGAAGGGTAGTTGGGGGATGATGGGAGGTGGAAATGATTAATGAGTACAAAAAAATAGAAATAATGAAAAAAACCTAGTATTTGATAGCACAACAGGGGGACTATAGCCAATAATAATTTAATTGCACATTTTCAGATGGCTATAAGAGTATAATTGGATTGTTTGTAACACAAAGGATAAATACTTGAGGGGATGAATACCCAATTTTCCCTAATGTGATTATTATGTATTGCAGTCCTGTACCAAAATAGCTCATGGACCTCATAAATATATACACTTGTTAAGTACCCACAGAATTAAACATTTAATAAAATTTAAAAATAAAATAACAAATTTAAAAAGGAAGTAAAAAGCTTAGGCGGATTAACATTAAATGGAGTTACTATATGTTAACTGAGACTAGGTCCTTGACGAATCTTTGAGAACCTACATGTGAAAGCTTTTCCAGCCTCTTTGGAAAGTGATATGTTCACTATTCTTTGTGGGTAGGGGTGCCATTAGTACTACTGTGGATGATAGTATTCCAAGTGGCTGATGCCAAATAATAGCACTTAACCAATATATGCAGGTTACTGTAATAGACATACAGCGCTTATCTACTAAAAAGAATATTGCTGTGGTTACCATAATAGACAGAAGGAACAGACTGGTAATAGGAATCATTTGACCCAAATGGATATTTGGCAATTCAATTGATAACTAAATCTCTGTGATCAAAATACAAGGCCAGTCAACTAGGTTCTAATTTCATATATAAACTGGAGAAAGAAAAACAAATCTTTCCAGGCCTGAATTAGAACAACAATAAAAATATTCATGTATCCTTATCTAATTCCCAAGACTAGGTTTACAGAGTCAGAGACCTTTGAATAATGGGAGGCTTGGTAATCTTGAGAAAATTTCTAAAACTACACACCAATATGTATGTGTGTGTGTATATCTATATCTATATCTATATAGTTATAGATATATTTATTTTAGGTCCAGGGATACATGTGGAGTTTTGATAGATAAACACATGTCATGGGGGTTTGTTGTACATCTTATTACATCATCTAGATATTAAGGCAGTACCCTAATAGTTATCTTTTTTGTCCTTCTCCCTCCTCCCACCCTCCCCACTCAAGTAGACCCCAGTGTCTGTTGTTTACTTCTTTGTGTTCATAAGTTATTATTATTTAGCTCCCACTTATGAGAACATGCAGTATTTGGTTTTCTGTTCCTGCATTAATTTGCTAAGAATGATAGCCTCCAGCTCCATCCGTGTTCCCACAAAAGGCACGATCTCATTAATTTTTCTGGCTCCATAATATTCCATGGTGTGTAAGTACCACATTTTCTTTATCCAGTCTGTCATTTATGGACTCTTAAGTTGATTCCATGTTTTCTCTACTGTGAACAGTGCTGCAATGAACATTTGCATGCATGTTTCTTGGTAGAATGCCTTAGATCCCACTGAGTATATACCCAGTAATAGGATTGCTGGGTCAAATGGTAGTTCTGCTTTGAGCTCTTTGAGGAATCACTATATTGCTTTCCACAATGGTTGAACTAATTTACATTCTCACCAACAGTGTATAAAAGTTCTCTTTTCTCCACAACCTTGCCAGCCTCTGTTATTCCCTGACTTTTTAATAATTGCCATTTTGACTGGTATGAGATGGTATCTCATTGTGGATTTGATTTGCATTTCTCTAATGACCAGTGATCTTGAGTACTTTTTTATATGCTTGTTGGGCATATGTATGTCTTCTTCTGAGAAATGTCTGTTCATATCCTTTGCCCACATTTTAATGGGGTTGTTTGTTTTTTTCTCATAAATTTGTTTAAGTTCCCTAGAGATACTAGAAATTAGACCTTAGTCAGATGGATAGTTTGCAAAAATTTTCTCCCATTCCATGGGTTGTCTGTTTACCCTGTTGATAGTTTCTTTTGTTGTGCAGAAGGTCTTTAGTTTAATTAGATCTCACGTGTCAATTTTTGCATTTGTTGCAATTGCTTTTGGCATCTTCATCATGAAATCTTTGTCAGTGCCTATGTCTTGAATGGTATTGCCTAGGTTGCCTTCCAGGTTTTTTTCCTAATAGTTTTGGGTTTTACATTTAAGTCTTTAATCCATCTTGAGTTAATTTTTGTTTATGGTGTAAGGAAGACACCCAGTTTCAATCTTCGACATATGGCTTGCCGGTTATCCCAGCATCATTTATCGAAAAGGAATCCTTTATTCATTGCTTGTTTCTGTCAAATTTGTTGAAGATCAGATAGTTGTAGGTGTGCAGTCTCATTCTGGGTTCTCAGTTCTGTCCATTTGACTATGTGTCTGTTCTTGTACCAGTACCATGCTGTTTTGGTTACTATAGCCCTGTAGTATAGTTTAAAGTTAGGTAGCGTGATGACTCCAGCTTTGTTCTTTTTGCTTAATATTTATTTGGCTATTCAGGCATATTTCTGGCTCTATATGAATTTTAAAATCGTTTTTTCTATGTCTTTGAAGAATGTCAATTGTAGTTTGATGTGAATAACATTAAATCTATAAATTACTTATAAATTTATATCAATTTTCTATAAATTTCATTTTAGAGATTTTTCATCTCTCTCATTAGCTGTATTTCTAGGTATTTTATTTTATTTTTTGCTATGGCAATTGTGAATGGGATTACCTAATTAGACTCTTGGTTTTGCTGTTGTTGGTGTATAGAAATGCCTGGGATTTTTGTGCATTGATTTTGTGTCCTGCACTTTGCTGAAGCTGTTTATCAGCTGAAGGAGATTTTGGACTGAGATTATGGGGTTTTCTAGATACAGAATCTTGTCATTTACAAACAGATAGTTTGACTTCCTCTCTTCCTATTTAAATGCCTTTTATTTCTTTCTCTTGCCTGATTGCTCTGACCAGCACTTCTATTCTAGTCTATGTTCAGTAGACGTGGTGACAGAGGGCATCATTGTCTTGTGCTGGTTTTCAAGGAGAATTCTTCCAGCCTTTGCCCCTTCAGTATAATGTTGGCTGTGGGTTTGTACCACAGATGGTTCTTATTTTGAGGCATGTTCCTTCAATACCTACTCTATTGAGAGATTTTAACATGAAGGGATCTTGAATTTTATTGAAAGCCTTTTCTGTATTTATTGAGATAATCATGAGTTTTTGGCCTTTATTTCTGTTTATTACCCCGGTATATTTTGTAAATCTTCCTCCTAGCTTTCTCCAAAGGCACTTTCAACCATTTATCCGGGTAAATGTGTGCCAAGGGAAACAAAATACCTTGATTTGGGGGTATTATTGTATCATCTTCTGAGCTCACACAGTAATCTCAGAGGGATCTGAAGGTCAATCTACTTCTTTAGTCAGAGTGGAGTCTAATGGGACTTGGTAATAAGTGTGCATAGTTTTGGACCAAATCTACCTTTCAGTTGGCCTAGCAGATCTCAGAATGCATTTTGTATTTCCTGATACTTAACATATGTAATTTCAACAGATACACTCAAACATCAGCAGGATCCTCACATTGGTTCCTGACCAACAAATCCATTGCTTCCATTAGAAAAAGCATCAAATGAATTTTTTCTCTATTGTTCTACCAAAGTTGTATATCAAAAAACAGTACTATAGCCCTTGAAAAACTGCAAATCAATGACATCCTCAAAGACTTGAAGAATACAAGGAGAGTTATACCTATAATATATAAAGAAAACTTACCTAATGAGCCTACTAATAGTCTTGATGAATAATATTTAAATAAGTATTGAAACAAATTGAAGATGTAGTTCCACAAATGGTTTCATTATTTAAGTGAATCAACATTGCCCTGGTACTTGCTATGTAATATTAATCTAACAAATCTTCCTCCCATCCCCAAAGAAAAAAGCTGAAAAAGCAGCTTTCTTTCATCTGGCATAGTTAACAATATGCATTTACTGTATCATTTTAGACCTGTGTCTATTCCTTAATTTTATATATAATTTAGTCTTTAGAAACATTAATCATCTCACCATATTAGCGAATACCACTCTGATCTTCTGGATTGATAATATTTAGATGATAAAACCTAGTGATCAGGAACTAGAAGTACGTTGATACCAAATGAAGATCCATGCATGCATAAAATGGGAAATGAGCTCCATAAAAATTCAGTAGCCTTCGTTTCAGTAAATACATGATGATTGAAGTCTAGACTATGTTAGGATATCCTCTTCAAATTAAAAACAAATGCTATGTCTTGTACTTTATAACACTAAAAAGGAAGCATGCTCATTAAAAACTCTGTCCATTCAAAAATTATCTGAGGCTGGCAATTTGTAATGTGTTCCATAGAAATAGAAGGCTCATCAGCTGTCGCAGGCTGGAATGCTTGTATGAACTAGGTGATTGTTTCTATATGTATTTTTGGTAGGTTGTAATGCTGGCTGTTTTTCATGTCAAGCCTTAACTGGGGAATAACAGCCAATGATCTTAGGATTTTAGAAAAAAAAAACATGTCCTCCTCATTAACTAACTCTACTGTTTCTGAGAAATAGAAATGGATTTTGTTTATTCTTGATCTATGTTAAAGACTGAATGCTTTTTTACGGAAACCTAAGTAGCCCAATAACTTGAGCTTGCCCTCCTAAATTTGGTGATATCTGATCCATTAAGCCATAAATTCAGATATCACCAATGGGACTTTATCCACAAGTAACTTATATTTTCAATGTACCAACTTCTGCTACAACTTATAGCTATAACATCTTTGTGAGTTCTTTATATCTAATTGGCTGAGATGAACAACAACAAAAAATGAGCCTGGTTTACAAAAGGCTTTAGCCTTTTGTAAAATAGTTTTAGCTATTGCCAGCTAGAAGTAAACTGTGATATCTTTAGGATCCCACTAATTGACTCTGATGGAAAGTATATAATGACAGTTTTCACAGATGGCAGAATTTTGATCTATCCCTTCAGCTATCTTTCTAGTTTTTATGAAAAGAGAGATATACAGAGGTGTGTGTGTATATATACATAAACATTAATATGTGAAAAGTGGTAATAGCTTATCAGGATGATTGGTTAATTATATAGAAGTAGATTGGACTGGTGACCAGAATGTCTAATAAACAGTGGTTGGAACTGTTGGAATCATCATAAAATGCTCACCAGTAGATCCTCTCAACACAATTATCTTCATAATAGCATTATCAAAATTATCTATCTGCTCCTCAGCCAGCTCCTATCCTCATCCATCCCAACACCTGCTTAGTTGAAAATGAATATGAAGACAAGAATTAAAATTTTGCATGACCCCAACAATATGAATTTCTCCTCTGCAATGATGATTGTTTAGGTGTATAACAAGGCTACTTTCTGGAAAAGTAGTTAAAGGTCATTTTCCAGCCTCTTTTCATTTGATGTTAGCTACATAACTATCAGCAATGGTAAGGTGAAACATTGCCTCTTTTGGAGAGTAAAGAGTGAGTGTGCTCCCTCAACACTCATTTTTCCACGTGCACTTGGAGGCTATATGGTTGAAATATGTTAGCAGCATAGGATGGAAGAGGCATGGGTAAATACATGAGCAGGGAACAGAGACCCCTTTATCTGCAGTATTATGTAAGAAGAGAATGCGTAAGAAAAGACAATTATGTAAGAAAAGAATAATTATTTCATTTTATGAAACCATCAATATTAAGACGTTTGTTTCTGCATTTATCATACTTTGACTAATAAAGACAGTAATACTTTCAAGTACTATTGGTTTAGTGGCCATATGGTGACCATTAAAGGGACATATATCAGATATAGAACAATATGTTTTATTCAGTAGAAAGTTGGTAAAACCATTGATCATGATAACTTGGAAGGCAAATCCTGAATTTGCTGAAGCAAAAGCTCTAGGAAAGTGGTTAGAAAGAACCCCTATGTAGTTTCAGCAAAAGTTGGCTACATTTGGCAAGATAGTGCAAGAAAAATATAAATTTAGGAAAAAAATCAGTGGTTTTGAAGAAGAAAGAAAAAGGAATTGATAGAATTCAGAAATACAGGGCCTTGAAGGAGTGGAAAAGTTGTTTGCTTTTAGACAAATTTTAAGAAAAATGAGATTGCAAAAACCTTTAGTGAGGAAAGCTCATTAAGTCTCAACATTTGAACAAAGGTCATATTAGAGATGAGGATTTCCCATTCTAGCCAGATAGCCTAAAGATAATCCTTATTTTCCCGAAAGAGAGACATAGAGCACTAATCTGAGAAATGCTTGGTTAGGTCAATGGAGCCCTAGAGAAAATATTTCTTATTAGAAGAATTTTACATTGGACAGAATTGGCCATCACTAGGAAATGTGCCATGTCTTGGCATTGTTTGAGAGGAGCTTAGGACTGTGGCCTCCAAGGGAAAATTGAAATGGATCCTAAAATTGCTGCAGCTGGAGGCTGTCAGCCAACTCCTAAGTAGGTTTTCTTTCGAAGGTAGATCAGGTCACAGTAACACACGTGAATGGCTGCCACAGGGCAGATGACTTTTCTTTTTATCAAGCATCATAAAATCTAAGATGTCAGTTATTGTAATTGTGTCATTACTTTATGTAGCACTAAAATTAAAATTTTAAAACACAGCCAAAATTATATGACATGGTGCTTTATTATCATTTAAATTTCTTATTCAAATACTTCACATTCACTGTCCTTTTCTTGAATCACTTTTTGCAGAGTTTTCAGTGTTAATATTTTTGAACAAAATGTCATCTTTTGTGGCTTCAAGAACAAACAATGTATGTTTTGTTTTATTCACCCATAGCCAGAATACAGAGGTCTGGAAAATAAAAAGTAGGAGTTGAGAGATGTCTCTCATTATTGCACTTCATGACTCACTTAGAATTTTTTATTTTTCTTTAGATTTAGTTTTTGTTTTGTTTTACTTGTTTGTTTGTTTTCTATGCCTATGATGCTGAACCATGGTGATTTACAGATCTTAATACCCAAAGGAGAACTGTCCACGGTAGAGGACATGCAAATGGGTTCACTAAGTTGGAAGTTGAGCTCATTATTTGACCTTTCAGGATTTCTCATTTCACTGAACAAACAGGCAAACACAATCCCAATATGTATCCTGGGGTGCATAATTGAATGAAAAATTGGGTTTTACTCTGCAATGAGAGCATATGTGGAGCCTGAGGAAATCCTCTGAAACACCTTTTAATACTGTGGTATACAGTGGTAAAAGATCATAGATTGTTCTGAAAGACTAATACAGGTGAGATCAGCAAGCACTCTCAAAATCCTGAGAAATGAAGGTTTGGATCACTCCATTAGATAAAGAGACCTGATCACATGAGCTGCTGGAAGAAGGCAAAATATATGTGTAAAAGGGGAAGAAAATTGTAAAGAAAAGCTATCAGGTTGTGGCTAGGTAGAACAAGGACTATAATAGATACTATATTTTTTCTTTGTTTTAGTTATTCATAATTTTCACTTTTATCAATTGATTTTCCTCTATAATTTTATATATGATGGGTTGGAGGTGGTCATATATACAATTATTTAACATATGACAAGCTATCAAGATGATATAGTAAACTAAAGGAAAATTATCTCCCAGAGATGGACACAGGAAAAACAAAACTTTAGAATTCTGCTTCTGGATTTTCATGGACCCACAGATGGCTGTATTAGGATAAGTGTAAACATGTTATTATTATTGTTATTTCAAAGTTAGATACGCGAAATCAGGTGCATGTGTGTGTATGAGTAGCCAAACCATGGACTCTGCAGTTGCTGTTAGTTCAAAAGATGTTCATTTAAAACTCTTTTTCTAACTTGTCATCCTATGCTATAGAACCTGGATATCTAAAACAATCTTTTCTAAACTTTCTTGCAATAAAGTCTTATATATGACAAAGTCCTCCAAAGATAGATATCTGTGTGAGATTTGGAGACAGACGTGAGATGTATAAAGTGGTAGTTGTACACTTCTCACTAAAACATGCCTGTCATTTTACTGCCTCCACTGAGCTCCCTCAGCCCCTGCCTTCAGTCTGTGTTATGTGTTGTAAGCTACACTTTGGGCAACTATAATTTAACACCCATCAAAATAGTTACACTTTACTGTACTCTTCCTACTAAAAATAATGGTGGTACTAAACATGTATTCAGCTCTTAATATCCATAAATATTCAACTAAGTGCTTCATATGCATTATGACATTTTATAGTGCTTCAAACAGCTCTATGAAGCTGGGTTTATATTGTGATTATTAACATCAATTTCCATGATATTAATCTGGAAAGAGGTCTGCTAGCTTCAGACCTCTTTGAGGGTAAAGACCACAACTGCTATCATAATTTATAGCTTCTAGTGATATGAAAGACTATTTGGAACCTCTGAGGTTGTCAATGAACATTTATTGAGTAAATTCATAGCTAGGTAATATTTTCTTGCCTCTAAGACAAGGGCTATCGTAAGGGTAGGAATGAATAATCTCAATATTGCTATGCACACTTATATGGGAGTTGGGAGAACTGAATGTATCATATTATACATGTTATGTAAACTCCAATATGACTGGGATAGATATTTACCAGATTAAAAAAATGCTGCTGCACAATACATTTAAGTGGGAGAAATAGAGAAGCACCAATAGAATCAACTCTTGGTGGAGTAAACTATATTACTGTGAATAAGAAAAAAATAACAAATGTAAAGCTATATTTAACTCTTAAAATATTTAAAAACCCAATTTTAATTATGACTGTTCTATGAAGTAATTTTGGGTAGTGTGACAGAATTTATTTTCTACAAGTAACATAAATCTCTTGAAAACTTGATATAATAATTCTATTATAAATTTTACAGATTTTTCACTTTCCTTCATTGTGTTAATAATTTTTTTGTTAATTTAGTGAAAGATATTTCAAATTTTCTAGATTCAGTTAACTAAGAAAAAAAATCAATGTAAGTGACAGTTAAAGAAATCAGTGCATATACAAGTGAATATTTTTGAAAATTAAATAGTTAAATATCTAAATTAATTCCTTGTATTCAAATGAAGCATGTGTGTATACAATTATACCTTGAATAACACCATGGAACTCATTCAAAGTGTCACTAATAATACTGAAAATACTCCCAAGTAGTGAGAAAAATCATCACATTACAAAAAAAAGTTGAATTTCTTGATAGGCACTGAAGATTGAGGTCTGCAGCTGTGGTTGTCTACCATTTCAGACAGAAGTTTTTCCTTGTGAACAGATGACATAAACTTAACAGTATTGATAAATAAAGTACAGTACTCTCAGTGTGTTTTCTCTTCTTAAGATTTTCTTAATAACATTTTCTTTTCTCTAGCTTGCTTTATTGTAAGAATACAATATATAATGCATATAATGGACAACATATATGTTGATGAACTGTATATGTTAACTGTAAGGCAACCTATTATTAGTTAAGTTTTAGAGGAGTCAAAGTTATACATGAATTTTTGACTATGTGGGAGGGTCAATGCCCCAACCCCTACATTATTCAATGGTGAACTGTAATTGAAAAATGCATTCTGTTAAAAAAGAACAGGAAATCTATTTATGAGGTAATGAGAACTGACTTGATATACTAAATGTCAAGAGAAGATACTGATGTGAATTGTTTTGGATCAGGTCACTGTGATAAAAGTGCAAAGAAAAGTTAGGAGTGGAAAAGAAAAGATGTTTACAAGTTAGTTGTGGGGGCATGGCATGACAGTTTCCAGGCATGATATCGAGGTTAGCTTAAACTAAGCTGTTATTGGCAGAGAAATGGAATAGTGGCAAATGTTATAATTTAGCAGGTACAATAGACACAACTTGCAGATACTGTTTTGGATAAAAGGGTTTCAAGAAAGAGATGTCAAATATGACTTTTGGGTTCCATATCTTTACAGAGGCTCATGCTACTCATTGCATGACTTCTACTTGTCCTTCCATTTAAACTCAAATTGCACCTTTTCAAAAAACTAATCCAACCTATTTAACCTCACACAGCCCATATGTTTAATAAACATGCACACATATACACACTTACACACACACACACACATTTTCTGTATTAAGCAACAAGAAACAAAGGGAACGGTTGAAGAAACACGTTCCCGGGGTATATTTGAGAAAATTTATTCCCCACAGCAATTCATCAAACCAAAATATCCTTAAAATGTGAGAATTTGGGGGAGAATATAGGAGGATCTGAATATAAATCAGTAAATTGAAGAAAAATTACAGTGCTAAGACTTCTGAACAGATTAAAATTTAGTGGGACCAGCTTGTCAACACTTCAAGGTGAAATAGAGGAACAATTGGCTATAGATCTCCTCTGATATCATAGAAAAGAGAGAGGTGTGTTTCTAACACCTAAACTGAAGATTAATTTAAAAGTATATAAGGTACGCCATGTTATCTCTTTTCCTTTTATTTTTTAATTGATTGAGATATCATTAATATAAAATAAAATTCACTGTTTTAATAATATAGTTCTATAATTTTAACTTCTTTCCCCAAGGATATGCTGGTTCCTATTGTTTGGTCTATGATAGAATGGAGTATAAATAGAATCAACCCATATGCAACATTTTAGTCTTTCTTTTATCACTTAGCATAATGGAATTGAAATTTGTATTAGGCTGAAAGATGGCCCCAGAGATATCCAGTCTGTATTAGTCCATTTTCACACTGCTGTAAAGAACTATCTGAGACTGGGTAATTTATGAAGAAAAGAGGTTTAATTGGCTTACAGTTCTGCAGGCTTAACAGGAAGCATGACTGAGAGGCCTCAGGAAACCTACAATCATGAAGGAAGGTGAAGAGGAAGAAAGGATCTTCTTCACATGGTAGGAAGAGACAGAGTAAATGAAGCAGAAAGTCAGACACACTTTCAAACAACTAGATCTTGTGAGAACTCACTATCACAAGCACAGCAAGGGGAAGTCTGCCCCATGATTCAATTACCTCCCACCAAACCCCTCCTCCAATACATGGGGATTACAGTTCAAGATGAGATTTGGGTGGGGACACAGAGCCAAACCAGATCTCAGTCTTAATACCTGGGACTTGTGAATGTTACCTTACACAGTAAAGTTTTTGCAGATATGGTTAAAAATTTTGAGATGAGATTACCCTCTATTATCCAAACAGGTTATAAAGGCCATCATAAGTATCTTTAAAATAAAGAAAGAAAAGTTATACACACAGAGAAGAGGAGGAAGTAGACATTGCAGTGATACAGTCAAAGAATGCCAGCAGCCACCAGAAGTTAAAGAGGCAAGGAACTGGGTTCTCTCCTAGAGCCTCTGGAGGGAGGATGGTCCTGCTGACACCTTAATTTTATCTCAATAAAACTGATTTTCTACTTCTGGCCTCCTCCCATGATATATGACAGTATAAATTTATGTTTCTATAAACCCCCACATGTGATAATTTGTAATAGCAGCCATAAGAAACTAATATTCTATGAGTTTCTTCCATGATGTTGCATGCTTCAATAATTTATTCCTTTTTAATTGCTGAGAAATATTTCAATGTTTGATGGGTATGATTTATTTATCCATAAACCTGTGGGTGAACATTTAGATAGATTCTAGTCTTAGAAAGTTATTATTAAAAGCTGCTATAAATATTAACACACAGGCCTAGATATAAACATATATTTTAATATATTTTGAATTGTTACTAGCAGTGGGATTCCTGGGGCATATGTGGCATATATGGGTCATATAAGGTAAATATATGCACAAATTTATAAAAAGCTACTAAACTATTTTCCAAAGTTGCCTTTCCAACAATTCTGTCAGAGTTCCAATTGTTCCTCACTCATGCCAACACTTGGTCATTTCATTCTTTTTAATTTAAAAAATATTATAGAAGGTGTGTAGAGGTATCTCATTATAATTTTAATTTGCACTTCCAAAATGATTATATTGAGCATCTTCATGTGCTTATTGATGAATTTCCAATTTTTTTAATTTTTTGGGGGACTGATTCTATTTTTTGGTAGTTTTCTAAATAATTAAAATGGATTATGAGAAATATGACAAAATTTAATTCTCATATTATTTCAATTTAAGTATAAATCTTCACAGAACTCAAATATTATGAATATATCATGAAGGCCTCAGGATATTAAATCGTTTTGGGGCACACGTGTAGGTTACAATGCTGAAAGCTTTGTTTAAAACACGTGCCTATCTAGTTATACAAAAACATACATAGACACACACATGAAAAATTCTAAAATAGTAGTACATTAGAAACAAAAAAAAACCTGTGGTCAACAAACATACAAAAAGAAGCTCAATATCATTGATCTTTAGAGAAATGCAAATTGAAACCACAATGAGATACCATCTCACATCAATCAGAGTGGCTATTATCAAAAAATCAAAATATAACAGATGCTGCTGAAGTTGCAGAGAAAAGGGAACACTTATACACTGTTGTTGGGAGTGTAAATAAGTTCAACCATTGTGGAAGACAATGTGGTGATTCCATAAACACCCAGGGACAGAAATATAATTTGACCAAGCAATCTCATTACTGGGTATATATCCAGAGGAATATAAATCATTCTACCATGAAGACACGTGCACATACATGTGAATGTTCACTGCAGCACTATTTATACAAGCAAAGACATGGAATCAACCTAAATGCCCATCAATGACACAGTTGATTTTTAAAAAATGTGGTACATATGCACTATGGAATACTATGCAGTCATAAAAAAGACGAAGATCATGCATTTTGTGGGAACATAGATGGATCTGGAGGCTATTAACCTCAGCAAACTAACCCAGGCACAGAAAACAAAATACTGCATATTCTTACTTATAAGTGGGAGCTAAATGACAAGAACACATGGACACACTGAGGGAAACAACAGACACTGGGATCTACTCAAGGATGGAGGGTGAGAGGAGGGAAAGGAGCAGAAAAGATAGCTATTGAGTACTGGGTATAAGGCCTGGGGGATGAAATAATCTGTACAACAAACCCCCATGACTGAAGCTCAAGTTTACCTACCTAACAAACATTTGTATGTACCCCTGAACTTAAACTTATAAGAAAAAGAGATACCATACACATTAGCAAAATAAAATGTTTTAACTTAAAAAAAAATTAAAAACACATTACCAGAACTTTTTTTAACCTCAATTCCTTAACACTGTCAATATTCACTCTATTTAAGTTGTCAAGACTAGAACTTATATAAGATTATCAGTTTAAGAGTTTAATTCTATGCTTTTAATAGATTTGTTTATTTTTTATTTATTTTCATATCCATCATGAATGTAGTCATTGTATATTTAGTTTCAAATCCATTCTTTGCTGTGTTGTATCCTAGCCATTGATACATCATCACAGTAAAAAAGAAAAACAGTTCTTAACCTATTAATATTATCAGGTATTATTTGCATGCACTTATTAATTCTGAGATCTATAGCTCTGAAAGTGTTATCAAACCTGTGGAAAATGCTTTAGTGCTTTACATTTAGAAAAATGCTAAAGTACTTTACAATTAAAGCATTTTAGCATTTTTCTGTTTGACATTAATTTGCATATTACTGCCTCTCAATGACTATCTTCTGTGTTTCTTTACATTCTTCAGTCAGAAAACATTTCAGGGGTTCCTGAGAGCTCTTCTGTTGAGGTTTCAGGATTTTCCCATACCTCAGAAAGGGGCCTCATATAAGTAAACTTATATGATCTAACACAATTATTCTTTATGTCTCTTATTTTTGTCTTTTTAATTTTTTGTTGTTTTTTTATTTTTTATTTTTTATTTTATTATTATACTTTAAGTTTTAGGGTACATGTGCACATTGTGCAGGTTAGTTACATATGTATACATGTGCCACGCTGGTGCGCTGCACCCACTAACTCGTCATCTAGCATTAGGTATATCTCCCAATGCTATCCCTCCCCCCTCCCCCCACCCCACAACAGTCCCCAGAGTGTGATGTTCCCCTTCCTGTGCCCATGTGTTCTCATTGTTCAATTCCCACCTATTAGTGAGAATATGCCGTGTCTGGTTTTTTGTTCTTGCGATAGTTTACTGAGAATGATGATTTCCAATTTCATCCATGTCCCTACAAAGGACATGAACTCATCATTTTTTATGGCTGCATAGTATTCCATGGTGTATATGTGCCACATTTTCTTAATCCAGTCTATCATTGTTGGACATTTGGGTTGGTTCCAAGTCTTTGCTATTGTGAATAGTGCTGCAATAAACATACGTGTGCATGTGTCTTTATAGCAGCATGATTTATAGTCCTTTGGGTATATACCCAGTAATGGGATGGCTGGGTCAAATGGTATTTCTAGTTCTAGATCCCTGAGGAATCACCACACTGACTTCCACAATCCCAAGGTAATTTACAGATTCAATGCCATCCCCATCAAGCTACCAATGACTTTCTTCACAGAATTGGAAAAAACTACTTTAAAATTCATATGGAACCAAAAAAGAGCCCGCATCGCCAAGTCAATCCTAAGCCAAAAGAACAAAGCTGGAGGCATCACACTACCTGACTTCAAACTATACTACAAGGCTACAGTAACCAAAACAGCATGGTACTGGTACCAAAACAGAGATATAGATCGATGGAACAGACCAGAGCCCTCAGAATTAATACCACACATCTACAACCATGTGATCTTTGACAAACCTGAGAAAAACAAGCAATGGGTAAAGGATTCCCTATTTAATAAATGGTACTGGGAAAACTGGCTAGCCATATGTAGAAAGCTGAAACTGGATCCCTTCCTTACACCTTATACAAAAATCAATTCAAGATGGATTAAAGACTTAAATGTTAGACCTAAAACTATAAAAACCCTAGAAGAAAACCTAGGCAATACCATTCAGGACACAGGCATGGGCAAGGACTTCATGTCTAAAACACCAAAAGCAATGGCAACAAAAGACAAAATTAACAAATGGGATCTAATTAAACTAAAGAGCTTCTGTAAAGCAAAAGAAACTACCATCAGAGTGAACAGGCAACCTACAAAATGGGAGAAAATTTTTGCAACCTACTCATCTGACAAAGGGCTAATATCCAGAATCTACAATGAACTCAAACAAATTTACAAGAAAAAAACAAACAACCCCATCAACAAGTGGGCAAAGGACATGAACAGACACTTCTCAAAGGAAGACATTTATGCAGCCAAAAAACACATGAAAAAATGCTCATCATCACTGGTCATCAGAGAAATGCAAATCAAAACCACAATGAGATACCATCTCACACCAGTTAGAATGGCAACCATTAAAAAGTCAGGAAACAACAGGTGCTGGAGAGGATGTGGAGAAATAGGAACACTTTTACACTGTTGGTGGGACTGTCTTTTTAATTTTTTGAACAAACTACTTCATTATTGCTTTCATTAAATTTTATCCTGAAATATGTCAGAGCATAATGCAAACAATACAAACATATATTAATATTAGGAAGTATATGCACAAAGTAAAAAATGAGTGGCCATTATTCATGCTTAGGACATATAAAAATATGAGTCAACTCCAACAAATTATATGAAAGATTATGAAAGGTAGGCAGATAGATAGATAGATAGATGAATGTTCATTCTGTGATGTGAAATAAATATACTAAAATAAAGTAATAAGCCTATCTTTGGAAAAATAATTAATTTCTCTTACTTAAAATATATTAATGGAATATTATTCCATTTGAAACTCAGGAGTACAATTAAAATTATCTTTATCTCATCAAACAAATGAAAGTTGTGATAATAGTAAAGGTTGACTCAAAGTTTTTATTTGATAGAACTTTAACTATTATACATTATTTGAAGTCACATATGGAAAATATCATACTTTGTTTAAAGCAAAAGTTGATTTGTTTCAGATATTAAGAAAGAGAAATGATCAGCAATTGGAATAACAATAATGTAGAACATAGGCAAACTATCAAAACACTCACACTAAGAAGCAACTGGAGATCCAGAAGCTTATCTGAATGATCGAAAAAATCAACTTATGTGTATAAAGCATGTAATGCTAATGTTATTTCATCATATTTTTATCAAAAGTTTTTCCTATATTAATTTCTCTTGCCTCAAGCTACACTTCTAATTTCTTCCCTTCTCTACTAAACTTCTCAAAAAACAATATAGGAGTCAGAAGTATAAATTTCAGAATCCTGGAAAATTAGCTGTAAATTTTAGTTCTACTTTTCAACTTGTTGCTACCTTGGCAAGTAACTTAGTCTGTCTTTTCCTTAATTTACTTATCTATAAACAGTGGTAATAGTACTTGACTATAAAATTAAGAAGAATAAGTCATTTCCGATAATGTCATATTTTAGCATTAGCTTTATTTCTATGGGGGAAGTAGGTGTTAACATGTGGGTAATAATGTTAGATAAGCCATGAGAAATGTTCTGTTAGATTCTGCTGTGCATTATTGTAGGGCTATCCTAGATGAAGCTACAGCTAAAGATTTTGTATGATATAGACTCTCTGGCTTCATAGGGATTTTCCATTAATAAAATGAAGTTATGAATATTAATAGTATTAATAGAATGTCACCAACGTTTTCACTGTAAATAGTACCAAAATGTTTTTGTTTTAACTATGGCTCTATTGTTGCTAGTGATTGGAGTAGGGGCCTAACATCTAGAAAATTATTATAGATTTACAACTTTTAAATCCCTCTTGTTATTTCATGAAATGTCCTGAAAGTATACTATAAACTCCACTAAGTCAGAGACTGTCATTTCATTTACCATTGCATCTCTATTTCTTAGCACTGTGCATGGCTGCTGATAGGTTTTGTCATTCTGTTTCATATCTAAAAAATGGTTTTGCCAGATAAAAGATTCTTAGTTAACTGTTGTTTTCTTTATGTATTTTGATTGTCATGCACTGCCTTCTGGCCTCCATTACTTTTGATTAAAATCAGCTATTAATCTTGTTGGGGTTTTATTCTACGTAAATCTTTTTATTTTGTTCCTTTAAAAGTTTATTTGTCTTTAAATATTTTTATTATATGTCTTGGTGTGGCTCTGTGTGATTATTCTATATGGATTTTGTTGATATTCTTGGATGTATAAATTAATGTTTTTTTTTTGTAAATTCAGGGAGGTTTCAGACAATATTTATTTGAGCATTTTTTCTGCACTCTTGTATTTCTTCTCTTCTAGTACGCCCATTAAGCATATGTTTGTGGACTTAGTGGTGTTCCACATTTCTCTGAGGCATTGTTCCTTTTGGTTTATTCTTCCTTTTCTCTGTACTTTGCATTCTATGATCTGTAATAATCTATCCTTAAGCTTGCACTTTATTTCTTCAGCAGTTCTAAAATAGAATATGTGCCCCCAAACAATAAAACACTGTTGAGCCTTCTAGTACAATTTTTCATTTCAGCTATAGTATTTTTCAACTAAAGAATATCTATTTGATTTTTTAGGTCTATCTTTTTATTGCTATTCTCTATTTGCAAAAACACAAAATGGCTGACAATGGACTTTAGGTATGGTTTATTAGACTGAGAATTGAATTACAGCCTTAAATAAGTAATCAAACTGGTCAGTTAGAAATATTAGGTCTATATTTTTAAATCTTTAAAAATCTTTAAAAAGATTTAAAAATATATCTATAAAAATATAAATAATTAAGGGATTGTTCCTTAAATGTATGCATAGAGGTTAAGTTGTTTTAGGTTACATTACTGAATCAGTAAAATAAAATTATCATGAGCCAAACTGCCGAGAACCAATTCTGTATCTCCGAACACAATTACCTGTGTGAGCTTCGGGATCAGAATTTTATTTAGCCTTTTAAGTGCTTCAATTTTCTTATTGGTAAATTAAGGAGAATAATATTTGCTATTACTTAGTATAGTTATGAAAACTAAATAAGTTAACCTTTTAAAAGCCTTATAATTCTGGCATAAAGTAAGGGCTTAACAAGTGCTAGTTACTATTGAGTTACTTTGAGCTGGTTAATAGTTCATTTTTTTAACATAATTCAAATTTTGCTTGTTTGTCTTTTCATTTATTCCATTTCAGGGTCATTTTTCTTTGAAAGTTATACTCCTTTTTTTATAAGTACATCAAATTTTATATATGTATGGCCAGTGGAAAAATGACTACTTATATTTCAAATTTGTAATTATGGGTAGTATTTTTCAGTCTCAATACAATTATGTCATATTATTTTCCTTTCGTTTTCTTTCATGTCTTAATTAAGACATGGGTAACTCCCCCCAAAATATCTGTAATAGAAGATAGCTGAGCTTACTTACTATAAATCCTTCATTCTATAGCCACAGGCTAGAAAAGGGAAAAAGAAAAAGCACCCACAACATGCTTTTCCCAGAGCCATGGGCCCCCAGTAATTATCAGGGAAGAATAATAGGTTGAGAGTTGTTTATATCAGAGGATGTTATTTTCCTCTATGTAAAGGCAGAAACATAAATCCCAGATACTTCTCAGTGAGAAACACTGAGACGTGTTTCTCAGTGATTTGTGGCCCATTGACATCTGAATCAGAATCACAAGGAGGCTTATAAAAATCCTGTTTCCAAGTTCTCAAAATAATTCTATTCAATCATAGTATCTTGAATACAGGTTGGTAATTATTATTTTCAAAAGCAGGCAAGGTACTCCTAAAAGCATGCTTAAGAAATAACTGCTAGAACCATTTTTTCTTCTATATGAATTATTTTATTTATTTATTTATTTAGAGGCAGGGTCTCCCTCTGTCACTCAGGCTGGAGTTCAGTGGCAAGATCTCAGCTCACCACCACCTCTGCCTCCTGAGTTCCACTTCAAGCCATTCTCTTGCCACAGCCTCCTGAGTACCTGGTATTACAGGCCTGTGCTACTACAGTAGTCCAGCTAATTTTTTTGTAGAGACGTGGTTTTACTATGTTGGTCAGGCTGGTCTTGAACTCCTGGCCTCAAGTGATCCACCTACTTCAACCTTCCAAAGTGCTGAGATCATAGGCGTGAGCCACCACACCCAGACATCTGTAGGAATTTAATAAACTGCTAAGGCTACACACAGTTAAAAGTTGTAAACATAGTGGAAACTTTAGTTAGTTGTGCCTATTTCTTTGAAATGTGAAAATTGAGAACTAATTTTAATGTACTCATTGCATGGTATTATTCATTCTTGTATTTCTTTTTCACTAAAAGTAAAACCTCCATAGAATTGAGACATTAACATTTAAAAAGTACAAATTGGTGTAACGTAACTCAGAGAAGAAGCATTCATCAAACTAAGAAATTATCAAATTAGTTATTAAAATTTAGAAAAGGAGAAAATTTTATCAGTGACTTCAATTATTATGAGTATTTTATATTTTATATACTGTAAGTAATTATTACAAAATTAAAGACTCAGGGATAAAATGCTTAATTTATGTTAATAATATGCAAATGCATACTCACACAACAATGATATTTATATAATAGTGATAAAGGATTGTTATTATATAATTTGCTATTTTCCACTTAAGTTTTGTTCTTGGAAAATATCTCTTTTTTTTCAAAGTTTCTGTAAATTTCAGCAATTGTCTATAGGTTATTGTAAGGGAAATACATGATTTTAAGGCAAATGTAAAATTATATTTTAGGCATGCTAAAATCAGCAGATTTTCATAGTGCTAAAGTAGCATCTGCATCTATGAAACATTTTTCTCTAGGGGATCCATTTTCTGGTTGGGAGTTAACAATCTTTGTTATTCAGTCCTTTGAAATCCATGAAATATTGTAAAGTTACATAAGGTTACAGAGTTTGTCTACTTATTTTTCTAGGGGATGAAAATAGAGAATAAAAGTCAGTTTTAACTTATTCTACAAAGGCAATAAGAGATGATGGGTAAGCAAAGGTGCCATGATGGTTTAGCAAGAATGAGGAAATATTGCTTGCAAGGACATAATGAGCTACAATGCATGTGTTCATACGGACCACTGATTTAATTAACATTGTTAGTCATTAATCAGTTTATAGATAATACCCTAAATTTAATTATTAATCAATTGCTTATTAAACTATTGCTATGTTTTAGTCATTATTATAGGTATTACAGATATAATGGAAAAAATGAGAAGAAATGTAGTTAGAAGGATAACAGGAAGTTGTGCAAAATTTATCATATAGGAACTTGTAGACAATTGTAAGGACTAGTTTTATTCTGGGTTAAATGAGTAACCACTGGAAGGTTTGAGCAAAAGACAAGTATTTAAGTTTTAGGGGAAATGATTGACAACTAAATTGAAAATAAACTATAGTAGTAACAAGAGTACAGACAATAAGAATTATTAGAAAATTATACTAATAATATCAATAAATTGTAACAATAACCCAGATAAGAAATTACAGTGGCCTGCACCACATGGAATCAGTGGAATTAAAGAGAAAGACTGATGGTTTACTGGCATATTTGATGAGGACTGTGAGACAGAAAAGAGTCAAAGATGACTCCACGTGTTTGGGCCAACACAACTGGAAGTATAAAGTTGCCAACGTCTTAAATGGATATAAATGTTGGTGGGCTTGAATGGTGAAGATTAAGAATTTAGTTGAGGTTGTATTGATTTTGAAAATATTTTGGACATCCAAGTACAGTATTAGATATATGTAAGAGTCTGAAGTTTATGAGACAGATTTAGGCTGGAGATATAAATTTGGAAGTAACCTATACATATAGACAGTGTTTAAAATCAATATTCTGCTTGGAATCACTTAGGGAGTGAGTGTAGATAGATAAAAGAAGTTGTTTAAGAATTTCAGATAAAAGAGGAACCAGAATGTTTGTGGTGTGCTGGAAAGTAGTGAAGACAATTTTTCCTGCTGAAAGAAGCAATCAATTTTGTAAAGTAATAAGGATATAGGACAAAGTTGACATTGATGATCTTTATATTAAAAAAATTAATTTCTTCAAGTTTTTGACAAAACATTTTTTCCATCCTTGTTATTGCTGTTTTTATGTGATGCTATTTTTGTCTTCGTCTTTATAATTAATTTAATGAAAGATGAGAGTGGATGCTAACTAATTACCATTGTTCAGAATGTCATAGACTTTTATATCATTTGTATTGCCAGCTCTCTTCCCAAAATTTTTAGGGTTAAATTATTGAAAAATGAAGGAATAGAACATGACAATTATGTAGGATGGGAAAAAAGGCACTGGAGAACAACTTAATACAATTTTTATTAGGATTTTTATCCTCTGGGGATATAAACATCTAGAATATTGTACTTCCATATTTACCCATGTCTAAAGCTTAAATTGTTCCTTCATTGTTTAGCAAACGTTCATCTTCATATGTTATTTGTGTATTTTCTCAAGATATAATGCTAAAAGAATATCAGAATAATCCTTCTCAGGACTCTTTGTTATTTGCTTTTTAATGAAAACTGGTCAAAATAAATAAGAAAATAAATAATGTTAAACTTAAAATGTTAACATTTTTGTGATTTCTATGATTATAATAGGATTTTCCTCCAAAATCAATGATGTCATCAGTTAACCAAGGGTTAATATAGTTTACACATTACTTGTCTCAGAAGATCCCAAAATAAATATGATACTCTACATTTACACCTAGTTTTTGAAAACCAACACAATGATCCAAATGTAATTGAAAAGGGAATAATAAGAAAATAGATTTATAACAAAAGAGCATGTAGTTCAGGACTTAATTATATAGGAAGAAACAAAGAAAATGGTCAGATATTTGTGCTCATACCTAATATCTACATGAATACTAGGGCATCAAATAAAAGCTGATATGAATATGTAATATTATTCCCTTAAATATCACTACTGAGATAAAAATATGTGATTTTTTAAAATAATGAATAATTTTTGTTTAGTATCTAAATTATATTTAAATATAGTATATTAATATTGCTATACAGTATAGTATTATATATTGTCATACATAAATTATATTTGTGTTAATATATCAGGGTGGTGCATACATAATTGCAGTTTTTGCATTGTTGAAATTTGCAGTTTGATATTGGAATACATTCTTAAATGTGGCTATGTTATATATCACTTTAATACACATTTCTCACTTTATGTTTTTTTGCTAATGACATTACTTGCTGTTTATTTTATATTTATTTTAGACAATGGAAATGATGTTAGACAAAAAGCAAATTCTAGTGATTTTCTTGTTCGAGTTCAAAATCCATCATAGAGCAGCGGAGACACCTTGCAATGTCAACGCCTTTATTTGGCCCAGGAACTCCTAATGAACTCCCTTTCCATTTGACTTATGCATGGCCATATTACCAAATTTCTGTTCACTGAAATGAGATTAGAAGTGACATGAGCACCTATTTAATCTGTAAAGGAAAGAAACATCTTCCCTTCCAATTTTCCTATTTCCTTCCTGCTAAGTGAAATACAGTGCAGTGGTTTTTCAAGAAGTTTTGCAAAGGAGACAAGAGCTTTGAAGATGAGGAGCATAGTGGCCAGCCATTGGAAATTGACAACGGCCAATTGAGATCAATTATTGAAGCTGATTCTCTGATAACTACAGGAGAAGTTGCTGAAGACCATTCACCTAATAAATTTAAAATATGTTAAATATAATTTTTCTTAATTTACTTCTTAGTTGCAATACTAGAATATTTGGTGGTAAAATATGCCCCTCAAACACTTATTCATAAAATAAAGTTAAATTCTATGCTCAGGTAATTATGAACTACATCAATTTCACTTGTAAAATTTATGTAGAAAAAATGACCATTTTTAAAATACGTTTAGGCTGTCCAACTTTTTCTAGGAAGTCTACCTTTTCAAGACAAATCCAGTGACCACAGAAAATAATGAATAAGATATTCCCCCTCAATAAAGCAGCCCCAGAGGCTTCCAAGGAACTTATCCCATTACCAGGACAGGAAATTTTACCATTTGCCCAGAAAGATTTGATAATTGCTGCAGACCAGTGATTTACACATGTTCCCTATTCATTCTTTTTTCTGAAATAGTCTTTTAGGTAGATTTACCTTGATTTTGCTTCACCTTGTTATTTTTGAGTTGAAAAATTAGTATTGTTCTTTAAGTTTATAGATCACTGAATTTGACAGAGAAAATTATCATGAACATTGATCTCATTTCAGTAATTGGATGGGACTTAGTGTTTTCCATTATGGCGAGAGGGTAATATTACTATGTAGGAAACAGGGCATGCCTAGATATTTGGGTGACCAGAGGCAAGGACTCAAGCAAAGATGTCACTTTTTTCACAATACTATCTCTTTCCTTCTTCCTTTAATAATGAACGCCATGAAGTTTTGTTGGCTATTTGGCAATTGAGTTAAAAACCACATCTCCCAGCCCATTTTTGTTTGACTTATGCATACCCATGTTACTAAATTACTGATCAATGAAATGAGATTAGAAGTGATATGGGCACCTATTGAGTCTGTAAATTGAAGAAACATCTTCCCTTCCAATTTCCCTCTTTCCTCCCTGCTAAATGAAATGCAGGGTGAGATGCTGGATTAAGCATAATAGAGGCAATTCAATAGCCAGATTGAAGATGATAAAGAAAGAAGAGGACCCTGTATTTTTAACATCCCAAAGCTGTCATAACAATCCTGGAATACCTATAATCAGTCTATTATGTTGAAGAAATCTCAATTTTCTTGTTTAAACCACCATGAATTTTTACTTTTGTTTTAGAAACAAAACTTGTTTTACCTTAACTGATACAACCTGTTAAGGTTGTTTAAAGATTAAAAGATCATACAGACCTCTAAGCATAGTATCTAATAAAAAATAGATTGATTCTCAATAAAATAAAATAGCATTTTATATGTGCTTGTAACCCGAGATAAATGAAATACAGACACTATTTAATGGAAGGTCAGAGTTAATGAGATAGAAAGAGTAAATACATTATTCTATCATCATTTGCTTTGCAGTATGGTGTTCCAAACGAGTAGAGTTTATCAGTTAAATATTTCATTTTTTTCCAGTAATATTCACATATTCATTCACATATTTCATTAAATTTCTTTTAAAAACTCTGTTGCTCCATTATTTACTTCATATTCTACATTCCTCAAAACAAGGAAAAATATTTATTGAATATTATGAACAAAAAGCAAGAGATAAGGGTATAACTTCCCAATAGACTCTCCTTGCCCACTGCCTAGACAGGGCCAATGTATCAGGACAGGAGAGTTGCAACAGAGAAAGAGTTTAATTCATGCAGAACCAGATGTGTAGGAGACTGGAGTTTTATTATTACTCAAATCAGTCTGTGAAAATTTGAGCATCAGGGTTTTTATGGATAATTTGGTGGGTAGGATATTTTGTCAGTTCAGAGGTAAGATCATATGGAGTGGAAGTGGGTTTTACCTGCTGTCTTGTGTTGCTGGGTGGAATCACAGAATTGGCTGAGCCAGATTGCTGGTCTGTGCGGTGTCCACTGGTGCAACAGAATGCAAGGTCTGGAAAATAAAGCACTGATCTTATGTTTTACAGTAGTGATGTTATCCCCAGGAGCAGGTTCAGAATCATGCTGCCTCCAGCTGCATGACTCCTAAAACATAATTTCTAGTCTTGTAGTTAATTTGTTAGTCCTACAAAGGCAGACTTGTCCCCAAGCAAGAAGGCGGCTTATTTCAGGAGAGGGCTATCATCTTTGTTTCAAAGTTAAACTTTAAATTAAATTCCTCCCAAAGCTACTTTGGTCTACACCCAGGAATGAACAAGGACAGCTTGTAAGTTAGAAGCAAGATGGAGTCAATTAGGTCGGATCACGTTCACTGTAATAATTTTCTCAGTTATATTTTTTTTTGCAAAGGCAGTTTTAAAGATGTTACCAATATTTTAATTCCCCACCCTTCATTTAAATGTAGGATGCTTTCATAGTCTGGGCATTTTTCTTTTAAAGATTCAAAACTTGGCTACATTAGTTATGTTTTCTTCCATCATTATTAAATGTTTTTAAATGTGGGAAATCATGAGGCTATATTAGATCTACACAGCAGTGGAATAAACAGGATGCAGATGCCAATAACAATACACTTTATTACTATACCCTTGTATTTTTATACCCACAATGTGCAGATGTACAGATGTGCACACACATATGTCCACACCCACTCACATATATTCTTAATCCAGAAGAAATAAGATAGTGTTTACATAATACTAACATAGGACATTACTGTTAACTAAAGTTCATAATTTACATTAGGGTTTATTCCTTCTGTTGTACAGTTCTACAGGTTTTTGAAAATGCATAATGTCACATATGCACTCTTACAGTATCATATAGAATAGTTACACGACCCCAAAATGCACCTGTTTATCTTTCCCTTTCATGTTCCCATGAACTTCTGGAAACTAGTGATCTCTTCACTACCAGTATAGTCTTATCTTTTCCAGAATATCACACAGTTAGAATTATACAAAATATAGCATTTTCAGACTCATTTCTTTCACTTAGAAATATACATTTAAGGTCCCTCCTGTCTTTTCATGGCTTGATAGCTTTTTTTCAACTTCTTTTTATTATTATTATTTTTTCCTACTCCAGTTGGAGGAGAAGAAATGGTTTTTTAAAATCACCAAATAATATTTTACTATTAATATATGGATATCTCACAGTTTGCTTATTCATTTACCTATTGGAAGACATCATGTTTGCCTGCAGGAATATTTATAAGAACCGAACATAGGCTAAGGTAATCCCTCTTTGAACTTGGAGTAAAGTCCAAATTCCTTTCCTTGTTTTACACGGTACTACAGAATTTGGTGTCTGTAAACTTCTTCAATCTTAATTCATGCTACTCTCTGTTTCTTGTTCATTGCTCACCAGTATCTGAGGATTCACAGTGATCTCCTTACTGCCTCAGAGCATTTGACCAACTCATTCTCTCCTGGGAACGTGGCTCCTCGACTCCTGATTCATGGCTGATTCCGTGTCATTTTTTTTGAGCTTCAGTATAGATACTATCTCCCCTGAGAGGTTTTCTCAGAAAGACCTGTTCTCTCATTATCTATTGCAGCACTCTCTGCTTTCCTGAAATACCACTTACTTTATATTGTACTTATTCATTTTAATGTTTATGTATTAATGTAGTTATTATTATTTGTTTTTATTTTTCTGGAATAGACAGCAATTCCCAGAGGGCAAAAATTTAGATATTAGGTTAACAACTATATACTCAACACTTAGCATGGAAGCTCAATAAATATTTGTTAAATTCAATGAACATTATTTTAATGTTTCCTAAGGGTACTACACACACACACACACACACACACACACACACACACACACACACGGGCTTATTTTCCCTTAGGACTTGATGTGTAATTTTTATCAGCTCATTACTAATAGCTCAACTCTCCTAAAGAATCAAAAAATTTACTTGTAGAAATCAAAATGTATCTCTAGATTTTTTGCTGACCAGCACACATAAGGGGGAGGGAAGCTGTATTCTTTTTGGAGTCTATTTTGTATTTATTACATAGAAAATATATTCAAATTACTCAATAAACATAAGTAAAGAGAATAAGCAATAAAGAATTTATTCACGTTTTTCCATAAGCAAGCTTACACATTATTCTTTACTGAATTTTTTATAACAGTATATCTTAGAAGTTTCTTCATATCAGTATTTTAAATTTTAAATTAAAAAGTACTCATCTGAGCCACAAAATTAATAAGACCTTTTCATGTGTTCTCTAGGAGAAAAAAATCAACAGTATTCACTAGAAAATTCTGATTTGCAGACTAATGCATGCTTACCCTTTCTTCACCACACCTAATGCTACATAATTGTAAATAAAATTAAAGTAAATTTAATATACACTATAATAAATGTCTTTGTGGAAGCATTGCTTATTATTTGATGCCACAGAGAAGAAAGCAGTTCTACCAGGGATGTGAAGCAAGGCTTCATAGAGAAGGAGATATCTGAAACATAAGCTTGACATATAAAAAGAATTTAATTGGATTACAGAAAGTGGGATGTGGAAATTTATATAAATCCTTAATGTCTGTGAATAAAATAAAACATAATTTAGTATGGCAATGGAGAAAAAAAATATCCCTTCAGACAGCAGTAACAGGGCCATATAAATGTCAGCTTAAGTCATTTAACATTTAATTTCTTTTTGAGAATCATTCACATATTGGAGTTATTCACTGTTTTTACTGACTTCTAATGAACACAAATGTCAGTCCTCATTGAGTTTAGTTTACACTCAAAGAAGGGGTGTAAATAAACTATCTAGAATATACAGTAGGTTCAGAATTAAAAGGGATATGGGAAAAAGCTGTTTGAGGAAGAGGGAAAGAAGGTGGGTTTTGAGGGGTGAAATTTTAAACAGAATGTCAAAGAAGTCCTAAATTAGAAGGTGACACTTAGTAAAATCTGAGAAAGGTGAGAGAAAAAGTAATGTCTGTTAGCTTGTGGATGTGGTTCACCGTCATTAATTTCAGAACCTAGAATAATGCCCACAACATAATTAGTAGTCAATAAATGTTTGTTAGATATATAAAGGAATAATTTAATTTGTAGAGTAATGACAAAAAGATTTATTGAAAGTATCAACAGAAGATACTGGGAAATTGTGTGAGCTGAGTTTGAGAAACAGTATTTATTTTCTGTTAAAAAATTAACCCCATAGGCAATAGGCTTAAAGTCCATGAGTACTTTGATATTATATTAGACTTATTAATAATGTTATCAAATAACATTTGCTTTTTGGGAAAATTATATTGAAAAAATGGTAAAGTGAATAGAGACAATTTTCAGACAGCCCAGTAAAAAAGAAGCCAATGACTTTGGGAGGCCGAGTGGGGCAGATCACAAGGTCAGGAGATCGAGACCATCCTGGCTAACACGGTGAAACCTCATCTCTGCTAAAATACAAAAAATTAGCCGGGCGTGGTGGCGGGAGCCTGTAGTCCCAGCTACTCAGGAGGCTGAGGCAGGAGAACAGGGTGAACCCGGGAGGCGGAGCTTGCAGTGAGCCCAGATCTTGCCACTGCCCTCCAGCCTGGGCGACAGAGCGAGACTCAGTCTCACAAAAAAAAAAAAAAAAAAAAAAAAAAAAAAAGAAGCCAATGACAAGCCCAGTGATATCTGATACTGGGGGCGGAGTTGACCTAGAGAAATTATGATGGCTCAAACATGCTTTATTAAGGAGGTACTGATAAGATTTACTCACAAAAATCAATTGATAATGAAAACATAGTGAGGTTATTAACAGTTTCCAAGTTTCTCACTTGGTGGCTGAGAGAGATAGATGGTAATTCAAATCACTTACATAATTGATTAGAGTATGAGCAATTACGCTTGGGAAGACAAAAACACTGAATTCAATTTGCACTTGCTGAGCATGCTGTGACTTGAGTTACAGATAGAGCTATTTGGTTTTACTATATTATAGATATTAAATGAAATGCTATAAAGACAAATTGGAGGCTAATTATTTGTGATTAGAAGTGAAGAAGTTTAGGGGAAGGAATAAAAGGAAAGTAACATTTGAGGCAAATCATGAAACATGAGGTAGCATTGTCCAGTGACAAGAGAAGGTTATAAGTCATTCGGAGCAAGGAGAAAACCCTAATTTCATACAACACTGAAAGTATGTTATTGAACAGGGAGGAGGTAATATATTAATATTATTGTTATTGTTATTTATATGGGGAATATAAACAACCAGGCAAACTTAAGTTGTTCATGGAAATCGGTTTCTCACATTGATTTTTCACATGAACTATTCTTTGCTTTTATTCTTCAGGTAGTTTACCAGCTTGTATTTAAAGTCCTTAGGAGAATATTTGTTTCTGCAAAACATAGGCATGATTCAGAAAGCTGTAAAAGACTGTTGGATTTGGCTATTATGAAACAGTCTATCACCATAGCCATTTAAGTGTTTGAAGAATATTTTGTTTACGATGGAGTGTTTGTGATATTGCTTGTCACTCCCCATTACCTTTTGATCAACACGATAACAGGAATGGCACTGCTAGGAGCAACTGATTTTGACATTGTGAAGGTGTTTAATGGAGTTCAGTTATGGCTATAAGTTTCATACACTAGCCATCTGACTTCTACTATAATCAATTATTATAACTGCAAGACAGTTAAATTGCGTGACCTCTAGGGCTACATGCTTGAAATAACATTTTAGTAAAACTATATAATATATAGTTGATAAATCTGAACTTCAGTTCATGGAAGTATCACTTAAATGAACTTGGCAAATAGCCTATTTAAGAATATGACTGATGCCTGTGCAAAATACAATATTTGTTTATGCTCCAGTGGATCAGACAGTACTAAAGATGACTCTAAAAATCTAAGAACAACTTTTTTGCCTTCCTTATTGCCTTTATCACACATTTTTAATTCACTTTAGACAATGAAAATTTTACTATTTACATACATTTATATATACATTAAGACACATTGCTAATAAATTTAGGAAGTAAAATTTTGGTTATTTCTATAGCTTCTTTAAAATGTTCAATGTTTGGCCTCAGAATGCCATAATAGCCAATCTGGCATTAACTAAGCAATTGATCAAGTATCCATTTAATGCATGTTGTAATCAACCTTAGTTTTATATGTATATCCAGAACTCAAAAAATATAATTTGCAATAATTTGACAAATGCATCTTCTCAAGGTATTATGACTGTATTAACAAGGGTATGACTAAAGTATATGACAAATATGATAAACACTGACCTCTGACCAGCATAACGGCCATTTTCTTTTGTATTTACAACTTATTTCCTGCTGTGTTTCCCCACTATGAGTCTGTTTTCATATGTTGAAATTTCATATTGAAACCAATATCGATTTATCAGTTGTAGGTATGAGTGCTTAATTACTAGTGATTGATTTGTACGTCATCATTCTAATGAACCACAATTTCTCAGCCTTGGGCACAGATTAGATGTCATGTTTTACAAAGGAGTTTTCTGTCTCCTTTATATAATGTATTTTTCCCCCAAATATTAATCTCCAAGTAGAAGCATTCGACATGAGCTACGATAATAAAATTTCTCAAAAAGATATTGTTAGTGGAAAGCTATGCACAATCTGACTCTGTAATGCCCTAGGTGTCTGGACTTCTTATATTTGATATATCAATACTCAAAAACCAATTATTAGATTCCTGTTAAACGTTCTATAAGAATTTAAGTAACAATAATAAATGATTATTATATTGCAAGGACTAAGTGAGTTTAGTGCATGCCACATAAGAACTGATACACACAAAGGTATTAATAAGTGTTATCTAATAGTGGGACTAGTATTAATAGTAGTTCTATCATGATCATTACTACTATTATTACTTTGTTTTGTGCCACATAAAAGAGATATCTCCATTCATTTTATTATCATTGCTTCAGTTGGAATGAAAATGGAGATTAATTTTGTAGAGTGATATATGGAAAGAAGAAAATAAATGCTTGCTTACTATAATGTAAATATACTTTTCTTCCTTTATTCTATAAAATTTCTGAGAAGAAAATAGAATCAAAGGTTATGTGAGCTATGTTTATCCAGAAATGTTTGAGTATTCTCCTTACATATTTCTACAGCCCTCTAAATTCATTGTTCAATTTTATTTTTTATTTTAGTTCTGCACTATTAACATAAAACTGTCGCTATTAAGTTCAAATAATAATAAAATAATTACTGAGTCATAAGCAAATAGTTATAACAAGTGCCATTTACAAATTTTAATATCTCATTTGGTGCTTTTTCCAGATCTTTAATAAAGTTATATAATAATATGACTAACACTGACCACCGATGAGCATAATAGCCACTTTCTTCTGTCAGTATTTACAACCTATTACCTGCCATTTTCACTATTTGTCTGTTTTTATACACTAAAAATCTTTAAATTGGAACCAAACTAAATTATTTTTAGGGTAATTTTATTAGACACTCCATCATCTTTTTAGCTAAGAAACAAACATAAAAATATATGTAACTCTATTTTATAATTCTGCAGTTTTTCAATTCCTTTCATTTTTTCATTACTTGTTTCTATGTTGTGACAAACACACTGCCTGTGTTTAAATCAGAATATAAACACCTATAAAAATTATCATACTATATATAGCATTTGTTATCATTTACAGATTTTCCATGGACAAATGTATTTTAATTTCAGATAGAGTTCAACAGGTGCATTGTTTTTATACTGTTTCTTTCCATGTATCTGTTTTCTTCTTGTCCTTCATTCATTTATTAATATCTGACTGCCATCTTACTTATGTCAATTTATCTAAAATGTCATAAGTCATGTGACTAGATACTTTTTTATTTAATTAGGTACTCATTTATTGGATATATCCAAATATGTCTGTTCTACAACTGCCTAATGAAGACTTTTTATCTTGGTTCCGATCTGAATAGTGAAAAGAAATGCAAATGTTTACATGTAAGGTATTGGGTGACACTATTTTTCTTACACCTTTACTTATTGCTTGTTGTCCTGACCATTTAAAAATTATTACTATTCAGTTGAAATATTAATGTTGAAGTTCGGAGTGTCTCTTAGGACAGTCTAATTTAGTACACAGCTAGCAAGACACATCCCCTGAAACTAGGTGATTATCTCATGGTTTTCACATTGCTGTTGTGGCTATGTGTGGTCTTCAATAATGAAAGCAATTATGATATATAATATGACAAGACAATGACAAGTTTAAAGAAGACATCATTTTTGTTTTCCTCTAAATGTATGCATGTATTTATTTTATTGTACATATTTAAGATGCATAACATGATGTTTTGATATAAATATACATAGTAAAATTTCTTCACTCAAGCAAATTAATATTTTTTTACCTCACATTAGTTACCTTTTTTGTAGTGGAAACACCTGAGATCTACTTTCTTAGAAAATTCAAGTACACGGTACATAATTAACTAGTCATCACAATTGATCTCTAGACTTATTTGTCCTACGTAATTACAGGTTTGTTCCCTTCAACCTACATAGCCCCATTTTCTCCCCTTATGCATAACTGGTAGCCACCATTCTACACTCTCTGTTTATACATATTTGACTTTAAGATTCCACCTAGTAAGATTATGGGGTATTTTTCTATTTGTAGCTGGCTTGTTTTATTTAACATACTGTCTTTTACATTAATTCATGTTGTCTTAACTGATGGGAGTATTTTCTTTTTAAAGGCTCAATAATATTCCATTTTATATATAGATACATACGTATACATATAGAAATATATTTATAGAGAAATAACTATATACAGAGAAATATCTATGTATATCTATAGAAAAATATGTATATATGTTTATAGGTATATATATCAAAATTTATTCATTTATTCTTCTATTGACAGTTTGTTTTCACATCTTGGCTATTGTTAATAATGCTTCAGTGAAAGGAAGTGGAGCTGTCTCTATGAGATGATTTCATTTCCTTTGGATATATAGTGAGAAGAGAGATTACTAGATCACATGGTAGTTCTATATTTGATTTTTCAAGAACTTTCATGCTGTTTTTCATAAGGGCTGTACCAATTTACACTTGCAACAATAGTGCACAAGGGTTTCCATTTATCCACATCCTTACCATCATTTCTCATCTCTTGTCTTTTTGATAACAACCATCCTCATAGGTGTGAGGTGGTATCTCATTTAGGTTTTACTGCCTTTTCATTGTGTTGTTGCTTTTGTCATGCAGATATTTTTTATGTGAACCCACTTGTTTATTCCTGTTTTTGTTGCCTGAGCTTTTGGAAAAATATCAAAAAACAATGCCATTGCCAATAGGAAGAATATTTTTTCTATGTTTTCTTTGAGGAGCTTTATGGCTTCATGTCTTACATCTAGGTCCCTAATCTATTTTGAGTTGATTTTTGTGTATAGTGTAACATTGTACCAGCTTCATTCTTTTGCAAGCATATATACAATTTTACCAGCATCATTTATTGAAGAAACTATTTTTTCTCCTTTGTGATTTCTTAGTCAAAAATTAGTTGACCATATATTCAAACTGAATTCAAAAACACATCACAATATTATACACCATGGACAAGTGGGGTTAATCCCTGAGATGCAAGGTTGCTTTACATTTTCAAATCTATCAAGGAATCAATTATTCAGTGCAATCCTATCAAAATTCCAATGGCATTAATAGAATAAAAAAATTAAATGATCATCTCAATAGAATGAGAAAGGGCATTTGACAAAGTTCACTTTTTTATGTTAAGAACTGTCAACAAAACAGGTATGGAAAAAATTTCCTCTACATAATAAAAGTCATTGGTGAAAATCATAATAAAAGGGGGAAAATGAAAGCTATTTATCTAATATCTGGTATAATGCAAAGATGCTACTCTCAACACTCTATTCAATATAGTACTGAAAGTAGTAGCAAGAACAATCAGACAAGAAAAACCAAAGACATCCAAACTGGAAAAGAAAAAGTAAAATTATCCTTGTTTGCAGATTACTTGATCCTACATTTAGAAAACCATGAAGTCTCAAAAAAAAAAACCTACTAGAATTAATAAATTGAACTGAAACCAGTAGGATACAAAATCAATGTACAAAATGAGTTGCATTTATTTTCTTTTTTATTATAGGTTCAGGGGTACATGTTAAAGTTTGTTACATAAGTAAACTCGTGTCACAGGGGTTTGCTGTACAGATTATTTCATAACCTAGGTATTAAGCTCAGTATCCAGTAGTTATCTTTCTTGCTACTCTCCCTTCTCCCACCCTCCACCCTTAAGTAGAGCCCAGTGTCTGTTACTCCCTTCTTTGTGTTCAGGAGTTCTCATCATTTAGCATCCACTTGTAAGTGAGAACATATGGTATTTGTTTTTCTGTTGTTGTGTTAGTTTGTTAAGAATAATAGCCTCCAGCTCCACTCATGTTCCCTTATTTCCTTACTGAAAAAGGAATAAAAAAATAGCCTATTTCCAACAGCATTAAAAAGAATAAAACATATAGAAATAAATTTCACTAAGAAGTGAGAAATTTCTATACTGAAAACTATAAAATGTTGATTGAAGAAATTGAAAATGGCACAAATAAATGGAAAAAAAATCCTGTGTTCATGGATTGGAAGAATTGATGTTAAAATGTTCATTCTACCCAAAGTACAGATTTAGTGCAATCCCTATCAAAATTCCAATAGCATTTTTCACAGAAATACAAAAATAAATTCTAAAATTTGCAAGGAATCACAAAGGACGCTAAATAGACAAGGTAGTGTTGAGAAGGAAAACCAAAGCTGGAAGCATCACATTTCCTGATTTCAGAAGACATTACAAAGCTATAATAATCAAAACAGTACAGTACTTGCATAAAAACAGACAAATAGACCAATGGAACAGAATACAGAGCCAGAAATAAATTTGATTTTAATAGAGATTTTTAAAACTCCATTTAGTGGAGAGACTTGGGCATCACAGTACTGGTCACAGAATGGGATACAAATATTCACTGCTTCTGAATTGTGTTCAGCTCAGCCAAAAGTATGGTAACATGATGAATTCTGTTTTATGACATAAATAAAGGTCTATTTTGAATTTTAAATTATCATGTAGTTTTTATTAACTGTCAAGATGTTTCCTATAAGATAAGCCACATTCTCATTTATAAGAAGAGAAAAAATGTTCATATCCCAGGACACCTGGGATGAGTGGTAAACATCACAGATCTTATCAGCTGGATAATTGAGCTGAAAAGTTGAAGGCCTGAAAAACATTTTTTTTTCCTATCCTACAAATAGAATTTTCTTTACCAAAAAAGGCAAGATGAAATGTGACGACTTAGATTCCTCATTATTGAAAAAAGAAAATTAGAAGTTGTAAAAAATAAGACAGAATACATCATTTATATCCATTTCCAGACCCAAATCCACATATTCAAAGCCATTCAAATATAGACTAGGCATAAAATACACAAGGGATCATCTATTACTTTCCCTCTAGAAATATCAAACACAGAGATGCTTTACCAATTAAAGTTGTCAGATGTGAATTTTCTTGGTATTAATATCAATATAAAAATGGTTCAAAGGATAATGCCAATTTTTACATTCAAGCTTCTCTCAGGCAATTTCAAATCTTACTAAATAATCACTTTCAAGATCATTCTACTACTGTGCTCCTTTTCTTTCCATGGAAACTATAAAAGGAAGATAGTGCACCAAGACTCTCCCCTTCCTCTTCATAACAAAATTAAAAGTAAATAAAATAATGTTTCTCTCACAGAATGAGCATGTTTGGTAATTACGACTTGAATATTTCTAAGTTTGTAATTATAGAATTAAATAAAACTAGCAAATAGATGTCTTTCAAACAAAAGATTTTTCCCCAAACACAAAATTTCTTTTTGTAATACTGAGCATAGTATTTATAAATGAAGTTAACTTGTATTAAAGTAAGAAATTCATTATTATATTGTCCCTATAATCAAACACTTCCACTTTGATACTGACCATGTGGAATAAAACATGTTAAGCATATTCTGGACTATATAAAATTCTATGTAAAGACCAATGGAACTATGAGATCAGCACTCATGGAAATACCCAAATTACTCAACCCAGAAAGCATAACAATTAGAATATCAATTTTTAACCTTCAGGCTTTAGTATGAATAATACATATTCAGTGAAAATATGTTCATTGTTTATATTGTGGGTTTAATCAGGCAAAGAAAAGATATTTAGTTACCATTTCAATCTCCACAATTAGCCATTGTGATTTTTAAGACAATGAGAAATTCACTCAAATGAGTTAAAATTTTGGGGGACATAGAGAAAAGAGGGCAGTCTTTCACCGATTTAAACATCTTTGTTTCCAAATAGGCTTACAGAATAGTGCCAGAAATACTAATTGATTAATTAATTATGTGATTTTTGCTTTGAGCAATTTCTATCTGCTTCTCAAATGATCACTTTTCTAGTACACTGTTAGCTTCTCTATGTCTCAAAAACACCTAGCCTTATTTGTCAAAACAATAAAAATTTAATCAGTCATTTAGATGATTGATCTGTGTGGTAAGTTCAATTAATTTAGATAATTTAAAGAAAATCATTGTTAGCCTGACTACACAAAAGGTAAAATTTGCTTTTCTGGTCTCGTAATTAAAACTACTTAGTTTTATCATCAACCACATAGTTTATTTATTTATTTATTTATTTATTTATTTATTTATTTATTTAGGGTCAGAGTCTCGCTCTGTCTTCCAGGCTGGAATGCAGCAGCACAATCGTGGCTAACTGTAAACTCCACTCCCAGATTCAAGCGATCCTCCCACCTCAAGTGATCTTCCCACCTCAGCCTCCAGAGTAGCTGGAGTAGCTGGAATTACAGGTGCATGCCACAACGCCCAGCTTATTTTTGTATTTTTAGTAGAGAAGGGCTTTCACCATGTTGGCCAGGCTAGTCTCGAACTTCTGACCTCAAGTGATCCAACCACCTCTGCCTCCCAAAGTACTGGGATTACAGACATGAGCCACCACGCCCGGTCCCATGTAGCTTATATTTTAAAAGCAAAAAAACAAACATGGGATTTCATTGTTGTTTAAATGTTTCTGTATGGGATAATATAATGGAGGAAAAGAGATACGCTTATCTTCAAAATATTTTCAAATGTCTTATTTGTATTTAAAATTAAGAGCGATTGGCTTGAGGAAAAATTAACATAGGGAAAATTTACAAAATTTCCTGTATAACGTTTGGCTTTTGCTTTTGTGATCCATTTAATTTAAAGACCTTGAGAAATCTGTGGGAAGCAACAGATTTTAGACTCCTCTGCAGAGGTTATCATATATCCGACCTTAGTGCTTGAACAATTACCTCACATGCTGTTATTTGGAAAAATACATGTAAAGTTGTGACAGACAATCATTAAGAGAACAATCCCCACTAAGAATCAGACACAGACTACCAGCCTAGCAATATAAATGTAAAATACGAAAATAAAATATAAATAACTATATAACATAAATAAAATATAAAATATAAGGCATTCAATATACTTTATCTCCATAACTCAAGTAGAGTTTAAGTGTTTTAGTCTTTATAAATCTTATTCTAATGTCTTATTGGGACTAGTTTTTCATGTACCTCATAAGAAAATTAACAAGCCACTCTCATTTAAGAGATCCATAAATAGTTCAAAGTGAATTAAAATACACTCATGTCCCACAATATGAATGGTCTTTTTCTATGTTTGGCTAAACACAAAGTAAGTAATTAAAATTAGTTACTAAAGATAAAGGTTTTTCAGTTTCATGGGCTGATTTTGTAGTGTACTGATTTTCTAATATAATACAGTTGTTCTTGATATACTGAGTGTTACTAATTGATATTAAATGTGATGTTTTTAGCTTCAAGTAACAGCACCTAATGTAATAAATTAAACAAAATCCAAATATATTGTCTCTATAAATGGAAATTGTAGGGTAAAACAAATCTCAGGTACAATTGGATTGAAGGACTCAAATCCCTCTCCATATCTTAGTTCTGTTTTATGTTGTCAAGCATCATTTCCTTCTTTGTAGACCAGGCTTTCTGTAGGTAGAGAACAGCCTGATACTACTAGCTGCTGCTTCACATACATCCAGCTCCATAACTTAGTCAAGACTGAGAGGAGCTGGCTTTTCAAACAATAGTTTATCCATCAAACAACCCATTCCGACCTTCTTTTGAATTAGTACTCTACCCTTGTTCCAGTCATAAGTTTTTGATAAGACTTCCAATTATACTGCTTCTCAGTCTTAAAGTTAAATGGAATTTTAGTGCTCAATTTTCAGGATGTACTGATTAGTTTGGGAGAACGAAAATGACACATTAAGGCCAATTAAAGGTCTTTTCCTGGATGTTCCTTTTTGACCCATAATTATAGGAGCCAGGAGTCTTCAATTTAAGCATTTGCTTGGTACTAGTGCTCTAATTATTGATTCTGTCTTCAAAAAGCAGCCCAAAATTAATTTGCATAATGTTTTCATTTACCGTGATGAATCAATAGGCAGCAGGTGATTAATTAAATTAATCCAAATTAACAAATATATATTGAAGATCTGCTATGTGTCAGGAACTGTTTTGGATGCTACAAACTTACACAAGAGATGATACAGTCACTTTCTTTATGCTTATACATGGATTTACTCAATGCTCATAGAAATTGACCACCATGTTGGCAGATAAAGATGTTGCCTGAGTAGTGCAGTGGTTCTCAACTCTATCAAAATTAAAGTTTCCCCTTCTATAAAGTTAATATTTGTAATAGTCTCTATACACATAAGTTAAAATAAAATAATGTTCATTTAAATATATGTGTTATTTGAAACCAAATGACTATCGAAGGTTCACAGAATAGTCCCGACACGCAGTGCTCCATCCTAGGTTTTGGATCCCAAAAGAATGAGGTGGTTTGATTGCATATGGTAGTTACATGTGCTTGTTTTGTTTTATTTTGCCTTTAACTTCCCAAATCTCCATGCACTGTACTACAGATACCTGCCCATCTCATCTGAGCATATTGAGTGTATAAAGATAGCAGTTAAGACATGAGAAATGCTTTTCTAAATTTTCTCAATAATTGCTTCAATTTATTTAGCTTGTACAACAGAAAAGTTTTTAATTTAAACACTCTATTGCAATTTTGTTTTATTTTCTTAAAATGTGATGATCCATACACTACATTCTTCTAGGCTTCTTTGATGGCTGTAATGGGCCACTTTACAGTGGCGTTTTTAAGCCTCTGTTGATCTTACATTTGGCTGAATTTCTTGCAGCTACTAAATGAAAGATGCCAGATGAAAATGCTTATTTATACTCCATTTATTTAAACCCTGGAAAAACAAACCAGTTTATAGTGACAGAAAGCAGACTGGTGCCTGGTTGGGATTAGGTAGTGGTGTGTGGTGGAGAAAAAATTTCAAAGAGACAGCAGAAAATTTTTGGAGGTGATATACATATTCACTTTTTAAATTGTGATTATTTTATGGATGTATGCATATATCAAAATTCATCAAATTGAACATTTAAAAATGTGTAATTTAATATATGCCAACTATGCTTCAACATTAAATGCTGGAAAAAATTATTAAAATTCTACATGATAGTAGTAAGGCAAATAAAGCCCCTTAAGCAGCTTTTTTTTAAAAAACCCTAGGATCGGGTATGGAAAGATAACTAATATAGCATGGTTTAGTATAAGAACTTATTTGATCACATTTCCTTTTGTTTATTTTTTTATTTATTCATTCATTCACTTTTTGAGACAAGGTCTCTCTCTGTTGCCCACACTGGAGTGCAGTGGTGCAATCATGGCTCACTGCAGCCTTGGCGTCCTGGGCTGAAGCGATCCACCTACCTGAGTATGAATAGCAGGGACTACAGGAGCATGCCACTATGCCCAACTAATTTTTTTTAATTTTGTTTAGAGATATAGTCTTGCTATAATATGTTGCTCAGGCTGATCTTGAACTCCTGGCCTCATGTGATCCTCCAGCGTCGGCCTCCCAAAGTGTTGGTATTACAGGTGTGAGCCACTATGCTCAGCTACATTATTTTTTGAAGTACTCACTGGGAGTTTTATTTTGGCTTGTATATTAATATGATATAATGTAGGAAGTTGATAATTCTGCATCCTATGTTTTCTAATCCAAATATTATGGGGAAATTGGAACTGGATTTATAACAACAATTAGGAAAGTTAAATATAAATAAGGGCATTGCAAACCTGAGAATAAATATTAGAATTGATCACTGCATTGAAATTCACAGCATGGTAAAATTTTATTGCCATGTGTAAACAAGTCCAGAACTTTTTAGAGTTAAAACTCTAAGTTACAGTTAAAACTTTAGTTGGCCATCATCTTAAGAATACACTATAAAGAACTGGCAGCAACCTAAAGAAATACGGTGTTTAAGCAAGAAAATTTGGCCAGGGCAATTTGGCAAATCAAGTAAAAGGCAATAATTCATCTGCCTTATATTTCTTAACTGCTTTAAAACTTTCACAAATATTACCTTAACAATGATGTTCAGAGAAAAATGATACATGAATATAATGCTACATTCTATTCAGGGAAGGCATTCTTCTTAATCTTGTAAATAATAAGGTAGTATAATTATGAATAAATACGTAAATTTGTAAATAAGGTATTGACGAATGTATTATATATGACTGTAAATGAGAATGAGTTGGATTGATGAAACTCAAGACAACTATTTTTTATTCTAAACTGACCCTTATAGATATTAAATGGTTGAAACAGAAAGAAATACTTTCATGTAAAAGCCATATGCAAGTTTTAATATCTGAGACTGAAATTTGAATTCCAACATGGATTGTCTTTATTTTGGATCAATCTTGTGACAGATATCTTTAGTGGCATGAATGTAAAGCAAAAGCATAGTCATTCTGGAGAGGATTAGTGCACACCACAGCATGAGGGTCTGGAATTTTCCTTGAAGGAAGGATCATCCACATTGACAGTTGTCCTGAAATGGGCATGGTTCTGAGGCAGAAAATGAGAACTAATTAGGTGGGTCACATGTAGAGGAAGAGAGGGTTGTTTTTGTTTCTCTAGTGACTTGTTATTCAAGCCTGTCAAAGATACTAAGAGCATTTCTAGTAATCCAGGAATGATTTCTGGTGAGAACACTACTACTCCCTAGTGTTCCTTTAGAAAGGAAAAAAAAAGTGATTTCTTGGTTGCCACTTAATATAAAGTAATTAGAAGAAAGAACCAGGGATGCCAGTCTTTCTGTATTATACACACAGTACCGATAAATGTTCACTGAAATTAAAAGCCTGCTTAAATTATCTGAGTTCAGAATCTAACTCTATTGTCCATATAAACCCAAGTGGTGTGGGATAAATTTAATACACACATGCTTTTCCTGTAATGTGACTTTTGTGAAAATCGAGGTAAATTGTACCTTCTTTGTACATATTCACTAATGGTGACACTGCTGTGGTATGATACTTGAATTGTTAGCACAACATGTCTACATCTGTAGCAGCTGCATCATTGTTACCTACATCGTAGCAACTGATTCTACTTATGGTTACTAGCTTTAACTATTTTTCTTTTGTTTTCCTTTAGATATGTTTTTGAAGAGATATGTATCCATGTTATATTATTTATGAAGTTTAATTATGTTAAAAAGAAATGAGAAAATAATTGTTATCAAAAGAAGAATTCACTCTAACAGAGCTGAGAATCACTGACATAGTAGACAAGAACTAGTCAAGGAGTGGCATCATATGTTATCTTTATGTTAAACTACATTTCTATTATGATAAGCCTCCTTTAAAGTGTTCCAAAAATCTCAGCTGGATATCAGCAGAAATAAGGTAAATTTGAGAAAGGTCTTGGGACTCGCTAGCAATTAGAAAAATGAATATTAGAAGTATTTCTCATTGACAAAATGCTAATTGGCTAAAATACTTTAGAGATGAGTTCAACTCTGATGGAAATAAGCTGGAATTATCTAGCATTCCTGTACCTTCTAACTTCAGGGAAAATACCTGAAGATTGACCTCTGAATAATCCTGATTCCAGGCATTGGTTTGGAGGTTAATTAAATCTTTCCCTCAGAATATAGAATATTATCACATTTATCTTGGCGAAACTTTCATATAAATGCATTGAAAGTACTTATAAAACCATAATGAGGAGTATGACTTCAGTTTTGGATATTTCACTGAGGACAATTCTAAGCCTCACCCTTTCTTTCCTCTTGTGTACACAATCTAGACAAACTGATAAGAAAGCCTGGATGTCACTCCTTTGGCATTGGCAGGAGAGTTAAACGACATGAGCCCTTTCCAGCACAGAGAAGCTCTCATCTCTGCCTCATCCCCTAATCGCAATAAGAAACCCAAGCCAGACTTCCTCCTTTGCTTTCTCAAGCCATTTATGACCTGCCCTGCTTTCCCCAGATATCTCAATTATGTAAGTAATAAACTTACCTCAATTATGTAAGTAATAAACCTTCTCATATCCACTTGGGGTGTGTGTGTGTGTGTGTGTGTGGTGTGTGTGTTTAATCAACAGTCTAAGCATCCAAACTAAATCTTGGGTGGGGGTTCACCTGCCTTTGCAGAGGGCAGGGCGGGGGCATAAAAAAAGTAGAAAGATAGGAATTCACTGGGCTATAGAGTAAGTTTCATGAATTGTTTTTTTTTACTTGCTGGCCAAATGTTTGCTTAATGAATGGAGTGTTTCAGAGCTATGTGGTCAAAAACATGCCTTCTATATAGTCTAGCTGTGAGTTTGGAAGGAGATGCCTTGCAAGTGGTTTAAATATCAGTGGCTGCTGTTACCTACAAAGGCTAACTAATACACTATGGTTGTGCATTACCAAATTGATGTAGATAAGTCCACAACATATACACAATCTCATTTAGTCTTCACCATAGAACTATGAATTAAGTACTTACTAATTGTAGAGGTGAAGAAATTCAAAGTTACTATAGTTAAATAATTTACTCAATACATACAAGTTAGAAGTGAGACACAAACTAAGTTCAATTCCAAAGACCTATTCATAATCGTTTCATTGTTCATATAACCTTTTATTTTAAATCTTTAACAATTAAATTATAATGAATTCCAATCAGGAAACATTCCTGTACTAACATTATTTAGAAAAGTTTCTAATGAATTATAACTGGAGACCAACTGAGTGAAGGGCTTTATAATTACACATTGATAAAAAACAAGGTGAGATGTGAAATACTGGTAAAATGTAAATAGAGGAAAAGGAAAAAGAAAAAAGAAACATCAGATTTATTATAGGTTAAACTCAAATCTTATATTATTTTAAAATTGGTAAAATTGTATAATTATTCCTATATCTGTATATTATTAAATATTCTCCATTAATTGTCATTGTACTAATGTCTTTAAATACGTAAAGTTGGTAATTTGTGAAACATTGATTTTGTTCAGTTCCCAATTTTCTAAAGAAAAATTAAGCAGTACCATAATTAGCAATACATTTTTCTACAGCTTGCTATTTTTTTAACTGTCTCCTTTAACTTGGTAGATCTAAATTTATTCAACCCTTATTACAAGGCAAATTAGAGACATAATACACAAAGATTTCTTCTCAGATAATCTGTGTTATTTAATGAGGAGTACTTCCTTTGCTTTAAATTGCACAAAGGTATAAGTGGGGAGTCAAGGTGAGAAAAATGTGGTCAATGTCAAAATTGACTTCCTCTTCTTTCAGTTTCCCTGACAATATCCAGTAAAATAATTAACAGTATAAAGTAACATCTAACATTTGTTGAGAATTCCTTATCTATTAATTTTTTAAGTCACGTTACATGTATTAACCTATTTATCTCTCACAAAACTCAAGTTGCAAGTACTTACTATCATTATTTTGTAGATTAAGAAATTCAGAAAGCTTTTCTTTATTTTGCCAAAAGTCACAACTACAAATTTTAGAGATAGGCTATAAGTCAGATTTCAGAGACTATGCTTTTAATTATTTCTCATATTGCTTCCCTATCATGGCAAAATAACACAACTTTCAAAATTTAATAGGATTGTGCTTTTTAATTTTTTTAAAAAATTACTTTATCCATCCAATGCTTAAAGAGGTTTAATGTTCTAAGGAGATAATGAGAGAGTTTCAAGTATAATCAAGTCTATTTGAATATACCACTGATTTTCAACCTTCAAATTGCATTGTAAAATCAATTAAGTAGATAACTCTTTTATTTAGATAACTCTTTTACTTGGAAAAATAGTTCATGGCATTTAGAAAGAGTATGAATTGAATCAGAACTTTTATTTCAATTAGATAATATAAAATATATATGTATATACTGGGTCAAAATGTAAAGTGCATCTTTTGCTATGGATAAAAAAAGTTTAAAAAATATCCAATGGGTCATGGTTATCACTTTATAAGTTCATTATTTAAATATTAATAACTAGCTTAGTAAGATAAGAACTTTACCTAATTTTTAAAAATCTATAGAAAACTGACAGGTAACCACATTTAATGGTAAAAAGACAGGATGCTTTCAACTTAATACATGGAACAAGGCAGGGGTGTTCTATTTCACTACTTTTATTTAATGTTGTACTGAAGGTTATTGTATTAGTCTGTTCTCACACTGCCATGAAGAAATACCCGAGACTGAGTAATTTACAAAGGAAAGAGAGTTAATTGACTCACAGTTCTTCATTGCTGGGGAGGCCTCAGGAAACTTATAATCATGGTAGAAAGCAAAGGAGAAGCGGGCACCTTCTTCACAGGGTGGCAGGACGGAATGAGTGCAAGCAGAGGAAATGCCAGATGCTTATGAAACCATCAGATCTCATGAGGACTCACTCATTATTATGAGAGCAGCAAGGAGAAAACAGCCCCAATGATTCGATTACCTCCACCTGGTCCTGCCCTTGACAGGTGGGGCTTATAAGAATAAAAATTCTAGGTGAGATTTTTAGTGGGGACACAGCCAAACCATATGAGTTATGGTCAATGCAATCAGGCAAGAACAAAAAAATACACAAATATCCATATTGAAAGAGAAGAAGTAAAACTGACTTCATTTGCATGCAACAAAATTGTCTATGTTGCGAGCCTGATGAAATTTACAAAATGAATTTACTAGAATGGATCAGTGTATTTGGCAACGTTGCAAGACATAGGTCAATATAGAAAAATCAAGTATATTTATATGCGAGCAACAAACAATTGGAAATTGAAATATAAAAGAAAAGACCCCTACAATAGCATCAACACATGAAATACCCAGGGGAAAATGTGAGATAATTGATAAAAGACTTCTGTACTTAAAATACAAAATATTATTGGGATAATTTAAAGAAAATCTAAATGAATAAAGGGATAGCTTTTTATTGTTTGGAAAGTCAATATTGTTGAGATGATAATTATTGATAAATTGATCTACAGGTTCAAAACAATCCCAATCATAATTTCAGCGGGAATTTGTTATTATTGTTGTTGACACTGACAAGCTGATTCTAAAACAGAATGGCCAAAACAACATTGAAAAATAATACGTATTTGGAAGGCTAACACTACCTAATTTTAATAATTAGCATAAAGCTACAATAATCAAAAATAGCATGGCAGTAGATAAAGACAGACAAGCAGTTGAATGGAATAGACTGAAGATTCCAAAAATAAAATTAAGGATAGATTAAAAAGTTGAGTTTTGACAAAACTGCGAAGGCAACAGAAGGGCGAAAGCATAATATTTTTAACAAATGGTGCTGGAAATTGGATATCAGTATGCAAAAATAAATAAATGAACTTGGTCCCATAGCTCAAATCATATACAAAAATTAACTCACAATGGTTGATTCATCTATTATGAAACCTAAAACTATAAATCTTCTAGAGAAGGGGTCCCCAACCCCCAGGCCATATACTGGCACCTGCCTATGGCCTGTTAGGGACCAGGCCACAAAGCAGGTGAGCGGTGGGTGAGTGAGCATTACCGCCTGAGCTCTACTGCCTTTCAAATTAGTGTCAGCATTAAATTCTCACAGTAACCTGAACCCTGTTGTGAACTGCACGTGTGAGGGATCCAGGCTGCATGTTCCTTATGAGAACCTAATGCCTGAGGATTTGTCACTGTCTCCCGTAAGTCTCAGATGGGACTGTCTACTTGCAGGAAAACAAGCTCAAGACTCCCACTGATTTTACATTATGGTGAGTTTTATAATTATTTCATTATGTATTACAATGTAATAATAATAGAAATAAAGTGCACAATAAAAGTAATGTGCTTAAATCATCCCAAAACCATCCCGCAAACCCCTTTCTGTGGAAAAATTGTCTTCCATGAAACTGGTGAAACACAGGATACAAGTGAATTTTTTTGAGTAAGAATCCTAAATTCTAGGTTAACTAAGTTACCATGTCTATATTGCAATAACTCATGTTGCCTAGACTAGAAATAGAACTGACCAGCCTATTCCATTCTTTCTTGATTCCACGTCTGATTTCCTACTTGATCTTTTATAGGGAAAACAAGGAAATATGGTACTTTTTTTTCCATATAGTCTGAGATTTTTGAGGGCTCTGAGCTCCTAGTTACCATACACTTCTCAGGTGGTGATTTCTATCCTACAGTATCCCTCCACTCTCATGTTGAGTAGAGAAGTACCAGGACATGTCCTGGGCTAGTCACCTGAATGTTAAATTTATTTGACTCTGCTCTTGCTGCATAAAAGATGTCCTGCCTCCTTCTGATGATCAGAGTCATTGACACGTTTCTTTTCTCAGTGGCCTTTTGGCAAAAAGAACACAAAGAAACTTTGGCATATAAAATTTAATGGGATATTCACTATGTTGACTGATGTGATCTTCCTTGTCTGAAAACCAGTACCTTTAACTGCACAGAGCCCAGAGTTGAGAGAACAGAAAGCACAATTGCACGTGGATCACCGACAATGCCCATAAAAGGAGACTCCTACTTCTACACTTTGGTTCTCAAACCCATTTATTCTATCTACTGGAGACACAGCACTATTTACCAATCACTGTTTTGGGATGAATCTTGTATCACAGGGAAGGGCACCCATCCTTACAGAATATCATCACCAAGCTGAAGTCCCAACTCCACTTTCATTAGGCTGTTTCATCACATTATCAGGAAAGCAGTTGTCTGGATGGTCTGGAGGGTAGAATATGTAAAGAGATGTGTGCATTCTCCTGGCCACGTACATTCAGACACAGCTCCTTTGCTATGAAATAGTTCCCTTTGTCTGAAGTAATCTTACCCAAGAGAGTCCTTGTCAATGGATCAAACACTCTTTAAAAATGTGAATAGTGGTGTTTCCTGAGACCTTGCTGGCAGAAAAGACAAACCCATACTTGGAATATGTGCCAATTCCCATCAGAAAGAATCACTTTCTCTTCTAAAATAAAAAAAAAATTCAATGTATTAAATTAGTCACCAAGTGACTGATTGTTCCCTTTAGGGGTTGCTTTCTATTAAAGTGTGGATCTCTGTGATTGTAGTTTGGATCTTCAGTAGTGAAAGTATACAGATAACATTTGGTAATTGAGGGCCCATGATTATTTATTCCATTAACAGCCTCTACCCCTACTACCACAGCTATTCAATTATGTCAGTACTAGGATGGTTAATGACTAAGACTGGTTGATGTTGAAAGGCCACATCGCTGTGTTTACTTGATTATCTTTACTCACATAGTGGATGCTCTCTGATGGTTATTAACGTGACAAAAAGATATTCACACTTTGTATTCATTCTCATTGGTCTAGCCATATTCTTTTTTTTCATATTACCTATACCTTATAATCTAAACTTTTTCTTAAAGATCCCTGAGCAACCATCTAAACTATCACTGCTCAATAGTTGATATGCCTATTTACATTAGGCTGTTTGCTTTTAAATATAAAGTGATGATGATGTGCTCTTACCAAACTTGTACCAATTATGAGAATTCCATCTCCATAAGTAGAGTTGTAGTGCATAGCTGCCCAGTATCAACTTGTACCACACATAAAGTTAAATTCATGAAACAGGGTTAGATTTTTATCCAACAATCACTAGTCAAAAATATGTTCCTCACACACATAGGTGGTCATACCTGTGAGCTGAGGGGGATACATTGGGAAATGATATGGTACCTGTATTAGTTAGGGTCATCTAGAGGGACAGAACTAATAGGATATATATACATATACATATATATGTCCTATTAGTTATATATAATATATATATTTTATTAAATATCTATCTTTCTATCTATCTATCTATCTATCTATCTATCTATCTATCTATCTATCTATCTATCTATAAAGGGGAGCTTATTAAGGAGTATTAACTCACATGATCACAAGGTTGCACAATAGGCCATCTGCAAGCTGAGGAGCAAGGAAGCCAGTCTGAGTCCCAAAGCTGAAGAACTTGAAGTCTGCTGTTGCTATTTTGTTTTTAAAGAAACTGCAAAACCATTTTTCCGGAGTGGGTTGTGTCATTTTGCATTTCCACTGGCAATATATGAGTAAACTAGTTTCCCTGCATCCTCAACCATATTTGGTGTTGTCACTGTGTTTTATTTTAGCTATTCTGATAGGTGTATAGTGAAATCTCACTGTGCTTTAAACCAGCATTTCCCTAATGGCTAATGACATTGAACATCTTTTCATGTGCTTATTTGCCATCTGTGTATTCTCTTGTGAAATGGCTCTTCATGTCTTCTCCTATTTTTCGCATTAGATTGTTTGCTCTTTTACAGTTGAGTTTTGAGAGCTTTTTAAATATATTCTAGATATAGTGCTTTTTTGAATATGTGGTTTGGAGCTTATTTCTTCATCCTCTGAACAGGGTCTTCTGATGATTATTAATATTAAGCAATGTTGTATATGTTTGTTGGGCACTTGCATGTCTTCTTTCCAAAATGTTTTATTAATGTCCTTTGCCCACTTTTTAATAGGGTTGTTGTTTCCTTGTTGTTTTTCTTGCAGATTTTGTATATTAACTCTTTGACAGATGCATAGTTGGCAACGATTTTAACCCATTCTTTAGGTTGTTTGATTATACAGTTGGCTGTTTCTTTTGCTACGTTTTCTTCTAGGGTTTTTTTTTTTTTTTCTTTTTTTTAGACAGAGTCTCCCTCTGTCACCAGGCTGGATAGGTAGCGCCAGGCTGTGGCACTATCTAGACTCACTGCAACCTCTAATTCCCAGGTTCAAGCAATTCTCCTGCCTTAGCCTACCGAGTAGCTGGGACTACAGGTGCGTGCCACCACGCTCAGATAATTTTTGTATTTTTAGTAGAGATGGCATTTCACCATGTTGATCAGGATGGTCTCAGTCTCTTGACCTCCTGATCTGCCCACCTCGGCCTCCCAAAGTGCTGGAATTACAGGCATGAGCCGCCACGCCCTACCTCTTCTAGGGATTTTATAGTTTCAGGTCTTACGTTTAAGTATTTACTCCATCTTGAGTTCATTTTTTGTATATGGTAAGAGATAGGGGTCCAGTTTCATTCTTCTGCATATGGCTTTCCAATTTTTCCAACACCATTTATTGAATAGGGTGTCTTTTTCCCAGTGCATATTTTTGTTGACTTTGACAAAGATCCCTTAGCTGTCCACATTTGGCTTTATTTCTGTTTTTTTTGTTTTGTTTTGTTTTGTTTTTGTTTTGAGAAGTAGTTTCGCACTGTTGCCCAGGCTGGAGTACAATGGAGCGACCTCTGCCCACTGAAACGTCCACCTCCCAGATTCACATGATTCTCCTGCCCCAGCCTCCTGAGTAGGTGGGATTACAGGTGCACACCACCACGCCCAGCTAACTTTTTGTATTGTTAGTAGAGATGGGGTGTCACTATGTTGGCCCAACGGGTCTCGAACTCCTGACCTCGTGATCCACCTGCCTCGGCCTCCCAAAGTGCTGGGATTATAGGCATAAGCCACCATGCCTGGCCTATCTCTGGGTTCTTTAATCTGTTCCATTGATCTATGTGTCTATTTTTTATGCCAATGCTTTGTTGTTTTTATTATTATAGCCTTGCAGTATAATTTGAAGGCAGGTAATGCGATACCTCCAGCTTTATTATCTTTGCTTAATATTGCTTCAGCTATTTGAGCTCTTTTTAGGTTCCATATGAATTTTGGGATTTTTAAATATATTATATGATGAATGGCATTTCTATTTCCATGGAAATTGCACTGAATCTATAGCTTGCTTTAGGAAGTATGGTCATTTTAACAATACTGATTCTTCTGATCCATGATCATAGGAATGTTTTTCCATATGTGTCATCCGTGATTTATTTAATCAGTGTTTTGTAATTCTTCTTCAAGAGATATTTCACCTCATTAGTGAAGTATATTTCTAGGTGTTTTGTTTGTTTGTTTGTTTGTTTGTTTGTTTGCTACTGCAAATAAGAATGAGTTTTTGATGTGGTTCTCAGCTTGATTTTTATTGGTGTATAGAACTACTACTGATTTTTGCTCATTGATTTTGTATCCTGAAATTTTACTGAAGTCCTAGAGCAATGAGGAAAAATAAAACACATCTAAATTGGAAATAAAAAAGCCAAGTTTTCTCGGTGTACTGATGATACGATCTTGTACCTAGAAATCCTTAAAGACTGACACTTTTATTTTAAATCTATTTATATTTTAATATATGAAGTGACTTTATTATAAACATATGGTTGGGTCACATTTTTCTCATACAATGTGCCAATATCTGTCCTTACATTAATCTCTTAAGACCATTTACATTTGATATAATATTTGATAGGATGGGGTTTGAGGCTGACATTTTTTTTTTCTGGTTTGTTCTCTCTGTTTTTTTGTGTTTATGTGTCTTTTTTTTTTCTTTTTCTGCCTCCTTGTATTACGTAAAGATTTTTAAAAATTTATACACAGTTGTTTTCATTTATTTATTTCATATGTTTCTTACTGGTATTCCTATGTATTACATTATATCTATGTATAACTTATATCAGCATACTGGTAGTGTAATTTCACTGCTTCAAGTGAAGTATAAAAATCTATCTTCCTCTATATTATTTTATACTTCATAATTTTAATATATTCGTATTAAATATTTTATCTGCGTATGTATCATTCAGTATTCTGCAGAGATTCAGAGCCTCCCAAGGTGTATAAACCAGATTGGTAGGCTGTAACCTTAAGTTAGAGTTTATATTGTAGGTTTGAGTCTGAAATTTGTAGGGCAGACTAGCATACTGTAAACTCAGTTAAGATTTCCATGTTTCTTGGGAGGCAGAAGCAGGCGGATCAGGAGGTCAGGAGATTGAGACCATCCTGGCTAACATGGTGAAAACCCGTCTCTACTAGAAATACAAAAAAATTAGCCGGGCCTTGTGGCGGGAGCCTGTAGTCCCAGCTACTCGAGAGGCTGACGCAAGAGAATGGCGTGAACCCAGGAGGTGGAGCTTGCAGTGAGCCGAGATCTTGCAACGGCACTCCAGCCTGGGCGACAGAGTGAGACTCCATCTCAAAAAAAAAAAAAAAAAAAAAAATTCCATATTTCAATCTTAAAGCAGAATTTGAACTGATTGAATGAGGCCCACCCACATTATCAAGAGGAATTTATTTTACTTAAAGTCAACTGATTGTACGTATTAATAATATCTACAAAGCACCTTCACAGTGACATCTATATTAATGTTTGACCAAAGAACTGGGCCCACAACCTAGGAAGGTTGACACATAAAATCAACCATTGGAACATACATTTAGAATACATCAGACAGTATTTTACTTTCTTGCTTCCTAAGTCAAACATAATTTAGAAAGAGGAGGGAGAAATTTTCTTTAGAAACAAGAGAGAAAACATGGGTTAAATCTAACTATTTTTTACTATTATTTTGTTATTTCTTTTTTGTGTGTGGTGTTTTAAGATTCCTTCTACTCTTCCCTTTCTATTTGGAGACCTTTCTTTAGCTATTTAGAATAGTTATATGGACAACATGTTTCTTAGTTTTCATTCATCTGAGAATGTCTTGATTTCTCCATTTTTCTCAGAAAACTTTTATATTAGATACAGCATTCTGAGTTGACAATTCCTTTTTACTCAGCACTTGAAAAATACTGTGACACTTCCCTCTGGCCCCCATGGTTTCTGACAAGAAACTTGCTGTCATTCAAATAGCTTTTCCCTGTAGGTAAAGTGTCATTCCTCTGTTGCTGCTTTCAGGACTTTCCTTTGTTTGTAGTTTTCTGGAGGTTGATTAAGATGAAGTGTGATTTTCTTTGGGGTTATCTTGTTTGGGGTTCACTCAGTTTCTTGATTCCATTGGCTTGTCTTTTGTTAAATTTGGAAAGTTTTACCATTCTGTTTTCAAATGCTCTTTAGCCTTGCCTTCTTTCTCTTTCCTTCCATGCATGTTATGACGTGAGTGGTACATGTTAGGTATTTTTTAAGAATCCCACAGTTCTTGAGGCTCTGTTTATTACTAGCCCCTTCCCAATCTATTTCTCTGTTTTTCAGATTAGTTTCTAGTCTATCTTTAAGTTCACTAATTATTTCCTCTGTGTTTTCCATTCTGCTTTTCGGTCCATCCATTGAGTTTTCAACATTCCAGTTATCGTATGTATGCAGTTAAAAATGTACATTTATTTTTCTATAAATGTTTTATGCATTTTCTGAGACTTATGGTCTTATTTTTGGAAGTTTCTGTTTTTCTCAGGAATGTCCGTAGCTGCACATTGTGATTTTTTTATATGATGGTTGCTTTGAAATCTTTGTCAAATATTGTCAGATACTGTAACATGTCTGTCATTAATCAATTGGAATCCATTGAGTTTTTTTTTCATTCAATTTGAGATCACACTGGTTATTAGTACAATAAATAATTTTCATTACAAATTTATACGTTTTGGTTATTATGTTATGAACCTCTCAATCATATTAAAAATTTTTATACCTGCCTATCTCTGACACTGCTGTAACAGGAGAAGGGTATTGTTGCCTCATCTCTGCCAGATAGAGGCTAATGTCCAGTTTTCTCACTTTTCCTTCATTAACACACCAGAAGGGGGATTTAGATACTATTGAATGGGGATGGAAGTATCTACTTCTCAATAGTCTTTCACAGATACCTTCCTGTTGAGAGAAGTAGTAGATCCTTGTTAAACTCCTCATGTGAGTATCACTGGCATTAGAGTGGTGGGGCTGGCCTCATTACTAATGGGTAATGGTAAAATTCTGACTCTCAACTAGGCCTCCCCTGACATCATCCCAGTAGAAGAGGGGAGGGACAGGCTTCCCACATAGGACCCAGTGACACTGAGGGGAGAGTGGTAACTTATTACCCATGCAAAGGTGGAAGTCCTTGATTCTTTTTTTTTTTTTTTACAAGCAAATACTGAGAGATTTTGTCACCACCAGGCCTGCATTACAAGAGCTCCTGAAGGAAGCAATAAATGTGGAAAGGAACAACCAGTACCAGCCACTGCAACAACATGCCAAATTGTAAAGACCATCGAGGCTAGGAAGAAACTGCATCAACCAACAAGCAAAATAACCAGCTATCATCATAATGACAGGATCAAATTCACACATAACAATATTAACCTTAAATGTAAATGGGCTAAGTCCTCCAGTTAAAAGACACAGACTGGCAAAATGGATAAAGAGTCAAGACCCATCAGCGTGCTGTATTCAGGGGACCCATCTCACGTGCAGAGACACACATAGGCTCAAAATAAAGGGATGGATGAAGATCTGCAAAGCAAATGGAAAACAAAAAAAAGCAGGTGTTGCAATCCTAGCTTCTGATAAGACAGACTTTAAACCAACAAAGATCAAAAGAGACAAAGAAGGCCATTACATAATGGTAAAGGGATCAATTCAACAAGAAGAGCTAACTATCCTAAATATATATGCACCCAATACAGGAGCACCCAGATTCATAAAGCAAGTCCTTAGAGACCTACAAAGAGACTTAGACTCCCACACAATAATAATGGGAGATTTTAACACCCCACTGTCAACATTAGACAGATCAACAAGACAGAAAGTTAACAAGGATATCCAGGAATTGAACTCAGCTCTGCACCAAGAAGACCTAATAGACATCTACAGAATTCTCCACCCTAAATCAACAGAATATACATTCTTCTCAGCACCACACCGCACTTATTCAAAAACTGACCACATAGTTGGAAGTAAAGCAATCCTCAGCAAATGCAAAAGAACAGAAAGTATAACAAACTGTCTCTCAGACCACAGTGCAATCAAACTAGAACTCAGGATTAAGAAACTCACTCAAAACTGCTCAACTACATGGAAACTGAACAACCTGCTCCTGAATGACTACTGGGTACACAACATAATGAAGGCAGAAACAAAGATGTTCTTTGAAACCAATGAGAACAAAGATACAACATACCAGAATCTCTGGGACACATTTAAGGCAGTGTGTAGAGGGAAATTTATAGCACTAAATGCCCACAAGAGAAAGCAGGAAAGATCTAAAATTGACATCCTAACATCACAATTAAAAGAACTAGACGAGTAAGAACAAACACATTCAAAAGCTAGCAGAAGGCAAGAAATAACTAAGATCAGAGCAGAACTGAAGGAAATAGAGACACAAAAAACCCTTCAAAAAATCAATGAATCCAGGATCTGGTTTTTTGAAAAGATCAACAAAATTGATAGACTGCTAGCAAGACTAATAAAGAAGAAAAGAGAAAAGAATCCAATAGACGCAATAAAAAATAATAGAGCAGATATCACCACCAATTCCACGGAAATACAAACTACCATCAGAGAATACTATAAACACCTCTACTCAAATAAACTAGAAAATCTAGAAGAAACGGATAAGTTCCTGGACACATACAACCTCTCACGACTAAACCAGGAAGAAGTTGAATCCCTGAATAGACAAATAACAGGCTCTGAAATTGAGGCAATAATTAATAGTCTACCAACCAAAAAAAGTCGAGGACCAGATGGATTCACAGACGAATTCTACCAGAGGTACAAAGAGGAGCTGGTACCATTCCTACTGAAACTATTCCAATTAATAGAAAAAGAGGGAATCATCTCTAACTCATTTTATGAGGCCAGCACCATCTTGATACCAAAGCCTGGCAGAGACACAACAAAAAAAGTCAATTTTAGACCAATATCCCTGGTGAACATCGATGCAAAAATCCTCAGTAAAATACTGGCAAACTGAACCCAGCAGCACATCAAAAAGCTTATCCAGCATGATCAAGTGGGCTTCCTCCCTGGGATGCAAGGCTGGTTCAACATACACAAATCAATAAACATAATCCAGCATATCAACAGAACCAATGACAAAAACCACATGATTATCTCAATAGATGCAGAAAACGCCTTCAACAAAATTCAACAGCTCTTCATGCTAAAAACTCTCAATAAACTAGGTATTGATAGGATGTATCTCAAAATAATAAGAGCTATCTATGGCAAACCCACAGCCAATATCATACTTAATGGGCAAAAACTGGAAGCATTCCCTTTGAAAACTTTCATAAGACAGGGATGCCCTCTCTCAACACTCCTATTCAACATAGTGTTGGAAGTTCTGGCCAGGGCAAGCAAGCAAGAGAAAGAAATAAAGGGCATTCAATTAGGAAAAGAGGAAGTCAAATTGTCCCTGTTTGAAAATGACATGATTGTATATTTAGAAAACCCCAGCTGGGCGCGGTGGCTCATGCCTGTAATCCTAGTACTTTGGGAGGCCCAGGCGGGTGGATCACGAGATCAGGAGATCGAGACCATCCTGGCTAACACAGTGAAACCCCATCTCTACTAAAAACACAAAAAATTAGCTGGGCATGGTGGCGGGTGCCTGTAGTCTCAGCTACTCTGGAGGCTGAGGTAGGAGAATGGTGTGAACCCAGGAGGCGGAGCTTGCAGAGAGCCAAGATCGCACCACTGCACTCCAGCCTAGGTAACAGAGCAAGACTCCATCTCAAAAAAAAAAAAATCATCTCAGCCCAAAATCTCCTTAAGCTGATAAGCAACTTCAGCAAAGTCACAGGATACAAAATCAATGTGCAAAAATCACAAACATTCCTATACACCAAAAACAGACAAACAGAGAGCCAAATCATGAGTGAACTCCCATTCATAATTGCTTCGAAGAGAATAAAACACCTAGGAATCCAACTTACAAAGGATGTGAAAGTCTTCTTCAAGGAGAACTACAAACCACTGCTCAACGAAATAAAAGAGAACACAAACAAATGGAATAATATTCCATGCTCAGGGACAGGAAGAATCAATATCATGAAAATGGCCATACTGCCCAAGTTAATTTATAGATTCAATGCCATCCTTATCAGGCTACCAATGACTTTCTTCACAGAATTGGAAAAAACTACTTTAAAATTCATATGGAACCAAAAAAGAGCCTGCATTGCCAAGAGAATCCTAAGCAAAAAGAACAAAGGTGGAGGCATCATCCTACCTGATTTCAAACTATACTACATGGCTACAGTACCAAAATGGCATGGTACTGGTACCAAAACAGAGATATAGATCAATGGAACAGACCAGAGCCCTCAAAATTAATACCACACATCTACAACCATGTGATCTTTGACAAACCTGACAAAAGCAAGAAATGGGGAAAGGATTCCCTATTTAATAAATGGTGCTGGGAAAACTGGCTAGCCATATGTAGAAAGCTGAAACTGGATCCCTTCCTTACACCTTATAAAAAAATTAATTCAAGATGGACTAAAGACTTAAATGTTAGACTTAAAACCATAAAAACCCTAGAAGAAAACCTAGGCAATACCATTCAGGACATAGGCATGGGCAAGGACTTCATGTCTAAAACACCAAAAGCAATGGCAACAAAAGCCAAAATTGACAAATGGGATCTAATTAAACTAAAGAGCTTCTGCACAGCAAATGAAACTACCATCAGAGTGAAAAGGCAACCTATAGAATGGGAGAAAATTTTTACAATCTACCCATCTGACAAAGGGCTAATATCAAGAATCTACAAAGAACTTAAACAAATTTACAAGAAAAAATCAAACAACCCCATCAAAAAGTGGGGGAAGGATATGAACGGACACTTCTCAAAAGAAGACATTTATGCAGCCAAAAAACACATGAAAAAATGCTCACCATCACTGGCCATCAGAGAAATGCAAATCAAAACCACAAGGAGATACCATCTCACACCAGTTAGAATGGTGATCATTAAAAAGTCAGGAAACAACAGGTGCTGGACAGGATGTGGAGAAATAGGAACACTTTTACACTGTTGGTGGGATTGTAAACTAGTTTAATCATTCTGGAAGACAGTGTGGTGATTCCTCAAGGATCTAGAACTAGAAATACCATTTGACCCAGCCATCCTATTACTGGGTATATACCCAAAGGATTATAAATCATGCTGCTATAAAGACACATGCACATGTATGTTTATTGAGGCACTATTCACAATAGCAAAGACTTGGAACCAACCCAAATGTCCGACAATGATAGACTGGATTAAGAAAATGTGGCACATATGCACCATGGAATACTATGCAGCCATAAAAAAGGATAAGTTCATGTCCTTGGTAGGGACATGGATGAAGCTGAAAACCATCATTCTGAGCAAACTATCGCAAGGACAAAAAACCAAACACCACATCTTCTCACTCATAGGTGGGAACTGAACAATGAGAACACTTGGACACAGGAAGGGGAACATCACACACTGGGGCAAGGGGGGAGGGATAGCATTAGGAGATACACCTAATGTAAATGACGAGTTAATGGGTGCAGCACACCAACATGGCACATGTATACATCTGTAACAAACCTGCACGTTGTGCACATGCATCCTAGAACTTAAAGTATAATAAAAAAATCATCAAAGTAACTATAGCACGAAGGTATTCTTTACCACATGACTTGTAATAATTTAAAATGAAATAAACAAAACTCCAAACCCTAGGTAGACTAAATCTAGGTCATTGGTCCACTAAAAGATTCTGTTGGACAAGAGATGGGAATTGCATGCTATGGAAGAGTAAGAATTGAAGAGAAAAAGAAAGAGAGAGAGAGATGCCTAAGTGCATCTCTATATGAATGGACAAGGATTTCAGAGAGAAGTAACAGACAGGTAGATGCTGGAGAACAAGGAGAGTTGGGAATGAGGAGGGCAAACAACATGGGGGGAAGCTAGAATCCCAGCAGCTTAAATGGCCAAACAGCTTTCAGAGAAAGGGATATCTAGAAATTAACACAGCATCTTCATTGTTGTAGCAAATCCTTTTCTCCTTAATAATTCAGTGAATCTTTGTAGACGAACAAAACAGTGCTTTTCTTACTTGTCCTGTAAGTAAGAAAAGGACAGGGCTTTTTAATCTAGACTCACATAGTGAGGACAGGAAAAAAAAATAAGCTTAATGAGAGATCTCTAAACTAAATCAGCAGGTAGAGGCCCTGAACCTATATATTGAATAAGTAAATGAATTCATTCATATGAATATGAATATTATTTCATTTTAATTGGAAAGACTATATTCTCATACATGGAAAAGACACAAGAACATACTTCTGAGTAAAAAAAAAAAATATTTGATAATTGGGCAACCATGGGAAAATTAGAGCAAATAGAAAGCATTTCATGAAATCTGTATTTTGAGAAAACCAAGCGGCAGAGACATTTCTAATGAGGTGTCTATCAAGCTCTGATCTGTCATGCATAGGTTGAATACCATTTATAAAATATGTACCTATGTCTCCCTTTCATGTGAGACCTAAAAGTACATATCTTTGAAGTTTCTATTCTCTGGGGCGAATCTAAGCAGCAGGTAAGAATTCTTGCTGCGGTTCACTTAGAAACAGAGAGAATCAAGTTAACATAATAACAAAGAAGGGCTCAATTTATAAAAGGTGGGCTGGAAAATGTATTCTAATATTTTAGTGAGAAGTGTTTTGGCTTTCAAAAGCCTGAGCGTCCACATGTGTCACCAAATGATTCAACATGTGAAGAAAGAGATGCAAGGAATACATTTTGCAGTAACTTTTGGTTGAATCAAATATTCTAGGTAATGTGAAAAATAAACCTTTTATAAAGTAGCTATCATGAGATGTTAAGGTGCATATTCACTAGGAGATGTCTTTAGTTTCTAATGCAACTCAAAAATAATAAATACATATCAAAAAGTCTAGCTTTGATCTTTTTTGTGTGTGAGTAACCTATCAATTTTGATTTGGGAAACTAGGCCTGACAACTAAGAGTGCAATATATGAAAATGAAACAAAATGGATTCAAAAACCCATATGGAACTAAAAAGATTATCTCTATATATACCAGAAAGACCATAAAGAATTCTGATTCTTTTTACACATATACAACTTACAATCACAAGTCATTAGCATTAGTATGTGGACCTTAGAATTATGAATCATCAACAAATAGTGACCCAGTCTGTCACTGACCACCTAAAGTAATAATACTTTCTATTCCTTCTGAGGTTAGTACCTCCAATCTCAGATGGCTTTCATTGTTAGAGCTCTGAAATAATTACAACTCCATTAGGTAATTACATTAGCTAACTGAGATTTTAAAACAGCACTTTATTAAGAGTTCTAAAAACATATTGATAGAGTAACTACTCTTGGGTGACCTGTAAAAAGTCAAATTATAATTTGAGCTACATAAGAGCAACGTATAAGTAAGGAGTTGAGTTACATAGCTCAAGAATAATTTTCAGACTTAAAGTTTCATGGTTACTAATGATAAAATATTCAATAGTTTTTTTCTCCCTTGCATTTCTCCTTTCCTTTCCTCACTACTTCCCTTCAACAGACACTAAGTACCTAATATTTCCAAAATTATACTAGATTCTCCTTATACATTATTTTTATAACTATATTATGAAGTATATAATTATCCATTAGCTAAGCACAAATGAGATGTATCTAAGATCTCAAACTCTTCCTGATATTCACTCTTTCTGGTATTCATTCCCAGAAATAATACATTCAAAAAAACATGTATAGCTTAATAAAAGGAATTATACATTATACTTATTCATTAAATGTTTCCAAACAATCTTTTTAGTGGTATTCAGTAACAAATTTATCTCTCTTTTGCATCCATTCAATAAAAAAATTAATTGGGTGAAAATAAATATTCAATAGTTGAGAGCTATCATTTTCTGTGTTAATTTTCCTCCTTGGAAGACTTTTAAATTGCAGACCCAACATCCTGGGTCCTCCCATCATTCCTTATATGATGTGGTCTTATATGATGTTCCCTTAGCATATAATCTCTTCCTCTAGGTTAGGCTTCTAGTAATTTGCAGCCTTTTGAAAACAAAATACCTAAAATGTCATACAATACTTCAGAAGAAGACTGACCAATATTGAGTAGCATATAACTCTAACCTCCCTTTTTTCTAGATATTATCTTTCTGTTTAAGCAACATCTGCTATGAAAATCAATGTATTTTCTTTGAGATTATATATGTACATTCTCGTTATTTTGTTGATATGTTATTTGCAAATACCAATTTAACTAATAGTTTAGAAATTAACTCTCAAATTTCTATGAAAAAAATACAAATGCATCATGAACATAGACTTTTCTGTATTCTTCCTGAAACACAGAAGGCTTGCTCCTGCCTCAGGGTCTCTGTATTTGCTGATTGCTTTCAAAATTCTCTGGTGGAGTTGTCTGCATGGCTCACTTATTATCTCACTTAAGATATTTGTTAAAATGTTACCTTTTCAGGAATGACTGCCCTGATCACTCCACTGAAAATCATAAACTCCCATCTTGAAATTTTTTATCTCTTTATCTAACCATTATTATTGTCTAATTTTTATTTACTGTACTTATTTTTGGAAATTGACTGTCTTGCCCTACTATTTTAGAATTTTAGTTCCCTTGATGCCTGGAATTTTTTTTCTATTTTGTTTACTGTTGTATTCCCAATGATACAACAGTGGCAGAAAGAAGCAGATGTTCAATAAATATTTAATAAATAAATGCTTTCTTTTGAAAACATGTAGTAATTTCACATCTTCTTTTTTTCATTGAAAAGGAACTCAAAGTCTGGTAATGTAAAAAGTGACCGAAAAGCAAACACAATAAATAAAATTTTGACCCAGTTAATCAAAACACAAAATATGTTTTGTAATATATACACATTTCAAAAATGGAATATAGATGTTTTGAACTTCCACTTCAGAAGATTGCTCCAAAACCAATGATGAAAACATTATTGAAAAGGAAAATGAATGACTTCTTTGATTATTCAAGTATAAAAACATTTTAAATACAAATTCTAACATTTCTATGAAAAACAATTTCACTGCCTGTTTGATAATATTCTATTTTATATCTTTATTGGTGGAAATTACAATTTGTAACCAATGTAAAAGTCAGTCTGTAAAGTGACTCATGAAAATTTACCAGGATGTTATTTAAGATCATGTTACTTTTCATTTAAATGCCATTAATAACTCATTAATTTATATTTCAAAGTAAAATGTGCATGTAAATCACAATTATTAATCTTCCACAAATCCTGTTACTACAAAAAATTTAAATGTCTTTTTATTTCTTTTACTTCCATGGGGTATAATTGGATTTTAATTATATTAACTTAAAAAAGTCACCTGATTCTGAGTTTCAAATTTAATAACAAAAATAAACATACTAAAATACAACTTATCCTTTCAAATAGGTACTAATGCTTTTTATTTTTATGTTTTTATTGCTGTTGCTGTTGTTACTTGAGCAAAAAGAAAGAAATATCAAAGACGAATGGACTACAAAGGAAAAATAACAAATATTTTGCTGTCTAAATCATAAAATACACTAGATTAAGGCATCTTTCTTTCCTCAGGTAAACTATCAAAAATCAGAATTTAAATGTCAAACCTGAATGTTCAGATGCATTTGTACTAGATTAACTAAGGTTTCCTTAAGTTTTACCATTTTAAAAATATTGTGCCTCTTCAAATCAAATGTTAAATAAGACATACCTGTGGTGTTATATGACCACAATGCTAATAAATACAAAGTTAAATATTAACAGCAGCCCCAACCTCAACTGCATATCAAACCCTGTGTCTCAATTTTCTTAACAGAATTCAGTGTTCTTTCAGATGAAATCTATTCAAACATTAGGCATGAAAATGTCTGCATCATTTAGGTAACAGAGATCTTTGATTTTAAATAATTAATTCTTTTCAATTTAACTAAGGGCCTTCACGGTATTTTATGTGAGAATTCTAGGTAATACAACTATATATATTTCTATGGAATTCATGGAAAAAATTAGATATGAAGAAACGTTTTTCCCTTCCAAATTTTGCTATGAGAAAAAGCCAATGCACTACAACTGCCCTAATCAGTTATCTTATCCATGTACTTGAAAAGTATTCCACAAATAATTTCACCATTAAAAAAAAATAAGTCTGGCTGAAATGAGGGAGTTGATTAGATTTTTTTAGCAGAAATAAAGAGTTAACAGATTCTTTTTTCATTTAATCTTTCAGTCAACATGGCAGAGGGTTTTACATCAGTGTATCCTATGGTTTCAATGGCTGGGAGAGGATTCTTACATATTTCTAATTGTTCTTCCAGGCACTGACTCCCTGCCCTATGCTGGTCAAAACTTGCCCAGCTTGCTGTCTTCTCATCAGACTAAATAGATGGTTGAGAACCAGTAATGCCTATTATACATTTTATTTATTTTCATCAGCACTTCTTTTCAGAGAGTGAATAAGAAAAGGCATCAGGGGACCCACTCCTTCGGATTATTTATCAAAGAAAAAGAGAAGTCATCACGAGGCTAAACTCAGATTAGACAATCACCAGAAAGTGCTGTGATGTGGAAGAAATTCTAGACCACATTGAGCACTTTTTTTTAACTTAAATAATGCATTCACAGTTTATTTTCTCATCTAGTGATGCTGTCCGCTCCAAGGACTCATTGCACATAAAATTTAAATATTCAGAGAGTTATCATCAAGAGTGTTTACCTGACTAATCATATTTAGGTACAAAAACAAATGCAAGAAAGGATCACAGCTGCACTTTCTAAAACAAACTGAAAGGAGATCATGATCTTCAGCATAGTGAATTTTTATAACCCAACCTAGAATTTTGGCTCCAGATGTGAAAATTTAGAAATTTTCTATCAGAACTTTCCCAAATCAAACAGACATTCTTTTTAAAGAAACGATTATACTATTTACAAAATCAGTAGCATATAAGGCCTAGAAGCAACAGCTGCAGGGACTATTAAAAAGAGAGTGCACTATTATAGCCATTGTGCAAGAGCTCCAGGCTGGGCATCAATCTTATATCTGCATATCTGAACCTACCCTATCAGAAAATTTGTCTTCATATGAGATGGTGTACATGCTCCTGAATTTTTATTCTTATGAGTCAAAAGTAAGACAGTTTAAATAGAATTTGAAAAGAGAAAATGAGAAATGTAGATGTATATAATATTGCAGGTATTTTTCATTAAAATAAATTATTTTTTGTGAATTCAATATATGCATATTGAGGGGTGTGTGTGTGTGTGTGTTATGACTAGATTTCAAGCCTCTCATCAATCACCAGTAACAGAGGCTAACACCAGGACAAAAGTCAAACTGATAACCTTTATTTTAAAACTCAAAACCAATGTACAAAAGCTACTGTGAAGAAGTAGTCACCCAAGCTTGGTGCAAGAAAAGAAATTCCACTCGTACAAGCACCCTAGCTTTCTCTTGATATAAATTATTATATATATTAAGGTCCTTATTTGGGCTTGATAGCTGAGTATTATGTTAGAACTGCCCTACAATCGTTATAAAATGTATACACAGGGCCATACCAAATGAGGTACCTCTTTAAAAAATTAACATAATTGTTAAGATAGTCTTTAATGCATCTCATTTTTCTTGTTAATTCATTGCCATTCCATGCTGTACTTTTGAACACTTTAATCCAGCCCACTGCCCCACAAGCCAAGGAACTTGCTGATCAGCATCATCTTTTGAGTAATAGTTATTTATGCTTATTTATCAACCAGTTATATATTTATTTTAATAGCTTGGTCTAAAAGCATGAAGTGAAATGTGCTTTTTTTATTAAAATAACTTAGGTAGAAAGAAATATAATTTTCTGGAGATCTTCCACTACACAAGTAAGTCATATATTAGTAGTCTAGTAAAACAATATATTGGTATAAAGATTTAACATATTTCCTTAAATTTTATAGTGCATTTGGGCAGTTAGATCAAACTGATGAAATTCCATTTTGTCTTAAAAATGAAAAATATTTCCCTTCATCCTTGAAAAGGAAAACTGTCCATCCAAAACAACTGTCATCTTTCGCTGAGATAATAACACAATCCATGAGCATGTCATTCATTTTTCATCCATTCTTTTACTTATAAAACCATTTATTGGACAAATTTTACTGTGTGCTTGTTATGTGCCAGAGAGTGTGTTATGCAATAAATGTCCTATGATGAATAGATTCAGGGTGGGAAAGGACTGTTGGTAAAAGACAATCATAATTAACCAGGATTCCCGTAGATTCTTCTTCCTAATGTGGGGTGTGTGTATGTGTGTGTGCGTGTGTGCGCGCACACACACACATGCTCGTGTTTACAGAGCAGATTTAACATGAAAAAAGCTTGCTTTTTAAAGCTACACCATACATTTAAGTCTTACACCAGCTACTTATTACCTGAGCCAACATGACTATATTACTTAATTTCTTTAAATCTAATTTTTAGCAGTAAAATTGATATTGAAATCATCTCATAGGATTGTTGTGACAATTAAATGTTTAAAGTATATAAATTACTTAGAGAAGTAAATAGAATATATTAATTGGTATATGAAGGGTATGTTATTTTTTTGAACTATGTATTCAGTATAATTTAGGTGTGATGGTTAGTTTTATGTGTCAAATTAATTAGGTTATACTACCCAGTTATTTAATCCAATACTAATCTTGACATTGACGTGAACATATTTTGTGGCTGTGATTATCACCTACAATCAGTTGATTTTAAGTAAAGATTACCCTGGATAATATGATTGAGCCTCATCCAATTAGTGAAAGGCTTTAAAAGCAAAAACCTAGATTTTTGCAAGGGAAGAAAAAATTATGTTCAAGTTATCTACATTAACTCCTGCCTGAGTTCCCCGCCTGCTGGCCTGCTCTACAAAGTTTTAATTTAACGGTCCCAAATATCATGAGAGCTAATTCCTTAAAATGAATCAAACCTCCTTGAGACTGGGTAATTTATAAAGAAAAACTATTTAATTGACTCACAGTTCCTCACGGCTGGAGAGGCCTCAGAAAACTTAAAATTATGGCAGAAGGGGAAGCAGGTAAGTCTTACATGGAGGCAGGTGAGAAAGAGAGCGAAGGAGGAACTGCCAAATACTGATAAACCATCAGATCTCATGAGAACTCACTCACTATCACAGAGCATGAGGAAAACCACCCTTATGATCCAGTCACCACCCACCAGGTCCCTCCCTTGAAATGTGGGGGTTACAATTTGAGATGAGATTTGGGAGACAAAAACCAAACCATATCACTTCCCATGATTAAACAAGATACAGCTCACCATTTTGTTCAGTAATTATACGGTCTTCTATAACGTATTATAATACTTAATTAAACATCTTAATTTAGTCTTAGTTTATTTATACATACGGTTTGTTGTAACGGTGAATGGGATATGCCTATTTCAATTTTGTTTTGTTTTTGTTTTTGAAACGGAGTCTCACCCTGTCGACCAGGCTGGAGTGCAATGGTGCCATCTCGGCTCACTGCAACCTCCGCCCTTCGAGTTCAAGCAAGTCTCCTGTCTCAGCCTCCCAAGTAGCTGGGATTACAGGCGCACACCACCACACCCAGCTAATTTTTTGTATCTTTAGTAGAGACGGGGCTTCACCATGTTGGCCAGGCTGGTCTCAAACTCCTGACCTCATGATCTGCCTGCCTTGGACTCCCAAAGTGCTGGGATTACAGGCTTGAGCCACTGTGCCTGGCCTGTCTGTTTCACTTTTAATTCTAATATTGCTGATTTAAAACATTTAATTTTACATAATGTAACTTACTAATCATTTGGATAAATTATTAATTTCAATATATAGCCTCTCTTGGATTTTCTGTGGAAATTTATATATCTTCTAGGATTTTCTATGGCTTAGTTTACAACTTAAACACATTTCATTATTATAATTATTTATATATGTATATAATTGGCTGGGATCTCCACTAAAATGTTCAACAGAAAGGAATGGAATAATACCAAGAACATTCAACAATCGGAAAATTGTATTTATCTGAACATTACTTTAAAAAATTTGAATCCATAAAATGAAACTGAATTAAAAAAAAGTTTGAAAATATCCTCATTATTTTTAGTTTCTAATTTAATTCAACTGTTATCCAGAATACGTGTGATAATTATTCTTGGAAATTTGCTGTGACTTATATTCTATATATCACAGTTAATTATTTAGTTTATATATAAGTCCATTTTCATGCTGCTGATAAAGACATACCCAAGACTAGGGAATTTACAAAAGAAAGAGGTTTATTTGAACTTACAGTTCCACATGGCTGGGGAAGCCTCACAATTATGGCAGAAGGAGGAGCATGTCTTACATGGATGGCAGCAAGCAAAGAGAGCTTGGGCAGGAACACTCCTCCTTATAATAACCATCAGATCTCATGAGACTTACTCACTATCATGAGGACAGTGTGAGAAAGATGTGCCCTCATGATTCAATTACCTCACACCGGGTCCCTTCCACAACACATGGGAATTCAAGATGAGATTTGGGTGGGGACACAGCCAAACTCTATCATTCTGTCCCTGGTCCCTCCCAAATCTCATGTCTTCACATTTCAAAACCAATTGTGCCTTCTCAACAGTCCCCCAGATTCTTAACTCATTTCAGCATTAACTCAAAAGTTCGGCCAGGTGCGGTGGCTCACACCTGTAATCCCAGCACTTTGGCAGGCCAAGGCGGGTGGATCATGAGGTCAGGAGATAGAGACCATCCTGGCCAACACGGTGAAACCCCGTCTCTACTAAAAAAAATACAAAAAATTAGCCGGGCGTGGTGGCGGGTGCCTGCAGTCCCAGCTACGTGGGAGGCTGAGCCAGGAGAATGGCGTGAATCCGGGAGGTGGAGCTTGCAGTGAGCTGAGATCGTGCCACTGCACTCCAGCCTGGGTGACAGAGCGAGACTCAGTCTCAAAAAAACAAACAAACAAACAAAAAAAAACTCAGAAGTTCACAGTCAAAAATCTTATCTGGGAAAAAGCAAATCCCTTCCACCTATGAGCCTGCAAAATGAAAAGCAAGTTAGTTACTTCCTAGATACAATGGGAGTACAGGTATTGGATAAATACAGTCATTCAAAATGCGAGACGTTGTCAAAAACAAAGGGGCTACAGGCCCCATGCAAGTCCAACATCCAGTGAGGCAGCCAAATCTTAAAGCTCCAAAATGATCTCCTTTGACTCCATGTCTCACATCCAGGTCATGATGATATAAGAAGTGGGGCCCCATGGTCTTGAACAGCTCCACCCCTGTGGCTTTGCAGGGTATAGCCCCCTTCCTGGATGCTTTCAGGGGATGGCAATTGAACAAGCAAAAAACCAACCACCAAAAAATGGGCAAAGGGCAGGAACAGACACTTCTCAAAAGACATATATGTGGGCAGCAAACATGAAAAAATACTCAGCATCACTAATCGTCAGAGAAATGCAAATCAAAACCACGGCAAGATACCATCTCACACCAGTTAGAAGGGCTATTATTAAAAAGTCAAAAACAACACATGCTGGCAAGGTGGGAAGAAAAGGGAACACTTATACAATGTTGGTGGGGACGTAAATTAGTTCAGCCACTGTGAGGTAGCAGTTTGGAAATTTCTCAGACAACTTAGAACTACCATTTGACCCAGCATACCTATTACTGGGTATATTTCCAAAAGAAAATACATTGTTCTACCAAAAAGATACATACTCTTGTGTGTTCATCACAGCACTATTCACAATAGCAAAGACATGGAACCAACCTAGGTACCCATCAACAGTGGATTAAAGAAAATGTGGTACACAATAGAATATTATCATGTACCACAACCTTATAAAAGAATGAAATCATGTCCTTTGCAACAACATGGATGCAGCTGGAGGCCATTATCCTAAGCAAATTAATGTAAGAACAGAAAACCAAATTCCACATATTCTCATTTATAAGTGGGAGCTAAACAATGGATACCCATAAAGATGGTAACAATAGACACTGGGGACTACCAGCGGAGAGAAGGAAGAAGTAGGGAACGGTTGAAAAACTACCTGTTGGGTTATTATGCTCTCAGTACCTGGGTGGCAGGATAAATTATACTCCAAAACTCAGCATCATGCAATATATCCAGGTAAAAAACCTGCACATATACCCCCTGAATTCAAAATAAAAGTTGAAATTATTTTTTAAAAAAGAATTAAAAATAAAATTTATCACCATAAATGCCAAATATTTTATTTCCTTCTAAAATCGAGTCCGTTTTTAATTTGCCTTTGCTAAGAGTTTAAGATACATAACATTTTAGAATGCTTATATTTTCTAGGGAGTTATTTTTTAATTGGCATGGTATACAATGTTTAATATTTCATCTTTTCCTTTCTTCATGTGTGGCTTTGTTTTGGGTATGTTTTCCATAAGTCATATATATCCAAAATTGGTGTGTGTGTGTGTGCACGTGTGCGCGCACGTGTATGTTTTTCCCTAAAAAAGTCCCATAACTGGATATTTTTCGTGATTATGTTTACAAACTATTGGAGGAGGGGTACAGAGAGAGACAGAGAGACACCTTTTAGGCACTCATCAACCACTTTAAGAAAAAAGAAAATGTTTAAGGACTTCATGTCTAAAACACCAAAAGCAATGGCAACAAAAGCCAAAATTGACAAATGGGATCTAATTAAACTAAAGAGCTTCTGCATAGCAAAAGAAACTACCATCAGAGTGAACAGGAAACCTACAGAATGGGAGAAAATTTTTGCAATATACTCATCTGACAAAGGGCTAATATCCAGAATCTACAAAGAACTCAAACAAATTTACAAGAAAAAAACAAACAACCCCATCAAAAAGTGGGCAAAGGATATGAACAGACACTTCTCAAAAGAAGACATTTATGCAGCCAACAGACACATGAAAAAATGCTCATCATCACTGGCCATCAGAGAAATGCAAATCAAAACAACAATGAGATACCATCTCACACCAGTTAGAATGGCGATCATTAAAAAGTCAGGAAACAACAGGTGCTGGACAGGATGTGGAGAAATAGCAACACTTTTACACTGTTGGTGGGACTGTAAACTAGTTCAACCATTGTGGAAGACAGTGTGGCGATTCCTCAGGGATCTAGAACTAGAAATACCATTTGACCCAGCCATCCCATTACTGGGTATATACCCAAAGGATTATAAATCATGCTGCTATAAAGACACATGCACAAGTATGTTTATTGTGGCACTATTCACAATAGCAAAGACTTGGAACCAACCCAAATGTCCATCAGTGATAGACTGGATTAAGAAAATGTGGCACATATACACCATGGAATAATACACAGCCATAAAAAAGGATGAGTTCATGTCCTTGGTAGGGACGTGGATGAAGCTGGAAACCATCATTCTCAGCAAACTATCACAAGGACAAAAAACCAAACACCGCATGTTCTCACTCATAGGTGGGAACTGAACAATGAGAACACTTGGACACAGGAAGGGGAACATCACACACTGGGGGCCTGTTGTGGGGTGGGGGGAGGGGGGAGGGATAGCATTAGGAGATATACCTAATGTAAATGACTAGTTAATGGGTGCAGCACACCAACATGGCACATGTATACATATGTAACAAACCTGCACGTTGTGCACATGTACCCTAGAACTTAAAGTATAATAAAAAAAAGAAAAAAGAAAATATGACAAGTTGCTAAAGCCTTTACTATATTCCTCCCCAGTGTTATCTTCTTTTCTTCCTCCCTCCCCGAGGATACTCACTATTCTGAATACTATGTTTAATATGTGTGTGCTCTTCATTATAGTTTTATAACACGTTACATTTGTATGTTTTGAATAATCTATGTGTGTATATGTATATACACAGTTTGTGTCTAACTATTTTTCAATTATTCTTAAGTTATTATGTTAAAGAGTGTATAGTTCCTTCATTTCCCCTTCTGTATAATATTTTTTAGTATTCTATTTTAAGAATACACCAAACAATGTATCCGGAATCTTGTTGATGGACACTTACGTTTATTCAAGTTTTTGCTATTAAAAACAATGCCGACATGACCATCATTGCAACATGCCTGCTGCTTGTGTGCTGAACTATCTCCAGGAAGGCATAAGCATGCATATTTCAGTCTATTAAATGATGTCAAATTTTCTCCCAAAGTGATTAATAGAAAAGTCCTTGTGCATAATACAAAAGTCTGTTACAAAATGCTTTAGAAGTATGTGGTTAACAAGGAAGGCATACTGTTACATGAGTAAAATAAATCTCTTTCAATTGGAAAAGTTAACATGTTAAAATACTGTTATTTATTACACAAACCATATTAAAATTTCCCATGTGTCACAATAATATGCATTATAGCTAAACAAACATTAATGACTCAAAAGTCATTCTAATTGGTTTTCATGACTCTTTAGACTACTTTAACCTACTTTAACATCCACCATCCCTCAAACTTTCTTTCCTCTCATGACATGGACACCTTCTAAAAATCCAAAGCACTTATTCTCCAGAATCCTCTAAATTTACACTTGACTCATTATTTCCCCAAGATCCAATTAATGTAAATTATCTTGTTATACCATTACACAGAAAATGCTGTGTCAATTTGTCCTATCATTGGTGAAGTTTGATACTTGATAAGGTAATAAAGTGATGAATATTTTTTTCATTTATGTATTTAAATGGTTACTTTCATTCATTTATTTGTTTAAACTCTTTTTTGAAATCCTCATAATCAATAAGCACCTTATGGAGTTAGATTTTGAGTGTGTGAACATAATTTTCTTCAAAGGTTTTCAACTTTCAATAATTTTAGCAAATGTACGTCTTTTAAGTTGTGAAATTCCATTCTAATTAATTATATAATTCCCCCCACTCCATCAGTCACTCTTTTATTTACTCCTTTTCTTTTCCTTCTTTCCAACCTTGGTTGGATCAAAAACATCTTTTCTTTACTTCCTAAACATTTGGTTTAGTAGTTATTGAGTATATTTCCAATATTTTTATAGTTATCTTTTTTCAACTTACATACCTCATAAAATTTTATAACAAAGCATAAAATCATAAAATTTTCTAAAACATCAAATAGTATTCGCAGTTTCTACCAATTTGTCTATTAAAATTATAATTTAATTTTGCTCATAATTAAATTATGAATTATGATAAAAAACAATCTTAGCCTTATTTACTTTTATCTCTTACCTACCATCAGAATTTTATAATGTCCCTGTTTCGTTTTTATAACTTTAAAAATGAACATACCCTACTGGAATTTTTTTTAACTGGAAGTGTTAATTAAATGTAATTATTTGTAAAATTTTCCTCTTAACATCTTTTCATATCTAATATATTTCTATACTTATTAATATTTAATAAGGGCTTCCTGGAAGTGAATTCTCTTAATTTCTGTTTTTATAATCTATTCATATTTTGTGTTTGTTATGATTTTTTTCTTGATTTATGCTGGACAAAATTTCTATAGATTTATGCTGAAGACTCTCAAACTATTCTCCGCATCCCTTAAGTGTTCTTTCATAATTGTTAAATCTCTTATTTCTTCTTGTCTGTAATCTGTGGGAATTCCTCCGTATTAGATTCTGATTCGTCAATATTTCTTTGTATGTTTATCCTAGGATTTTCCTTCCAGTGTAGTACTTTTATTTCAGTTGTGAAATGCTTTATTTCTAAGATTCTAACTTTTTCATATTTACATGTTTTTGTTCCTCCCTACTTCCTTTTGAGTGTTTCTTTTTTAATCAATGTAATTATGTCATGAGCATAAAGAATTATAATTCTTCCAACTCTCAAATTTGTATGCAAGTTTAATTTTATCTTACATAAATTATTGTATGGTTGTTGATTTTTGAGGGGAGATACTGTTTTCTCAGTGCTAAATGCCTTCATATATTTTAGAATTTTATTGTTAGATTGAGATTAACCCTCTCTTTCTCACTCTCTCTCATTTCTCCTCTCGCTTCTCTTTGTTCACTCTTTTTTTATTTCTTGATTTTAAACAGTTTTATCTTAGGACTTGGGCTCCCATTTCAAAAGTAAATATATTTTATTATGAAAATTGGAAATTCTTGCTCCTGTCATAGAAAGGATATTAAAAATAAAGCTATTGACTGGATGAGTTAGTTCCATTTTTTCTTAATGAAACAACGTTCATGTCTCTGTCACTAAGGCTGCAATTCACTATAAGATGCACTTCAAGTAACCAGCCGAAGCGTACAGTTCAGTCTCTTTTTCAAAGTAGAAGAGACCCAAATTTGTCCTTAGATTAAGAAATAAATCTGAATCTAGATCAAACTCATTTGGAAATTGTTTAATCTTTACTGTTCCACAGACATGCTTAAGTGGCTAACTCTCAACCTGGAGTTTGGTAGATTCATAGTTTTCTTTACCTTTCTATTCTGCTTTTGTTTTATGAAAATGTGATATGATATTTGCAAACAGAAATAATATCTTGGTTTTCTGTTTTGATATTGTGTCTGTCATTCTGTCATGTCCGTATTAGAGAGTGGAGCAGAATGTGAGGTCTTTGCATTGATTTGATCAGAACCCAGTATCTGCTGGCATGTTCTGTGGTATCGTGCAAAAATTTAAGATTGATATCCTGAGAAGCTACACAGCTAGACACTAGAGCTCTCTCTGTGTAAACTGCGTGTGTATTGCATTGCAGCCTATATGTTACAATCAGTAAATTATCAGATACCAAAAGCTCAGAAAAGCAGTAAGCAAGGAGGGCGGCATATCAGTGTCTCAAGGTGAGAGTCAATTTGAAATGTGAAAGAGGAAACAATAAAACTTTCATATAGGAATAAAAATTAGAAAACACTAAGTCTGTACATTGCTCTCCTATTTCATGTCTTCTATTTTGTGTGTGATAAGGGATAGAAAGTCAGATATTTTGTTTATGGTGGGTTAATGGATGTAATGGAGTAAAATGGTCAAAGATTGAGGAGAGTAGAAAAAGTACATCATAATACTTCTCTAAAGTGGGTGAGAGGACTTCTGTTTCTGGAAAGGTGGAGTAAAAGTACCCTTAGAACAGATATCGATTTTCAGATTTAAAACAACTCAACACATGCCCAGTGCAGTGGATGAAAATAGACACATATATCAAAGCAAATATGAAATTTCAAGACAGCATGAACAAAAATGATCCTCTCAGCTTCCAGACAGCAAAACAATAAGTCCTAAGAATTCTTTCTCATAAAGCCATTGATATATGTGTTTCTCAAAAACAAGGGAATAAATCATTAAAGAATAAGATATAGCATCCAAGCAGAGAGAGAAAAAAAAAAGATGGAGGCAAACGAAACCCCATAGAGCCAGAGAGAAACAAATTCAGACTGAAGCATGTCAGATGAAACTGAAGTATATAATACAGCTTTAAATTTATGGACAGTAGATTTTTAACAAGTGGGGAGATTTTGAGCGTTAATGGTAGGTACCTAGTAAAGAAAGCAAATGGAAACATTTGATCAATGAAAAAAACTTGAATAAGAAATAAACATATTCATAATAAATAATAATCATTTTTCATCACAAATATGAATATTTACCTAATCACATATTCATAATAATAATCATTTTTCATCACAAATATGAATATTTACCTAATCACAATAATATAAATTTCACTTTTCTAGCCAAAATGATAACTTCTGAATGAAGTGGGAAGGGGAGACAGACAACACGTGTTCTGTGTTTGGATCTGAATGCTTTAAGAAGTATAACCACAACTTTAGTAGTAGCTAGTCAGTAGGTAATATCTAACACTAAAAAGTTTAATAAAAGTATAATTTTTTTAAGTGTTTAGAGCTACATACCAAAATAGCTAAAGACTTGAATATGATGGACTGTAGGGAGATGGAAGCTGGGAAGATGCTATTTTTATGTAACACACCTTGAAGTTTTATTTAACACTTTATATAAAAATCTTTTTCTTTTTCTTTTTCTTTTTTTTTTTTTTTTTTTTTTTTTTTTTTTTTTTTTTTATGAGACGGAGTCTCGCTCTGTCGCCCAGGCTGGAGTGCAGTGGCGGGATCTCAGCTCACTGCAAGCTCTGCCTCCCTGGTTCACACCATTCTCCTGCCTCAGCCTCCCCAGCAGCTGGGACTAGAGGCGCCCGCCACCACGCCCGGCTAATTTTTGTATTTTTAGTAGAGACGGGGTTTCACTGTGTTAGCCAGGATGGTCTTGATCTCCTGACCTTGTGATCCGCCCGCCTCAGCCTCCCAAAGTGCTTGGATTACAGGCGTGAGCCACCGTGCCCGACCTAATATTTTTTATATATTCTTTATATAAATATATAACTATTTAAATCTAATTTTATTTCCATCAAACAGAATATAACATACACAGGCAGACAAAGCTATGGATTTATATATGAATTTATCTTGTACAAATTTATCTATGAAATCTTTGGCAATATTTTCAACATCTTTGAATCTAACTTTTTTCATCTGTGAAATTAATATAATATAATCTACCTAAAACAGTTGCTACTAAAAGGAAGTTATAGGCCATGTAGTGCTCTTGATACGTTGTCCATCACATAATAGGGAGTAAAAATATAAAGTTTAAAATATACATAATTGAAAATTGATTTGTAAAATATTTCCAAAGCTTTTAATGGCTATTTTGCATCTTGTTAAATTAATGTCTTTCTACTACAATGTACAAGAGAATTATGTACTCTAGCAGATGAAAGTTTAAGGGATAAGATGAATAGGGTAAAATAAAACTATTCATGTAGAATAAAACTATTGAAAGATCAAATACGTCTGTAGCAAGGTTTAAGATTTAGATTAATATTCAATTATTGACCATTAAGAATCTGGTTTCTTATTGATATATTTATTCTCTCTACATGGTAAAATGTTGAATGCAATCAGCTTTACAGTGGACATTATAATATTAATTATACCCATTGCTTTTGTTTCTGCTCATAACTTGTGTTTTGACTGCAGCATCCTTTTGCTCTGAGTCCAACCAGTCCTGGACTGAGTGCATCGCATCGTCTTATTGCTGCTTACCCTTGCAGATGATGCAAAACGAAAGCTATTTCACTTTCTAACGGGTCTTCCTGAACAACAACAAAAGTTTACCTCACAGTGAGGTTTTATATGACGTTCCACAACAGAGAATACCTTATACTTGGGGAAGAGATGTCGTTGGGCCCAAATGGAACCTATTTGAAATGTGAATTTTATTTTGATTTCCTAAAATTGTTAAAGATGAATAATTAGAAATAAAATTGGACAGAAATGTTTATCATTATTATAGATATTTATTTTGAATGTTTATGGCATATACATTTCAATAACTTTATAGATGTTCTAATTGACTAATAGTAATGGGACTGTCTTACATAAAATTCCATAAAATTCAGTGTATAAATTTACCTTCTCCCCAACTTGTGGGCACAGTATGAGATGGGAAGAGGGACCGAAGTGTTTTTTTTTTTTTTTTTTTCCGAAACAGGTTAATTTTTATGAAAACGTTGATGCTCTTTTTAATCTTATTCTGTTTGTTTGTTTGTTTTTTGGTTATTCTTGTTTCCCCTACATTTGTGCAAATAATAGCTAACATTTATTGAACTTTTTTTATTACTATGGTAAATTCTGTTTCTATATCATTTCATTCAATCCAGATGATAATCTCTGATTTTTTTAACTATTAACTTTCTCATTTTACTTTCTCATGTGGAAAAAAAGAAACTGAAAGTATGGAAGAGCAAATGCATGGCCCAGAACCTCAGAGCTAGTAAGTTATTTATTTATTTATATAGATATATATGTACTTATTAATTTTAATTAAGAAACAAAAATTGTATGTATTTATCATGTACATGTTGTTGTAAAGTATGTATATATTATGGAATGACTAAATTGAGCTAATTAACATATGTATTACTTCACTTTTTTTGTAAAGAACAATTAAAATCTACCCTCACCAACTTTTAATACAATACATTGCTATTAACTACAGTGATCATGATGTACAATAGATCTATTGAACTTATTCTTCCTATCTAACTGAAATTGTGTATCCTTTGACATCTCCCCAACTCTCCCCTCACTCTGCCCATAGTAAGCACCATTATACTCTCTACTTCTTTGAGTTCAACTTTTTTAGATTCTACAAATAAGTGAGATTATGCAGTATTTGTCTTTCTGTGCCCAACTTATTTCACTTAACATAATGTCCTACAGGTTCATCCATGCTGTCATAAATAAAAGGATTTCCTTCTTTTTTAAAGCTGAATAGTATTCCACTGTGTATATACCAAACTTTCTTTATCAATTCATTCATTGATGGGCACTTAGGTTAATTCCGTATTTTGGCTATTGTAAATAATGTTTCAATGGACATGGGAGTGCAGATAGCTCTTTGACATACTGTTGTATTTTCCTTTCAATATATACCTAGTAGAGGGATTGCAGGAACATATCTTTTTTTTTTTGTTTTTGAGGAACTACTATACAGTTTTTCATAATTTTGTGCCAATTTACATTCCTGCCAACAGTGTTCAAGACTTCCCTATTTTCCACATTCTTACTAAAACTTGTTCCTTTCTTCTTCTTCATAGCAGCTATTCTTAAAGGTGTGAAAGGAAATCTTACTATGGTTTTAATTTACATTTCTCTGATGCTTAGTGATTTTGAGCATTTTTTATATCTCTGTTGGCCATTTGTATTTATCCTTTTAAGAAATAACCAGTCAGATCATTTGTCTATTTTAAATCTAGGCCTGGCACAGCGGTTCACACCTGTAATCTCAGCACTTTGGGAGACCAGGGAAGTGGATCATTTGAGGACAGGAGTTCAAGACCAGCCTGGCCAACATGATGAAACTCCATCTCTACTAAAAAAAAAAAAATACAAAAATTAGCCTGGCATGGTGGCACATGCCTGTAGTCCCAGCTATTCGGGAGGCTGAGGCAGGAGAATCACTTGAACCTGGGAGATGGAGGCTGCAGTCAGCCTAGATCACGCCACTGCACTCCAGCCTGGGCGAAAAAGTGCGATTCCATCTCAAGAAAAATAAAATACCTGGTTATTTGTTTTCTTACTACTGAGTTGTTTGGATTCCTTAGGCATTTTGGATATTCACTTTTCACAAGATACATTGTTTGCAAATATTTTCTCCCATTCTGTAGGCTGTCTCTTTACCCTGTGGATTGATTCCTTGGCTGTGCAGAAAAGTTTTAGCTTAATGTAATTCCATTCATTTATTTTTGTTTTTCCTGCCTGTACTTTTGGATTTATATCCAAAAATACCATTGCCAATGACATGGAGGCTTTTCCTTGTTTCCTTCTAGTAATTTTACAGTTTCCAGTCTGCCATTTAAGTCTTTATTTTGCATTTATTTTTATGTGTGGTGTGAAATAAAGTTCTGGTTTTATTCCTGCATATAAATATTTACTCCAGTTGTCCCAAAACCATTTATTGAAGAGACTGTTCTTTCCCCATGCCAAGAAGAGACTGTTCTTGGCACCTATGGTGAAAATCAATTAATTGTAAATGTATGAATCAATTTCTGGGCTTTCTATTCTGTTCATTTGGTCTATGAGTCTGTTTTTATGACAGTACCATGTCAGAGCTAGTAATTTTGATGCTACACTATGTATCCAAGTATTATTTCTTCACCATGTCATGTTATCTTTACAAAGAAAAGTAGGAGGTTCATTGAAGAACATGCATAGACAAGTATTTTCAAAGAATTGACACTTTTTCTTAAACTTTCATCATTAAAACTAAATTATTTTGACTTCAATAAGCATTCTTCTAAAAATAGGCATATTACTTAAATGATATGGTATTAAACTGAATATAAAGGTATTTAACATCATAGGGAAGACTACCAGATATTTGCACAAAAATAAATCAAAGAGAAAACCTCTTGTTTCTTGAACTAGTTTCAGATCAACAAAGCCATAACTTCACTTGGAGAGAGAAAGTAGAGTTAGTGCCTACATGTTGACAAACAATAATGCAACCCAAGTATTTCCAATGTTCTGGGAAATGGTTTCTTCTCAGTCCATCTACTATGAGTCAATGCCCTTTATTTGGGTAGTTCTGACATTGAGTTTAGTCAATGACGTCAATGAAAAGTTCATTCTACACAAGACCAAACCAGAAAATTTCACTATTTTGCCTTTACTACTGGGCTTTTTCCCTTGTTTTCAGGTTTCTAGAAGTGAGGGGTTGCCAGGATTGTAGACTAATGGTCTGATAGGAGAAACTTAAGAATTTGAAGTTGTAATAGGCCTGATTCTGCTGGTCTAAATCTCTCTGAATTTTATTTAGATTATCTCTGCAGCACGAAAGCTGGTCTTTCTTACAGGTTGGGTTCTATGAAATTAATTTTCTGCATGCAATTTGATTTTATTTCAAGCAAATGGGATGTTCTCAGGTGCGTAAGAACCATTATCTGTCACTTTGCACACTGTCCCATGATGGAAAGTTATGCACCTCTGAGACTTCAATCATTCATTCAAGGCTAGAACATCATTTCGCTTATTCCAACAGAAATTTGCTAAATGTTAAGGAAGCATTTAGCATACTCTAAGATTTATACTTATCTGGCAATGACTCTATTATCTTACTGGTTCAAAAGAATTATTGCTGTAAATTTTTAAAATGTGGAAGTTTTTATCAGGCAGTATATTTCTTAAGTATTGGGACTGCTTGGCTCTTTTAGTTTCATTTGTGTAATGTTGCTTTTAGAATTTCATAGTTTAGACACATAGCATTTTTCTAAGCAGAAATCAAACTGCCTTATGGTACAAATAATAAAATAGCTTCAGAAAATGACTTGCAGAACAGTAGGTGTCCATTACTATCTCTCTCTCTCTCTCTCTCTCACACACACACACACACACACACACACACACAGAGCCCCCGCATTGTTGTTTCTCTGATTACCTTTCTTTTCTTTTTTTTTTCTTTTTTGTCTGTTTTCTCTAATAAAAATCTCTTGACCTCCAAATAGAATATTTCCTCCCGGTATGCAATTTTCCTACCATGACATTTATCACAGTTCATAGTTTACTTAATTACCTGTCTGTCCCCAACAGACTCTATATATTTTTTAACAAGGACTATGCCTATGTTGTTCCTGGTCATATTCCTAGAATTTTGCACAGTGTAAGGCATATGGCATAGTCTCAGTAAATATTTGTTGAATGAATTCAGGAATTAATACGATTTTAACTCAAGACTCAATAGTGATCCATGATTACCTAGCCTGAGCTTTTGAAAGTATATATTGTGTGAATACTTATCAATATACTTTTATGTATGCAGTTTCCTGATTACCATCATATCCCGCACAATGACATTATTTTTATTGTTTCCTTCTTCCTAATATTTCAACAAAAACACTTTATTTACTGAAAATAATTTCTAAACAGAACAAAATATAATATTTTAAATAAAATATTAAAATTCTAAATAAAATCTTTAAATTAAATATTAGATTTTGTTCTGTTTACCATGAAGAAAATCAGAAGAGAGTGCATGAGTGTGTGTGTGTATACGTATGTGTATATGTGTGTGCATGTTCCTTAAGGTGGCTGATAAGGCACACTTCAAGGATGAGAAAGAATCCTGGATTATGTTAACCACCATAAATAACTGGAGGGCACATGTCTTGCTAACTATAACTATTCAGATGCCAATCAGAGGCTCACTAGCCTTACAAATATCAATCTCATGTGTTCTCTGTACTATGTATGTTCTCAGAAGACTAATGAGCTACATTAGATATGTATAATAAAGCCCCTTATAAGAGTGCATTTTCCCACTACCTGGGTATCACACAAATGCTGAGGAAAGTTAAGGCAAATGAAAAAGCACAACTGAAAAATGAAAGGTCAACTTTTAGTCACCTTAATATTACTGGGGAGAGAATAAGAGGGGAAAAGTGATGAGGTGGAAAGGAAGTATGATTTCCTATAGCCAATTCCACATACATAAAATTAACAGAAAATCTATTCGGAACCCAACATACTTTATTATCTCTTGGAGACAATACAAATAGGAAGCTTGCATCTTTAAATATACTAAACATATATACTTTTCCATGTAAACAGTGGCTGATCCAGAATTATAGTTATTAATTATGCCTACATTTCATTTACAGAAAAATAAATTTTCATCTTTGAAATGGTAACCTTAAACTAATGTTAAAATTATACGAAGCATCTGTACCAGAAAAACAGCCACAATATGAGCCAAACAAGCAAATGCTTGACCATAAATACATGGATAGTTGTTTCTAGTCCTGTCATTTACTACCATTTTGGCCTTAACTTTTGTAAGCCTCAGTTGTCTGATAATGCAAAATAGGAATAATAGTCCCACCTAAGTAGATTTCTAGTGAGGATTAATAATATAAAGCCCTTAGTACAGTGTGTGCTACAAAGTAGGCATCTAATAAAAAGTATTATTGTTTGTTTGATTTAGAGTATGAGAAGACTCAAATACACATACATTGACAATTATGCTATAACATAATTTCTAAACTGGTAAATTAAATTTTGTAAACTATTCCTGGTTTTTTAAATGTAATTTTTTTCCTCAGTAACAGACAAACAAGCAAGGACAATTTAATGCCACTTCCAGCATTGTTTGCTCATTTTTTTGTTTCCCCTGATTCCCTATCACTGCCTATTTTATTTTCCGTTGCTTAACAGATGGGAAGTGAAAAAACATAAGCAAAGAAATACAGCTAAAAAAATAGCGCCCATGTTGACTGAAGTAATTTCAAGAGGATTTCAACAAATTCCATCTTCATCAATCCAGATTAGTTGGAAAGTCTTTGGTATTTGTCATTCTTCACAGATCCTAACGAACAACTTACTTTGGCAATATGAACTATCCCAATCCAGCTATCTCATCTGGATGTTTTTCCTATTAACTAACTTCCTCTGGCTTAAAAGATAGTAGTACAAGGATCTGAAAAAGCAAAAGGCCAAAAAGTGAGTTCTAGACATCATCCCACTTTCTCCAATACCTAGTCACTCATCTTTCCTGTGTCCAGTTTCTTTTGGCTAAGTTAAAGTTAAATGACTAAATATGGGAGAGTGGCAACTTGGATTGCCAGAACAATTTTCAACATTAAGATTGTAGATTGTCCTTAATTTGCATATTGCTGCAGACTTGACATAGTTTCAGTGCTTTATGACTCAGGGTTCTCCACAGAAACATAACTAATAGGAGATGATAGATGGATATTTACATAGATAGAAAGATAGACAGACAGATAGAGAATTTATTAGGATAATTGGCTCCCATGCTTACGGAGGCTGAGAAGTCCCAAGATAGGCTCTTTGCCTACTAAAAACAGGGAAGTCAATGGTGTAACTCATAATCTAAGGCCAAAGGCCTAAGAACCTGGAGGTTATTGGTGCAAACCCTGGAGTTCAAGAGCCAGAGAACATGGAGTTCCAATGTCCAAGGGCAGAAAATAAAGTTTTCCCATCTCCCGAGAGGAGAAAAGGAATTCACCTTTGCTCTGTCGCTCTTTTTATTCTATCCAGGCCCTCAGCTAATTGGCTGGTGCCCACCTACATTGGTGAGGGTGAAACTTTCTTAGTACATTGATTCAAATGTCAATCTATTAAAGAAACATCATCACAGGCATAGCCAGAAATAAAGATTTACCAGCTATGTGGCTATCTAGTCAAGTTGACACCTAAAATTAACCATCACAGGTGCCATTTATTAAGGCAAAATACAAGGAAATAAATTAATCATGAAGAAGCCATTTTATTTTCTAAACCAAAATATATATCAGGGCAAATGAAAAGTAAGTATAAGATTTGGTGCCTTCCCCAAAAGAACATATTACATAAATATATCTATATTTTGAAAGCACATAAAGGAGTCACAAAGTACAAAACAACAATCCAAAAGGTGCCAAAGAGAAGACCATGTAACACAGGGAAATTAGAGTAAGGAGAAACTAAAACAAACAAACAAACAAAAACAAATACACTAAGCATACAGAATGTTTCCACTTTCTATGAGTTATTTTCCTAGGTGACATTTAAAAACAAACATAAATAAATGAAAAGGAAGAAATGAGGCTGAGGTAGACAAGTAGAGTTGCCCAGTATGAAGATGAATATATGACAGTAGATAATACTAAAAATGTAAGAAAGTATCTATACACTTAAAATACAGGTTTTTTCTACAGTTTTTCTAGGAGATAAGAGCTGAAGCATTTATGTGTTAGTCAGAAAATGTTTTACCACATCCATTTTTCTTTGTATGGATAGATGCAGAGAGCAGCAAAAGTGGACTGAGCAGCTTTCCTTGAGCCTAATATATTTTGGTATTTTTTTTTTTAAGAGCTGCAAATGACCTGTGAAAAGGGAGGATATACAGTCAACTTTATTTTCAAAAAAACATTATCCTTAGAGCATTTTGTAATTTGTCAACAGCTCTATAGTCTTAGGGATGATCAGCTCCAAAATTTTCTGAAACACTTACATATCTCAGACAGGTAAAGCAAAACTGGAGCTGCTCTTTTAAAACTAGTGGTTTTGACTATTGTCCAAAAATAAAAATAAAATAAAAAAATAGGCAGCTCCTTCATAAAAGATAATGGAAACTAATTAAAAAGAATAAATTTTGTATAATTGTCTAGGTAATAATGACTTTTATGCCTTTACATCCTCTTATCAGTCAAAATGAACCTACATAAAAAACTTTTGTATTTGTACCATATTAACAAGAGCACAGACAAGATTATAGAAATAGCTTTTTCCATTTTTGTAAAAGTAAAGGAATGCAAGTCTTGTTGTTTACAGTGCAATTACTGTGAGGTGACACTTACTTATGTGTTAGTCAATAAGGCAATACTCATTTCTCTCTAGGATTTTGTATTTGGAGATGACCTGAGTAAAACAGGACTGGTCCTTAACTCAAAATCAAATTTCATTTATATATGAAATTTATCTCATACCTTCTAAAAGTGTGAGTTGGTCAATCATATCATTCAATTCCTCCTACCCTCATGACAGTACCTGGTTACAACAGGCAGTCAGAATGGATTAGCAATTTGAAACATAACTATTTTTAAAAGAGACATTAAAGTTTCTCCTCAGTGGAATGTTGACTGTCATAACAATTGAAAAAGGGTCATTTACAATTAGACACAGCAAACCATTTCTGTGATTAAAGCATTGTCATTTGTATAATACCTGAAATACTAACACACACACAAAATCCATTACAAAAAGACATTTTGAAGTCTTTATGTAAACTAAAGTTTTATGACATCAAAACAAACGGGAATTTTATTTCTGGAAGTGTGTGCTTTTAAATAAGTATTTGCTAAACAAGGTGTGAAATATTTTGTGTTTACTTTCTTATGTAATCCTCAAATGTGCTCTATACACTACCTCACAGAGGGAAAAATTTCAAAAAATTTTATGTATTCGAAGTTGTCTGCATCTGAGCTTTTGGTATATCATTAGAATATTCTGTAGCAAACTAATTTGTTAGTAAGTATCATAAGTGTTTCAAATTACTTATTTCACATGAGATTTATGCTTTAGATTGAATGCATACATATATTTAAAGGGAATTGTTTGAATATGCTGTACGTGTATTTGAAGATATTACATTGTCCAAGTGCATCAAACTGCCAGTATGTTGTAAAAACATTAAGCTGCAAAACATTAAAAAACCTTATTCAATTTTTTTATATTATTCATTTTCTATGGCTTAATTTTTTAGTATTTCAATTTTTAACTACAGTGTAGTTTAAATATTCTGTCACGGAATAAGCTAAGGCATAGGTTTAAAACTTGACCATACGTGAAATTGTTTTTGATGTTCCTAATAACTGTCTTCCAAATAAATTTATGAAACAAATCTATTTTTGGGAAGGTATCTGCCTATAGTGTAAGTGATTAGCCACTATTGTGCAAATATATTTCAAATGACCCCAAGACACTGGATGTACATGCATCAGTGAAATAATCACAATGCAAATAAAATACAAATATAAAATACAATATGCACTCCAACTTTAAATACACTGGCTAATTTAGTTCATCTATCTTGCAAAGTTAGGTTACCATAATTATTATCATTGATCATCACACACAATTTTTATGACATTTAAAAATCTATGCAATGGCTTATTGACTTAGAATATGCACTTTTAAATATAGGACTAGGACATTGTCAATATGGCCCCATAGGACAGATTAACATTAGTATGTAAGATTTCCTTAGTGCAACCATAGAGATGAACCAAGATCAATCATCAAATCAACAGTCAGAAACAGCCCCAGGCTACAGAAACACATTTTTTAAAAGGTCCTCTCCCACACCCCAACTCCCCACTGCAACCAGCCTGGATTCAGTAGAAATCTGGTAATTCTGAAATATTAAAGATAAAGATATTAGCAAAATTGAACTTGAAAGATCTTTTTTCAAATATCTCCTTAGCTGAATACTATGACCCAGAGCTTTACCTTTGAATCAAAAGATTGGTTCATGGAGATGCAGGGAAAATATGTTTATCTCTTATATGTGATAAATCTACATTTACAACAGAATGTACATACAATTAATATGCACTTAGAACAGAAATGCATATTAATTAGATTGAGTGACATATTTATGAGCTTTAGTAACAGGCTGAAATAGATTGATAATCAAATGAGAGATCAAGGAATTATCATAAAAAAATAAATTTGCATGACAGGTAAAAGTTATTCTTATATTCATGTGGACAAATTGTATTTAGCCAAATCAGCTGTAACTTGCAGCTGATATGTGAAATCAAAATTGTTAAGCACATCCCCCAATATCTTGCCACATTAATTAGAAAGCTTTCTACACTATTACAATTTAGCCATGAAACATGACATCAAAACTGACGATTAACTGCTAACTGGTGATTTAGATGATAAAAGTTACATTTGCAGTTGGAAAAAAGAAAATGGCCAAGGAAAATTGTGAACTGCAAATGCAGTAAAATCAAACCTGTGTAAGGTCTTCAAAAAGTAGATAGTGATTTTGAATTTTATAGTCTTATGCTTAAGAAATGTAATAATTTTACTTTAGAGTAAATGTTTGCCCATAGTTAGATTTTATATATTTTTGAGAATCCAACAATATTTACCAACCTATAAACTTTTTTTTTGTTTTTTCTGGAGACAGAGTCTCACTCTGTCGCCCAGGATGGAGTGCAGAGGTACGATCTCGGCTCACTGCAACCTCCGCCTCCTGGGTTCAAGCGATTCTCCTGCCTCTGCCTCCCAGGTAGTTGGGATTTTACAGACATGCACCACCACGCCTGACTAATTTTGTATTTTTAGTATAGACGAGGTTTCTCCATGTTGGTCACGTTGGTCTCGAACTTCCAACCTCAGGTGATCTGCCCACCTCAGTCTCCCAAAGTGCTGGGATTACAGGCATGAGCCACCATGCCCAGCCTCCTATAAACTTTGTAGCAGTCCTATGCATGCTGACATTTTGCTACAGAATGAAGTTTTGAGTAAATATTATCAATGACACAATTAAACAGCTAATGATACACAATAATGTTTTAGATAGAAAAGGATTAGGTTTAACCATATGCAACAAAAATGTCAAAACAATGGTAGCTTAAAGTCAATTTTTTTTCTCCCATAAAGCAAAGACCTCTTCAGTATTTTTGCTTTATCATCTTGATTGCATGGATTTCTTTTCAAAGGGTACAATATAGTCCAGGAAACGTGTAGTTTACATAATCATACGCATATTACAGATAGCAAGAATACAGAAGAGAGAAAGAAGATAATCCATTTCACTGAAATGCAGCTCCTATGTCTTTCTCAAAATGCTCCAAGACACTTTTATTTGCATTTCACTGGCTAGAATTTGGTCACAGGTCACTCCTAGCTATAGGAAATGTTGGAAATGTGGTCATTTAACCACCCACTTGCTGCCTAAATAAAAATAGATGTTACATTAAGCAAGTAGAGAATGGATATTAAGTGGAAAATTATAGTTTGCTAGAAATAGTATTTTGGGTCATAGATGCTCCTGTTTTTTTTTTTCTTATTCCATCATATCCTAACTTCTTTAAAATAAACTGTTAAGTCCTTAGATGAGTGACATAGCAGTGCATACAATGTGAAAGAAACCTAGAGAAAGTTCTGTAAGGACAGCAGATACTGCTATATTGGTTTTAGCCAATCTAGGCACTAAAATTATGATGCTGCTTTACAGGTAGCATATACTGTGGCAAATTACCTATATAAAAGAAATATTTAAACTGCTTATTCTTGTTTTTTATGTACAGATTTTAGAAATATTAAAATTTATTCTGTTGAGCAAGATTAAACCTTCTGTGTGTTGAAGGCCCAGGCCCATAAACTATGAGCAATATCTGAAAACACCCTGATGATAACCAGAGTAGCTGGAGAAATGCTCTCTGCATCATTACTATTGGGATCTGTTTGATTTCATTCCCCCTCCATGATATATACTAGAACTTCAAATTGTTCTTTTAAGTCCCTTATCACTAAATCCTACTCACTTGCTTATGTTTATGATTCAATAGAGTTATTAAATATTGAGGCTTGTCTTGTTGCTCTGGGATTCTTGTCTTTACTCTGTTTCCCCAACTTTGAATTATCCAGGCAAGCCCAAAATGCATTCACAATGTAGCTTACAAGACGGCAGCAGAGGGAGATTTGATATAAACAGATAAGCTAACATAAGGATAAAGGCGAAGGTAAAGATTTTAGAGATGTAGCCACAAGTCACAGAATGCCAGTAGCCACTAGAAGCTAGAAGAAACTAGGGATGAATTTTTCTCTAGAAGTTGCAGATGGAGTATGACCCTTTGACACCATGATCTTGGCTCAGTGATACAGATTTCACACTCTAGCTTCCAGAAAAGAGAATAAATTCCTGTTATCTTAAACCACCCAGTTTGTGGTAGTCTGTTACAGTTTCCACAGGAAACTAATACAATAATTTTATCCAAATAAAAATATTTTGAGTCTTAATTGTTGCCTTTAGTTTTTTAATGTGGATTTATTTTTTTTCTGCTTACCTGCACAACTAAAATTCTACTCACAACTGATTTCCAAAAACTGATAGCAGGAGTGACTTTTTGTAACCACTATACACTGAGAGGAGCTGTTAGAGGTTATCGATGACCTATACGATGTGTCAGGCTATATACATGACACTGGATACAAAACAGTAAACCAGAAGTTGCAAGCCCTTTCTGCAAAGATTGTACAGTCTGTTGGAACACAGTAACAGGTAAAACAGTAAATGTTTATGTTATGATTCAGTGTGGACTAGCAATAGAAGGACTCATTTTAGATTGGGCGGTCAGGTGCAATGGTCATGAATAGATTATAATCTTTAATTTGAAACCTAAGGAACGTCAATGCCTTAGTGATATTATAAGTAAAAATTAACATGTAATTTTACTCTAGGTTTCAATACAATAGTGGCTTATAAAATCAATTAAGTGAGTCATTACTACCCATTAAAAATTTAAAAAAATATTCAGAGGTGTCACATATGGTAAGGATAAGAATAAGCACTGTTTTGTTAACTCTAGTTTCAGTTTTTACACACGCACATATATGCACCCACACATGCTGCATGATGGTATGCAGTTTATTTTTTATTGTGGACTATGGCCACAAAAGCTGAAAAGACAATATTCCAGGTAAAAGACACAGTAGGTGTATAGGTCTTAAAGAAAAACAAAAATTTGAATTATCTAAGGAACTAAAGCACCTCAGTGGACCCTACCTTAGTGAACACTGGGTGGAACAGTGGTGGAGTGGGGCAGGTATGTGGAGGAAGGGGTTAGGAATGAGGATGGTAAGGTCAGCAGGGCCTGCTCATGCATGCTGTTAATTAGAGGCCCTGCCTTCCATTTACACGTTTACTCAGCTGTGTGAAAAACACATTGGAAAAATCAAGAGTAGAAGCAAGAATGCCACTCCGCAAGGTACAACAGTGGTACAGGCAAGAGATATTGGTGATTTATACATAGGTGACTGTGATGGTGGAAAGAAGATTCTATTGGGAAAAGGTTGAAAAGTGTGTACTACAGTAATGCCAAAACTATAATGTTTGCCTACTTTGGAACTGGTTTTCTTTTTACCTTTATATCTTGTATCTGGATAGCACTCATCATATATCCATAGAATTGGAAGAAGATATGTTATTGTATTTAAATTAAATGTATTTTATTTTCTTGCCTCAATATGACCTACATTTTTCCTTTACTTGTCTCCTTTCTACGTCTTCAATTCTTTTTGTGATTTTCTGAAAAACAAAGACTACAAAGTATTTGAAATTGATAAAAATCAAAATGAAAATGAAGGAAAATTAAAATAAATTCTTTGTCCTTCTAAAGATTGTCATGCAACATATTATCCAGTTTCAGAATCTTACCTACCTTCAACTGCCAACTTGAGGCTGTGGTCAGCCAGCTGATTCCAGGACCAATGATGCTCCTAGTGGTAACCATTTAATCTACACATTTCTGTTTCTAAAATACACAATAGGTTAGTGACTGCAAATATTTTGTAGGTAGTTTCCTTACTTTTGCTATTTGTTTTTATTTTCCATTTGAACATCTTTTCTGCCTTTTCCCCTAAGCATAGCAGGCATAACCTCCTCTAGAAATGTAAAGAATCAGAGGTAGAGTGGGGTTCTAAGGTAACTAGTACTCTATATCAATGTATTTTAGTGTTCTTTTAGTGACTTTTCCAGACCAGGAAGCTTTTGTTTTGCTTTTGTTTTGTTTTGTTTCTCTCTCTTAATTCTACCATATCTCAAATGCAAAAATAAGGGGCAGAGAAAATTTCTAGGAGAATTTGGCATGTGAAAATCAATTTACATTCTCTTTTCCCATCTGAGCTGCTGCTTCTTTGCATCATACGTAAGGTGCCTGTGGGTAGAGATATTTTATTTAATGAGGATGAGTTATTTCCACATTGTGCATACACACCCTGGGCAATCAGCACATCCACACAAGTCCTCAAATGCAGTAGAAGGGAAGTACCACCCTCATGATTTACCAGTCCAGTGCTTTACCATTCCCCTTATCTCTTAAGGAAAGCTAGTTTGGCAAGCTGCAGGTATACTTTTAGGCATTTGCTAACAGCAATATTTTTATGTACACAATTAATACCTCCATGTATGAGGGTTCCCCTTGTGTGTTTTCCAAATATAGATTCTATCCAAAATGGCTTTAGGATTTTCTGAAGCAAATAAGCCCCTTATTGTGGTCTTTGATTGTAAACTCTGTGTCCTCTCTTAAGTTTTTACCTATATAATTTTACAAGGTTAGTGAGCAGAGAAAAGTTTGACACACTGTGACATGCATACAAAGCATTAATAATCCATACAAGTATCTATTAAATAATCCATTTAACAAATACTTTTAAATTCACACCTGTGTTTCAACTTATAATTACAAGTACCTTTTTATCTTAAGTGTTGATAGTACCTGACTGGGCTAAAAATGGGCACATTTGTGGTGCTCACAGAGCAATGATCTAAGCACTGTACTAAATCTTGATGACACAAATACATTTTGCTTCAGTGAGAGAAAACTCACAACATGCAGACAGTGGCCAACTGGGGACCCTCGATGTCTGATTCAGGAACTTCAGGCTATTACAATTTAGTACAGAAAAATCCATTCCTTTTGGCTTTAATGTATCATCTATGTTTATTCCACATTAAAAAAAATCAAAATAATAAAGACAAGAGGGAAGATAAGGTAAGCCATGAAATCATTTCAATGACACCTATATTTTTTCTTTCATTTTATTCCTTGCTCCTTTCTTTTGGGTACAGTATATTCTAATATCAAGATAAAAAATCTGGAAAGAGTGATTAATCCTGTTTCCAGTTGTTATAGTTGTATGCTTGCTCAGGAACTTGTATTGTGTTATGCTTTCAAATTCCATTAATAGTCATTTGCCTTGACAGAAAAAGCTCTGCTATTCTGTACTTTTTTAAGACAAAAATCCCTCTAATGGAATTTACCAAAAAGCAAGTGCTTGAGTCTCAGTTTTGTGAGCTGAGACTGGCACCTACTGGTAAAATAAATATAGATCACAGCTGAAATAAAATTTTTCAGTCATAGGTAGAAGTATATTGTTTTGTGAGCTACTGTGATATTGCTTTCATTCATTTGAGTTAGTAATATCAAAATTAAAAATTATAAATTGTCATTTTCTATATTCATATTATCTAAGTAACATTTAAAAGATAAAAGGTGGCTAATGTCCACTGATTTCAAGAAACTTAAAAATCTATAAACTACTTAAATTTCAAAACAAATTAGAATGAATCTGACTGAATTTATTATCAAGAATAAGTGTGTCCCAAGGAACTGAGTTAAGAACTACAATGGACAATACATAAATTGTCTCAGATATGCCTCAACATTAATTTGAAATCAGGAGTGCCTTATCTCACAAGGTAATTTTATCACTCATGTTTCCAAATCCAGGCTGGATAAATATCAGTCAAGAAGACCATACAAGTGATTTACATAATAAACATGAGGTAGACAACAACATTTAAGATACTTGTTTTCTGTCCTTCATGTCGGTTCTTACAGAACTGGTTTGTAGCCTCAAGGTTTATAGAGTTGCTTAAACCCAAAAACGTAAGAAGCATTCTTGATTTATTGTTATTCCCTACTCTTTCCATCCATTTCCTTAGTACATTTTAGCTCTCCATCAGACATATGTCCTATATTCATCTGTTTCATTTAAGCTTTACTGCTCCCCTTGCCAAATCACCATCTTCTCACCTGGAATACTAGGCTGTTAGTTGACAGTGGTGGGGCGAGGATCTTCTGCTATATTGCAATTCTAATAATCCTATTCTGAACACTGCAGAGTGATATTTAAATGTAAATCCCATATTTAAATTGCATCATGAGCTACAGAAGAAAAAGAAATGTTTCTGTATTCAGGTTGGTGTTTGGCACATATTATATCTATAGTATTAGCAATATTTGCTATCACATTACACCAATTAAAATTTCTTTACATTTCAAAAATAGGATACTAAACTCCCTAAATCACAAGGCAAATTTAACTAGATGATGTTTTTTAAAGACGTATAAATAGTAATTCATAGGATTAAATTTGATATTAAATTGATTACATATTTGATACATTATACTACAGAGTCTCCAGTTTTAGGAATATCTTAGCAGACAGAAAGTTTACATTTTATTATTGCAATTCCATAGATTTTTGTCCTGGGAGTAATAAAGTTATACATGTTAATTATTCATCTTCAACCTTTTCCATTAGGCAGTATGAATATTTAAATTATAGGCGTCAAGTGCTACTTTGGATATCCAGAATTTTTTAACAGCTTTATTAAGTTATAATTGACATTGAGAATTATATGCTCTCTCTCTATATATATATGCTATAAAAACTTACAATAATATACTTCTATTTCTCCCTGACCAATTGAGTGAAGTTTACTTTTACATATGTTATAAACACTTCAATACATTATTATTTTTGTTTAACAATTGTTTTTTAAATAAAGTGGCCAAGTGTGGTAGCTAATACCTGTAACCTTGGCATATTGGAAGGCCAAGGTGGGAGGACCCTTTGAGACTGGAGTTTGAGACCAGCCTGGGAACCATAGAAAGACCTGCATTATCTACAAAAAAAAAATTAGTCAAATGTAGTTGCACACGTCTGCTGTCTCAGCTACTCTGGAGACTGAGGTAAGAGGATCACTTCAACACAGGAGTTTTAGGCTGCAGTGAGCTATGATCATAGCACTGTACTCCAGCCTGGGTAACAGAATGAGATTAAAAAAAAAAAAAAAAAAAAGAAGAAGGCAGGCAGGCAGGCAGGGAAGGAGGGAGGGAGGGAGGGAAGAAAAAAAGAAAGAAAGAAAGAAAGAGAAAGAAAGAAAGAAAGAAAAGAAAAGAAAAGAAAGGAAAGAAAGAAAGAAAAGAAAGAAAGAAAAGGAAGGAAAGAAGGAAAGAAAGGAAGGAAGGAAGAAAGAAAGGATAAAAATAAATTAAACTAATAATAAGCAATCTTACAATTTGTTACAAGAAAAATTTGATAAAATAGATATGCTATCTAAAAAAAGAACTAAGATCAGAATATTTATCTTTGTGAAGATCCATATTTCTTTCTCTTTTTAGCTACAGTCTGAAATTATTATATTGTAATTAGTTATGCTGGTAATGAGTTACTTCAGCTTTTGCATGTATGTCTGGAAAAGTCCTCATTTGCTATTATTTTAAAAGCCAATTTCACTAGGTATAGTTTCCTAGGTTATTATCTTCTTCCTTTTCTTTGTGCTTTAAAGATGCTGCTCAATTATCTTCTTACTTACATTGTAACTGGCAAGAAATATGTTGTCATTCTTATCCAAGTTCCTTTTTATATAGCATATCTTTTTTTGCTCTAACTAATATTATGATTATTTTTTCTTTTTTACTCGTTTGAGCAATTTGAATATCATGTATGTTGGTAGAATTGTCTTCATGTTTCTTGCACTTGTACTTGAAATTTATTGAGCTTCTTGGGTGTAAGGGAATAGAGAGGTCATCAAATTTGGAAACTTTTTAGCCATAATTTCTTCAAATATTATTGTCTACCCTCTCTCTCCTATCAAGTGTCAGAGAGCAGAGATCTGTACACAGGCTAAGGCAAGAGGGAAGATTTTGCTTGGTGATAAAGCATTGAAAAACCACACAAGCCATTGCGGAGTGAAAATAGAAGTTGAATTAAAAGAAACAAAGAAATATTTATGAATTTTGTTGTCATACCAAATAACACAAGCAGTTTAAATTAATGATCTTTCTTTTGTGCCATTGGGTTGTTTTAGTGTAACATAGAAACTTCCTTGAGTTGATTATAACATGATACATAACCATTTCAAAAAATGACCCAATGTGAGCCTGTGCCTTGCTCTGGACCCAGTCTCTTCATACAGCCTTTTTCCTCACCACACTTTAAGCTTCAGGAAAACAAAGGCAATGTCTGGCTTTTTTCCCATTGCTATATTCTCTGTACCTAACAGAGTGCCTGTTATATAAAGGGGACTCAAAAATCGATGTACTAAAAGAATAAGTGATCAACAGCTAGAAGAATTGGAAGAGAAGAATGAGAAGAAGTATTTATACTTGGGAGAACAGCATATATGTAGGCAGAGAGTAATAAAAGAGCATATTGCAATTAGTTTACTGTAGGTACCTTTATAGAAACAAAGAAAACTCAGAGGGGAATGATAAGGTGTAATAATGGAGGTCACAAATAGCCTCATAGAGCTGAGAAAAAAAGAAGTGCTGCTTTATTGTGGAAATTTCAGTGAAATATTGAAACATAATCAACTTAAGGATTAAAATGAGTAGGTTCAAATTTTTGAAAGTTCATGCAAAAATGTAGAGGCTAGATTGAAAACGGTAAAAACATGAGAACAATAAACTAATTAGAAGTCTATTGCAGTAGGTAGAAGCACCTGGGCTAAGAGAGAAGCAACAGAAATAAAATAGGAGGAAATCTATTCAAGGGAATTATAATCATATCCTAAAAACATGTTTTCTTTTTTTTTTCAGTGAAGGAGTGGTGAAATGAAGTAATTTAGATTTATAGGTAGCATTTAAAATCATGTTGGGGAAGAAAGAAAATTAATTAAGGTTTAAAAACTTAAGTTTGAGGTACTTGTGAAAAATCTAAGTGAAAATAGCTACTTAGCTTTAAAGGTCTGAGACCTAGTATTCATTCATTCAGATCATCAGTGATTGCTTACTGAGAATCTTTTCTTGTGTGTTCCAGGCACTGTTATAGTTGCTGAGGGTTCAGCAGTGAAGAAGTACCTGCACTCATGAAGCTTAGAATATAAAGTGGGTATGAACAAAAATCAAGGAGACAAATGAATACACAGTGGAATTTCAGTTAGTGATGGGTAATGAGAAGAAAATAAAGCAGTTTAAGTGTCTAGAGTGAGGCTATTTTAAATTGGGTAGTCAGAGAAATCCTCGTAGGCTAGGAGATGATATTTAAACACAGACTTTCATAATGAGAATGAATTTTGTCACATTAGCTAAGGGAGAAGAAAATGTTAAGTGGTGGCAAGTTATCAACATTGTCAAAACCTACAGAGATATAGCAAAATCAGGGTATATAAATGTCCTTTGGCTCTAGCTATTTGGAGGCTACTGGTGACCAAAATGAGAACAGTGTAAGTAGGAGAACAGATGTTGGATTGGAAAAGAAAGGAGTAACTGGGTTTGAAAAAGAAAAATTAGCATAATTTTTAAAAGAAAGCTTGGTTGCAAAAGAACAGAGAGAGGTAGGACTGATTCCAGGAGTGCCAGGAGAGTAATTTGTATGTTTTTCCAGTTATGTTTTTATGGCTCTTCATAGTACATTTTATGCAATCCTCTTGAGAAAATATAATCGAACTCACTGAGAAAATAATATGTTATTTTGGGGTGTGTGTTAATATATTTTTCTTAGACCATTAATTCCATGGAGAACTAAAGTGGACAAAAGCTGCAGTGCTATAAGTAAAATCTCTGCGTGCTCCATGGTAAAGAGCATTGAAATCCAGCCACTCATGGCTTATACCATAATGGTTTGGGCTTAATATTTTTAAAATAGTTTTAAAATTAAGGGGTGAGACTTGTTCCTTGAATCATTGTTTTTATAACAAGATTTTAAACATCCTTTAGAGAATGATTAAAATATTTGCTCTTTCTGATTCAACATCATGGGAGCAAGCCTTGGTAAAAATGTTACACTTTCGATAATAAACATGCAGATATGTCTCTAAAAATAAAAGCTGAAAGACTAAGTATAATTTGGTCTAATAATCTCAGTTCCACCATGCTGTCACTCTTCTGAGTGTACGAGCAATTCTTATTGTACCAAGTAACCCTTAAAATGTATTGTCAAACGATGACAACAATCCTTATTTTCTTCTCCTTTCAGTGATTGTTCCTTTATATTATCAGGCAGTGATGCTTTTTCTCATTTTTAAAATAAGATTTTCTAGCTATTTTTTAAAGCTTTTATCAAGAAAGCCTCTGGTGCTGAAAATTAAATGTCTCCAGCAATGTTTTTTGTCATTAGAATGTGAACTAATCATCTGATTGGGTCTCTACCTAGAAACTGCTCAGGAGACCTAGATTTTAATTGAGTCTAGCAAGTAAAATAGGGCTGTGCTTGCCATGCTAGGCAACCTTCAGGTCTCAGACAAGTTGCTGAGCATTTGTCATTACCAATGAATATACGACACTTTAAATAATATGGCTTTGCTATTCTTTACTGAAAAACAACTAGGGCAGGGTTCCTAATTGAAAGAAATGTTAAGAATATCTTCAACTCCCGCAATTAGATTTCTATTCAGAATTCTCTGCAATTATTTCTAAAGGTAACAAAGGTGACTCTAAGATTTTCCACATTCTTTAATAATCTAAAACTTTCTTACCACAAGAACATTGTCTACATTATGTGTGTGCATAGCTGCTGACAATATTTAGGAAATTACAATACTTTATCATCATTTGGTGAATAACAAATAAATGACTTTTCTTTTGGATCTGCCAAATCATTACTAATTGAATCAAATTATTGTACAGGCTAAACCATTTTTTAAACTGGGCTTTAGGGGACTTAAGATTTTTTTTTAATCAAGACCTTCCAGAGAAACATGAGTCTGTAAATTAATCTTTACACTGCTTTGTCTATAAAAGTGAGCAAAGGAAATGTAAAAAGCTATATTTATTCTATACTATAAATTCAGACTTCATTATAGGCAGACTTCATATTTTCTCTGTTCTAAAAGGTTGTTTGGAAACTGGTTGTTTTCAACTTGAAAGATATTTCTGATAGCAAGAAAATTAAAATTGATGATGAGTATTTAAGCTCCCACAAGTCCTATTTATTATTGTACAGTCTACTCATATTACTAATTGGAATAAAATTAAATGGAGAGATTTATATAGAGAGTGGAGGTTTTTGAGTCTTACTATATGTATTCTCAATAAAATATAGGCTTTTGGAGGGATAGAAGGAGATGTAAATTGTGGGAAATAATTCCACAGTAGCCACACACAAAAAATGAAATACCAAGAAATACAGCTAACCAAAGAGACAAGAGATCTCTACAAGGAGAATTACAAAACATTCTTGAAAGAAATCAGAGATGACATGAATAAGTGGAAAAATTTCCATGATAATGGAGTGAAAGAATCATTATTGTAAAAACGGCCTATACTGCCCAAAGCAATTTACAGATTCAATGCTATTCCTATAAAACTACCAAAGTCATTCTTCACAGAATTAGAAAAAAAGTACTTTAAAAGTCATAAGGAACCACAAAAAAGAGCCCAAATAGCCAAAACAATTGTAAGCAAAAAGAATAAAACAAGAATCACACTACCAAAATTCAAACTATACTATAAAGCCACAATAACCAAAATAGCTTAGTACTGGTACAGACACAGACACATAGAGCAATGGAGCAGAACAGAAACCTCAGAAGTAAAGCTGCACAGCTACAATTATCTGATGCTCAACAAGGCTAATAGAAACAAGCAATGAAGAAAGGACTCCCCATTCAATAAATTGTGCTGCGATCGCTGGCTAGCCATATGTAGAAGAATGAAACTGGACCCCTATCTTTAACCATATACAAAAATAAATGGATGTTTTAATTTATGTATGTTGAAAGAGTCAATGAAGCTACTTAATATATTCACCACCTCATCAATTTATCATTATTCAGTAGTGAGAGCATTGAACATCTATCCTTTTAGCAATTTTGAAATATAAAATACATTGTTATCAACTGTGGTCACCATTCAGTGCAGTAGATGACTAAAACATATTCCTCCAGGCTAACTAAAACTTTGTACCCTTTGGTCAACATTTGTCCTTACCCCATCCCCTAGATTGCCATGTAGACTGTACTATCTGTCTAAATTAAATTCAAAATAAAGAAGAAACAATAAGAATAAATTATTTCCTTTTATTTTCCTGTATCCAAGACTGGTCTTTAGCAAAATTTTCCAAAGTCCTGTGTACACCCAAATCCTACCATCTTCTCCAGCTTCATAGATTGTCACAACTTTCTCATAAAGGGCAAAGGCCCTCTAAAGAATCACTAAACCAAGTCAAAAGACTAACAATTGAAGAGTAAACGTATTTTTAACATACATAACAGACAAATAATGACTAATCCTACATAGCGCTTTTTACATATTGTTACAAAAAACAAAAAACAACAAAAAAAGAAAACTGATCAAAAGAAATGAATAGGTAGCTCAGAAAAAATACATGAGAAAGTGACTCATGCTCATTTGAAAGGATATTCTACTTCTCTAAGAAATGAAAGTTAAAATAATCCTTTGGAAATCACTTTTTCATCTACCAGATTTAAAAATTATGAACATTTTGTTATATTTAATTTTTTTCAAATGAATGGAAATTTAGAAAATCTTATTAACATTAGTGGGAAGATAAAATGATACAAGGTGTAGGAAGAGCAATTCAGCCAAATCGGTCAGTGACTAAAATGCACAAACCAATTTTTTTTGTAACTAAGTGGAATTTAAACTTTTATCTTTTTTTCCACTTTTATTTTAAATTCAGAGGTACATACGCAGGTGTGTTACATCAGCAAACTTGTGCTGTGGGAGTTTGTTGTATAGAATATTTAATCACCCAGGTACTAAACCTAGAACCCATTAGTTATTTTTCCTGATCCTCTCCCTCCTCCCACCTTCCACCCTACGATACGCCCCCGTGTATTGTTCCCCTATGTATCCACGTGTCACTAGTCGCAACTGCAACTAAAATATTGTTTTATCTTTATTATTTTTAAGAATGTATAATAGACATATCGATCTCTAGATATGTAAGCACAGTCAATGAAAGCAAAGACATACATTCTTTGATATTCATATTACAATTATCTGAAATGGTAAATGACTAAAAGGTAGGTTTATGTGCCAATTGATATTTATGTACCATAATTTATTTCATTAGAGAGTAGTTTATTTCACTCCTCTTTAGTGAAATAAATTATGGTACATATGCCGCAATGAAAAAGAATGAAGCAAATTAGGCATCAAAATAAAGATACTAGAACAATGGCATGGTCTTATTGGTATACAAAAAGTCAGAAATACATGGATGGATACTCAAAACTCTTGATGGCTGCCTATGTGGAATAAACTTGTAGCTATAAGGTGAGAGGGAGACTATGTTTTAGAGTAAATTTTTTCTATATTTTTAATATTTAACATGTGCATGTAGTAATATTTCTAAAGGTAGTTCTGATACACATGCCATTATTTTTAAAATGTTTCCTTCTTTATCCATATAATCTGATTTTTACTAAATCAAATTAAAATTTGAATATATCCAATAGCCTTATAATCTGCAATTTCAAAAATGTTTTCAGGGGAAAGGAAAAAAATAATTGAGAACATATTCCATGCTCTGTCCAGCTTGTTTCTCACAATTTTCCTATGAGGTAGACTTTGCAATCTATTTTACTGTTGACAAAACAGAATCACTGTATTAATTTGCTCAAAGTCACAAACTAGAAAGAGGCAAAGCTAAAATTCAGAGTTTAGTCTCTGATCAAAGATTCAATTTAAAAAATGCTACAAATAAAAATTTTCAGAAATTTCAGTGATTTGAAACATTTCAGTCATAATTGAATAAAATCAAAGCAGGAAAGAAAGGACATTTTGTTTCTCTAGTTGTTTATTTTTTAGATACCTTTTGCACTTTTAACATGCTTAAGTTTTTATATTTTCTTCCCTTTTTCACCTTTTAGCTTGTGGATTCTCATGAAGTCCCTTCCCCACCAGAGCGGTTAAAGAATTACCAGCTGGCAAGAATCAGTGCATAAAGACAGAATCCCTTATGGTGAACATGTAGAGGAGAATAAAGACGGCACTTGGAAACTCAGTATGTGAGGTATGAGGGGAAGATCAAGGCTTCCATTACAATTACATCCACATCATTGTATCAATACACAAAGTGAGAATTTAAAAATTTACACAAAGAGATTTTCATGTTTTAGAGCAATAATATTGGTAAAAATAAAACAGGATTGCAAAGCCAACCTCACAGAAAATTTGGGTGCAAATACCCTGCCCAAGTCTAAAAATTAAGACTTGTAGGTGTTGTCTCTCTTTCCCGAAAAAAGTTGTATAGATTTCTAAGATTAAGAGCATATAGAAAGATCAAGTAAAGCAAGGAGAAAAGATATTTGCTTCTTTTAATACTACATGCCATAATGAAGTACCAATGTGTTCAGACTGGAAATTAAAAGATTCACACAAAGACGTTACTATATTTTAGGTCAATATTATTAATTTAACTGCACAAAGCTCAATCAAATAGAATGCAGCATTTAATCAATTTGTTATGTTTGGCCTATCTATAGGAACAGAATTTATTTACCTGCTATTGAGACTTTATTTTAGTTCAGTATTATTTGATAAGCTTGTTTAAGCACCTCATTTTTCCCACACCATTTGCTAGGCAAAATAGAGAAAAATGAATAAGACAGGATTCTTGACCTGGACAATTTCACAGTATTCTTGGGTATGACACTACTTGAGTTGTTTGAAAAAAAAAAGTTGAGCTACCAGGTTGATAGCATCACTTATATTTACCCAATAACTTGAAAGAAATCAGATTTCATATTTGCTGGAAAATACCTTAATCTTGCACTAAACCTAGTGACAAGTTGTTCTGTTTCTCAACTTGTGTATTACACTGTGTCAGTCTTTTGATTTCACAGTCCAGAAGAGAGAAAAGCATAGAATGAGGCGCAACCACAGTCAACTATTGCCTAAATAAGAAATCTTACTTGCCTTATACTGACATTAATGGGATGTTTTATCCCGGTACAGGCAGAACGCTAAAAGCCTGACACTGTCTTCAAAAAAAAAGTCCCAAGTCTTGAGATTCTTACTGTCATCTTGGAAACAAGTGTATAAGACAAAAAAAAAGAAAAGTAGGAGACTGTTGTTCAGAAAATATCACAGAAATCCATTACATAATTAATTAAATCTGTGAAATTAGGAAATAAACTTACATTTAATCTCTTTCCTAGAACTTCATATTTAGAGCCTAGCCAAGATATAGTATCTGTTACTGATAAATGTCTTCTTTTACATTCATATAAAAATTTTTGGAGGAAGTAGAATAGCTTATTATATTTAAACCTTGAAATAAATTAATAGGGTTTAACAACATAAATTTGTGTACATGCACGACAAAAGATGATGACAAATTATTCCAGTGCCCAATGTGGGTTTAAGTATTTTTACCTCTCTGTGGTTTTGCATGCTTGTTTCCTTTGCAATAGCTATGCATAGATTTTGTGTATGTCTTTCTAGTTATTAGTTATCTTCAAATGCAGCAAACATGTCATGAAAAGTATTGTGGGGAGAAGATGCAGTAATTCTCAAATTATATTTGGATTGGCTGTCTCAAATCCCTGTAACCTAATTTGTATTTCCTTCTCATGGTGCACATTACCCCCTCCCATATCTCCTCTGCATCAAGTTTTTGATATTCAGTGGGTCAGAAAACTTACTGATTATCACCTGCTCTCGAGGTAGTCATCTAGTGATATGCACAATGTCTTTCTCGTTGTGCCTCACATTCTAAGCTCAAAATTTAGTTTTATCAATTGTTGTTGTGGTGGTGGTGGTGGTGGTGGTGGTGGTGGTGGTGGTGGTTGTTCAATAGTTTTTTTTCATGTTACTATGGGTTTCAGTTGTGCCTCTCAGACTAAGACACTCTCCTATTTCAATGTGATTAGCACCAATAAAACCCAAGCTTGAATAATGTGAAACAAATTCAAATGTGTGCATGTAACCTGGATATTCCTTAGGCCTCACAAATGTATGAGCCTGACTTGGGGAAGATCGTTGTACCTGTAGGTTAGTTTACTGACACAGCCACTGTTTCTGCTGTGGTACCTGCTATTGTTTGGCCAGGTCCCCACCCAAATCTCATCTTGAATTCCCACGTGTTGTGCGAGGAACCTGCTGAAAGATAATTGAATCATGGGGGCAGCTCTTTCCCTGCTCCTGATAGTGAATAAGTCTCCATGAGATCTGATGGTTTTAAAAATGGGAGTTTCCCTGCCCAAGCTCTCTTTGCCTGCCGCCATTCACGTAAGATGTGACTTGCTTCTCTTTGCCTTCCACCATGATTGTGAGGCGTCCCCAGACATGTGGAACTATAACTCCATTAAACTTCTTTCTTTTGTAAATTTCCCAGTCTTCGGTATGTCTTTAATCAGCAGCGTGAAAACGGACTAATTCAGTACCCCACATATGGCCACTGATTACTTCTTGTTTCTTGATACTTGAGGCATCTTTATTCTCTTTGCTACTTTCCTCCATAGTTTAATTGCTGTCCCTTCTTATGATTTTGACATCTCATCCTCTCTCCAAAAAAGAAGTACATTTTTCTTTCAGAGATTGTTGGGGAACAGGAAGAGGAGTTCTTTAGCAGAGAGGCTGACATTCCCAGTGAATCAGTGCTTTAGTTTTCATGCAGCGCTTTCCCTCCAGTTCTTTTAAATAGAGCTTCTGGGATTTGGAATGTCAAGGCCTGTTGATGAATAACTGTTTATATAACTGATATGTTTTGGCTGTGTCCCCAACCAAATCTCATCTTGAACTGTAGTTCTTATAATCCCCATGAGTCATGGGAGGGACCTGGTGGGAGGTAACTGAATCATGGGGGTAGGTTTTCTCTTGTTGTTCTCGGGAGAGTGAATAAGTCTCACCAGATCTAATGGTTTTATAAAGGGCAGTTCTCCTGCACAGCTTCTCTTGCCTGCCACCATGTAAGATGTGCCTTTGCTCTTCCTTGCACCTTCCATCATGACTGGGAAGCCTCCCCTGTCATGTGAAACTGTGAGTCAAATAAATCTCTTTTTCTTTATAAGTTACCAGTTTCAGTTAGTTCTTCATGGCAGCATGAGAACAGACTAATACAGTATCTGTAAAGATTCTGTGAGAGTCCAGAAGTTTAGTTTGACCAAAGTACTCAAAGGATTTTCAGGGTAGGGGCTAAAAAGCTGAGTTTATATGAATACATAGGCATATACGTATGCACATACACACACACACATATGCATATACATGTTTATATATATAAATGGTGTTATATATGTTTTATATGTATATGTTTATATATATAATGTTATATAGAGAGATCAAATGTTACATAATTTTACAGAATTATATTTAACATCTCCTAAGTTATTTAAATATAAAGCAGCTCCCAACTACCACATTCACTTATTTTATTTAGTCCTTAAAAAACTGAGGGATGTTGGTTACTAAATGTTTTAAACCTAACAATCAAGAATGTAAGCAACTTGCTCTGTCATATAACTATTAATGAGTACAGCCAGCAGTACAGCCAGTTTTGAAAGGCATTGTGGCCCATGTTCTTTCCATTACTCCTCATCCTATCCTATTGACCCATCATTGTTGATATAGTAAATCAGTAATAAAAATATAAAGTTTTAAAGAGTTTAAGATTCTCATGTTGTAATTGAATTCTTTGAGCTGAATAACTGGCCAGTGGCTTTGTAAAGTTACACAGATTGCTCATGGTTGAGGTAAGACTGAAGGCAATATTTTGATTCTTGGTAAATCCTTATTGTTCTGATAAAGCAACACGCTCCAAATAAGTTACTAATATGTGTTATTATTAGTTAAGCTAGAATTAGTGCCAGAACTCGAATCCATAATATGTTTTCTACAATAAGACTTCTAGGACATAAAATAGGGACCATGGATAATTAATTGATATTTCTTCTAATGGAGAAATAAATATTTTAAGATACCATGAGAGTAATTTGCTGAAATTTTAAAATAAAATTTGAAGAAACATTTTTATATCTAGCAGTAAAAATTAAATTAAATGCACTAAAATCAGTTCAATAAAGAAATAGAATTAATTACACACTCAAAACAGAGTTTTTATAACAACTAGATATTTAGAGAAAACAAAATGAAAACATTTTTATAGCCACTTACATATTTCAACACTAGTATTTTTCATTCCGTTTACATTACTATCTAGTGAGCAACTATTCTAAGGCTGTTTGCCAGCCACAACTGCTTTGGTTTACCAAAAAAAAAAATGAAAATAATATCTTTTATAAAACAAGAATTTATCGACATATATACCCTAGAAGTATTTTAATAGAGGCAAGCATGACTGGATCTGCTGGATTAAATAACGTTACTGAATTCCAGTTTCTTTCTGTCTGTCTATTCTGCTTTTCTGTATCTCCATTCCCAGGCAATTAACCACCCCTGGTTTGAACCATCTTTATTACCAGCAATATCAGTTGGAAAACATGGACCTTCTTCCTAAGCACTCCATAAGTTCATATGCCTGAACTCATTGCTAGAGTCAGAAGGATATAACGATCTCATTGGCCAATCCCAGGTCACATGAACTGGAATATGATGCTGGAATAAACTCCATAGGAGGTCGTTAAAAGATGTAGGGTGTTTTCCCAATAAAGGGAAGGGTGTTAATGAGAATGGGGAAGATGCTTGGGCAGAATAAAGCAAATGGCATCATCTAGACACGTGTCTCAAAGAGCTTACAATTTAGTAAGATAAAGCAATAGACTCATAACCATAGTTACCACTTAATCCCACAATTAAATGTAGCTTTTTACCAAATGATGGAGTAATATTTCCTTTAAAATTTTACCGAGTTCAAAGCAGAGCTTTTCTGGGTTCAAAGCCATGCTATAATTTATGCTGTGGAATTGATGAGGCATAAGTGAAACACAGTTTCTGGTTTTAATTTATCTTCTTTGAGGGACACAATGCGATACCATATGGGTAGGGAGGTAGACACACAGATAGATATACCACTAAAACTGTGGTAAAAAAATGAATAGACAAGGGAGGTAAAAATACATTCAAATCAAAAGGTTCAAGATTTATTCTTTTTCTTTATTTTACTAGTTAGGAGACTTTGAGCAATGCAACTAATTTCTCTAGGTTTTATCTATAAAATTGAAATAATAGCATTCATATATCTCATACTTTTGTGGGAATTAAATGTGACAAAACGTCAGAAAATTCTATGTCATTGGTGAAACACTTTCCCAATGAAGGCTTTAAAAATGTTCCACATATAAATAAGTAGTTTGTGCTAATTTGTACCATTAGCTTACTGTCTTTTCAGTTCTATTAATTTACTTTTGGGTTCAGTGGCTGCTTGAAGTTTCAAAAATAATAATAAACAAATAAAATATATATACATATATATATATGTCTTATATATGTCATTTAAGTTAATTGAGGGAACTTTTGGCATTAAATGTCCTTAAAGCCCAGGGAAAAGCTAAATTAGCAATGAGAAATACATTAACAGTCTGATTTGGTTTGGCTATGTCCCATCCAAATTTCACCTTGAATTGTAGCTCCTATGATTCCCACGTGTTGTGGGAGGGACCTGGTGTGAGATAATTGAATCATGGGGGTGGGTCTTTCCTCTGCTGTTCTCGTGATAGTGAATAAGTTTCATGAGATCTGATGGTTTTATGAAGAGGAGTTACCCTGCACAAGCTCTCTTTCTTTGCCTGCTGCCTTCCATGTAAGACATGACTTGCTCCTCCTTACCTTCCACAATGATTGTGAGGCCTCCCAACCATGTGAAACTATAAGTCCATTAAACCTCTTTTGTAAATTGCCCAGTTTCAAGTACATCTTTATCAGTGTCATGAAAATGAACTAATACACAGTCATTTGTAAAAATCTCTCATAAGAGAGAAATAAGACATAGTTTTACACATACAAATTGAGAAGTGACCAGAAAAGAAAAGAGTATAATTACCAAAATATACACTGACGGAGCACTCTGTGTAAGGCAAGGAAGTTGTTTTAATTATTGGCTATGTTGAGGGGTTAGTGTAGAAGACAGAGGTCAAAAATCTTTTTTGTAAAATGCTAAATATTCATGATTTTAGGCTTTGAGAACCAGAAGGTCTCTGTAATTAACTACTCTGTCATTCTAGCACAAAAGCAGCTATAGATAACATACAAACAAATATGTATGACTGTATGCTAATAAAAACTTATACACAAAAAACTGTCTGGATTTGGCCCAGGGCCATAGTTTGTAAACCCTTGATTTAAGGCAACAAAAGCATTAACAAATTTAGCTAGACATAAGTCAAATTTGTTTTTCCTTTCTCATGTCTAGCTTTTGTTAGCTTTTTTGCAAAAGGCAAAGTGGAAGGAATGATTTCAAAAGTGTCATAATGTGATAAAGTATTATTGTAAAATTTAACCTGAAGCATAAAGTGTCTCAAAAGTCATTTTTACAAGACCCATTTTGATGTGATTTAACTGAACAATGCAACTGTATCCAAAAATCACCGCATCTCTGACTAAAATTTACTTATCTCACTCACCACAAAAGATTCCATTTCCATTAGCATCACTTAAAAATTCAAAACTCTTTAATTCATATAGAGGCAGTTAAAGATCAACTTTAAGATTTTCCATTAATTCACAAAACAATTATCAAGGAAAGGCCTTAATTATCATGGGTTGCCTTTACAATTACATAGAAAAAGGTAATCATCTGTCAACTGAAAAGAGAAAGATATGTATTAATAATACTAATTGTGTATGTTTGCATATGTGAGGAAGCAAGCAGGGATATATGATATATAAATAGATACATATCTATGAAGATGAATAAAAATAGTGGGAAATGTAATATTCATCTATTTTTAACTTTCTGAACATTTCAGCATTTTTTATAACAGCTCTGCCAACGCTGAGGAATTATTCTTTCCTACTCTCCCATGAGTTTCTCCCATTTTCTACACATAGGCCTGAACACTTAGTCCAAGAAGACCCAGTAAGAGCATCCATCGCTTGGCTGAGAACTGGGGGAGTTGATACAACCCCTTCAAAACTTTCCCTGGAATTTAATGACTGAAGATGGGAAAGTCACTATTTAGCCTGCCAGAATTATGCTAGATGTTTATGGAAATATTTTCTGATTATGAATTTCTCTCTCTATATGTACATGAAAATATAAGATCATCAAATACTCTTGTAGTTGTCTATTTTTATGGGAAAATGTACACTTTTATCCATAATTAAATTGTAAATTACTTATGTTACTATAAGTTATCCAATTCAGTTTAATAGGATCATAATATTTTGTATACACACAGATACAAATTTGTCCCTCCTAAAGAATTTACCACATAGTCTCTCAAATGTGGAATGACATTTACAGCTAATATCCATTGAACATTTACTGTGTGCCAGATTTTTTTTTCAGGTATTAACTTGTGTAATCCCAATGAAATCCCTATTAGGTGGTGGTTGCGTTTGTTATTATTATTATTATTGTCATTATTATTATTCCTTTTCAGAGATGGGGACTAAGGCCCAAAGAAGTCCATTAGCTTGTCCATGACAATACAAGAAGTGGCATAACTGAGAGTTGAGCCCAGCAATCTAATTTCATAAGACCAGCTCTTAACCATTATGTTATTGTTCTATGTATCTGAGAACAAGTATCTAAGAATGTTTACTATGCTCTTGTTAACATAAGTACTGCCAGTCTTTCAGATTTTATCAAATTAATGGTTTAAAGTATTTCACTTCAATATATTTGATCAATAGCAGGTTTAAGCATCTTCGTAGCTGGCCTTTGCTCACTTGTTTTTCTTTCATGAATTACCCCTTCAAAGGTGTTTTCTATTTTTCTGTTAGGCTGCATGTTCTTTAGTTATTGATTTGAAGGAAGTCAGTCTGTTATAGGTGTTGCAATAATTTTCCTTTATCTTGGCATTTACCTTTTATATCTATTTATGATTTTCTATCTGTAAAGATATTACAAAAGTGTCATGTGGTCAAAACTATCAATCATTTCCTTTATGAATTATTGATATTGTGACTGGCTGAAGATAAACCACTACTAGAGAATACAAACACATTTTCTTCTAGTGGTTTTGCTGTATTATAATGTTAAAATATTTAGCATTTTGAATTCAGAAATAAAAGACCTTAAGGTGTCTTCATCAAAATTAATAAACAATTACTTTTGTCTATTGAAAAATCATTTTCCACTGATTTTAAATGCCAGATATATCATTCATTCCCAAACTTCTACAAATCCTTGGGTCCTATTTCTGAAGCTGTTCTTTTATTCCATTGATGTCTGTTTCTTTTCCTAAGTAATTTATTTCTATTACTTCTAGACATTCATAATACTTTTAGACACCAGTTAAAGCTGGTCCCATTAAATAGTTATTTGTTTTCAAAACATTTTAACTATTCTTACAAATCTTCCAGATAGGTATTATAGTAAGTGTTGCATATTAATATAAGTATACTTAACACTCTTACTATATTACATCCAGAAAATGTTTATTCACACTATTTGTACAAGGCTTTTACTGTTATACCTTAAATCTTCCCTTGTATATTACCTGGACATTTCTTATCTACTTGTTTTGATGTTTCTATGTGGGCACTATATTTTTCTCCATCATATTTCATTACTACTTTTTAATTATCACACCCAAATTAGCTTTATTTTTAACTATATCTTTAAATTTTTAATTGAGATATAAAATGTGTATATATTTGCCACATACAACTTGTTGATTTTGAAGTATGTATACATAGTGAAATGGCTAAACTGAAAAATTAGTGTATTTTTGAACGTTGCTATGAGAGTAGATTTTAAGTTTTTTCAACAAAAAAAAGATAGTTTGTGAGATAATGAATTACTGCTTTTGTATCAAAATTTTGCCTATAATTCAGTCATTCTACTAAACTTTTATTTCAGTCCTAACAGTTTGTAACTGAATTAATAGAATTTTCCTGGTAGATAACTCTATTAGCTATCACTAAGAATCACTCATCTCCTTTCTAAATCTGTAGTTCTTTATATTCATTATTTATGTCATCTTAAGTTATTAGAAAAAAACATTCAAAAAATAGTTTAATAATATTTACACAGTATGCTAATACTGTATTTGGTTGTATGACATTCACAGAAATTAATATGTTTTACAGAATCTCAGAACGTGGCTTTATTTTGGAAGAAGGTTGTTATAGATGTAGTTAGCTAAGATGAGACTATCGTAGCAGGACAAACATCACATTAAACAGAGTCAGAGATTAACATAAACCCAGGGATGCTGAAGAATGCCACCAGCGACCAGAAGCTCGGAGGGAAGGAAGGAGCAGATTCTCCCCAGTGCCTGCTACAGGAACCAGCCCTGCCGACACCTTGATTTTGGATTTTCAGCTTCCAAACTAGGACTGAGACAGAACAAATTTCTGTTGTTTTAAGTGGCCTACTTTGTGGTACTTTGTTGCAGCTGCCCTAGAAAACAAATACATGTGTTGACTGTAGCTTTTACTAAGGGAAGATGACGTCTTTAGGGCTCTAAAGATATTCTTCATCAAGTTTAGGAAATATCCTTCTATTCCTCTTTTACATAAAGTTTATACTATGTTTGTTAACTAGAATCACTTCTCAGCAGGTATAATTAATATGATCCTACTGTTATTTTCTCCTTTATTAATATTGTGACAGATTGCAAGAACCTCAATAAAAACCTCTCTTTCCTTCCTGTATGTACAAATCATTACAATGTGCCTTTGCAGCTCCTGGCAGTAACAGGAGAGGTCTACTTCTCTATCTTTTGAAGTTCTGCTGTCCTTGTGCCTTATCTTGTGCAACAGAATGTAGCAAAAGCAATATTTTTCTATTCCAAGCCCAAGCCTCAAGAGAATTTACACTTTTTGGTGCTTCCTTTTGGAACCTGATCACCACCATGTGAGCAAGTCTGGGCTAGACTGATGGATGATGGATTCTTCCTGAGCTGACAACCAGCCAACTACCCCATAATATAAGTATGGTTATCAAGTGCTAACAAACCACAGAGGCATGAGTGAATCTAGCCAAAGTCAGCCAAACCCAGCCCAGACCAGGCACACTGCTCAGCTGACCCACAGACTCACAGGGATAATTAATGGTCACTGGTTTTGGCTGCTAGGATTTGGAGTGATTTGTTATGCAGCAAGAGCAACTGCTAAAAATATAAACAACTAAATAAATATGTATACATGCATATATAAACTATATAAAAATATACAACTGATATATATATATGCAGTTTATCAATAGATTTATATAATTAAAGCATCTCTCCTTTCTTTTTAAAGAAAGGGTCATGCTATGGAATTATTATAAAATAATGTTAGATCCAAATTTTTAATGTATCATTCAGAATTTTTTAAAATCTATGTTCCTGAATAAACAACCTTAATTCTCCAGTCATTAAAATACATTAATATGGCATTAGAATTCAAATCCTAATAGGAGTAAAAATAAATCAATTTTGAGTCAATATACTGATACAATTGGGCAAACTTGGTTTGCCAATTGGGGCAGGGATAAATCTATTTCAAATTCATACAGAAATAAATTTGAAGTTAAAGTTTTTAAAAATTATTTTAAAATGAAATCAGTATTCAAAAACAAAAGTGAATCTTTGTAATATCTTGGTCTTCAAAATTATTTTAAAAGATAATCAGAAGCAGAAATAATAAAGAAATTAGTGATATTTTTAATACAAACACTTTCACATTCTTGTAATTTAATCATAAAGGAAAACAATCCCCCAAAAAAATCCTGTAATGATAAATGTAAATGACAAATGGAAAATGATTTACAATGTTTATGCTAAAATTATTAATATACAAATATATGCTTAAGTATTAACAGTAAAATCATGTACCATCCCATGAAGACAAATATGTAAGAGATATGACTAAGTAAGTCTTTGAGAGTAGAAATTCAAATAGCTATTGATGGGCATTGGAAACCTGCCCCTAAACTCAGGAAGAGGAGAAAGCCACAGCTCATTAGTGATGTATGTCATGGGCTCTGGAGTGAGGACAGGAGAAGTATCAGAGATGTTTGTCATTCTTTTGTCATTTCCCCTGATGAGAAGTCCTTACATGCCTTTCCTCTGCTTCTCCAAGTTCTTTTTCAAAGATTCAGCTCAAGCCCCACCTCTTCTACAATTATCTCACTAGCCCATCTATCCAAGCCTGTAATAATTACTGCCTGTTCACATACGACTTACAGCCTGAATCCCACCTTTGGCTCTGACATGTCTTACTTGAAAGGTCATTCATCTTTTCATCCTATAGGTCCTATCACGTCAAAATGTGCTTCTTTCTAGAATGTAGAATTTTGCTTCAGTACATAATCTACATAAATAATACATACACAGATATGTGATCAATCACATTATTTCTTTGTCTTTCAGTGATTGGTCACTGCATGTGTGATATTCACTTTGCATACCAATAGTTAAATGTTGTTATTTATTGGTATCTAATAGGAAAGGTGATGCCTTCTTGTCTCCCACTGATAAATCTATGTGACATTTTCAAAAGGGGATAATAAAAAGAGGGACTTGGCCATCAAAGATGAAAAGATTCCCTATTTAATAAATGGTGCTGGGAAAACTGGCTAGTCATATGTAGAAAGCTGAAACTGGACCCCCTCCTTACAACTTACACAAAAACTAATTCAAGATGGATTAAAGACTTAAATGCTAGACCTAAAACCATAAAAACCCTAGAAGAAAACCTAGGCAATACCATTCAGGACATAGGCATGGGCAAGGACTTCATGTCTAAAACACCAAAAGCAATGGCAACAAAAGCCAAAATTGACAAATGGGATCTAATTAAACTAAAGAGCTTCTGCACAGCAAAAGAAACCACCATCAGAGTGAACAGGCAACCTACAGAATGGGAGAAAATTTTTGCAACCTACTCATCTGACAAAGGGCTAACATCCAGAATCCACAATGAACTCAAACAAGTTTACAAGAAAAAAAACAACCCCATCAAAAAGTGGGCAAAGGATATGAACAGAGACTTCTCAAAAGAAGACATTTATACAGCCAAAAAACACATGAAAAAATGCTCATCATCACTGGCCATCAGAGAAATGCAAATCAAAACCACAATGAGATACCATCTCACACCAGTTAGAATGGCGGTCATTAAAGTCAGGAAACAACAGGTGCTGGAGAGGATGTGGAGAAATAGGAACACTTTTACACTGTTGGTGGGACTGTAAACTAGTTCAACCATTGTGGAAGTCGGTGTGGTGATTCCTCAGGGATCTAAAACTAGAAATACCATTTGACCCAGCCATCCCATTACTGGGTATATACCCAAAGGATTATAAATCATGCTGCTATAAAGATACATGCGCACATTATGTTTATTGCAGCACTATTCACAATAGTGAAGACTTGGAACCAACCCAAATATCCATCAATGACAGACTGGATTAAGAAAATGTGGCACATATACACCATGGAATACTATGCAGCCATAAAAAAGGATGAGTTCATGTCCTTTGTAGGGACATGGATGAAGCTGGAAACCATCATTCTCAGCAAACTATCGCAATGACAAAAAACCAAACACCGCATGTTCTCACTCATAGGTGGGAATTGAACAATGAGAACACATGGACACAGGAAGGGGAACATCACACACCCGGGACTGTTGTGAGGTGGGGGGAGGGGAGAGGGATAGCATTAGGAGATACACCTAATGCTAAATGACGAGTTAATGGGTGCAGCACACCAACATGGCACATGTATACATATGTAACAAACCGGCACGTTGTGCACATGTACCCTAAAACTTAAAATATAATAATAATAAAAAAATAAAAAATAAAAAATAAAGTATAGCAAAGAAAAGAAAAGTTAAAATTCTGGAAGTGAAATTTGAATCAAAGGTAAAAGGTGTTATAGAAGAAATCTGTGTGTGAATATGTTGACACTGCTACCATTTAAGGCTCTACATATGTTGCCTGATGAACTTAGTGAAGGCAAAATTATTTAGGTAAATGAGGAAAGGGGTTGTGAGGCTCTGTGTCCCAGAGAATGTGACAATGCCAACAAAAACAACAACAACAAAACACATTTCACATTAAAGAACCTTTTAGAGTTATTTCTCAAGATTGAAAGCACAAAGAATAAAATGTTGGAAGTTGATCAAACTTAAAAAGGAGAATGCTCTATTGTAATTCATAAGACAAATGCAGAAGAAAAGCACTGCTCCAACTGTTAGATAAGATTTTTTTACAAGAAATAAAGCAATTTATTTCCCAATGTTTCTATTTTAAATAACAGTGTACTGGCCGGGCGTGGTGGCTCACACCTGCAATCCCAGCACTTTGGGAGGCCGAGGTGGGTGGATCACCTGAGGTCAGGAGTTTGAGACCAGCCTGGCCAACATGGTAAAATCCCATCTCTACTAAAATACAAAAACTAGTTGGATGTGATGGGGGACATCTGTAATTCCAGCTACTCGGGAGGCTGAGGCAGGAGAATCGCTTGAACCCAGAAGGCAGAGGTTGTAGTGACCCGAGATCGCACCATTGCACTCCAGCCTGTGCAAAAGAGAAAGACTGTATCTCAAAAAAAAAAAAAGAAAAAAAAATTATGATGTACTAAATATTAATTTTACTAATTTTAATATCTACATATACTAATACCTACAGTAAGATAATTTTTAATGTCTTGACAAAAATGTCTGAAGTTCAGAAACAATTGTAATTTTTCCCATTGAGATCATTTTGTATGCTTTCAGCTTTCACAGTCGTTTTTGCATTCCTGCACTGCTGCATTTCCTTCCCTCCAGATAGATAGATGGAAATATACAAACATACATACATACATATAGCAGTTAATAATAAATGCTATCAGGAAAAATAAAATAAATGGTACAGAGTGACAGGTGTGGCTGTTTGAGAAATATATTTCTATTGTCATAAAATGATCCCTTTAGGTAAGTTATTGTTGTCCTCCACCTTCTCACCACTTCTACATTATATGTGAGTGAATTAAGGCTAAGAAATCAGTAAAGTACTGATCCATGGGCATGGAAATATCAAGTGCTAGAGCTTGGAATCAGACTCATCTTTATCTGAATATAGGCCACATTCTTTCCACGATACTATACAACTTCTCCAAAGAATTTGTATACACATGAAGACTGAATGCATTTTTAATGTAGCAGGTCTCTTAAATGGTTTTAGTTCATAGTCTGTAGCGCAGCTAAAGCCATTCATATACAGGTTTTGCTGATTGAGAGGCCCACAGTATGTGATCAATAGTCTAGTCTTTTCGGGTCTAAATAAACAAGACGTTCAGCAGCTCACTGCCAACAGCACTTCAGGTATTCCACAGTCCCTTTTACTGGTCAAACATTGGCATGTTACCAAACGACAGTGAAAGGAGTATTTGCTTAAGCTAACACGTGCTCCATTTAGAAAGAAAGAAAAATCATATAGCAACATAACTTCACAAAGGAGAGTAACTGTAGATAGCAGTGTAACTGCTTTCAGAGATGTGGATAGAGATGTTCTGTGATTTCAGAACATTGCTTTTTCCTCCTGGGAAAATTAAATTCTGGTAATGATCTCTAAGTATAGGGAGCAAAAATTGGTCTTTGATTTCTTTGCATTTAATGGTCTTTAACTCCCTTGCGTCTAAAAGTCTTTGGCAACCATGCAATCATCAAAACACTTCAGCAACTTCTTAACTAGGAAACTTAACACCTACTTACACTATTGTTAGCTTCAGTAGTTCAAAGAATGCAAAGTCAATAGCAATTAGGAAAGAAAACCTCTGAGAAAGGGAAAGATAGTAATAAAACACCTAATTGTTTCTCTTAAAACCTACTCCCTTAGTACCTTCAAATGTTAATGAAATGTCATTTCCCCATGACAAGTAGCACACAGATCTTTTTCTTCTTGTGTAGGAAAAAAGGCATACTGTGACAACATATATAATACTATTCATTACTAAAACTTACATTATTCTAATGTTACTGGCTTATAATTAATGTGTAAGTGATTCTAGAAGCTTAACCCCTATCCCCCTATTTGTTGCTTAGCAACAATCAAGCTGAGTAAAATACTGCTAGGCTATTGACTATGGGTCACTATGTGAAAACTGGCTTGGGAATTATTCAGTTGGGATTGCTTTCTCTGGAGTCTTTTAAGCATTATCTCTATGTAATTTAGTTGAGGCAAACTTGCCTTGCTAATGGGAAATCCTGTCTAAATAAATATAGGGCCATATGAAGACAGGATTACTTACTGTTGACTTTTTACTACAATAAATGTGAAGATTATTTTTCGAGAACACATTGAATTTCACTGTTCCTAAGAATGTCTTGTTTAAAATATAAATTAGTATTAATTGCCCTTTATGGTATAAATGCAATGACTGTTTCTTTTCCTTGAGGCTCAGCAGAATAAGCAGGTGTACATTGTATGTGGCTGGGGAACGTTTCTACACCAACTAATGCAAATTGAAGTGAAAGATGGAGCCAGTTATCAAAAAAAATTCAGACTCCAATTTCTTCTAATAAAACACACAAGAAATCAAGACAAGTGTAAAGAATTCTGTTGCGTTAAAATGGTCTGGAGAATCATGTGGTTGTGTGCACTACTTACATGACAATTTGCCACCTAATCAACTCAATTGCTACTTTTGGCGGCTGATAGATCAGATAAGAAACTGATCTGAGGAAAGATTAAAGTCAAATGCCTACATGAATTTATCTTTCTCTCCTTCTCTTCCACTTCCTGCTTTGAATTTTCCATGTATTACAGAGATATAGGCATATAAAATATTATTCTATCGTTGTAAAAATAAAATGAACATTTATTGTTACTGATTCAAACTTCAGTTTTAGTAGGGAGAAAAGGGATTATGGTTACCCAGTAAGCAATTTCTCAACTTCAGTGGCAGCAAATGTGACATTAGAGTGTTACTATTTTTTTTTTTTTTTTTTTTTTTTTTTTTGGCGGGGGTGGAGTATCAAGACAATGTGAAATCTCTCCATTTTTAAATGTTGGTTTTATACACACACACACACACACACACACACACACACACACAAATTTTTAAAAACCCTGTGAAGGCCAAAAGAAAAAAAAAGCCAGATATCTGTGCCCATTTCATCCCAGAGCTACCAAATTATAACCTCTAGTTTATATAGCCAAAACAAAAATATGGAAATGTAAGTGATGTCCTTAAGGCAAGGAATTTGTACTTGTAGATTTTTGCTATACATGAAACTATGAAAACCAGTAACAAAAGCAGGTGTTCGATTAGGACTCACTTAAATATTTAGTGAAGGAAACAAATTATTTTCTCATAACTTTTACTGTATTCTTTTTTATCCATTTTGAATATTGATTGAAATTTTTCTTATTCTACTACATAAACAGAATAATTTTCTTTATCATTTATTCTACTAATATGTTACTAAATTAAATAAGATATACATGCTATGAATGGTAGATAATGCACAACAATTTGTCACCCAAATTTATAGTGACTTAAGTTTTCTGTTAGATAGAAAACTATAACATCAAAATTATTTTAATCCTTATCCAGACGATGTTAGAAAAAGTAATTCATCTCTTTTACCTAGAATGCTGCTAAGACATAAGTGAAAACATTCTTTATTCCAATCTTAATATCATTTGATAGTATGCCACAACCTTCATAAGGAAGGTCTGTAAAGAAATAGCCCACACTGAGATGAGTAAATATGTGGTCGTGCAAAGACTTTGTAAATATGCAAACTGAATCATATAATTAAAACTAATCCTGCACTTAAGCGATTCTTGCTAATTAAAGATCTGAAGTGAATCTAAAATAGGTGCAAGCAAAGAGAAAGAACTGTCAATATGTTTCTAGTACTGTCCATTAAAGAGTGACTGATTGCCTCGGATATTTGAATTTACTATGTTGAGTGTAATCATTAGGTGGAGATAGTAGGTTCCCATAATCTAATCAAATTAGCCATTCATCAATTACCTAGCCTTCTCTGTCCTAATTAATTACTCGTGCTGAACAACCTTTACATTACAATTTAACTTCATATTTAAATTTGCCTTCAGAAAGGTGATAAGCAACTGATAAGATAGTTCAATAATAACACACAGCAATTTTATTACTTATCACATGTATGTGTGCATGAGTGTGCATACACACATCACACAAATTACTTTTTTATTGATTTCCAACATGCTATCAATTAAGCTTTATTATCACACGTCAGGAATCTGAACATAATCACTTCTGAATGCAGGCTTAATTATGCTCATATACCTGTAAAATATGATAATTGGATGTCAATCTTCATGAACTTCAGATTTATCTAAGGAGATTTTATAAAGTAAACACTCAATGAAAGCACTTCCAGAGATTCTGATTAATGAGGTCTGGAATGATACATCTCCACTTTTAAAGATATTAATTTCTGGCATAATGGGGTGAATAGATCAACATAGCCTCTTTCCAAAAATACAACTAAACCCAAAGCAAGCAGAAAGAAAGAAATCTTAAAGACTACAGGGGAGATAAATGAAATAGAAAACAAAATCAACAGAAAAAGTCAATGAAACCAAAGTTGATTCTTTTTTAAATATCAACAAAATTGACAGTTTAACCAAATAAGAGAAGACACAAATTACCAAAATCAGCAATAAAAGACAAAACATTACTATGTATGATGCTTCAGATATTAAGACTAATATAAGGGAATATTTTGAACAAAAATGTCATCAAATTAGACAATTTAGATGACATAAAAATTTTCTAAAATGACAAAATTACCAGAACTAAATTATGAATAAAATTTTAAAAACTGAATGGTAAATATGTTTCATTAGTCATCTAAAACCTTTCTACAAAGAAAATTCTAGGGCCTTATTGGTGAATTCTGTCAAGTTTTTCAAAAAGAAGTAATGTAAAATTTCAAAAACACTTTTAGAACTTCAGGAGAGAATCTTTCCCAACTCATTCTATGAAGCACTGGTCTCAAACAAAAAGGCACTGAAGGAAAATAAAACAAGGATCAACATATTTAATGAACATAGATGCCAAAGTCCTTACAAATTATTGGCAAATCAAGCTTAGCAACACATCAAAACAGTTATACATGATGATCTTGTAGATTTTTTTACCAGAAATTAAAGGTTGATTTACCATCTAAAACTCAATTAATATTATATTTTATATTTCTAGATTAAAGGATAAAAAACAACTGATCACCTCAAAAGACAGAAAAAAAGCCATCAAGAACATTCAGCATTAATCCATGATTAAAAATCTCAACAAACTGGTAACATAAGGGATTTTCTCAACTGGATATAAAAAAAAAAATCTCCCAAGTAAAACCTGTATCTAACATCACGCTTAAAAGAGATAAAACGACTTATTTCCTCCTAACATCAGAAAAAGGCAAGGATGTACTCTCACCATTTCTCTTCTATTCAGCATTTTGATAGAGTTTGACAGGGGTAATGAAACACACAAATAAAAAAAGAAGTCAAAGGCATCCTAATTGGAAAGAAAAATTTAAAGTCTATTTTTTCGAAAATTACATGATTGAATATTTAAATGTCATAAGGAATCCACGATAAAAGTATTAGAACAAATGAAGTTTTTGAAGGTCTCAGGAATTAAAATAAATATTTTTTTTAAATCAGTTATTTAATATTTCTGTATACCATCCAGAACCATTCCAAATGTGAGATAAAGAAAATAATTTCACTCAAAATAGCATTTCAAAGAAAAATTAAATTATAAATAAATTTAACAAAAGTACAAGATTTATATGCTAAAAGCTATACGTTGCTGAGATAAATTGGCAAGACCTAATTAGATGGAGAAATTTTCCATGTCGGTGGATTTGAAAACAATATTATGAAGATGGCAATTCTCCCAAATTGATCTATAGTATCAATGAAATTAGTATCAAAATCTCAGTGACACATTTGTTAAAATTACAAATTACTTCTAAAGTTTATATGCAAATATAAAAACAAGGTAGACAAATCAATCTGGAAAAGAAGAACAAGACTGTGTTATTTACATAACCAGTGTCAACATACTGTAAAGTTAGTATTTTAGTGTGCTGTTGGTATAAACATGGGTACATAGAACAATGATTATTCATGAGATTATTTAAGGAGAAAAATGTCTGGATAATTGAAACAAACAAAATATAATTAAAGATTAGTATAAGAATATAATCACTCAACCTTCAACACCTAAGGTTCCCCTAAAATTAAAAAGGTAGGGAGGTCAAGGGAATAGAAGGAGGAGGAGAGAACAGGAATGATGAGGACATAGGGAAACTGTCAGTCACTTTCCATGCAAGGTAAGGTTTAATATCATATTCATACAATAATATTAGGCATATAAAATGCCTGAACACTTCATCAATGATGCTTACAATTTAAAATTATATTTGTAAGTTTAATTACAGTCCAAGAGAATAGCCTGCCATAATGCTGTGTATAGTAATATTAAAAGGCAAGTGTGAGAAGCAATTTAATAACGATGAAACTAGTACACTTTTTCCAAATAAATATAGAAGAAAAGTAATATAAGCACTCATAGATATTCTATTTCCAAAGAAAGCTAACATTAACTTTTAAAAATATTTTCTTCTAGTCTTGTCTATGAAGAAGCTTTATTGTTTTCCATATAGTTTGGATTATGTTAATTATCTGTATATTATTTGTTAACTTCTTTTATCTAAGCATTTTCTGAGCAATAGTTATGTTATCCTATATTGTTGAATAATATTTAATATTTTAATATTTTATAATGCTTATTGTTTGATTATACAATATCTATTTTAAGAAATTAAAGTCTCTCAGCTTTTCAATAATTTCTACTTAGTCTAAAATTTATTTGTTTGTATGTTTCAAAATTTGTATTTTTTTCTTTGAGAGGTATGAAACTATGTGAATATAGTTAAGGCTTTTGATAGACAACTTCCACTGATTCAAATTGACTATCCAAAAAGTAGCATCCTGGTGACCCTAATATCCATTCCACTGGTATACTTCTTCATCCAATTCCAAAACCATACTCTTTTGATTTTGCCTTTTTGAGGTAAAATTTAGTATCTATTAAAACTACTCTCCCTTTCCCCAATAATCTTATTTTGTATAATATTTTAGCTTGGGTATTGCTAGATGTTTTTTTCTTCCCCATGAATTTTAAAGTTATTTTATCTGATTTTTGTAAAAAGCATCATAAGATTCAAATTAGATTTCCACTAAACATATATTGATTTTTTTGTATATTTCTTGACTATGTACTTCAATAAAATAATGTCATCTTCTCACATAAATCTTAAATATCTGTTACCTGTATTACCAGATATTTTTAATGTTCATTATTATTTTACTAAGCATCTTTTTAAATAACTTTTCTCTTCCAGCAAGTCATCGCTAGAATAAAACAATTTATTGTTTGCATATTTGGCTTGCATTCAGCTGTCATGTTAAATTCTCTTAATGATTCTGATAGATTGTCACTTCAATCTTGCCTTTTTGAAAACCACAATTACATAATACTCGAAGAATGAAAGAATGCTAATGTCAATATATTAGATAAAATCTTTAAAATAATGTTAGATGTTAAGTAAAGCTAGAAAGATTGAATGAATGGATCTCCTTATATTGAATTGCGCTTGGTTTCCTGAAGTGAATTATATTTGGTTATAATATAATCAAATTTCATCACATCATTAGTCTATATTTGTTAATATATTACTTAGAATATTTGCATCTGCATTCATATGGGAAGTTACTCTATATTTTCTAGTTATCTCAAACATATTTTGATGTTAAGCTTACGCTAGCTGCATTATATGAATTGTGGAAATTTTCGTGTGTTTGTAGATCTAAAACTGTGAAGAGTATTAACATTTCCTGCTTTTAAAAGTTATTTAATACTCAGGTATAAACATTTGTTTTTTTGTTTGTTCTTTTTTGTTTTTTGGGTTTTTTTTTTTTTTTTTTGACAGTGTTTTAGTCTGTTGGCCAAGCTGTAGTACAGTGTCACAATAATGGCTCAATTCAGCGCCAACTTCCTGGGCTCAGGGGATCCTCCCACCTCAGCCTCCCAAGTAGCTGGGACTACGATTGCAGGCCAGTACACTCAGCAAATTTTTCTTTTTGTAGACACGGGTTTCCCCATGTTATCCAGGCTGGTCTGGGACTACTGGGTTCAAGCCATCTGCCTGCCCTCTGCCTCTCAAAGTGCCAGGATTACAGGTGTGAGCCACCATGCCCAGACTAAAGCATCAATTTTTAAAATCTTCAATTTTATCTCTTCATTGCTAAGAAAGGTATTCAAGATTTAAAATCTTCTTGGGCCAATTTTGAAAAATTACTTTAAACTTGTTTTCTCTAGATGTTTAAATATTTCATTGTTTCATAAGCTTTATAACTTACTGTAATGTCTTCTATATGTAATTTTATTTCCAAACTAATTCCTAAACTTTTATATATTTCTTTCTTCTTCTTTTTTTTAAATCAGATTACTATAAAAATTTTGGCATTTTTGTTTCCTAAAACCCAACTTTAGAATTTATTTACCTATTCTTTTATTTTTCAAATTTAATACATTTTCATGTGAATTTTCTCTTTTTATTATTTTGATTCACTTTATTGTCATATCCCTAAATCCTTAAAAATAAGTACCTTAGTTCTTTTTATTTTTTTAGAGACAGGCTCTTGCTCTGTCACACAGGCTAGAGTTCAGTGGTATGTTCATAGCTCACTGCAGCCCTCAACTTTTTGGGCTCAAGGAATTTTCCTGCCTCAGCCTTTCTAGTAGCTGGGATTACAGGCACAAGCTGCAATGGCCAGCCCCTTAGTTTTTTATTCTTGGTATTTAAATTATTCATTTTCATTGGAATAATGTAGCTATACTAATGTTTTAGTATAAAGTGCTACCTTTTTATTGCTCCTTAGTTTAAAATGATAGTTTAAATTTTATTTTTGTTCCAGTATGTAGTCATAAAAATATTTATCAATTTGCAATCAGTAAAGACTATTTTTTCATTTATTATCTATATGAATCATTTTTTATCTGATTGAAATATTATTGTGTTGGGAACAGGCCTCCAAATCTGGCTATAAACTGGCCCCATAACTGGCCATAAACAAAATCTCTGTAGCACTGTGACATGCTCGTCATTGCCTTGATGCCCATGCTGGAAGGTTGTCAGTTTACTGGAATGAGGGCAAGAAACACCTGGCCCGCCCTGGGTGGAAAACCGCTTACGGCATTCTTAAACCACAAACAATAGCATGAGCAATCTGTGCCTTAAGGACACATTCATGCTGCAGATAACTAGCCAGAGCCTGTCCCTTTATTTCCACCCTTCCCTTTATTTCCCATAAGGAATACTTTTAGTTAATCCATAGTCTATAGAGACAATGCTTATCACTGGCTTGCTGTCAATAAATATGTGGATAAATCTCTGTTCAAGGCTCTCAGCTCTGAAGGCTGTGAGACCTCTGATTTCCCACTCCACACTCTGTATTTCTGTGTGTGTGTCTTGAATTCCTCTAGCGCCGCTGGGTTAAGGTCTCCACGACCGAGCTGGTCTTGGCATCATTGAGATTATTGGAGCTCAGGGTCAGTTGTCAGAGTGTCCAAAAATCTAATATCTAACTAGAAATTCTGACCTTGTACAAAGTGCTTATGTATGAGAGGGGGTTAAGCTAGATGACCTCCAAGTTACTAATCTTAAAATACACATATTACAATAATATATTATTTTAATATGTATAGTATATTACATAATTGTAAAATACATATTTTACAATTAGGAACCTGGAGTTCATCTAGCTTAGCAGCTGTACATACACACATGCACACACACACACACTGTATATATATTATATATGCATTATATATATATCTTTATATATGCATTATTTTGGGGAGCAGTTTTAGATTCACAGAAAAATTAAATGAAAGATACAGAGACTTCTCATGTACCTCTTGCCCCCATATGTACACATCCTTTTTACATTTTGTTAAACATGTTGACCTTTGAAATGTTGGAAAAATAGCACCTTTTTACATCTCAAAATCTATTTTTACAGGTAGAAAAATTGTTAGCTTACAAAAAATAAAGTTTTTCTTTTTATAGAAAGAGTAAAAATAATTTTCAAAGACAAAGTAAGAAATATTCAGCAATAAGTAGACCAAATATTTAATTTATAATATTTAGAGATTTTCTAATATCCATGAACTTCAAGGACCTCATCCTAGAAATTATATGAAAAATTCCAGCATACTTTTCTTTAGAAATACTTTGTGATTATTTTCCCACTACTCAGAATTATTGCATGTAGTTTTACTTTTCTAATGGTTCAAGTAATATTTTCCAGATTTCTCACTTCACAGAAATTCTGATGCTTTGTGATTTCTACTTTTGCCCCATGAATTCTAACAGCATCTTTACCTACAATCCTTATTGCTCAAATAACAGTAGCTTCATTTTAACTGCTGGAAATTTTATTAGTACACAAATATATTTATAGCTTAAAGACATAATTTTCTTACATTTAGAAACATTTCAAGTGTCTGCTTTCATTTTAATAGTATTTCACATTTTTTTGCCCTGCATTTGACTTTATTATCATTCTGTAATTTCCTGTCAGAACATTTATATTTAGATTTCAATCCAGTGATTTCCCTCTGGTTTATTCTTTTGTTGCAAGCCTCATAGGCAATTAACTTTCGTTGCATGGCCCTCCTGCTTGGCCTCACATAGCAGCGTTAGGAAACATCAAGAGAGCAGTTTCCTTCTGATTCTTTTTTTTTTTAGCTTAGATTTCTCCTTTCTGATGATTTCAGTCAAGAATTGCCACTCATTTCTGAGGTATTGCTCTTCTCACCATTTCTATCTCAGGCTATCTAGCCAGAACCATAATTCTGTTTTCCTCCAGGGTAAACTCCTTATTAAAATAAATTTTATGTAGCTCTGACATTACCAATGATTTTAAAACTTTCTAGTGGTTTCCAGGCTAGTTGTTAATTAATTCATAATAAATCAGGGTGGTCACATTTCAGGAATGGGTGACACTGGGTACCCGAGACCAAGGGATGTAACAGAAAGTGAACTATGAGGAAGAATTTCAAGAACTAGTTTGCTGTGGCTAGGATTCTACTAAATTCAAGTTATTTGACAAACCTGAAATTCTCTTTAACCCAGCATATATAAAATAAAATTTGATTGACTGTATTGCTATAACAGATTTGAGACTGCCCTACAAAAGTCAGTAGGTAATGTTTCATTGAAAGTCCTATGGTTCTTGAATTGCCTGTGTGGTAACTTACTTATTTCAGTCTAAGTGATATGAGGTGTATGTGTCCACATCAATATAATTATTCTGACAGCTGTTCGATTACCTTAACCAGGAATCAATATTCCCAAAATACTGTTTGGTTAATTGCAGATATCATTATGGAAATCTGCATCAGACAGTTTGCTCATTAGCAAGGGGATTTTAGAGGAAATACTATCACTGGTAAAATAGTGATGTTCAAGAAGAGTGATTTGAAAAATTTGCATACCTGTTACTTTTCTAAGATTAGTTACAAGAATTTGGAAAGTAGGGCCGACAGCTTTTGAGTTATATAACCTTGTTGATCCTTGTGGTGGGTTATTTTAATGGGCTTAGATTTTTACCTTTCCCAATATGCACATTCTTTGCCATTTGACTTTTATGTTTCTGACTTAAGAGGTGAAGTATATTACTCTGCTTCTTCATTACTGTTTTGGCCACATGACTTGCTTTATCTAAGGAATATTAGTGTAAGTGATATAACCAAAAGCTTGCCAAGCACCTGTTCAATTGAGTGTGCCTTCTTTTACCTCTACTATTCCCATAAGATGAGCTTCCCCAGGGGGCTGCTTCTACAATTGCCTGAGACCCAGAGGAAAACCCATCTCAGCTAGGAGCCAAGCCCAGCTGGAGCTACAACTTAAAGCAGAGTCACCCAGCCAAGCTTAACATAGATCAGCCAGACACTCCACCCTAACCTGCCAACATTAAGAAACATGAACTAAATATATATATTTTAAGTTTTCTTAAATGTCATTGAGAATTTGTGTCTATTATGAAGTAATACTGTAGTCATTGTACACTGGTACATTTCTACATCCTAATTCACAGGGAAGTTAAATTTGCCCTCATTATAAGGTTGGTAAGTTTTTTCCTTAAATAATCCACAAGTCCCCCTTGGAGTCTTCATGAGAAGTGCTAGGGAGAATGTCTAAGGTAGAGAGAGGTACCTGTCCAAGCTACCAGATAGGTTATATGACCATTTCATGAATACTTGCTATTAAATATTTGTATGTTAGGCAGTATTTGCTTTTTTGATACCTACCACCTGGTACTAAGGATCTGAAAGAAAGGAAGTATAGTCCCCACCTCCCTCTCAACCCCAGAGACTATGAATATTTATCAACAGATCCCTGACATTTGCTGAATGGTCAAAAGGGCTTAGGTCAGTTCTCAACAGTGAAGAATAGTAATGTTCAATTTTAGAAAATCACAGACCTTTTATCAGGAAAAATTTCATATCTGCTTCATGGGAAGATGTCCCATTTTACACAGCTATATTCGTCCTATCCCATACACATAAGAATAAGACACAATACTTTCTAAATTGGCAGCTAACAACCTCAAGGTCTGGGATTATATTTTACTGTAAGCTATAGACAGAGATGTTTAAAAATTTATACTTTCCTAATTTATGATTTGTGGATTTCTATAATTTATGACAAGAAAAAATTTCTCAACCTCTTTTATATACACAATGTTTTTCTCACTGCTGAAATTGATTTTACATTTTCTTGTGCATTTCTCCTCTCCTTTCCTCACATGCTGAATTTATATCAACTACCAGTTTTCAATCCTCAGAACAATAATTCAAGTTAGAAATGACTATCTAGAGTTGTCCTCAGTTATTCAAAACATATTCTAACTCCTCTGATTTCCAAAACTCAAGTAATTTTAATTCCTTTAAAGCATAAATTCAATGTCATACAGATGTTTAAAAAAAGGGAGAGCTATTTTTAAAAATACACATGAAAACAAGAAAAATATGTACAATATACCTCCAACAGCTCAAGGTAAGTAATTCTTCTCATAATAGGATAAAAAAGTTTCCTGGTCTTGACTTGAATGTCATTTGATATGAAAGATAATAAGAGAAAAAGCATTTTAGTGTTATACAGCTCTCTCTTGGTATCTGTGGGGGATTGGTTCCAGGATTTCCTGTAGATACCAAAATCTAAGATGTTCAAGTCCCTAATATAAAATGGTGTACTATTTGTACCTATTTTCATATACTTTAAATAATCACTAGATTACTTGTAATGCCTAATACAATGTAAATGGTATATAAATCATTGTTGAACTGTATTGTTGAGGGAATAATGGCATGGGAAAAAGTTCAGAACTGACAAAATTTCTTTTATGCAAATATTTTCTATTCTTGGTTAGTTGAATCCACAGTTGCAGAACCCACAGATAGGAGGGCTGACTGTATTCATAATATCCTGATGCTGGGAGATTTCTTTTAAGAAAGACCAAGAAGCCCTAAGTTCTGATTTAGGAGATTACAGTTACATGGTAGGACAGAATGAAAGGATATTTTCATTGCACCCACATTTCCCAGAATACATTTTTTAAATTCATTAGTAGCTGAAATCTTTGGATACTTTAGCTCTAATCTAAATGTTGACATCATGGATTTATCAGAATAATTAATAAATTTATATTTGACTTGGAATTGCACAGAATCAGAACTGTCTCAGAAATCACAATATGGTATTCAAACGAGATAATCATCCACTGATCCAAATTGCTTGTAGTGTCAGAATTAGATATTTTGTCCTGTATTAATCACCCAGGTCACATGCTTTTGGTTTACTAGTCTTTCAACTACACATTATTTTGAATATTTAAATATTGAACATTTTCACATATTTTAAGATAGCTATTACAAAATCATCATATTATGGCAATAAGATTTGCATGCATTTACTTGGTCAGACGTGTTTCTCATAGCTAATACATTTTAATTATGTTTAATTATTTTTCCTATATGTGACTATTAAGCTGCCATTTTGCAGTGCTTTATGTCAGAGAGTAATAACTGCTGATCCCAATATCTGCTCTCCTAATCTCTTTTAGCAGAGAACCATGAAGCTCTGCAATTAAGTTTTCACCAAAAAGACTAAAGTGGAAACAATGGTAACAGCTCTCAAGAACACACTTTAAAAGACAAAGTATGTATAACCTTTGCCCCTTCTCCATTTTGATCATTTCCACAATGTTGCTGTCCGAAAGCTAATTTGCACAACGAAAATAGAACTCATGTAAGCAATCTTGGAGTGAAAGGAGAAGGGACCCTTCTGAGTAGATAATATTTATATCTGGCCAGGACTGCTTGCTTCTGGACTTAATTCAAATAACAGCAATTTAAGCTCTAATGTATTTTAACTGCCAAATATTTTGGAGTCAGTTTTTTTTGTGTGTTTTTTTTTCCTTCAGCCCATCCTTAATCCTAATTTATATACTCTTTAAGGATCAGATATAAATATTTATTTGCATAACTTTGGTTTTATCCTTACTTTGAAACCATCAATGTAAAACATAATTCAGGGAAACCACTGTTTAGGGAATCAATATTCACATTTTCTGAAAAGACAAGCAGAAATAACTAATGAGCAAAAAAGACTGTTTTTGTATGCCAAGACAAATCTACCACAGAACATGGTTATGGTTACCAAGACAACACAGTCTCACCAGGAACAACAGCTTATGATACAGCTATTGCACAGGTAACACAATTTGTGGCTTGTGTTTGAGTCTCAGGCCCTTTACTGTGATGACTCCTACTCCTCTATGATCTATGACAGAACTTGCTGGTTTAATTATATGCCCTAGGTTTATGTACATAGCCCATCCACATGCACACACACAAACACAGATATGTGTAACCCATAGAGACACACATCTACTTCATTTGTACACACACAGTCAACAATTTAAGGTAGGTTGTAATTTTGCCAAATAATTGTAAGACAACAAATTATATAAAAGCTTAGAGACATAAGACATCACTTGGCAGCAAGTTTCCCAGAATCAGAGGAGCTTGAGCAGTTGCTGGAAGTTTAAGTAGAATATGGATGAATTTAATAGAAAGAAAGTGGTTATTAATAAAAAGATTATGAAGAAGCAAAATGACTGGAAAGAGTAGAAGTTTTGTGGAAAAAGGAATGAGAAACTACAACTTTGTTTGGCCGATGGTAGCTGCACTGAATATGGCCAGAACTCTGAATAACTGGTTTCTCTACAAGCCATATGCCATCACTTCAATATTCTGAGAACTCTCTTTAAAATAAACCAGGACCTCCTAAAGGATATTTAACAGATCAGAGATCTTTTTGAGATATTCTGTACAATAAAAGGATTCAATGATCAAATAAAATGGAAAATGCTTTGTAGTGATCATTATTTGGTCTGCCCAATAACGTATGCTCTTTTCAAAAGCACTTTATTTTTCTTTTTTGAGCTCTTTACTTCTAAGCTTTAGACATATGGATCTAGAGATGAACCAATCATAGTATTCCACCCCCAAAGCATGTTCCAAACCAAGCCCGTTATATGCTTTTTAGATTTTATTCTTTTAATTGGAAAAGGGGCATTTTCTCTTTGTAAGCAAAGCCATGAGGTACTAGTTTGCAAATGTTAGTGTTAATGTACCATGTCATTGAGAAAAAGACAGTCTGTAAAGAATGAAACTGATAAACAGAAGCAGATCCCTGTAATTCAATTCCCGGTTTGAACTACTGCTCACTTTTGCCATGTATTTCTGTAGTTTGGTGTCCATAAATTGTGGGGTTTTGCCCTCCTTAAACCCATTCCAGATCGAGTTCTCTCATTTCCAACAAACATAAACCAGGTTAATTCAAGCTGTAGACTTTTCTCATCAGATAAAGATTAGCACTATATATTAGCATATACAAAGTTTTAAAAATTACTCTTTTGGCTGTTTAACTTAACCCAGTATCTCTCCCTAACTGTAGAAAAGGAATCTCCATTATTTCTTAGGGTGGTGGCTCCAAATCCATATAAACTCTTCCTTCTTCTTTTGAGCTAAATTACACCATGGATGCCCTGTGCAAGCTCATTTTCCTTCTATTCTTAGAAGGGATGAGAAATATGAATCCTCTTAAGTACTAATTCTGATGGATTGGGAATGGCTATTTGGAATGCTGTGTTAAGAAGGATTTGCGTGCTGCACGGAGCTTAGTGAAAAAGAGTGCCATATTGATTAGTAGTATCTGACAGGGATTACCATGTAGAGTGCTGATGCAGGTAAAACAAAATCTTCCTCCTTTAAATTAATAGGTGGGTGGATTGGAGTGATGTTGATCAAATAATATAAAATGTCAGAAGACATAGGTTCAAGAAATCTATTAATACCATGATGACTATAGTTATTAACAACATACTGTATACTTGAGAATTGCTGAGAGAATAGATTCTTTTTTAAAAATGTGTATTTTATTTATATTGATACCTAACAACAGTACATATTTATGGGCACATGTGATATTTTGATATATGCATATAATGAGTAATAATCAAATCAGGGTATTTAGGATACCTATGACCTCAAACATCTGTCATTTTCTGCACTGAGTACATTTCAAATCTTCTTTTCTAGCTATTTTGAAATATGCTGTCAATAACTAATAGACTGTTTTTATCACAAAAATGGAAACCATGTGAAGTAATGCATGTACTATGTAGTTTGATTTGGCCATTTTACAATGTATACACATATCAAGCCATCATGTGTACACCATAAATATATATAATTTTAAACTGTTAATTTAGATATTTTTTTAAAGTAAGCTAGTCCATATGTTGACCTTTCATGACCCTCAGTCATAAAAAGATGGATCTAGAACAACTAAACACAGTTTGCTCAAGGTGCTTCTGCAATGCTTTTTTTCTTTTCTTCTTTTTTTTTTTTTTTAAGGAACCACGTTAGGTTCTTCACCTTCTAAACTTGGAGAACCCTTTCATGTTAGGACAGGCTCAGTTCCTTGTGTTATACCAACAAAACGAAATTCATAAGAAATAGAAAGAAAACTGAGGAAAAAGAGCTGCTCAAAGGTACACAATAAAAAGCAAAGACAATTGATGATCTGTTATTTTTTTCCTCCTAGAAATGCATATTTTACTTTTACCTATATAAGCTCTCTTCTTCTAGGACATTCAATATCATGCACTCTAATCCCTTGCATGGGCCTTCCATTGTCCAAGTCAGGGACAAGGAAGCCTAGATGATGCAATCTATACAGGACAGATGCTATGATGACACAAAGAGGTTATTAGAAGAGTGAAAAGTGGATCTGGAGGGGTAAATGAAAAATATCCAGCCCAGATGCTATGGGCCAATAGGAAAAGAATCAATAACAACCTTATATCTGAGCTAACAAACTGGAATCATAAGTGTTGTAGCTATAAAACTAAAACAAGACTCCCATTCTTTATAAATTCACATAATTAGCATGACTGACTATTAGAAATACCAGAGTAAGAGAACTCTCAAAGCATCAGAGTCACAAAAAGACAGGGTAGGAAAAGAAACAGTGGGAATTGAAAATAGATTAATTACAAAGGTAAATACACTCTTCCCTCTTCTTGTGAAGTAAGTTACACCATGGATGCCCTGTGGGAGCTCATTAATATCAATTCTCTTAAGTGCTAATTCTGATGGATTGGGAGTGGCCATTTGAAATGCTGTGTTGAGAAGGATTCTGGTGCTGCACACAGCTTAGCGAAAAATAACACTTCTTTTCTTCACTTCTAAGCTTTAGCCATATGGATCCAGGAATGGATCGATCATCCCTAGATGGTAGCAAGAACTGAGCATATTTTAGGTAACAGTTTACATAATTCTAAAATATATAGTAGGAAGCCAAGAAAATTTGTTTTGTTTTGTTTTGTTTTGCTTTGCTTTGCTTTGTTTTGTTTTGTTCCATTTTTGTTTATTTCACATTTAGTTGGCACCATTTAATAAGCACTGTTACAACTGATTTGCAAATGTTGACTTATATAATCCATTTAACACTAAGACATAAGTGCTATACCTCTTTTGGGGAGAGCAACAAATTCATTACAGTGAAGTTCTTGACCATAGAAGGCAATACAGACAAGTGAAGACTCTTCCCTGACAGGCAACCTGACAAAGAAAATTGTATTCTCCCTAATAAGAAAGATCATCTCAGGTAGAACGTCAACAACTCCATTGTAGAAACGTGGCATCAAAGACATGATATGTAAAATATTCCTTAACAAAATCCATTTGGATAACAAATAATTCCTTAAATTACTATTGCCATCCTATTTTCCTGTAACCTCCCCAATCCCCTCTATTTTTACAGAAGTAAACTTAGGTTAACAATAGAAGTCATATTTGCTACATTCCATCGAATACTTCAGAATCCTAAATATTGGCTAACTCCTCAAATCCATTGTCTTAGTTCATTTTGTGTTGCTAAACAGAATACCACACACTGGGTAACTTATATAAACAAAGATTTATTTCTTACATTTCCATAGGGTGGGAAGCCCAAGGTCAAGGGGCTCATGGGATGACAAGTACCTCTTTCTGTGTCATCCCATGGTGAAAGGTATAAGGGCAAAAGAGTATGCAAGAGAGCAAGAAGAGGACAAACTTGCTTTTATAACAAGCTCAATCTCATGATAACAAACCCACTCCCACAATCACAACTTCAATCCATTTATGAGAGCAGAGCTGTCATGTCTTAATCATCCCTTAATGGTCCCACCTTTTAATACTGTCACAGTGGAAATTAAATGTCAACATGAGGTTTTGAGGAAACATTCAACTTACAGCATCCATAAAACTCTTTTTTCCCCTAGTTCTACTGCCAATAGCTGTCTCAGAGGCAACCTCTGTGGGCATAATTCTCAATGCATTTTATCAGGATCATACATACTATCTCCACCAAGTCTAAATTCTGTTTTTAAGAGCCAGTAAAAACCTTAGATTCTTCATGAATATTTTATTTTTTTCTCATCATCCTTAGCTAGAAATAATATTTTCATCTATTGATATGTTTCTCAGTTGATCCTCAGCCCATTTCATTACAATTACTTGGAGTTTTGGTTAGGAATGAAAATTCTAGGCCCATTCTAGAAAACAAAGAATCCAAATCTGCATAATTAACAAGGTCTCAGAGATTCTGATAACAAATTTTAAGAAACACTGTTCTAAACTAATACAGCACTTTTCTTCTCTATTTCTCAAGGCACTCATCAATATCTGCCATGATTCTAATTATTTTGCATCTATCACTAGATTGTAGGTACTTCACAACCATGAAATGGCTTTTGTACAATACACAATTCTTTTGTATTTTTATCCTTTATAATATCTAGCACATGGCTCAGTATTAGATATATTTTAAATAAATATTTATTTCATTTTTACAATTTTCTGGGAAGAATGAGGATTTTTTTAGATATACAGTCAGTCATGCACCGCATAGTGACACTTCAGTCAGTGATGGACCACACAACATACATGATGGTGGTCCCATAAGATTATAATAGAGCTGAAAAATCCCTATCACCTAGTGATATTGTAGCCATTGTAACATCTTAGCACAACGAATTACTCCTGTGTTTGTGGTGATGCTGTACTACTAATCATATAAAAGTATAGCTACAATTATGCATTGTCTATATTTATTCTGATAAGAAATGACTGTGTTACTGGCTTATCTATTTACTATACTATACTTTTTATTATTGCTTTAGAGAGTACTCCTTCTACTTATAAAAAGCCTCAGGTATGTTCTTCAGGAGATATTCCAGAAGGCATCGTTATCATAGGAGATGATAATTCCTTCAATGTTATTGACTCTGAAGATCTTCCAGCGAAACAAGATATGGAACCAGAAGATATTGATGATCCTGACCCTTTGTAGGCCCAGGCTAACGTATGTGTTTATGTCTTAGTTTTTAACTAAAAAGAATTTTAAAATGAATACATAAAGATTTTAAACACAGAAAAAAGCTTGTAGAATAAGGATAGGAAGAAAAAAAATGTTTTTATGTAACTGTGCAATGTGTTTGTTTCCAGCTGTTATGAGTCAAGAAGTTTTAAAAAAGCTTAAGTGAAAAAGTCACAGGAAGCTAAGGTTAACTTACTATTGAAGAATTTTTCTATAAATTTCATATAGCCTAAAGGTACAGTGTTTATACTATCTACAGTAGAGTACAGTAATATCCTATGACTTCACATTTACTCACCAGACACTCACTCACTCACTCATGACAACCTCCAGTCCTGTAAGCTCCCTTCATGGTAATTGCCCTATACAGGTATTCCACCTTTTGTCTTTTACACCATATTGTATTGTAACTTTCCCATGTTTAGATATATAAATACTTACAATTGTGTTAAAATTCCCAATAGTATTTGGTACAGTAACATGCTGTACAGGTTTGTAGCCTAGAAGCAATAGGCTGTACCATACAGCCTAGGTATGAACAACAAAGTGCCCTAAGGACACATTTCTCAGAATGTATCTTTGTCATTAAGTGATGCATGCATATAGTTCCATTATTGCACAAATAATGTTAATTACTCCTTTAAAAAATTTCATAGATGATAGATTAACATGCATAGCGATAGCTATAGATATTTACATATATTATTTTTGTGTATATGTGAAAACACTATTTGTTTATCAGCATTAACAATAAAGCATGAGGCTTGAAAGTTACTACCAAGATATTTATACAGTAGGAAACCCAGGATAGTGGAAAAATGTAAAAATAAAAGATGTAAGAAGGGTCCAAGATATCACTTGAGCTAAACAGAGATCCTACCTCAATGACAGAAATATCTCCAAGGAATATGCCCCCTGATTTACCCCATGCTTCCTCTCAGATCATTTAAACAAGAGCCCAGCTAGGTTGTCTGCTTCCTTTTGAAATTATATCTGCTTCAGGCAGAGCTAGGCTCAAAGGGACCAATTACAGTGAAAAGTGTTGGGGGGTGGTTATTTCCCTTTAAAGTACCCTTTTTAGGCCTTTCCATACAGTCTTTTTTGGGACTATAAACCTAGTTGGGCAGACTGTTTTTTCCCTTATAATTCCCTATAGTAACTCATCCAGTGCTCCCTGTACCATACCCAGAACTTTCATAAATTGTGCTAATCAAGCTGAGGATAAAATGTTCATTTCTGTGTTTGTACTCCAAAGTGTTTAGTTCATTTAGTGGAAGTTTAGCTTTATAAAAGCACCATATTTCAAGCAGAGAGGATTTAGCTCTGAATTTTTGGGAAGGTTAATATCTATCTAGTTATCCAGAAAGTTTCACATGAAGATCAATTAACCTATTTTTTTTCCCCTCAAACTAGGCTTTCCTGTCTTTGGGGAGGTTGACTATCTTGAAAGCCAGTCAGAAACGTTTTTATTAAATAGCTCTACAGTCTAGCAACTTTCACTCTTTGAAAACCTTAGCCAGACATATTACTACAGAGGAGACCTTAGGCAAATAAATCAAAGAAACCCAGGGTATACACCCATTATCCATGTTTCAACAGTTCTCTTTCTGACAGATACAACTCAGGTGAACCTCTCTTTTGTAATTTCTCCTCTCAAATTTAACATGGTTCTGTGAAGTCTGTCACAGAGCAATTAAAAAGAAAATCCAATCACACAATTCAACTGTATCTTAAAATTCCAGCTTGTTCAGCTAAGACAGCTGAGACTTTTAAATAAGGAAAGAAGAAAAGCTTCCATAATGCCCTTTCTATATCATTTTTATTCAACTATGCATGTGTGTAGAGCACAGAATGACATTTACACACTTTCACTACTATATTAAAGTGTTAGCTAAACAATATAATCACAAGTTTACTGTGTCAAATACTTTAATATTAAGTAAATTAAAGTTATATTTAGATACATATGTTGTTTTAATTATAGCTTTTCTCAAGCAACACAAAACTTGATTGGTTATTATTCCAATTAGTCTAAATACCTAAGAGGATCTGGGGCAAGTTCTGTGTTAATGAATTATCACAGCAAGTCTTTTATTTATTTGGGAGCTATTAATAAATATATACTAGGGAAAAAAGGAAGAAAATCCATTCTGTGCTATATTATGAGTCTTACAAAGAGATCTAGGCTGGAGTTTCTAAATTCTAATCCTCATTTTACTGCTATTGCTTACAAAAATAAAAATCTTTGAGTGAAAGCAGAGATGACAATAGATAGGAAAACATACTGTTTTTTTTATTTTGTTTTGTGTTGTTTTGTTTTGAGACAGAGTCCCACTTTGTCACCCAGGCTGGAGTGCAGTGGTGCTATCTCTGCTCACTGTAACCTCCACCTCCCAGGTTCAAGCGATTCCGCTGCCTCAGCCTCCTGAGTATCTGGGATTACAGGCACACATCACCATGCCCGGTTAATTTTTTTGTATTTTTATTAGAGATTGGGTTTCACCATGTTGGGCAGGCTGGTCTCGAACTCCTGACCTCACATGATCTGCCCTCCTCAGCCTCCCACAATGCTGAGATTACAGGCGTGAGCTACTGCACCCGGTGGATGCTATTTTAATATTCATTACATGCCAGAAACTACACGCTGTTTGATTAATATTACAAATAACCTCCTTATTTCTTCCTTTTTTTTTTTTTTCCTCACTCTGTGGCCCAGGATGGAGTGTAGTGGCAGGATCACAGCTCAACAGTAGCTTTGAACTCCTGCACTCATGGGATCCTCTCACCTTACCCTCCTAAGTAGCTGAGATTACAGGCAGACACCACCACACCCGGCTACTTTTTTATATTTTTGTAGAGATAGTGGTCTATTTATGTTGCCTAGACTGTTCTCAAACTCCTGGGCTCAAGCCATCCTCCCTCTTTGCCTCCCCAAAAGTGCTGGGATTATAGATGTGAGCCACTGTGCCTGGCCTTATTTCCTCTTAATCAAACAGAGCAGACATCTGTATGTGGGTCAAGTCAAAGTATCTTTTATTGGATCAGTCATTTCTAAATGTCTTCTATTTATAAAAGCTCAGATTTTATCTTCCTAATAGAATGCCAATTCTTAATTTTTGCACTGGACATGCAGGCCCCAAAACCAGAGAGGAAAATATGAAACTTTTGTGTAAAACAGTCCCGAAGTTTTGGTCATTCCGGATCATCTCCTAGTCTTAAAAATCTAGATCTGAGGTTTTAAGAATCTTATGGATACAGGAATATCAGAGTATGTGGAGAACAAAACTGTGAGTCTACATTTCTAGTGAAAGGGTAGACTAGGAAAAAAGAAAAAAAGAAAGAAAGCTTATCTGCTTTCTGACCTAAGTAACAAAAATAGTCACCCCCAAGAAATCTGTAGCCAGAAGTCTATCCTGCTGTGTATTTGATATTGAATTAGCACTCTTTGTATTGTTGCCCACAAACTCCAAAGCTTGAGAAAGCAGAAAAAGCAGAAAAGCAGAAAAAGCCATCCCAGGCTTTAATTTTTCTGTCAATATAACAGCTAAAATATGCTTTGGAAGTATACATTCTCATCCCAAGTCCTCATAAAATTCTCTCAGATAATGCTCTAGTGAGCATGAGTTCACAGGACCAAACTTAAAAATACAACAGGAAGTTAATCAATATAAGGCAGAGTTTGCAGGAAAAGCAAACAGCAGAACCTGACCTACAACAAATTCAGATATAAAACAAAAGTGGAGTGACAGGTTTAAACTGTTACAAAGAACTTCATATTATGGGGATGGAGGGAGAGAGAAGAAAAAATAATAATTAGTATTCATCCTTACTAAAGAAGTATCTGTATTAACATTTTAAGAGTATCTAAAATAAAAATGAAATGTATATACTTCAATTTATTGTCAAGGTTGTGGGGGCATACAAATAAAAATCAATCAAAATATATAAAGAAAGCATAGTATCTAGGTATATCAGATTAATATATTGTAAGTCATATGTAAAGAAAGCAGAAATTAGCATATATGTACAAAACTATCATTAATTATAATAAATACTTATTGATTGAACTCAAGAGTTAAATAGGAAAATAGGAAAAGGGATGATTTTGTTGGATAAAATACAATCCAGCTATTTGCAATTTAAAATCTGCCTGTTCAAGACATAGGACACAGAAACTTTGCATGTAAACTAACAGAAGAACGTGACTAATCATAACCTAAAAATCCATCAAGCAAAAATATAAATAACCATAAAAAGTAATGGGCAAATCCATAATCAATATAGTTTAATACAACTCTCATAATTGATGGATCAATTTAAAAAATCAATAATAAAGAAGATTTAAACAAAGTGATTACAAATTACTTAATAGACACAGATAACCCAGTAGTCAACAGAGAATACACATTCTTTTCAAGTATTTGTGGAAAAGAAAGTAATATTTTTATTAGATTGAAAGGAAAAGTACTGAATTTTTAAAAAATACAAACAACACTCAGACATAATTATCATTAGATACCAACACATAAGCAAAAATAATAAAATAAATTAAAAATTAAAAAGCACAATTCTGAGCATAAATCATGATGGATATCTGAAAATATGTAAATATAATGAAAATGCTATCTATAATTTTTCCTTTAAGTGCTTATAAGAGGAAATAAACCTGAAAATTAATAGGGTAATTATTTCAAAAAATCAAAAGTACATAGAAAAGTATACAATAAATATAAAATTAAAATGTAATGAAATTGAAGGTAAAATGCAATACATAAGATTCTTAAATCTGAATATTGGTTATTTAAAAGAGAAATTAATGAAATAGATAAACCTATGACAATTTTGATTAAACAAAATAAAATAAGTTTCAAATAAGCAATATTAACAGTACAGAAGGGTAAATAACAGCAGTGTTTTTCAAAAGATATATAAAAATACATACACTATGACTACTTCAACTTGAAAACATCTCACATTCTAGAGAATACACTAGAAAAATATAATTTACAAAAATTAACCCAATAAGAAATAAAAAGCATTAATAAGGTCTACATATTGATAAGATAAATCACTGCTTAAATATCCAATCCAGAGAGAGAGGAAGAGAAAGAAAGAGAGACAAAGGAAAAGGAAGAAGGGAGAAAAGGAGGAAGGAAGGGAGGGAGAAAAGGAAGGAAGAAAAATAAAACATCACACACAGATGGAAAAATAAATGATTCATCATATATAATTGTTCCAAGAACTTGAAATACAGCAGTCTGTCCTATCAATGCATGAATCAGTATAAATTATTGTGATAAAGATTGGTAAATGTGGTAATATAATCCATAAAATTTTGCCTGGGCTCATAGGCCACCAGTTAGATACTACATTTCTTATTATTCCTTTTTTTAACTGTTATTTTAGGTTTGGGGGTACATGTGAAGGTTCGTTACATAGGTAAACATGTGTCACGGGGGTTTGTTGTACATATTACTTTATCACCCAGGTATTAAGCCCAGTACCCAATAGTTATCTTTTCTGCTCCTTCTCCACCTGCCACCGTATCTCCTCAAATAGACCCCAGTGTCTGTTGTTTCCTTCTTTGTGTTGATAAGTCCTTATCATTTAACTCCTACTTATAAGTGAGAACGTGCAGTATTTGGTTTTTGTTCCTGAAACACTTGCCTGCATGTGTCTTTGTGGCAGAATGATTTACATTCCCCTAGGTATATACCCAATAATGGGATTGTTGGGTCTAATGATTGTTCTGCTTTTAGCCCTTTGAGGAATAACTATACTGCTTTCCACAATGGTTGAACTAATTTACACTCCTACCAACAGTGTATAAGTGTCCCCTTTTCTCTGCAACCTTGCCAGCATCTGCTTTTTGACTTTTTTAATAATAGACTTTCTGACTGGTGTGAGATGGTATCTCATTGTGGTTTTGGTTTACATTTTTCTAATGACCAGTGATGCTGAGCTTTTTTTAAAACATATGATTATTGCCTGCATATCTTCTTTTGAGAAGTGACTGTTCATATCCTTTTCCCACATTTTAATGGGACTGTATCTTTCTCTTGTAAATTTAAGTTCCTTACAGATGCTGAATATTAGACCTTTGTCAGATGCACAGTTTGCAAATATTTTCTCCCATTCTGTAGGCTGTTTACTCTATTGATAGTTTGTTTTGCTATGCAAAAGCTCTATGTTTAATTAAATTCCACTTCAATTTTCGCTTTTGCTATAATTGATTTTGGTGTTTTTGTCATAAAAATCTTTGCCCGTTCCTATGTCCAGGATGGTATTGCCTAGGTTGTCTTCCAGGGATTTTATAGTTTTGGGTTTTACAGTAAAGTCTTTAATTCATCTTCCATTGATTTCTGTGTATGATGTAAGGAAGGGATTCAGCTTCAGTCTTCTGCATATGGCTAGCTAGTTACCCCAGCACTATTTATTGAATATGGAGTCATTTCCCCATTGCTTGTTTTTGTCAGCTTTGTTGAAGATCAGATGTGCGGCTTTATTTCTGGGCTCTCTATTCTGTTCCATTGGTCTATGGGCCTGGTTTTGTACCAGTACCATGCTGTTTTGGTTACCGTAGCCTGGTAGATGGTTTGAAGCCAGGTAACTTACTGCCTCCAGCTTTGTTCTTTTTGCTTAGGATTGCTTCAGCTATTCAGGCTCTTTTTAGTTCCACGTAAGTTTTAATTACTTTGTTTCCCCTAATTCTGTGAAGAATATGGTTAGTAGTTTGATAGGAGTAGCATTGAATCTACAAATGGCTTTGGGCAGTATAACCATTTTAATGATGTTGATTCACTCTATCCATAAGCTTGGGATAATTTTCCATTTGTTTGTGTCTTCTCTGATTTCTTTGAGCAGTGTTTTGTAATTCTCACATAGAGATCTTTCAGCTCTCTCATTAGCTGTATTCCTAGTTATTTTATGCTTTTTGTGGCAGTTGTGAATGGGATTGCCTTTCTGATTTGACTCTTGGTTTGGCTGTTGCTGGTGTATAGGAATGCTTGTGATTTTTGTACACCAATTTTGTATACTGCAACTTTGCTGAAGTTGTTTATCAGCTGGAGAAGTTTTTGGGATGAGGGTTTTCTAGATATAGAATCATGTCATCTGCAAACAGATATAGTTTGACTTCTTCCCTTCCTGTTTGGATGACCTTTCTTTCTCTTGCCTGATTGCTTTGGCTAGGACTTCCAATACTATGTTTAATAGAAATGGTGAGAGACAGCATCATTGTCTTGTGCCAGTTTTCCTCAAAGCTAGATAGGCTATGAATCTATATTTTAGCCAGTAAGAAACAAGCAGAAATCATTTACAAAAACTTTGGAATAACATCCTTAAAAAAAGAAGCTAGTTGCCTCTCATTTTCTCTTCCTCTCTCTAAAGCAATAAAAGTGGATTAAATGCAAATGACTAGTTTCCATTTAGCAGAATGAGGATGATACAGTGAGGTTTTGTGTAGGGACAGTTTAGAAGCAACTTGGTCTGTAGATGTCTTAATATCTGAAACATCTGCCTGAATATGAACTGAGAAATAATCTTTTCTCTTCTTTGTGCTATGGTGATTGTATCTCTGTATAACACTATAGTAATCTTTATCCTACAACCCCAACTCCAGACAAGGATATCATGACACAATAAAGGTATTAGCTAATTTTACTTTTATACATAAATCCAAAGGAACAAATGAAATGCAACCAAAGTGAATCTTCTAAAATATATTTAGAAAGTCATAACCAAGTTCAATTATTCAAGGAATATAAAGATGGTTTAACTTTAGGATAGTACTTTACCATATTACTAGATTAAAGGGAAGAGAAAATTATCAGCTCACTAGGTGCAGAAACAAATATTTCACTAAAGTTTTCAAATTCAAGATTAAAATTAAAAATATAAACAATTTTTCAGCCATCTAGGAATAGAGCAAATTTTTAAAATTGAATAAGGTGCATCTATCAAAAACCCTACAACAAAAAATGGATATAAAAATGTTAGAAATATTAGCTTTAAGAGTTTGAATAAAACAAAATCCTTTTATCATAAAGGATATTAAATATCGCACTAAACAAATCAGTCAGTGCAGCAACTCAAGAAAAACAAATAAAGGTGTAACAATGAAATAGAAAATACTCTTATTCATTGACAACATAATTATTGACTTAGAAACTGAAACAAGTTATTTTTTTAAAAAGAGTTAAATAAGGATATTGAATATAAGATTATACAAATAAATGTGTTAAATAAAAATAATGCATAAAAATTAGTAATAAGTATTTAGAAAAATGTGCTTTATAATAATTAAATGTTCTAAATTCTATGTATGTGTGTGTATAAAATAAAAGAATTCCAGTAAAAATGTTTAAGTTTTTGTGCGTATCAGGGCAAACTTATTCAAAAATTTGTATGAAAGAGTAAAAGGCCAAGTACAGTTAAAATATTTTGTAATTAAAACAATTGGGGGGTGTCGACTTGCCCTATTAGATGTTAAATGTTATGATAAATTTATAATAGGACTGTAAGTACAGTATTGATGTAGAGATAAATGAGCAGACAGAAGAGAAAAAGAGCCACAAAACAAACATATGTCTATAGGGAAATGTCATTGGTGAAAAAAATGTAATTGAATATCACTGCAAAAAGGTCAGACTGATTTAAAACCTACAGTTGGAATGATATATTAAACTATATAGATTCCTATCTCACACTATACACAAAAGTACATTACTGAGAAAAATGAGAATTTTAAAGCTTTAGTAAAAAAATGAAATTTTTTTTTAATTTCCAAAAGGGGATCATTTTTTCTTAAAAATAAAGTATACATAATAATTTAAAACATTGAAAGTTTAGCTGTATTTAAATAAAATTTTATGCATGTCAAAAAACAACATAAACAATAAAGAACATGTCACAAATGGGGATAGTCAAATTGCAATGTTTATATTATCAACATAACCTAGTAGCCACACATATTACAAATATCTGTTAGTCAGAAATGAGGTTGTCAATAAGTATATAAATGTTCAACCTCATAGGTAATCATGGAAATATACAGAAAGCCACAGTGAAATTCAATTTCACATATAACAGAACGGCAAACAAATATTTAAGTGAATGTGAAAAAACTAAAATTTTAACCACTGACAGTGAGAGTGCAGTTTAGCACAATGGTATTTGATAACTAAGTTGGTGAATTCCTAATAAAGTTGAAAAGCTGCACATGCTTCAACTAAGTGATTCCACTATAGGTTTATGTCTTAGAGAAACTCTTGAATATTTTCTCTTATAGACATGTACAAGAATACTCAATGCAGCACTATTTGAAACCTCAAAGAATTTCAAAATAACTTAGACGTCAAAATAACATTTGTCAAAATAGATGATAAATGTTAGTATATGCATATTAGGGCATTCTACAGCTATGAAAATAAATTATACAAAGCTCCAGGAATAATCATAATTGTATATTTCAGTATATATTACCACATGAAAAATACTACTATACATTGCATTAATTTGTATACATATATAATAAAGTGCATAGGAAAAAATGAAATTTGTAAATGCTAATTCAAATTTAAAATGATGATTAACTCTGATTGGAAGGGTGGAGAATATAATTCAGGAGAATATAATTCAGGAGAATTAGAAAAAGTTTTTTTGAAATATTATTTTCCTCTCTTTCTGCTTTTTTTTTTTTTTTTTTTTTTTTTTTTTTGAGACGGAGTCTCGCTCTGTCGCCCAGGCTGGAGTGCAGTGGCGGGATCTCGGCTCACTGCAAGCTCCGCCTCCCGGGTTCACGCCATTCTCCTGCCTCAGCCTCCCAAGTAGCTGGGACTACAGGCGCCCGCCACTACGCCCGGCTAATTTTTTGTATTTTTAGTAGAGACGGGGTTTCACCGTTTTAGCCGGCATGGTCTCGATCTCCTGACCTCGTGATCCGCCCGCCTCGGCCTCCCAAAGTGCTGGGATTACAGGCGTGAGCCACCGCGCCCGGCCTCTTTCTGCTTTTTGAAATTACTTCACAATTCATATAAAATGTATCAATATATTAAGATAATTTTTGTAGTATGTGACTACTGAGTATAGTTGTAGGTGAATATTAAAACATAAACACAAAATTATATATAATAATATAACTACATTAAAACAAAGAAACAAAAACACTGAAGTTACATCATTTTAAGTGAGTTAATTTAATATTAGATACACCAATTTTAAGAGTAGAACCTAAGCCAATGAAGCCATTTCTTTGAAGGATCTAATCTTCCCTGTTTTAGCACAGATAAAATTTTCCCAAACTCAGGAGCATGTGAATAATAACACTATAAAGATACTTGGAGGAACAAAGAATTTGTCACCATGCTAGGAACTCATCTGCTTTTCTGATTAATATTAAATGTGAGCAATTTCAGACTACTGATTAGATTTATCAATAATTAATTCAAAGTTATTGTGGATGATTGAAGTTATTTCATTTAATGGGATTCTCAAATGACTTTTAACATCATGATACAAATTTTTTATGACATATAGCTCTGCATACACTTTGGCAACCCTGTCAGACATACTTTGTAATAATAAATCAACCAATCTCAGGGCACACAGGAGGAAAACATGTTTTAGGCTAATATCTAATAAACGCTTACAGAAAAACATTAGGGGTAGCAAGACTGTTGTTCTTTTGCATCTCAGTGACTTATTTTAATTTTTAATTTATTTCATTTTAAGGTATGTTTATTCTTTTTTTTTTTTTTGAGATGGAGTCTCACACTGTCACCTAGGCTGGAGTGCAGTGGCGCGATCTCAGCTCACTGCAACCTCCGCCTCCGGGGTTCAAGTGATTCTCCTGCCTCAGCCTCCTGAGTAGCTAGTATTACAGGCATCTGCCACCACACCCGGCAATTTTTTTGTATTTTTAGTAGAGATGGGGTTTCACTATGTTGGCCAGGCTGGTTTCGAACTTCTGACCTCGTGATTCGCCCGCCTTGGCCTCCCAAAGTGCTGGGATTTTACAGGGGTGAGCCACCGCGCCCAGCCAGGTATGTTTATTCTATAATTTTATCTGCATATAAGAAAAGACAGTCGAAATAACAGCTTCACAGTCAATTTAGTGTATCATTATTATAATATGTATATTTGTAATGAGAGTTTTTGTTATATTTGGAGACCTTATAAATAAGTCTATCAAAATAAAATGTTGATATTCATTCAAAAATAGAAATTTTCATTATATCAAAATGTCATTTTTTTTTCTTTTGAACACTCCTGTTCCTTGGTTCACAGAATAGTTACTTTAACTAAAGGAAATTAATACGTATTTGTATGCTAAGTCTCTCCTGAGAATATAAAAGTTGATGGAATAGTGAGACAACTTATTGAGAATTCTTGAGCCAATGAAAATGGCTACTGAGGAAAATGAGTGATATCCACAATTTCAGAGGATCTACATAACATTTGCTCAGAACTCTACATGACATCTATGAGTCTGAAAGTATATTCCTGAAAAAGTGTAACTTCATCCCAGAAACACATTTTAAACTATTTAAAATATTTAAAATATATAATTCTATATCTAATTGAAGAGTTTCACATAAAACTATACATTCAACTTATTTGTAATAGCAAGCAAAAAGTGTCTATGTGCTGATTGAATTAGAAATGTGCAAAACCAATATAAAAAGCTGATAAACTTTTCCTTGAGCTATATATGTATTTTTTAAACAAATGAAGGGATACAATGTATTGCTTGGTGAAAAAACAGTTGTAAAATATTAGCTTCTCTTAAATTATTCCACATACTTGGTGTAAATACCTGTGGGTTTTTAAAAAATTTTATAATTACTCTGGACAAAACAGTAATTATATAGCAATACTTCTTAGTCAAAGACAACCCTATGAGGCAGGTATTTTACAGATGATGCAATTAAGACTAAGACAGTTTAAGTTTTTGTTATTTTCTGATATTATCCAGCTATAATTAGTGCTGCTTTTAAATTCAACTTTCTCTGCCTCCAAAGTTATCTCTGTCAAAAAAAAGAAAAACTATGCTCTTTTGAAGAAAAAAGAAAAAAGACGGAAAGAAAACAAGAGGAAAGGAGGAAGAAAAAAAGAAAGAAAACAAATAATTAACATATTCTGCTACTGTGTCAGAAACAGACTGACAAAGCAATGGAAAAAAAAATGGAAACCCATAGGTATATATGTAGATATATATGTATTATATCATTACATATACAATATATAATAAAATATTTGACATAAAATATAATTATCTATGATTTATACATGATCTAATTATATATGATTATACATAATAAAAGAACCATTTCAAATCAGTTAAAATACAGCAAAAATAAATGAAGTTGTGACAAAAATAAAACTAGAGCTGTTTCACACAACAGACTACAATAAATTATGAGTAATAAACCATTGTACAACTTGAAACCATGACAAGCAATAAAAATGGACAAAAGGAAACTACAAAGCAATAAAATAAAAACATAGGAGGCTATTCACATGAACACAGTACAGAAGACTTTTTATATTTAACCCCTAGGACAGAATTCTATAATTCAAAAATTTCTAAAAATGAGTTTTTTTTACAACTCATCTGGCAGCAAAACCTGAATTCTCTTAAACTGAGGCAACAAATGCTGTCCCGAACTAATATAAGGTTATTCTCCCACATACTGCAAATTTCAGTTATTTTTTCTGAAGAAACCTCAATGTTAGATTATAGGATGTTTCCCCAGACCTCAGCAGTGTGTTTAAAAATATGTGGTATACACATAGTACTGTCTTTTAAAGTCAGAAAAATTCTGAACTCTACTACACATCTATCCCAGGGGTTTTCGTTTGTACTGCCTATTAAATCAGAAAAGCACCAAAAATAACTAGAGGCATTCAAAAAAACATTGCAAAACATTCCAAAGATTTTATGCCCTTAATATAAAATGAGTTCTTTGCAGTCAGAGAAAAAAATGTATTCACTAAACTAATAGAAAAAAAGAGTTGTGTTGGGTTAAAAAAGCAGATAAACCACCAAAGAGGAAAAACAATTGGCTCATAAGAATAAATAACAATGCAAAATGTCACTGGTATATAGATACAAAAAATAAATTATTGCTGAGATATCATTTTTCCTTTGTACAATTATCAAAGATGTAAAAAGAACACTAATACCCAGAATTGGCACAGGTTTATTGAAATTTCAATAATTTGAAGAAATGGACATTCACATACTCAGCTGGAAATAATGTAAATCAATAAAATCTTTTAAGGCTGGGCGTGGTGGCTCATGCCTGTAATCCCAGCATTTTGGAAGATCAAGGTGGGTGGATCACTTGAGGCCAGGAGTTCAAGATCAACCTGGCCAACATGGTGAAACCCCAGTTGGACTAAAAAAAAAAAAAAAAAATACAAAAATTAGCTGGGCGTGGTGGCAGGCACCTGTAATCCCAGCTATTCAGGAGTACTGACTGGAGGTCATTATCCTTATCAAATAAACATAGGAACAGAAAACTAAATACCACATGTCCTCACTTATAAGTGGAAGCTAGATAATGAGAACACATGGATATACAGAAGAATTGAAAAGTTTCAACTGACTCTTGCAAAATTTTAGGCCCCAAATTTGTCCATTCATCTTCCTAATCCCAAATCAATTAATAGCAGTATGAGTGTTGGTATCCTGTAAGTTGCCTGAGGCAGGAGAATCACTTGAACCCAGGAGGTGGAAGTTATGATGAGCAGAGATCACACCACTGAACTCCAGCCTGGGTGACAGATCCAGGCTCATCTCAAAAATAAATAAATAAATAAATAAATAATTTTTTAAAGATCAGTTTAGCCATCCCTACCAACCAGCAACAGAATTTCTTAAAAAACAGATATAGCAAATTATCTTAAAGATTAAAAAATTATAAAAAAAATTTAGCTATTATGATAGTCATTGCCATATTATGAATAATGGAAAGTTATGAAATAATACCTAACAAGAGGTTTTGTTGATAAACAACGATGTATCGGAAATGATCACCACCAAGGCATCAAAATTATGTTTTTGAAGAAGTATTAATGAGAGAGATGATCTGGTAAACATCAGGTTACAAAATAATATGCATATTATGGCCACATTTATTTGTTTTAAAATTTTCATACACACACATATAAAAATACATAAACATATTTATAGAAATGTTTTTTGATTTTGTAATCAAATTCAGTGGAGTTCTATGTCCCAAGCGTTCACTGGCCTGATTTGGGAATTATCCAAATATCGGCCCTTATTACCAATCACTCTTTGGCCTTAAATCATGAAAAAATACCCAGGCCTATTTAGTTCTGAAGATTTTAAAAAAATACCTTTGTTTAGGTCCATTTAAAACTCCACAACTTTGTTCTCTACAGAAGTCACTTCATTTATTCTTAAGTAAACTTCGATTATCTTAGCTTTCCCAGTACTTCAGTACAAATTGCAATGTGCATGCATTTTTTAGTGATCACTTAGAGAAGAAATTGTCTTTGATCCTTGAAAAATAAGATTTGATTAGATTCTGCAAAATGGACTGTAAGGTCCATTTCTATTTAACTTTCATTTTCATAAGAAAAAAGCCTTTAAAAATGTAACCTGTAACTGACTGAATGGTTAATTTTTTAAAAATAAGTTTATTTTCAACAGCACTCCAATCTTGCTGTTTATGCCCAATTGGATGTGGTAGAAGTAATATAATATATTCATGAAGAGCGCATTCACTGAAATCATATTATTCTGCTTTGAACTGCAGCTCTGCTGCTTACTAGCTGTGTAGTCTTGACCAAAATCCTTAGTTTAATCTCTGCCTCAGTTTACTCATATTTGAAATAAAAATAATATCTATCTCATAGGATGATTATCAGAATTACGTTGGTTACTAATTGTAAGAATCTTAGAACAGTCATCAACATGTAGTAAGCACTATGTAAGTCTTCATTAATGAATAAATTATAAAGTATTCAAAAGCAGCATATCTGTTTCTTTATACTTGAATATAGTAATTTGTCCAGTGGTCACTAAAAATCCAGAAAATGTTCAGCAATAGGAAAAGAGATAAATAAATTAAACACCCATTATCTCAATCATTTATTAATAATTTCACAAAGATGAAATAATGATGTGTGTTCTAATGAGGAGCAAGATGATTCAGGATTTTATGACACAGATAGAGGAAGATTAAAGTTCACTTTTATTTCAAGAACTGTTCCCTGTTCAAATTCTCAGAAGGCATGGGGAAACAGAAGATGTTTTATTCATAAGGTATGTTGTGGGATATCAACACTTATACTGCTATTAATTGTTTTGGAATTAGGAAGAGGAATGGACCAATTTGGGGGCTAAAAGTTTGCAAGGGTTAGTTGAAAATTTCCAATTATTCTATGTGTCCGTGTGTTCTCATCATTTAACCCCACTTATAAGTGAGAACATGGGGTGTTTGGTTTTCTGTTCCTGTGTTACTTTGATAAGGTTAAGGACCTCCAGTTCCATCCATGCCCCTGCAAAAGACATGATCTCATTATTTTTTATGACTGCAAATTATTTGATGGTATATATGTACCACATTTTCTTTATCCAGTCTATCTATCATTGATGGGCATTTAGGTTGATCCTGTCTTTGCTATTTGCAATGAACATACACATTCATGTGTTAGAATGATTTATATTCTTTTGGGTATATACCCAGTAATAGGATTGCCAGGTTAAAGAGTATTTCTGTCTTTAGGTCTTTGAGGAACCGCCACACTGTCTTCCACAATGGTTGAATTAGTTTACACTCCCAGCAACAGTGTATAAGCGTTCTTTTTTCTCCACAAACTTGCCAGCATGTTTTTTTTTTTTTTGACTTTTTAATAATCGCCATTCTGATTGGTATGAGATAGTATCTCATTGTGGTTTTGATTTGCATTTTTCTAATGATCAGTGATGTTGAGCTTTTTTTTAAATATGATTGTTGGCTGCATGTATGCCTTCTTTGAAGTGTCTGCTCATGTCCTTTGCCCACTTTTTAATAGGATTGTTTTATCTCTTGTAAATTTGTTTGAGCTCCTTATAGAAGCTGGATATTAGACCTTTGTAGGACGCATAGTTTGCAAAAACTTTCTCCCATTCTGTAGGTTTTCTGTTTACTCTTTTGATAGTTTCTTTTGCTGTGTAGGAGCCCTTTAGTTTAGTGCGGACTGTAGGAGGAGGGAAAGGATCAGGAAAAATAACTAATGGGTACTAGAATTAATACCTGATTGATGAAACAATCTGTACAACAAACCTCCATGACCCAAGTTTACCTATGCAACAAACCTGCACATGTACAACTGAACTCAAAATAAAAGTTATTGGGTAAAGGAAATGAATGATATTTACACACAATAGAGTACTATTCAACCATAAAAAAAGAATGCAATCCTGTCATTTGCAACAACTTGGATGAAACTAGAGGTCACTATGTTACGTGAAATGAGGCAGGCACAGAAAGACAAACATTAGAAGTTCTCCTTTATTTGTGAGATGTAAAAATAAAACAAAATGAACGCATGGAGATACAGAGCAGAAGGAAGGTTACCAGATGTTGGGAAGGGTAGTGAGGAGGTTGGGGGAGAGATGGGGATGGTTAATGGCTACGAAAAAAAATTAGTAAGAATGAATAAGACCTGGTATTTGATAGCACAACAGGGTTACTATAGTCAATAATATTTTAAGTGTACATTCTAAAATAACTAAAAGAGTATAATTGGATTGTGTGTAACACAAAGGATAAATGCTTGAGGGAATAGATACTCCATTTTTCATGATGTAATTATTATTATCATGCATTGCATGCCTGGCCTGTATCAAAACATCTCATGTACCCTATAAATACATATACCTACTATGTACCTGAAAAAATTAAAAAATTGAGAATGCATGTATACGTATGTAACAAACCTACACGTTGTCCACATATACCCTAGAACTTAAAGTATAATAAAAAAATATAAGAAAAATAAATGAATGAATAAATAAATAATTCAATTTTCCATCATTTTTTATACAAGCAAGGAGAAATAAAAGAGAAATTGAGGAAAATTAAGATTCCAGTAGGCCGGGCGTGGTGGCTCACACCTGTAATCCCAGCACTTTGGGAGGCCGAGGTGGGTGGATCACGAGGTCAGGAGAACAAGACCATCCTGGCTAACACGGTGAAACCCCGTCTCTACTAAAAATACAAAAAATTAGCCAAGCGTGGTGGCGGGCGCCCGTAGTCCCAGCTACTCGGGAGGCTGAGGCAGGATAATGGCGTGAACCCAGGAGGCGGAGCTTGCAGTGAGCAGAGATCCCACCACTGCACTCCAGACTGGGCCACAGAGCAAGACTCCGTCTCAAAAAAAAAAAAAAAAAAAAAGAAAAAGAAAAAGATTCCAATAAAGGATAATTTGAGGGTATTCCTATTCCCACCCTCAAACCCAAACAGAAATAAACTCCTCTAGCTATGCCTGGAGCTCACCAGAGCCTGGGCTGTATATATGTGTGGTTTCTGTTACACTCCTGCTGCAGTGAGTTACTTTAATCAGAATTACACTCCAGGGGTAGTGAAGCAGCATTAGAACGAGAAAGGAAACTCTCCCAACTGGCTACTCCTGCCAGAGGCTCTGCTATAATCGAAATGAATGTTAGAAATAGATTTTTATGGATAAAATTAATGTCTGTTCATTAATATATTCAAATTGTGTTATTGGTGAAATAATGAGTAATATTCAAGAAATATGGTCTGGATAAACGATCAGAAGACTACTCTTTGCATGAATGAATGTAAGAGACTGTTAAGCCCAATAGCCTCTATATTTAGGGACAGCGATCTATATACTTAAAGCATAAATGATTACATGTCCTCTGACTATTTTTAAAAATCCAAGGTCTCCTGATTCAAACAGAAGTTAAACTAAGCCCCAAACTGGAATGCTGTTAAATTTTCCTCAGGTAAAACTTTGAGATAAAGTGTTTTCCAAGGTTTCCAAGGACAAGAGAAACAGAGAGAGAGAAGGGGGGCGGCAAGAATTTGGTTTCTGACATTTTTCTTTACAACCTAGTTGCAGGACAGGTAATTTTCTCCTCCAACTACCACTGCCAAACAAAACCAAACCAACAGACTCACGAAAAAAGCTGTGTATTGCCAAATTGGGATAGACTAATTCATATTTTTAATTTCATAACAATTATTAAAAGTATTATTTCTCATAGCAAACAATTGTAGTTACTCAAATATATTTAAATTCCATGTCACACTATTCAATCATATGCTATCACCATTTTCATAGTGCACACACTTAATTTGAGTATGGGACATGGAAATTTGACTCCAAATTTTCTAGGAAATCTAGAAAAATATCTGAATTGATCTAGAAAAAAAAACACTAGCTGAGAAAGAAATATTAGGGAGTTATCTCAGAAAAAAAAAATATTTCATGGGCCAGTGGGTTCCAATACGACTTCTAGGTAGCTGAAGTTAGTGCTACTATTAACTGTCAATTGATTTATTTGACACTTATCAAAGAACACTGTGAACAGCACAGTAAGCAATGTACTTTTACAACAGACTTAAATTTGCAACCATCTGTGCAATTTAGAAACAGATGGTAAAAATTCTGGCCTTTTTTTTTTTAACCTGGCTTTAAGGAAGGCGAAAAATAGTCTCATTTCACAAAGTGTTATATTCAGCTACATTTAACCTATTTTAGTCTCCATAGGATCTGAAACAACTGCTTTTATAAATCATTATGGTAATCTTTAAATAGAATAATTTGATTTAATTTACATATGCATTATGTTTCTTAAGTTAGATCTATGTAATAAAGAGGAAGAACATATTTATATATGTAAATACTAAACTAAAATAACAACTACATTAGCATGGTCATTATATTCTGTTAAAGTACTTCCCTAGTTATCTCTAAACTTATTTTTATTAAATACTTGCAATACTGGCAGAATAAAAAGAGGTGCATTTGGGAGTTATTGCAGTTGCTACTTTGCTTTATATTTCAAACAAGTTGCCTAATTATCTGCTGGATGTTAGAGACTAAGACTCCCCAAAGAACAGATGATATAGAGACTCCTTCTGCATTGCTTATCAACATTCTTACTTGGCTTGGGAATGCCTTAGGATTCAGAGAACTCTCAGTTTACTGTAGCTACTCTCAAAAATGGCTAGTGACTGACACATTGTGATAAATTTAAATTTCAACAAAATATGTTAGAGTGGTGGGGATGTTATATGGCATCAGACTAGTTCAAAAAATGCCCAGGACTACTCCCACCCAGATTTTCCAGGCAGTGGGAAATGGAAGTATAGTGAAGAGAGAAGAATGACAAGAAAGAATTTCTATTTCATAGAATATTCTCTGTTTGATGATCAATGTGTTACAAAAGTTGACAGATTATAGGTTAACCCCTAAGTATCTATGCCCACCCCATTAATCCACACCCAAATTTCCAGTCTATCTGCATGAATTTGAGTCTGGCCTGAAATCAGAAACAAAGATGGGGCCAGGCATGTTGGAAAGAGAATACTTGGTCTGGCATGAAAGCATTGAACAGCCAGAGCCAGCAGCAGAGTTAGGGCCAGCTGGATCCAAGGAGGAACTGGCATGAAACAGTGGTGGGATCAGTTCCCAAAGCAGAGACGAGGCTAACCAGAAGGGAGGAGAACAAGTGGCCACATGGCTGAGAAGAGAGCCAGGCATTCAGGATTCCCATATATCCAAATCAGCCTCATTCCCCAGTGATCCAGATATAAAAAGTTTTGTTTTATTTCTACATAAAGACACAGTATTTGGTATGAAGCCCAATGCAACGTTTTTGCCAGCAATCATGGCCCAATTCAGTCAAAATTCACAGGGAAAAAATTTTTTTAAAAGAAAAACACAAGCACAGTTTCAGTTATGTATTATGTTGCAAATACTTGAATTTCAGGGTAATACTTATCATATTGACAATGTAATGACAATATCAAATTGCTATGATGTGTAGAAAATTCAAATAAAGACAACATAAAAGGATTCAAATGTAATCATTATAACATATTGCAGACTGCAGATCCGATTTTAGAAATTTAATAAAGATAATGGTAATGTTTTTTTTTCTTTCTTTCTTTCTTTTTTCCTTTAGAGAGAGTCTCACTCTGTTGCCCAGGCTGAAGTGCAGTGGTGCAATCACAGCTCACTGCTGCCTCCAACTCCTGGCCTCAAGCACTGCTCCCGTCTTGGCCTCTGGAAGTGCCGGGATTACAGGTGTGAGCCACTGCACCTGGCGCTGGTAATACTATTTAAGAAAATAGTATGTTTGAGTTCTTATATAGTATTAGTCAGACATGACCCTTTTTCATAATGTTACCTATGTTCTGAATTCACAGCCCCTTGCTTTCTCTTGCTTTTTTTTTTTTTTTTGAAGAAATTTCCACATCTACTGGCTTCTTTTATGAATATTTAAACATGTTCAAGTCTCTCCTATATTGAGGTAAAACATCTTTCCTTGAGACAACATGATCAGAGTTTGATACTTTCATATCTATAATTCATTAAAGGTGGGCCGTCCCAGGAAGGGGTGTGAACTGGAAATCTCTGAAGAGGCTGACACCTGATGGCTGTTGGCAGAGAGCACTCCCAACAGTGGATTCAAGTCCTTCCTTGAGAAAGATTGGGTGTCATATCACAGTGTCCAGTACAGTTCATCCTTTTAGTTATGTGGATTTGCTTCTTCAAAGACATTTCTGGAAGTAGCTCCTCCAAGTTTTTGTATTTTTTCCTAAGAGTATCATAGAAAAAAAAAGAGGTAGTGTCCCTACAGCTGTAGTAGGTCTCACTGTCTTCTTCATGAACTCATCAAGCACATCTACTATCTTGCTAGCTTACATATAAATGTTATGACACAGACTCTCATGTCTGAGGATTATAGTCCTCTAATCATCAGGCCCTTCACAGGCTAGGGTTGATGAGCTTGTCCATTTATTCTCAAAAGATAATGAATTATCTGGCTGATGAACATATTCCTCCGTTTTGTTTAACTGGAGCCTTATCTCTTTCTACTTAAGATCATTTATCCCGGCTGGGCACGGCTGTAATCCCAGCACTTTGGGAGACCGAGGCAGGTGGATCACCTGAGGTCAGGAGTTCCAAATTAGCCTGGCCAACATGGTGAAACCCCGTCTCTACTGAAAGTACAAAAAATTAGCAGGGAGTGGTGGCGGGCACCTGTAATCCCAGCTACTTGGGAGGCTGAGGCAGGAGAATCACTTGAACCCAGGATGTGGAGGTTGCAGTGAGCCCAGATTGCACCACTGCACTCCAGCCTGGGCAAAAGAGTGAGACTCTGTCTCAAAAATAAATAAATAACTAACTAAATAAATAAAAATCAGTTATCCCAAACTGGATATTGACTCCTCTTTCCCTTTTTCCCTTCTGGTGCCTTAGTACAAAGAGCCTGTAGTTCTTAAGCAGCAGTTACAACTTATAATGCAATGGGTCTCTTATGCCCGACAGAAGTATCCCCTACTTTAGAAATGAAGTTTTCTAAACTAGCAGTGCCCACGAGTGAAAGGATTGGAAGTAAAACTTATGCAAGTGGGTCAACCTTTTGTTATCTTTTTTTTTTTCATAACATGAGTAGAGCTTAGCAATGTTCATTTACTTGCCCTTTTCTTTACATTTCTAATTACTCATGATTTCTCAAATACGATAGCTATATCATACAAGCGAATACATCTACTTCCACCAGTATAACATTCCAATTTGCTACCTGGTGCTAAGATTAACAGCTCCACCTACTTCAATGATGAAATCCTCATTGACAGCTTGGTGGTAGGTGATCCAGCTTCAGAACTTCCTCTTTAGCACTAGCTTTCTTAGATAGCTTGGGTTTCCCTGAAGTATGCTCTAACATGGAGTTTAGCATGCTAGTGGCTTATTATAGAATGAGAGGAAGGAAGTGGGGGGCAGCAGAGGGAAAATCAAGCTGCGATGCAGACCCAATCACAGTCTTAGCAACTCCGTGGGAAACGCTAGAGCTACAATGGCCTTCAGACATTTTCTGAACTAGACAGAGATCACCAGAGCTTCATCTATCTGTATCAGCCATTGGATGTGGGATGTCATAGAAGGGCTTGGGCTAGTAGCTTCTTTTCAGCCGAAACTTCTCTTGGAGTGCCCTGAAGGGGCTCAGACTAAAGGCTGTCCACTGACAGCATCCCCAGTACCTAGTACCATAAATATTTCATTGAAAGAAAATCTATTAGGCAAATCACTCTGTTTACCGCATTTGCAGTTATGAAAGTTACCTTCAATTCTATATTACTCAGGAGTACAATTGCTGGGCATATGCTTTAATTTTGGCAAATACTATTAGATTTCTTTCAGATGGTCTCAAATATTTATATTTGCAGAGGCATCTAGGAGAGTTCCAACTCCTCACCACATCAACCTTAAGTGATGTTAGGTAATAACCTGCCTTTCTGATTATAGTTCTTCCATTGACTAAAGGGCAATTTTTATTACTTTTATCACTATTGAATTTAATATCTATGCAGCTGTTAGCCTTTGGGGGTTCCCCTCTGTGAGTTGCCTGTTCACCTCTATTAGCCGCTTTTCTATCCAGTTTTATTTCTTTTCTTTTCTTAGAAATTAACCTCTTGTCATTTTCAGATGTTGCAATTATTTTTTCTCAACTGGTCACCTATCTCTTCAGTTGGTTTATGATCTTTAGAAATATTTAATCTTAGTATAGACTAGTTCATCAATGTCTGACTATACTAATTGTAATTTTGCAGTTTTTTCTACCTCAAAGTCACAAAAATGTTGCTTTATTTTCTTGTTTTATTTTATTACCTTTACATTTAGGTGTTTTATACTTTTAGAGTCTACATTTACATACATGACCAATTTTGGCAATTTATATACAATTTTATCTTAGTTGTCCAATGAAGATAATATAATCATTCATAATATTATAGTTTTTAATCTCTATATTGTAATTTTGTCTCCTTTTTTACCCTTGATTTGTATTTTTCTCTCTTTTCTAAATAATTGGATGTGACATACCAGGTTTTAATATTTGAATGACTAAATGGATACAGGATTTATATGGCTTAAGTTCTGCACATGCTATTTTATAAAAATGGAGACAATGGTAGTATTTGCCTCATGGTGCTATTATAAAGACAAATGAGAAAGTAGGAGAGGGCAGAGGAAAAGTCAAGCTGTGCTGCAGGCCCAAGGACAGTTTTAGGCAATTTTCATTGCCTCAATTGCCTCAATTGAATTTTACATAGAATACTTTGAATGTAATGTGAACAAAGTAAGAGCTTAATAAATGCTATTCATTATTATATTAATACTACAATTATCAGTTATTATTTCATCAATACTATTATTTGCAGGTGATTCATAATATAATTTTAAGCTTTCTAGCAACCAGCTTGAAAAAGATAAACCTAATCAAGTACACATTTCACACAGTCCAAATATTTTGGGACATTAATTTTTCCTTTCTGAATTTTCTACTCTTAGCTTCTCCCCAAACACCAATACACACACACACACACACACACACACACACCACACACACACACCCCTCTGCAGGAAAGTAGCAGGTATAGCTCCATTGTTAAAAAGTAAGGAAGGTCTGGAGTAGAATGTAAAACAGCCTGAAGGACACAAGTAATTATTTTCTGCCAGACTAAACTGATATTTCCCTGTGGGAGAACGGTGTGGTGGAAACAAAGCTCATGGGTATCAATAAAATGAGACGTATGTCTTGTCTTTGTCAGAGAGTGAGGGCCTGGAGTGAGGCCACAATCCCAGACAGGAATGCAGAAATGGCTGCAAGAAGCATATAGGGATATGGAAGGACAGGTTTCAAGATGTCACCCTCATCTATTATCTGCTGATTCAATTAATATTTAACTTAACAGGTCATAACTTGAAATTTCTTTAAGTCAAACTTCCTAGGCTTTATCTCATAATTATTGAAACAGAATTCCTGGGGCAGAAGCCCAGAAAACTTTTCATTGAATGGCTTTTTTGGAATGATGTTTAAGAATAGCTAAAGAAATGATGGAGAAATGAATAAGGCAATGTCTCTTATTCAGCTATTATAACCAATCGTGCTTGCATTTCTTCACTCCTGCACAGGCAAAATGTTTACTGATTTCTTAATATATCCAACACTGTGGTAAACATTGGGAAGAGAACAGACATAATTCATGCCTTACCATAGAGTACTGTTTGATAAGTTATATAAAGAGGTAACTTACATGACAGTGTGATAGTCAATATGACAGTGCTGCTCCAATGATGATGATGTGGGAGCACCTAAAAGGGGATATTTTCAATAGATTTTGAGAAGCTTTGATAGAGAGATTTTCAGCAGTAAGCCTGACATTGTCCTACCCTGGAAAGTATGTCTCCAGGTAATACAGTATCCCCAGCACAACGCCATCTATTTCTCAGAGTGACTGACTCAACAATTGCTTCCAGTAAATTTTCTCATCATTATTTCTCATTAACTAATGTGCTGGAATCAGGCTGGCATCCTTCCAACTATCTTAAGGTTTTATACATCCCTAACAAGTGATTTGGTTTTGTTATTTTCTTGGTATCACTGCTAGATAGCAGCTGACATTTAAGTTCTCAGATGAGACCTCCTTTGTTGCCTAGGTCTTTCAAGACACATGTTTCAAGTTCTTTTTAAAAACAAACAAAAAAAGCCACTTTTTGCATTAGGAAAGTAAGCATATGAGGCAGTGAAAATGTAGTGGTCTTCACATACCTTTTGATTTCTTTACTTAGAGCCTAGACGTAGATTTGAGATCCCTCAATTCAGTTCTCTGTACCCTTTCAAGTTGTAGTAGTCCCCGGTGTCTTAAAAATTGTCAAAATTAAGGTCTTTGGAGGATTGAAGTAATTCTAAATATTGCTCTTATTTAGCAGTGGCATACATATCCAAATCAACACCCAGGAACATAGACACTATTTCACTCGGTGGAGTCAATAAACCAAACTTTATAAAGATCTTGTGTAATCATTAAAGCATGGAAACTAAATAAGATTGACATTTTTGGAACTGTCTGGGGAGTTTTAAAACCAAAACTAAAATAAAGAAATGAAAGTACAAACCACTGAAGAATTACAGGATATATTCTACAGTTGTAATTTTCTTAAAGCCTTAAGACTATTTTCAGAATGGAAAATTGAAAAGGAAAAGAAAAGAATGTTTCCAGGCTGGGCATGTTGGCTCATACCTGTAATCCTGGCATTTTGGGAGGCCAAGGAAGGAGGATCACTGAGCCCAGAATTTCAAGACCAGACTGGGCAACATAGTGACATCCCATCTCTACAAAAAATAAAATAAAATACATTAGACAGGTGTGGTGGCATGCACCTGTAGTCCCAGCTATTCAGGAGGATGAGGTGGGTGGACAGCTTGAGCACAGACGGTAGAAGCTTCAGTGAGACACGATTGTGCCACTGCACTCTAAGATGGGTGACAGAGCAAGACCCCATTTCAATTTTTTAAAATGTCTCCATAAAAGTTTTGTGTAAAGGAAAAGTAGAAAAGGCCCTTCAATTATGAGACTTAGTAAGACCAGAGAGTAAAATGGAAATAAATAAAATAGTTTCAAGGGTTGGTCAGATTATTTCTTGTTTGTTTGAGCAGACCTTTAAAGAGTTCAGATTAATCTCATTTTATTTACTTCTGTGAGACTTGAACACTTCTGATAAGTTAGTAGGAAAAAGGAATAGGAATCGGATGTGAAACTACTATAAATAGATAGTTTATATTCCTTGGATTTCATTATGAATGCAAAGAGCATATTTAGCAAAATACCATGAAATTTCATTTGGTATTCTTAATTAAATCTCATGAAATACAATAAAAGAAATAATAATAAAAATGATATTTCCAACACTTTTTCCAACAAGTGAATGTTAAAACTGAGCTAGTGAGACAATAATGGTTCTGAATGCTAACTGCATGTAATATTCAATTGCAGATCAGTGAGTCGTTGGGTTGAGTTATAACATCATTACAATTGTGTATAATCTTAGAAAAATTTTGTATAATTTTAGAATAAGTTCTGTATATTGGCTAATAAAATCTGATAATTTAATTCAGAAAATTGGTACAAAATCAATAAAAATATTAATAAAGGGACTCAAGTACTAGGATACTCTGTGGCAAAATTAATCTTGTTTTATTTTCATACCCAATACCAAAGTTTAGAAGTTATGAAAGCATGCAAGTTCACCCGACTTATTTTTTTTTTAACTCAATGAGCTGTGATTTCTAATTTTATAGTAGAGTTCTCTAACTAGCTGACAGAGCTGTTCAAAGCTTTGTCCCTAAAATTTTGCTAATCTCATTATAGAATATTTTGCAGCAGATAACACTAACAGTGAGCATGGGTTACAAAAGGGTTACAAAAGAGAGGGAATTGATACCACTTCCCAGACAGAAACTCAATGTTCTCACAGTGTTCTTTGAAATGTGCCTCTACATGTGTAGGAAATATTGTGATCTCAATAGCTCTTTGCTGACAGTACACTCAAAGGCAAAATAAAATATCTATTCCACCTGCCAATTAGTTTCCCACTTAAAGCACCTTACTCTACTCTAAATGGTCCTCTGTTCCTCATTTCTGCCAAGAAAAAGCATTATGAAATTCATAATGAAATGACTTGCAGTAGTGCCAAAATTGTGCTTCATTTTTATCCAAACAAAGAAATTCCAAAAATATAGGAGAACCCATGAAATCAAGGAAAAATGAATAAGGATAATGGATGCCACATTAAATAATCAACAAATATCAACACCTTTACTGGATACATGCCAGAACCATTCTAACAGATTTAGAACTCATGGGAGACTACCTAATATAATTAAAATTTTGATATTTTTCAAATATATTTTAGGTAATTTTGCCAGAGAGCATAAGATGAAATTATAAAGATGGGGCTGGGCACAGTGGCTCATGCCTGTAATCCCAGCACAATGGGAGGCATAGGTGGGTGTGTGGATTACTTGAGGTCAGAAGTTTGAGATCAGCCTAGCCAACATGGTGAAAACCTGTCTCTACTAAAAATACAAAAATTAGCCGGGTGTGGTTGCGGGTGCCTGTAACCCCAACTACCCAGGAGGCTGAGGCAGGAGAATCACTTGAACCCAGGAGGCAAAGGTTGCAGTGAGCCAAGATCATTCCACTGCACTCCAGCCTGGGCGACAGAGCAGGACTCTGTCTCAAAACAACAAAAACAAAAAAAGGAGAACTTTTTGCTTTCTTGATTATATTCAGACCATGTTGAAGCTCAGACTGGCTTCCTTATAGGAACTCTTAGCTCAGTGAGTTTTCTACTGGAGAAGTAAAAAGGACCAGTCAGCTCAAGATGAATACTGTATATCTTATACAGTAGAATATAGGAAAGTGAAAAAACTCTTTACTTTTTTGCCTAAACAAAAAACATTGGTATTTACATAATAGATTGTTGGGGCAATTGGAACGAGCAAAAACCTAGAGCAAATTCAAGTGTAAAAACGCCAGTATAACCTTAAAATATATTGGATATCATAACCTGATATGTTTTCTTCATAATTAACATGGGATGGTAATAGACTTTAGAAGAAAAAAAGATTTCTATGTACAAAAAAATGGCAAGCAATGGTTTTAACATGTTAAACTATATGCAGTAAAACAAAGTAAATATTCTCAAGGCATTTATTTTATGATTTCTATATGAATTTCCAGGAGGGCAATATAGAACTCAAGTAGCATTTACATTTACAAATGTACTTGGATATAGAGTTCATTTGTCATCTAGCACAACCTGGGTTTAAAGTTATGTGGAATATAATTAAAGAAACGCTGAATGAGTTAGAGAAAATGGGTATGAAATAGAGCCATTCTTTAAGCCATTCTTCCATAAAGGCATATGGATATAATCAAGTTCCGGCTTGTCTAAATCCAATTCCAGTTTATTTGTTTGTTTTAATATTATCTACCAGAAAATATAGTAGTCAGAATTTAAAATAAAATCATGTGCAACTGCAGACAAAATATCTGTCACAGATAACAAGTGACAACCATTGAAAGAATAAATTTTTCTCCATTTACTGTCAGTCATTCAGAAAATAGTTATCAAATAATACATGTCAGATATGATGTGAAATGCTTAGTTTCCAAATATAAATAAAATAAATAAACCATAATCCTTGCACCCAAGGAGCTCACAATCTAGTGGTTTGGCAGGTGGGAAGAGGGAAGACATTTAAAGAGATAATACAATCTACATTGTAGATTTCATCAAAGAGGAAGCACATAATTCAAAGTCATGCATTGTTTATGAAAAGTCGCTAATATAAGCTTTACATCCAAAAATAATTTTCAGCAGTATTCACTTTTAGTGCATTTTAAAAGAACTATAGAAAAGTGTTACAATTCTAAATTCCATGTATTCTTCTAAATAACATGGTTATTGTATGAAATCTAGACTTTCTTTGTGCACATTACCAATTATCTATTTTACATTTACAATAACATGCTGTAAATCAAAATCAAGCCTCCAAATATACCTTTGAAGAGACAGAATTACAAATAATATACAAAGGCAAACAGCTGTTGCACTAGATTACCCTTCCTGAAAAACGTGATAATGCAGACCCTTTTCTTTCCTGACAGCCATTTAATAAAATAAAGCTCCCCCCAAGTGAGAAGTGCCTGCCAACAAAGCTTGAAAAAGGTGTTATGCACTCCAGCATCTTTTTTGCTGTGTCAGGATCCATACGGAAACATTGTAAAAATAACTTCCATAAATCCCTTTCTTTTGTTCACATTTTTCCGAACATTTTTGTTCTGTTTGATCTTGTTCTTTTCTTTTCGCTTGGCTCAATAAAGTTATGTGATAGTTTTGCAATTTGTTCTTCTAGGATTATCTAAAGGTGTCATTTATGTACTCTTGCCACAATGTCCCAGAATCTGTCACCTAAAATAGATTAACAGCAGCTGGCTTCAATGATTATGGTGTTCTCTTTGCATTCTGTCTCAAGAGAAGTTGAAGTAGAAAACAGGAAATTTTGTAATTCTTGGAAAATGAAAATAAACTAGTAGTTGTGCTGAAGAGAGATTGTAACTAATGTTCTCCATAAACACAAATAACTGAGTTCAGAATAATACATAAGCTTAATTAATAACATTGCTTTTAAGCAGTGTAAGAAATAGAACATTTTATTTTTTGTTCATATGATATAATTCATATTTCTGAGGTGAAACCAAGGTACTAAAGACCCAGTCTTTGGAATTTCAAATGTTGAGAACTTTTAATTCATTAGTTGATTTTTTTTTGATCTCCTACTCAAAATGTTGTGTCTTGAAGATAAACCAAAAATAAACTTAAGAAACATGGAAATCTACTAACTCAAGTAAGGAAAAACTCTAGAGCTAAAAACTTCAGATATGGGTGAATTCAAGTTTTATAATAAAGGGTCTGTTTCTTTCCCACTGTCACTTATTGCTACTCTCTTAATGGTAAAAGTGATGGCCCAAGACTCATTCTATTAACTGATCAACCTGCTGCAAAGAGAGTGACCTTAGCAACATAACTCACATAAATTCCTAAATGAATACTGATTATTCTTAGCTTAGATTGCTCCAGTGTTACTCATTATTTCCAGGGAGATGGAGTATTTTGATTGGCCAACCCAGATTATGTTAGGCATCTGTGAAAGAAAAAGATCATCTGATAATTTTAAAAGTCCACAGAATCACATGGAGTAGAATAAGGTTATTTTCCAAAGAAAGAATCACTAGCCAAGAAAAGAAAATTGGCACATGTCTCCTGTATCTTACTTTCAAAATATGTCTTTAAAGATACCATAATTAAGTTGTAAAATATTTGAGAAACAATAAAGAAAATTAGTTGACTATATGTCCACCACCCTAATATAACTGTTGCCATTTTCATTTATTCTCTTTTTACATATATACAGACAGATGATAGACAGATAGATAGATAGATAGATAGATAGATAGATAGATAGATAGATAGATAGATAGATAGATAGCAGACTTTACTGGCATAATCATGCATACAAATACAGTGCTTTTTTCTTAACACTAGAACACAGACTTTTTTCATATGTTAGTTTTCTTTTTTCTTTTTCTTTCTTTTTTTTTTTTTTTTTTTTTTTGAGATGGAGTCTTGCGCTGTTGCCCAGGCTGGAGTGCAGTGGCATGATCTCAGCTCACTGTAACCTCCGCCTCCCGGGTTCAAGCAATTCTCCTGCCTTAGCCTCCTGAGCAGCTGGGTTACAGGTGCACGCCACCACGTCCAGCTAATTTTTGAAATTTTTAGTAGAGACAGGTTTTCACCATGTTGGCCAGGTTGGTCCCGAACTCCTAACCTCAAGTGGTCTGTCCACCTCGGCCTCCCAAAGTGCTGGGGCTACAGGCATGAGCCACCATACCGGCCTCATGTGTTTGTTTTCAAAAGTACTTGAACTGGCCTCTTTTGATGACTTCTTAAATTGCTTCACATTTTCATTATAATAATTAACCTAATACTGAACATTATTGTGCATATATTTTCTCCCTCTTTTATATTAGTTGCATAAAATAAATTTTAGGTAGATTCAATAGCCTGAAGCTTAGGAGAATTTTATGGTAAAAGATAATTTTTAACAAAATTGCGTACAATACTTTGTAAAAATCCTCTCTGTTGTAGAACTTATTAGATTATGATCTGTTTCCTCAGAGTGCATACAATTCTGAATATTGATAATTTTTCTCATAATACTGTTTTTAAACTAGGATTTAAATATTCTTATTATTTTATTTTACATTTTAAAAACCTGACAGGTAACATTGCATGTATTTATCATATATAAGGTGATATTTAGAACTATACATCCATTGTGGTTTGACTACATCTAGCTAATTAACATGAACATTACCTAACATGGTTATGAATTCTGTAATAAGAAAACTTAACAACTACTCTCTCAGCATTTTTGAAGAATACAATAATTTTATTAACTAGAGTCACCATGCTATACAATAAATCATTTGTAATTACTCCTTCAACAAAATGGGGAAAGACAGTATCTTTGATAAATTGGCTTGGCAAAACTGGATATCTACATGCCGAAGAATGAAATTACACCCTTTTCTCACAACATACACAAAAATCAACTAAAAATGGATTAAAGACTTAAGTATTAGACCATAAACTATGAAACTGCTAGAAGAATACATAGGGGAAAAGCTTCACTGTATTGGTCTAGGCAACAATATTTTGGATAAGACCCCAAAAGCACAGACAACAAAACCAAAAATTGACAAATGGAGTTACCTCAAACTAAAAAGCTTTGGGAAACAATCAACAGAATGAAAAGACAATCTATAGAATAGGAAAAAAATTCCAAACTAGACATCTGATAAATGGCTAATAGCCATAATATCACATAAAAAACTCCACTCAGTAAAAGAAAACAAATAACTTGATTTTAAAAGATGATTTAAGTATTAATTATTTAAAATATCAATGATTATCATAAATTTAATGCCCACTGTGTGACAAGTGCACATGTAATTTATACTATGAGGAGTTTTTGATATTCCTATTTTTCAGATAAGAAAACTAATTTACAGAGAAATAACAAATTTCCAAGTTCTCTCAACTGGTACAAACTGTAAATTAAAGACTTCCCAACATAAATACTATCAACCTTTCCCATTACTTCTGTGTATTCAAATTTGTGATCTTCCACCCATATCAATAAGAAAATACTTGATCCTACACTACAAATACATGTTTGCATAAATATATATATATATAGATTTTATGTTTGTACTACTAATACATCACGTATATTTTTGAAACAAATTTCAAATATAGAACTTCAAAAAGTAAAATATAAATAAAGAGTGAGTCTGTTGTTTCTTTGCGCACCCCAGAGCAATGGCTTACATATCCCCACCCTTTCTGGCAGCCTCTCTTGGCTGTTCTCTTCCCACAACTAAGATTATCTGACTCTCATCTGCAGAATTCACTATTCCCATGGCTCTAGCTAAAGGAGCATCCTAGCTAATAAAACATCCTAGCTAAGGAAACAACATCCTTAGCTTGAGGTATATAAGTATTTAAATTTAGGGTGAATTTATTTTTCTTTCATAATGATACTGTTACATTTCACTTTGATCTCAGGTTCTAGTGGGACAACTGCACTTCCTAAGAGTAAGTGTTCTGTGTACCCTAGGCTGGTAATGAAGTTCTACCGTCCCTCTTCAAATTTAAGCCTTAATAACCAAAACAGTACTTTGATACCTTTAGGTTTTGGACTCTATTTTCCATCCCAACTCCAGAGAGAAATATTTTATGTAAATCACAGGATGATTTAACTCGAATACCAATGGTTTGCCTACTCTAATTTACAAATATCGAGTTTCTTTTCTTGCTCTGTTTCTTCTGCTCTGGGATTTATCTTTAGTTATTGCTTAATTATCTTATGCAAATTATTTCCAGGTTTAGCACCTATTGCTTGCCACCATAATCTTAATTTTGTTCTATCTAAAATAAAATCCATCTCCTGTTCCTTACCAGTGTTTGGCCTCACATCCTTCTAGATCCTGAAGTCAGGCTCCAGATCTCATCCCCATTTGTTCTACCTCACTTAATGTAATTACTCTTTTATTCTTCCACATATCATCTGGGTTACCATATTTCAGAGAAGAGGAAATATTGTTTTTCTTTCTATTTGGGCTGATTCCTAATTGAGATTCTTTAAAATTAGCTTTACACAATAACTAAATGGTTTTAGAAAAATTTGTATATTAATATGTATAATATATGTGCGTGTGTGTATGTATGTGTGTGTGTACATATATATTTTGTGTATATATATAACTGTTTTATGCAGACCCTTGATAATCATAGTATTCCTTATCCCTCTGGAAATCAGTATATTTAAGAATACTCTTTATGATTTTAGATTATAGATTAGGGTCCAATTATCTCACAACTGCCCAAGGGACCAGGTACAGAAAGATGTAAAAATTCATCAACATTTCTGCAAAAGTATAACCTTCAACTTTATCCTAAATGTGCATTGATAGCAATGCTGGTCCCAGGCAAAATCAAGAAGTTGAACCACCTGTATTACCTTCTGAAATGCATCTTCAATGTGGAACACCTTTACTTCACAGGTGTTTTTATACTGTCTTAAATCCATCTGTAAAAAGAGGAGCAATGTAGAGAAAGATGTAACACTATTGATAATATCATGGATTCTTCTTCCCAAGATATATTGAATTTTATAAGATAAAAAAATGGGAAAGCTATATTCACCATGAGAAAACATCAACATTATCAAATACATCACAGTTTACCTATTCTGTCCAGAGGATCCAATCTCAATTTTTAAGTAAATGTTGAAGGATATTAGTTCTATAAAAACTTACATCTATTAAATTATTCAATTATTTTCAACATAACTTTATTAAAAGTAAAAGAATGTACTAATTGAACAAGGGATTCTTAATAAACAGTACAGGAATTTTTAATTAGTTAAAATAAATATTTTTTAACATTTATATAAAGATTATATAATTCCTTTTTTATAGTCCATAAATGTAGTTGCTGCAGTCTTGAAAAATTAGTTTATTTTGCCAAAATTACATTGTAACCCTTACTTCTATCCTTCTGATTAAAATAGAATGCACTTCTCTTATGGTTACTTCATTATGAGGCCTCATATGCATACTGCATTGAAAAAAATAGAATAAAAGAAGAATAAATTAATATCTTCCACAGTTGCTTATATCCTTTAATTGATACTCATGGCTCAGTCAATAACATCTAGGTTCAAAATTTTACAAAGTCTGTTTTTAATTTACCTGTTCTTTCTCCAATTTATACCTTAAATGAATCCTATGTTCAAGTCAGATTTGAAACAACTCAATATTCCCTGAACTAGCCATAAACGTTCCTACCTTACCAGTATGCCCATTTTACCTCTGCCTCTCCAAATTCTTCAAGGCCTAGTTTAATCATTGGTAATACTTCCTATGTAACATAGGCTATCTTGAGAATCTGTGGAATGCAATGGTATCTGTTGATAAAACACATACATACACACACACACACACACACACACTTCAGTTGTAATACCTGGGCTCTATGTTCTTTATATTAGAAACCTCTAGCCTACATGATATGATACGCTGCTTCATCAGTGAAATCTTTTTTTTTTTTTTTAGCAATGTTATATAATAAGAAAAAATGTTAGATGGTGATGCAAAATATCTGGACTTGGAGCTCTGCAACTAACTTGGACAAGTCACTTCATCATCTTGTGCCTCAGCTTTGAGTATGAAATGTGATAATAATGGCATATATCCATGAGTTACTATCCTATTTTTAACATTCTGATTTTGAGATCCACATCCCAAAATATAATACTGGAAAGCTAGGCTTCTGATTGTTTATTTTCATTCATTAATTAATTTAACCCATGTTTATTAAAAGCTGACTTGGCACTAGATATTGTAGTAAAATACTTTAATATTAGTTTAATGAGACAGAAAACTCTAGAATTTGTCAGGAGATTTTAGTGAGCTAGTGGGGATACTCTAATCCATTTGCTCCCTAAAGCAGACTGCATTTTTTCAGCTGGGTATCAGAATCCAATATTTCTTTCAATGCCCACTTTCTTGGGTGGCCAATAAGTCCTGAAGAAGTCTATAATTGTCCATCTCTCTGTCACTGTTGCATGTTAAGCAATTGGACTTCATCATAATTAAAATATCAAGGAAAAGCACAAATGACCTGTTTTATTATTATTTAATATATATTCTTAAACCTTTAATTTTGGATATTGTCTAATGTTTGTTTCTCTCCTAGATTGTAAACTGTTAATAGACAGTTACAATTTCTTGTTCATCTTTATATTCTATATGGCTTGTATATAACTGGTAATCAATATAAATTTACTGATTTATTTATCCAAACACATCCCTCTCAACCATAGTGCATACTATTTCACAGAGAAAGAATTCCTGCTGCAAATTTGGGTCACCCAGTTAAAACAGCCTCAAGGAAGAAATATAAGTTCTTCCTTACTATTTAAGCTACTTGCAACTCTTCTTGGGTAGCTGGTTATTCTATTACTCAAGTAATAGTTAAGTCCTGAATAAGCACTGCCTTATGTACGTACACATATTTGCTAAGTTAATCATTAGTTTAAAAAATAATTATTTGCTACCTACTTTGAAAGAAAAACTGCTATAGAATTTGAGTATCTATAGGACAGAGGTAAGACAGCTAAACCCTCAATGAACTTTCATCCTAGTGAGAGAGACAAACAGTAAACATATACATAAATGAGCAAAATAACTTCAAAAAATAGTATATACTATGAGAAAAATGGAAATGTGTTGACACCATACATTGCACAGCAAAGCACTCTGAGTAAATGAGAGTAAGCTCAGAATTGACTGACAAGGTCAGCAATGTGACAGTTGAAACATTCTAGGTAAAAAAATGGCAAATGTTTCCAAAATGCAGTACCAAATGCAGTGTGGCTGAAAGCTGATTCTCTAAAATATGTTGCAGTAGATTACATTCAAAGATATATATATAGGAGCCAGAAAAATGTGAAAAAATCTAAAAAATAAAGTATATACCAATGAATTAAGAATTTCATATCATCTAATCCAAAATTCAGTAGTAAATGGGTTCTTCCTATTTCATAGCAAAACACTTTGGGAGGCCGAGGTAGGCGGATCACGAGGTCAGGAGCTCGAGACCATCCTGGCTAACATGGTGAAACCCCGTCTCTACTAAAAATACAAAAAATTAGCTGGGCATGGTGGCGGACACCTGTAGTCCCAGCTACTCGGGAGGCTGAGGCAGGAGAATGGCGTGAACCCGGGAGGCGGAGCTTGCAGTGAGCCGAGATCGTGCCACTGCAATCCAGCCTGGGTGACAGAGTGAGACTCCATCTCAAAATAATAATAATAATAATAATAATAATAATAATAATAATAATAATTTGCAACTCAAAGACTTTGTGTAACTTTATCAAAGAGATAAATGGTAGAATTGGTGTCTGAAAACAAGAAATTTTCTTTACAGAGCCCATACTCATCTCACTATACTAGCCTACCTTGACTGTGTTTCCCAGTTTTGGTTTTTTTTTTTTTTTTTTGAGACAGCGTCTCACTCTGTCGCTCAGGCTGGAGTGCAATGGCACTATCTCAGCTCACTGCAACCTCCGGCTCCCGGGTTGAAGCAATTCTCCTGCCCCAGCCTCCAGAGTAGCTGGGATTACAGGTGAGCGTCACCACACCAGGCTAATTTTTGCATTTATAGTAGAGACAGCGTTTCACCATGTTGGTCAGGCTGGTCTCAAACTCCTGACTTCATGATCCACCCTCCTCGGCCTCCCAAAGTGCTGGGATTACAGGCGTGAGCCACCATGCTCAGCCTGTTTCCCAGTTCTTGATCTTGGATCCTTTTAAGAACTTATATGCAATACATCCTCTAAGCATCTTTCCTACAGACAAATGTCTCACTTAAATTTTGAAGTATCCATTGACTAATTTTTTGGTACCAATGGTCAAAATCCTCCCATTCTTCTGCTTTTGGGATTTTTTTTTTTTATTAAAACACCTTCACCACAATCAAGGTATTACACATATCCATCATCTTAAAAAATTCCCTTGTGTTCTTTTGTGTTTGTTTTCCCTTGATGCTGTGCATTCCTTATATTTCATTTTAGTCCAGCCCTCTGTTGTGCCAAGTGGGATAGCCTCTCTGGAATTCTTAATTTGTAGATTAAAAATTATGTAATTTCTTTTAAAAAGTCATATTTTTAAAGCAAAAAGAAAATAAAAACATGTCACAAATACTCTTTTTGGATTACAAAATTCAAAAAGTGAGTAAGCCATAAAGAACGCAGAGATCGAGAAAGAAATTTTGTTATAAACAGAAAAGAAGTTTTAAACAGATGGAATCTTTAATGAGTAGGATGATAGAATCTAATCAAGTTTTGCTAAACAAGATTGAGTGGTTAAAAAACCGAAGTTGATTGTGTATTGCTAGACTCCAGGGTCAGTGAATTCTAAAGGAGAAGATGATTTGATTGCATTTATGGAAATACGGATTCCTAAGTTACTGGGGACTGATACTGAGAATGATCAAATTAGAGTAAAAGGGCATTTTAGATGCCATGGAGAACATTAATAATGTAAGAAAACAAGCATCTCCAAATCTCTGATAACAAAAAGTACACAGACATTTCCATAAAGGGATATAGATAAATTACTTTTTAAAATTATTATTCATTCTGCCAATCTTATCAGAGCAAAGAAATGAAAGATAACTCTTCCACTTACTTGTGCCTTAAAGAAAATAGGTACGATAAACAAAGACCCCAGAGAAATCCTTAATCAAGAGGTTCTGCATTTGTTTTCCTTGCATCTTGATAAGACCTACAGTAATAAGATTCAACAACAATGGATAATCTTATAAAAAGGTGCACCAGTCCACTTGGCCATCTATTTAGAATTTTAATAGCTATCCCATACAGTGCATTCATTATATATCAGAAACTTTTATATTTTTCCATTTTCCATTTATCAACTCATTTTAATCCTCACAATAACTTTCTGAAGTGAATCTTACTATATCAACTTTATAAATGAAAAAAAAAACTGTGTCACAGAAATGTTATATATCTTGCTCAAAGTTAGATGGTAGTGAGTAAGTTATGGATCTTGGATTCAAACCCAGGAAGTCTGACTCCACATTCTGTGCATTTCATCACAATATTTTGCTGTCTGTGTTCTGCCACAGTGCAAGGGATCTCAAGATAAAGCAGTGCACACAATTGGCAAGTTACAATATGTAAAGTTCCTTTACTCAATTAACTTGACTTTGAAGACATAATTTTACTCTTTCCCAGGCAGCCTTAATATGTCTTCTTAACAGGTATAGTTAATTTTTTGGAGTCATTCTACCTCTTTTACCAGTTAATCTTTACTTCTGCCTCAATCACAATCTGACATTATTTCTGTTATCTCCTCTGATCAAAGAAGTGAATGTATTTTCCACTTCCCAAAAAACATATTTTCTCAAATAAACATTGGCATAACCAATAAAATTTGAGGAGGAATTATCTTCAAATTGCAAAAATCACCCTGCTTAGCCATTTCCACATCAACCTTTAAGAGATACCTTCCTAATAGTTGCCCCCAGTCATGCCATTAGATCTCTGCTTCTATCGTCCCACTATCCCTAATTACTCACCTGGGTACAAATCTCTCCTTCTAGCAATTTCTATAATTTGTTGGCTACATAGCTCAAGTTAATATTCTAAAAGTTTTTTTCCATCTTTAATCTTATATTTCTTTGATATTTCTACTTGATTTCAATAAAATCATCCTGTGGCATTGACCTTCTTCACAAGAGGTCTTCCCATTTCTTTACTTCCAAGAAACCTGTGTTCGTCCTGATATCATCCTTTTCCACAAACATTCACCACTTCCACTGTACCATCTCCCACTTTCCACAAAGAAAAGTAAGTTTACAAAGGGGATTGGAATATTCTGCTACAACTTTCAGCTTTTTAAAATTTCCACATTAGTCATACAAACACCTTTTTACTTGCCTTCATTTAAGGCAAAGCTTAATGGCTTTAGTAACTGAGTCACAATTTTCCTCTCTATTCTAATCCCTCCTCTCTTTTTTCTATAGTCTGCTCACAAATTTCCTACCATGATCTTCAACTTTGGGACTGTGCTTCACTTCCCCTCAGCTTCATAAAACAAGCACAGTCCTACCAGAGGTCTTGTAAGTCATTCAGAATGTTTTAAACTCTGAGATCACAGACTGTAAAATTTATTTTTCTAAACACACTGTGATCACCACCCACTTACCACATTTCGGTTGTCCTTCTGGAATCTGCTTCAGAGATTGTAATTCATTTTCACAGAAATCTAGAATTGGAAATGGCCTGTTCCAAACTCTAATAAAGAATGCCTAAACTACTCTTGAAGGTGAAATTCTCTTCTGTGCTTAAGAAATTTACAAATGGAGAGATTAATACTTTGAGGAGAGTGATGTCAAGAGGTAGTTAATTTGGACTTGTGCAGACATAAGTCCTATTTAATGTTTAAATTCATCTGTAGGCTTTAGTTCTCAACTTCAAAGCAACATACATTTTTTTACTCTCTCAAAAATCATAAATACTTAAGATACAAATACTTCAGATAAACCTTCTCATTTTTACTGATTTCATCTTTTTTCCTCATCATATTTATTATTGCTAAATGCACACCAATGCTTTGTCAATAAATCCATCAACTTGAGGTGCAGAGAGGGGAGTAGCCTTCCTCTAGTTCAAAAATACATACCATCACAAAGACATCAGGTGTGGAGATGTGCTTACCCCATCCTCAGTACTGAGAACAATGCCTAACACATAGTAGATACTCCATATATATTTACTAATCAAATGAATGAATGCATAATTTGAAGGGTATACTTCAGATGTGCTATATTTAACACACAATATAATGGAGTTACTAGCACTTTAACACTGCTTTAGTTTACAAAGCCAAATATTGACTCAATTTTTATAATAGCCTTGTTACATAATAATACAGTTTATGGTTTACTACAATTTCCAAGTCTTGACTAGGCTGAATTTGTTTCATTATGAATTAGTTTTAATTGTGCCATCACCTCCCTTGAATTCAATGCAGTTTTGTTTGTTAAATCCAAGTGTAGTTTTCACAGTTTTCCTGTTACATTTCACTTTCTTAAATGTAGCCTATTTTATCATTTTATTTGAAATCTTTCTGAGTCACAATGCTGTAGTGCATCACATTAGGGATTCTTTGCTAGCTTTTGGTCATTCATCTGTTTGATTCAAGTAACCTATTTAGAGCATATGGTAAAGAGAAATTGATCATTATGTCTATATTCCAAGCATTGTGTTAAAAATGCATAGAGCTTTTTCTAACATATCTAATCCCTCTGCCATCTTCTCTGGAGTTCCCATGATTTTGAAAAGCCATCTATGTCTTTATATAATTACTGAGTAAAACAGGACATTTTTGCACAATTCTGCAAGGTATCCCACCCCAATGATGATCAGACATTCCTTGATTCAGTAAATATTTAATAAACACTGTATGCCAGTAGGTGTAGAGTCAAAGTTATTACATTAAAAACAAGTCCTGATATTTGTGGTAGAGACAAATAACTTCATAATGGTAGATACTGTCTAGTGCTGTGTAGAAATAAAAATCTATGGTAATGCAAATTGAGCATAAGTGTGCGTATTCTAAATAAGTGATCAGGGAAGACCTTCCTAAGGTAATATTTGAGCAAAGACTTAAATGAAGTGAAAAAAAAAAAAAGGTGTTACAATATCTAGGTGAGGAAAAACAGCAAAGCTTTGGGGCATAATTATTCTTGGTCTATTCAAGGAACAACAAAAAAGCCAGTATGGCTGAATCAAAGTAACACCAAGAATGAATCAACCAATTATGCAACACTTCTTGAATATAATCAGGTATGTAGTCACTTATTCATATCATCACACTATCTTCTAGCTAAAATATCTCCTTTTGTGAGCAGGGTAAACAAGAGAAATAATGTCAAATGCCTCACTAGATTTCATATACATCATATTTCTGTTACTGAGTATGTTAACTCCTAGATCTCCTAACTCCATTTACCTTCCAGATCAACCTGAACAGGAGTATTAGCCATTCAATGATAATTTCTATGTTATTCTACAATCACTTACCTCTTTATTCTACTAAAACACATGCTATCTAATCTCCCCTTAATCCTCAGAGTTGTTTGAGTATCTCTAAATGATTCACTATAATGTTATTAATGTCAGCAATTCTAAAATCTTCTCTACTTTTTATGCTTTCACAACAACTTCCCAGTTGAAGAGTATTGTTTTCTTACGACTTTTCTCACTGATAAGCTTTTCACTACTCTCTTGTCATTTCTGGCTTTCTTTGATGTGCCCTCTACTGCTCTCACACATTGATAAATTTGATTTTTCATAATTGGGTATGATTTTAGAGAGTTATAAGCCTACCAGATTTAGATGTAGGTGAAGTTTTCTTTGTTGATTTTCATGAATGACAAGACATTGAATTGTAATGTCTCTTTATGCCAATTTCTTCATCTGTGAACCGGAGATAATACGGTTTTTTGCTTGGGCACTTACATTGACCTTAGAAGACTTCTCTCCAGCTCAATGTTGTTCCTTCTTTAATCCACAGGATTCTTACATCTCAATAAATATTTTATCCTATGATACTGCAACTCCAAAATCATGTCCTTGCTCATGTTACACTCTGCCTGGAATACTGTTCCCTCACCTCACCTCCTTCTGTTCTTGGTAAGTGCCTATTGCTTTCCCACACATAGATCAAATATTTATTCCTCTGACACAGCTTGTTTAGGTTATCTAGGCAGTTGATTTTACCTTATTTAGCATTTTCATAGGACTTCGTACATGTCTCTAATATTATATTTTATTTGTGTTTCCTAGGGGACTGGAAGATACTCGGGCTGAAACTATTAATTATTTATATATGATCACCTTTAAAAATTAGAACAAAGTGGAATATAAATATTATGTTTGTATTGTCTTAAAAAATCTTAGAACAAAATGGGATATAAATATAGCTACCTATCCTATGTACAATTATGTGTATATGATTACATATGTATAATATATACACATACAGCATATTACATATTATGTATTTAGAGTGAAAGAAGCTTTTTTTTTTTTGAGATGGAGTCTTGCTCTGTCACCCAGGCTAGATTATAGTGGTGCATTTCTGGCTCACTGGACCCTCTGCTTCCTGGGTTCAAGTGATTCTCCTATCTCAGCCTCCTGAGTAGCTGGGAATACAGGTGCGCACCACCATGCTCAGCTAACTTTTGTATTTTTAGTAGAGATGGGGTTTCACCATATTGGCCAGGGTGGTCTAGAACTCCTGACCTCATGATCCACCAGCCTCGGCCTCCCAAAGTGCTGGGATTACAGGTGTGAGCCACTGTGCCCGGCCAAGATGCAATATTTTTAAGAACCCAAGCTCTATGGTAAGGTTTTTGGGTTTATAGTCCATGTCTACCACCTCAGTGTTCTATTACCTAGGAAAATTCACTAAATAATCTTTGAGCTCAGCCTCAGTTCCTTACTCTTTTAACATTGGTTTATAATTATTCCCACATCACAACATCGTAGTGAGAATTAAATGAGTGCCTACAGAGCACTTGGATATTTAAAATCTTAAATATTATCCCCCTTTCTCTTCTAATACATTTTCCTCTTTGAGTCTAGCAAGGTATCTTGTACATGTCAGGGGATCACAGGCATCCACTAGTGCACAGAGCACAGTCTCTGCAACATAGTAGATAATCAATAAGTGTTACTGAGTGATAAATGGACAGATAAAACACTGCCTTTCTACAAGTAAATTTCACAGAAATTTTACTGAAGGGAAAACTTAAAATCCCAGGTATAAAGTAACTTGTCTGAAAATATAAAGCCAGCAAGTAAAGACCAGAGCTCAACTTTTTACCACTCTATTTTTATAAAGTACTCCTCACTACACTGCATTTTCACAACTGATGTGTGTGTATTATAAATAAATACAAGGAATGAAGGAAAAGTACAAGGAAAGAAGGAAAAGTGAAAGAGTAGGGGGAAAGAAGAAAATATGTTCACTTTAATTACAGTTTATTTTCCATGGCCCCTGACTAATTGCGGGAACTTTATAAAGTTTGCGATCTTTTGACCAAACTCATATTTGTGATTTGGAGATTTATAATGCTTCCCTTGACCACTGCTGTGTCTACACTGCCCTGTTTTTTCTATAGCTAAGCACATACTATACACTCTTCCAAATAAAACATACCTGCCAGTATTCCTAACCATTTGTTCTATCTAGAAACAGATTGTGTTATTCAAATAGAATCATAACTACATGAAATACAATTTAATTAATATTTATTGAGAGTCCCTAAGGTGCATTCATTAACTAAATGAGGAATGATTTGTTTTTAATTTAATAGCAGCATGACATAATACAATCTGAAAGTGTAGTTGGAAGCTCCTACAATCAGTAATTAAAGAAGAATGAGTATATTAATGACCATGAGGGCCTTTGCCACTGGGAAGGGGAGATTTGGATGACACACATCATCAGCAATGAAGCAAAGGGTTGGTTTATTTTCCCTTTATAGTCTGAATCCAAACTTAATGGCTTGGACACTAATATAAGTTAATGAGAATTTCACAGGAGAAATTCTATATAGTATATGCTGACAATGCAAGTGCCGTGAACTGACTAAAAGCAGGAACATTCTTAGCAACTTGAATAAAGAAACCTTTTATAGTCAAAGATTTTCATCATAGGTAATGAAATAAAATTTATATTGCCTATTTCTCACTAAGCAGATCACTTGAAAAATACACTCACATGTACATAGTTATGTATATTACACTAAAACACACATTCCCACATACATGAGTAAACCAGAATGTCTTTCAGAAGACCTACAAAGAGTAATTCTATCAACAAAGCTAAAGTTCTCCTTGGTGGTTATGTTATCCCATCCTTTTTATAGTTGTGGTACGTGAATTACTGCAGATGACACCTTCAGTGAGACAAGTTATCAACATAAGAAATTTCAGGAACAAAGCCAATTGGAAAGATATGCCAGTTACAGCAGAATAAAAGACGGTATGACACCAAAGTATTTATAGAACGTGTGCTGCTCTAAGGATCCATAAGCACAGACACTGCAATGTTGTCTGCAAGGACAGACTGGGGCTCAAATGTCAACAATGTTCACTACTGAGTCAATCATCCCTGAGTATAATAATGACATACCTGAAGTAAGTTTTCAGTAGCTTTTTAATTCTTTCTTTTCACTGTTCATATCTCTGTTCATCTGGACACCCTCTATTTAAGTGGTAAAATTCAGTCTTTACACAACCCTTTACTGAATTGTTCCGGCCAAGTCTTTTCCTTCCATAGTGGAAATGCATACCATTTTCTTATTTTCTCCTAAGATTATCAAAATTCAACTCTCCTACCTCCCCACTTCCACCCCGTTGCCACCGTCTCTATAACTGACATCCTGTAAAACACTGGGTTCCAAACTCTAGCATCGTCAGAATCACCTGGAGGGTTTTTTTAAAACACACATTGCTGGGAACCACCCCCAGAGTTTCTGATTTAGAAAGGCATTTCCAGGAAGTTCCCAAGTGAGGCTGTTTTAGCAGGGTATTTCCAGGAAGTTCCTAGGTGATGCTGATGATGCTGGTCTAGGCGCGATTTTGAGAATTACTACCTATAAGGTATTTACACACTCATTAGTATTTATCCATTAAAGGACAATGATAATACCCCATGGTCCCTTTAAATGTATTTTGTAAATGTACATAGTATAATTAATACCAATGACTGTACCTTTCAGAACATGAATGCCTAGCACATAATAGTTGTTCGATAATATTTTATTAAATGAATCTGAGTGCAAAATAATAAATATATAATACATTTGTACCACTAATTTCAAGATTAGGCAGTAACTTGAGAGGGAAGAGCCTTTCCTCTAGACAGTCGCCTGCTCTGTGATATAGGAAAAGCACAAGAGCTCACAATGGTAATGACAATGATAGTAATAATACAAAACATTTCCATAAGGAGAATTTTGAAGATTTTAAAATATTTTCATAGCCTTCATATACTGGACACGAAAGAGTTAAACAACACATCCGAGGCTGCAGCATACTAGAGAAATGTGTGCAGCACAGCACAGTACGTGTCCTAAAGTCATTGACATCTACACTGCAGGGAAGGCTTTCTCAGGCTGTGACCAGCTGAAAGTTATTCACTTACAACCAAATCCAAAACAACCCAGGTGTCCCTTCCCTACTAGAAAAGGCTGCTACTTCTGGCTTTACAGGTAGGCACTTCACAGAGCATATATTAAAAGAGAACACACATTCTTAAAGTTGCAGCGGATCTAAAATTCTAGTCAGAACCAAATTAGAAACAGCGAGAATCAGAGCAATACAAATCCATGAATGTAGGAGGTATCATTTAAGAACATGCAGATAGAAAAAAGAGGGCTCCCTAAAGGTAATTTCAACCCTGGAACAAAGATGCATCCATTTTAATTCAACGGATATCAGGTAGAAACAGCATGGGGCACAGAAGATTAGTAGGGCAGCAAAAGAAAAAGTTTCCAAGAAAGATTAGGACAGAGGCAATTCCATAAGCCATAAATAGACAATTCTTAACTGTTGAGGTAAGGGAGATTCAACATTATGTGTAATGGGAAACATACAAGCTTATATTCACTGTATATAGAAAATTGAACATTTAGAAACTATTGAAATTATTCTAGACAAATGCAGTATACCTTAAGGCTTGGTTTTATAACAAGGCATATTTCTTTCTTTACGTTATCTTTTTAAAAAATGTATTTTACTTGAAGTTCCAGGGTACATGTGCAGTATGTGCAGTTTTGTTACATAGGTAAACATGTGTCATGGTGGTTTGCTATCAACCTATCACCTAGGTATTAAGCCCAGCATACATTAGCTATTTTTCCTGATGCTCTACCCACTCCCCTCACTCCCCCAACAGGCCCCAGTATGTATTGTTCCCCTCCCTGTGTCCATGTGTTCTCATTGTTCAACTCCCACTTATAAGTGAGAACACGTGGTGTTTGGTTTTCTGTTCCTGTGTTAGTTTGCTGAGGATAATGGCTAAAAGCTAGATATAACTTATTGACCCTACACACTTCATTGTGCTTCCCTCTCTTTCTGAGACCTTTAAATAATAAACTGTTTCTGTTATTTTATGTTGTTTTGTTCAGTTGTCTACTCTGTGTTTTACCTGAATGAAACACCCAAACTTCTTTCCCAGTTAGAACCTCCTATAGAGTCAATATCTTCGTAGGAATAAACTGGACTTCATTCAGCCATGAAGATATATTTCTCTATGGGTAGCACAGCACTTCTTCTCAACCCTAAACATTCAACACTGTGAAATCAGCAATGTTATGCCCACTTTACAGATAGAAAAAAGGTAATTGAGGCTTAGAGCTGGGACTTGAACTCAGGTTATCTGAGTGCAAACTCAGCATGTGTTTCATATACACATCTGTCTCTTTTTGGTACCTTGCAGTCAAATCCCTGGTAATTATTTAACTGAATGTCATACCTAGGAAGAACATTAACAAAGAATATTCAGGTCTATTCTTCAGACAAATTTACAGTCTACATGATTTTGCAGCAAATATCTCAGAAAATAACTCCTCCTTATCAGTCTATTCACATTTATGGGAAAATACCAACTTTTGTGGCAGGATTTTGAATACACAGAAAATGTAGCTTCTCAATGGGTTCACAGGAAATCTTATGGCATTATGTATTTAAAAAAATGTAGGTTACTATTTTTAGACTAATGGTTCCACCATTCTTTATAGCCTATACTTTACCATATCTTATTTTAATTTGATACCAGTATTTAATTAGAAAAATATTTCTAATGTTAATAAAAACAATTAAATGGTTGCTATGAAAGCAGCTTTACTGTTGACTCACTGATATTTGTGAATACAGCATATGTCATATGAATCTTGGGGTTTGAAAGTGCCTTATTAGGGATTTACTTCAACCGCCCACTGAAGTGCAATGAAAATGCAAACATGGATTGGATAGACCTGAATTTGAAATCCAGCTCTGGCACATATTAGCTGTTGGATGTTAACCTGTCTGAGGCTCAGTGTATTTATCTGTAATTAGGATTTACAGCAAATTATAATTTTATGTTGCCTTGGCATCCATTTTGAATATGTTTAATTTTTTCATATCAGGATGAGGGCATAGTCACCCTTGTTTACAGTTTTCCACCTCCATCTAGTTTCTTAATGTGTCCAATCCAGATATCTACTTTATACAACCAACTCCCGGTGACCATCTCCCTATGGAAAAGCCTAGATATAATCTATTGACCCCACACACCTCATCCACTGCTCAGATACGCCACAGTGACTGCCTCTCAGTCACGGTGGACTCCATGGAACTCATCCCCGCTTGCTCTAAACTCACCATCAGAACTCTCCGCAGGAAACCCACCTAAGTAATGCCATGGATTGTATTAAAGACTTCAGCACACAGATCTCTGGCTCACTCTCATTCACTTCCCACCCACTGGTTGGGCATGCATGTCCTGGACTAATCGCCTTTTCCCCTTGGTCCTCGGGGGTGTGCTTCCCTCTCTTTCTGGGACCTGTAAATAATAAACTGTTTCTGTTATTTTATATTGTTTTGTTGAGTTGCCTACTCTGTGTTTTACCTGAATGAACCACCCAAACTTAACTCTTTCCCAGTTAGGACCTCCTATAGAGTTGATATCTTGATAGGAATAAACTGGACACAGGTCGAACAAAAGTCACAAGGGTGTCTTAGTATAAAGAAGTTTCCAGAGGGATACCTTGTCACAGGTTGGACACTTAGGCATTAGGTAGTCTGCCAGAATAAAGAAATATCTGATGTAGTCATCCAAGACTAAGTCCCCTGAATTTCTGTTCAGGCAAGGCTAGAGCTTATGGCCACTATCATGAGACAGGCCTCAAGACCAAACTGGTAAAAAACATATACAATAGCATAGAGATAGGAAAACCCTGGCAAATTTTCAAATATATCAACTATGCCCTCTATGTGCACTTTATTCATATTTTGAACGTATTATAATATATACTTAATTATTTGTTGACTTTATTATCAGTCTTTACCACTCAAAGGAATGCTCCATGAGGTCAGAAAACACATCTGTTTGCCACTGCAACTCCCGTGTTGAACATTATCCTGGTGCACAGTTGATGACCATACCTTTTTACTAGCAGCTGGGAGGGAGAGATGGAAGAAAGGAAGGAGGGAGGGTAGGAGGGAGGAAGGAAGGAAGGAAGTAGAGAAGGAAGGAGTGAAGGAAGGAAGGAAAGATGGATGGAAGGAAGGTTGGTTGAAGGTTGGTTGTGGTGGCAATTAAATACTCCATTAACATTAATTGATATTATTATCATTTATGCAAGGCACGAATCTCTTACATTATGTTTATGAAAGGTGGGTATAATCTTTGAGGACAGTCTCCAGTGAAAACACATTTATAGTTCTTCAGGTGGCCCATTCCATATCCAGCGACTCCGAATGGCAGCATCATCTCTGCAAACCAGAGAAGAAATTTCCAGGTATTGGATCTTGTTCTCACTACTTATATTCCACAGAGCAAGTTTATTCTCCATTCACAGAAGTATCCTTCAAATATTTAAAGACAAAATGTTGTATCTGTTTCCTTAAGAAAACTCTTCTCTCTCTCCCTCTCTCTCTCTCTCTCTCTCTCACACACACACACACACACACACACACACACACACACACGCACCCCAGCACAGGCCTTATTTATTTAGTAGATTTTTTTCTTTGAATTTTGTTTTCGCTTAAAGTTACGGCTTCTTTTATCTGGTTAATTGAAACTCTTTTGGAGATAGTGTTCAGAGTTAGGTCCACAGATATGGTTTAACAGGCTAGAGGCGAATAGAACACTATAACCACATCTTTCCTTCTAGAATCTATACTTGCATTCATTTTATCTTCATGCTCTTCAGGCACTTGCCTACTAAGCTAGCCAATAGAGTGAAGGTGTATGTTGCAAATACTATATAACTTAGTACTTATAAAGTAGTGAGAGAGGCAAAAATATTCCAGAGAGTAACTTTAAAATAATAATGGGGAATTTAGCTAGGAGGGCCTAATGTATGAATGCAGTAGGAAGGTTATAAAGTTTCAGTGGAAGGAAAATGCACATTTGATTTGTAAAATGAAGGGAGAAGGAGACATTTTTAAAGAGGATATTGTGGTCTGTATTAGTCAACTTTTGTTGTGTAACAAACCATCCCAGAATCTCAGTTACAATAATTAATTATTTTTCTTGCTCAGAGGTCTGCAGCTCACTGGGAGAAGCTCTGCTTCAAGCTGAAGAATGGCTGGACTTTCCAGGCCTGAGGGTGAATTAATTCTACTCCACATATCTCTGCATTCTCCTTGAATCAGAAGATGTCAGCTGCCTTCTCATGTGAATCCAAGAGTGCAAGAGGGGAAGTAAAAGCTTATAATTATTTATCTTACCTTGGCTTAAGACAGTCTCAATCAAATAATAAAGTCCAAAGGCAACAGGATGGGGAAGTATTCTATACCTTTCTTTTTTTCTTCTTGTCATTATTCTCTTTTTTTTCATATATATTTTTATTATACTTTAACTTCTAGGGTACATGTGCACAACATGCAGGTTTGTTACATATGTATACATGTGTCATGTTTGTGTGCTGCACCCATTAACTCGTCATTTACATTAGGTGTATCTCCTAATGCTATCCCTCCCCGCTCCCTCCACCCCACAACATGCCCCCCTGGTGTGTGATATTCCCCTTCCTGTGTCCAAGTGTTCTCATTGTTCAATTCCCACCGATGAGTGAGAACATGCAGTGTTTGGTTTTTTGTCCTTGTGATAGTTTGCTGAGAATGATGGTTTCCAGCTTCATCCATGTCCCTATTAAGGACATGAACTCATCCTTTTTTATGCCTACATAGTATTCCATGGTGTATATGTGCCACATTTTCTTAATCCAGTCTATCACTGATGGACATTTGGGTTGGTTCCAAGTCTTTGCTATTGTGAATAGTGCCGCAATAAACATACGTGTATATGTGTCTTTATAGCAGCATGATTTATATTCCTTTGGGTATATACCCAGTAATGCAATGGCTGGGTCAAATGGTATTTCTAGTTCTAGATCCTTTAGGAATCGCCACACTGTCTTCCACAATGGTTGAACTAGTTTACAGTCCCACCAACAGTGTAAAACTATTCCTATTTCTCCATAACCTCTCCAGCACCTGTTGTTTCCTGACTCTTTAATGATTGCCATTCTAACTGGTGTGAGATGATATCTCATTGTGGTTTTGATTTGCATTTCTCTGATGGCCAGTGATGAGGAGCATTTTTTCATGTGTCTTTTGGCTGCATAAATGTCTTCTTTTGAGAAGTGTCTGTTCATATCCTTCATCCACTTGTTGGTGGGGTTGTTTTTTTCTTGTAAATTTGTTTGAGTTCTTTGTAGATTCTGGATATTAGCCCTTTGTCAGAAGAGCAGATTGCAAAATTTTTCTCCCATTCTGTAGGTTTCCTGTTCACTCTGATGATAGTTTCTTTTGCTGTACAGAAGCTCTTTAGTTTAATTAGATCCCATTTGTCAATTTTGGCTTTTGTTGCCATTGCTTTTGGTGTTTTAGACATGAAGTCCTTGCCCATGCCTATGTCCTGAATGGTATTGCCTAGGTTTTCTTCTAGGGTTTTTATGGTTTTAGGTCTAATATTTAAGTCTTTAATCCATCTTGAATTAATTTTTGTGTAAGGTGCAAGGAAGGGATCCAGTTTCAGCTTTCTACATATGGCTAGCCAGTTTTCCCAGCACCATTTGTTAAATAGGGAATCCTTTCCCCATTGCTTGTTTTGCTCAGGTTTGTCAAAGATCAGATAGTTGTAGATGTGTGGTATTATTTCTGAGGTCTCTGTTCTGTTCCATTGGTCTATATCTCTGTTTTGGTACCAGTACCATGCTGTTTTGGTTACTGTAGCCTTGTAGTATAGTTTGAAGTCAGGTAGCATGATGCCTCCAGCTTTGTTCTTTTGGCTTAGGATTGACTTGGCAATGCAGGCTCTTTTTTGGTTCCATATGAACTTTAGTTTTTTCCAATTCTGTGAAGAAAGTCATTGGTAGCTTGATGGGGATGGCATTGAATCTATAAATTATCTTGGGCAGTATGGCCATTTTCACAATGTTGATTCTTCCTATCCATGAGCATGGGATGTTCTTCCATTTGTTTGTGTCCTCTTTTATTTCGTTCAGCAGTGGTTTGTAGTTCTCCTTGAAGAGGTCCTTCACATCCATTGCAAGTTGGATTCCTAGGTATTTTACTCTCTTTGGAACCATTGTGAATGGGAGTTCACTCATGATTTGGCTCTCTGTTTGTCTGTTATTGGTGTATAAGAATGCTTTTGATTTTTGCATATTGATTTTGTATCCTGAGACTTTGCTGAAGTTGCTTATCAGCTTAAGGAGATTTTGGGCTGAGACTATGGGGTCTTCTAGATACACATTCATGTCATCTGCAAACAGACAATTTGACTTCCTCTTTTGCCTTTCTACTGTTGCATAATGGCACAATACAGAGGTTGGCGGCAAAGGATTGAGTGCACAAGGCATGAGTATCTAGTAGCAACTAACTCTTTCACACATAGGGTAGTAGTGGGGAAAATGTCTGACCAGACCAATTTGTGTTCCATGAAGTTGTATGTTGATCCCTGCCATGGACTCTGTGATGCACAAAGCCACCCCATTACCAATCAATGTCAAGAATAAGAAAATCACAGCTTTATGTACACATGAAATCTGTGTTAAAAATAGAGGCTGAGAAGTCCTGCCATCAAAAAGATTGAGAATGTTCTTAACAAAATGGTTTTATCATTAATTTCATGGTGTAAAATTATGTAATTTTGTAATTTTTGTAAAATAAGATAAATAGGTATTTATCTTATTCTTGGTAATATTTTGAATCTTTTGGTACAGTAACCTTTCAATGCAGTAAAATGTACTTGGAATTGCTTCAGAAGTAAATATAATGGAAAAACAGATTGTAACTTTTAGTTTTTAAAATAAATACATCAAGTAACAGTAATACAAAAGTGCAGTGATGAAACTAACATATGGAATTGTTTTTTAGAAAAAGAAAGTCAGCATGGCAATGTATGTTTTGTTTCTTTGCATTGTTAGGACTTCAGAAATGTCTGAGGTTTTGAAGAGTGGATATAAAAATTAATATAGAGGTTTTTAATGAGTATTAGATTTTTTAATGTCAGTCTTCTAAGTTTTGGTTGCATTTTGTTCAAAATCAGTTAAAAGCTGTAACCAAAATATTCTTAAATTGGCACATAAAAAATTTCAATTGTTTAAGCTTTAATCAAATAACAATTTTTGAAAGGAATTCAATTCAATTCGAAGTTATAACTTTGAAATTTATATCTATCAATGATGGGGGTAACTGGTAAGTTAAATTAGGAAGCTCAATTAGAATACAAGATTTAATTCTGATAGTTATGATTGTGCTTTGAGATATCTCAAATTATAGAAACAACCTATTGCTGAGGCCGTATTTTCTATTAGATAAATTCATATTCTTATTTGAAATAAAATTGCATTGTGAAAATCTGCAACTGTTGCAACATGTACATTTCTAGAATCATTGAAAGAATTATAAATAGAGACAGATTAATTTAAGGCCTTTGTGTTAAAAAGATATTCATCATAGGATGTTACTCTTAATGTAGTCAAAAAGAGAGTAAGTGAAAACAGTTGGTGTAAAATATTTATACATTTCATTATTAATTTATGAATTATGAATTTAGGCTCATTAGAAAGAGCAAGTTTCTCAAAAAATGACAAAACTGCAGTGAGAGAACACAGAACAGTGGTTGTTGGGGGTTAGGAGTGGAGGGAGAGTGTGACTACAAAGGACAAGTACAGAGCATTTTTGAGGTGAAAGACCTAATCTGACCCTAATTATATGAGTTGTTACATGAATCTATACATGTGTTAAAATTCTTACAAACGTACATCCAAAAAGTAAATATATGTGTATGATATTTAAAAAAATAAACTATATCATTCATTGCCTACAGTGAAAAATCAACTGCTATTACCAACAGTTTCAAATGTATTATCTTTAAAATGTAATCAATTAGGACAGCATGGAGTGGCTGGCAAGATGGCCAAATAGGAACAGCTCCAATCTGCAGCTCACAGCAAAATCAACACAGAATGCAGATGATTTCTGCATTTCCAACTGAGGTACCCAGCTCGTCTCATTGGTACTGGTTAGACAGTGGGTGTAGCCTATTGAGGGCAAGCAGAAGCAGGGTGGGGCATTGCCTCACCTGGGAATCATGAGGCATGGGGGAACTCCCTCCTCTAGCCAAGGGAAGCCATGAGGGACTGTGTCGTGGGGAACGGTGCATTCTGGCCCAGATACTACGCTTTTCTCATGGTCCTCACAACTCGCAGGCCAGGAAATTCCCTCTGGTGCCTACACCACCAGGGACTTGGGTTTCAAGCATAAAACTAGGCAGCTGTTTAGGCAGACACTGAGCTAGCTGCAGGAGTTTTTTTGTTTTGTTTCGTTTTGTTTTGATTTTCCATATCCCAGTGGTGCCTGTAATGCCAGTGAGGCAGAACCATTCACTCCCCTGGAAAGGGGACTGAAGCCAGGGAGCCAAGTGGTCTTGCTGAGCGGATCCCACCCCCATGAAGTCCAGCAAGCTAAGATCCACTGGCTTGAAATTCTCGCTGCCAGCACAGCAGTCTGAAGTCGACCTGGGATGCTCCAGCTTGGTTGGGGGAGGGGCGTCCACCATTACTGAGGCTTGAGAAGGCGGTTTTCCCCTCAGTGTAAACAAAACTGCCAGGAAGTTTGAACTGGGCAGAGCCTACTGCAGCTCAGCAAAACCGCTGTAGCCAGACTGCCTCTCTAGATTCCTCCTCTCTGGGCAGGACATCTCTGAAAGAAAGGCAGCAGCCCCAGTCAGGGGCTTACAGATAAAACTCCTATCTCATTGGTGTTGCGGGAAGTCAGGGACGCCAAATGGAGGGACCGGCTGAAGCCATGGCAGAAGAACGTGGATTGTGAAGATTTTGTGGACATTTATTAGTTCCCCAAATTAATATTTTTATAATTTCTTATGCCTGCCTTTACTGCAATCTCTAAACATAAATTGTGAAGATTTCATGGACACTTATCACTTCCCCAATCAATACCCTTGTGATTTCCTATGCCTGTCTTTACTTTAATCTCTTAATCCTGTCAGCTGAGGAGGATGTATGTCGCCTCAGGACTAAGTGATAATTGCGTTAACTGCACAAATTGTACAGCATGTGTGTTTGAGCAATATGAAATCTGGGCACCTTGAAAAAAGAACAGGATAACAGCAATTGTTCAGGGAATAAGAGAGATAACCTTAAACTCTCACTCTGGTGAGCCGGGCGGAACAGAGCCATATTTCTCTTCTTTCAAAAGCAAATGGGAGAAATATCGCTGAATTCCTTTTCTCAGCAAGGAACATCCCTGAGAAAGAGAATGCACGCCTGGGGGTGGGTCTCTGAACTGGCCCCCCCTGGGCGTGGCCGTCTCTCATGGTCGAGGCTGTAGGGGTGAAATAGACCCCAGTCTCCCACAGCGCTCCCAGGCTTATTAGGAAGAGGAAATTCCCACCTAATAAATTTTGGTCAGACCTGTTGATCTCAAAACCCTGTCTCCTGATAAGATGTTATCAATGACAATGGTGCCCAAAACTTCATTAGCAATTTTAATTTTGCCTCGGTCCTGTGGTCCTGTGATCTCACCCTGCCTCCACTTGCCTTGTGATATTCTATTACCTTGTAAAGTACTTGATGTCTGTGCCACACCTATTCGCACACTCCCTCCCCTTTTGAAAATCCCTAATAAAAACTTGCTGGTTTTTGCGGCTTGTGGGGCATCACGGAACCTACTGACACATGATGTCTCCCCCAGATGCCCAGCTTTAAAATTTCTCTCTTTTGTACTCTGTCCCTTTATTTCTCAAGTCGGCTGACGCTTAAGGAAAATAGAAAAGAACCTATGTGAATATCGGGGCAGGTTCCCCAGTAATTGGGACAGAGCACCTTGGGGAAGGGGCAGCTGTGGCCACAGCTTCAGCAGACTTAAACATTCCTGCCTGCCAGCTCTAAAGAGAGCAGCAGATCTCCCAGCACAGTGCTCAAGCTCTGCTAAGAGACATTCTGCCTTCTCAAGTGGGTCCCTGACCCCCATGCCTCCTGACTGGGAGACACTTCCCAGCAGGGTTCGACAGACACGTCATACAGGAGAGCTCCAGCTGGCATCTGGCGGGTGCCTCTCTGGGAAGAATCTTCCAGAGGAAGGAACAGGCCACCATCTTTGCTGTTCTGCAGGCTCCGCTGGTGATACCCAGGCAAACAGGATCTGGAGTGGACCTCCAGCAATCTCCAGCAGACCTGCAGTAGAGGGGTCTGATTATTAGAAGGAAAACTAACAAACAGAAAGGAATAGCATCAATATCAACAAAAAGGACATCCACAGAAAAACCCTATCCGAAGCTCACCATCAAAGACCAAGGTAGATAAATCCACGAAGATGAGAAAAAAAACAGAGCAAAAAGGCTGAAAATTCCAAAAACCAGAACACCTCCTCACCTCCAAAGGACCACAACTCCTCGCCAACAAGGGAACAAAACTGGACAGAGAGTGAGTTTGACAAATTGGCAGAAGTAGGCTTCAGAAGCTGGGTAATAACAAACTCCACTGAGCTAAAGGAGCATGCTCTAACTCAATGCAAGGAAGCTAAGAACCTTGATAAGAGGTTAGAGGAATTGCTAACTAGAATAAGCAGTTTAGAAAATAACCTAAATGGCCTGATGGAGCTGAAAAACACAGCACACGAACTTTGTGAAGCATATACAAGTATCAATAGCTGAATCGATCAAGTGGAAGAAAGGATATCAGAGATTGAAGATCAACTTAATGAACTAAAGCATGAAAACAAGATTAGAGAAAAAAGAATGAAAAAGAACGAACAAAGCCTTCAAGAAATATGAAACTATGTGAAAATACCAAAGCTACATTTGATTGGTGTACCTGAAAGAGACAGGGAGAATGGAACCAAGTTGGAAAACACTCTTCAGGATATTATCCAGGAGAACTTCCCAAACCTAGCAAGGCAGGCCAACATTCAAATTCAGGAAATACAGAGAACACCATAAAGGCACCCATTGAGAAGAGCAACCCCAAGACACATAATTGTCAGATTCACCAAGGTTGAAATGAAGGAAAAAAATGTTAAGGGCAGCCAGAGAGAAAGGTAGGGTTACCCACAAAGGGAAGCCCATCAGACTAACAGTGGATCTCTCTGCAGAAACCCTACAAGCCAGAAAAGAGTGGGGGCCAATATTCAACATTCTTAAGGAAAAAAGTTTTCAATCCAGAATTTCATATCCAGCCAAACTAAGCTTTATAAGCAGAGAAATAAAATCCTTTATAGACAAGCAAACAATGAGAGATTTTGTTACCACCAGGCCTGCCTTACAAGAGCTCTTGAAGGAAGCACTAAATATGGAAAGGAAAAACCAGTACCAGCCACTGCAAAAACATACCAAATTGTAAAGACCATAGACACTGTGAAGAAACTGCATAAACTAACGGACAAAATAACCATCTAGCATCATAATGTTAGGATCAAATTCACACATAAAAATATTAACCTTAAATGTAAATGGGCTAAATGCCCCAATTAAAATACACAGACTGGCAAATTGGATAAAGAGTCGAGACCCATTGGTGTGCTGTATTCAGGAGACCCATCTCACATGCAAAGACACATATAGGCTCAAAATAAAGGGATGGAGAAGATTTACCAAGGAAATGGAAAGAAATAAAAAAAGCAGGGGTGGCAATCCTAGTCTCTCAGAATTAGAAAAAAACTACTTTAAATTTCATTTGCAACCAAAAAAGAGCCTACATAGGCAGAAAAATCCTAAGCAAAAAGAACAAAGCTGGAAGCATCACGCTACCTGACTTCAAACTATACTATAAGGCTACAGTAATCAAAACAGCATGGTACTGGTACCAAAACAGATATATAAACCAATGGAACAGAAGAGAGGCCTCAGAAATAACACCACACATCTACAACCATCTGATCTTGACAAACCTGACGAAAACAAGGGATGGGGAAAGGATTCCCTGTTTAATAAATGGTGTTGGTAAAACTGTCTAGCCATATGCAGAAAACTGAAACTGGATCCCTTCCATACATCTTATACAAAAATTAACTCAAGACTTCAACCTAAGACATAAAACCATAAAAACCCTAGAAGAAAACCTAGGCAATACCATTAGGGACATAGGGATGGGCAAAACTTCATGACTAAAACACCAAAAGCAACGGCAACAAAAGCCAAAATTGACAAATGGGATCTAATTAAACTAAAGAGCTTCTTCACAGCAAAAGAAACTATCATCAGAGTGAACAGGCAACCTACAGAATGGGAGAAAATTTTTTCAATCTTCCATCTGACAAAGAGCTAATATCCAAAAAATACAAGGAACTTAAATTTATAAGGCAAAAACAACCCCATCAAGAAGTAGGGGAAGCAGATGAACAGACACTTCTCAAAAGAAGACATTTATGCAGCCAACAAACATATGAAGAAAAGCTCATCATCACTGTTCATTAGACAGATGTAAATCAAAACCACAATGAGATACCATCTCATGCCAGTTGGAATAGCAATCATTAAAAAGTCAGGAAACAACAGATGCTGGAGAGGATGTGGAGAAATAGGAACACTTTTACACTGTTGGTGGGAGTGTTAGTTAGTTCAACCATTGTGGAAGACAGTGTGGTGATTCATCAAGGATCTAGACCCAGAAATACCATTTGACCCAGCAATCCCATTACTGAGTATATACCCAAAGGATTATAAATCATTCTACTATAAAGACACATGCACATGTATGTTTATTGTGGCACTATTCACAATCGCAAAGACTTGGAAACAACCCAAATGTCCATCAATGACAGACTTGATTAAGAAAATGTGGCACATATACACCATGGAATACTATGCAGCCATAAAAAAAGGATGAGTTCATGTCCTCTGCAGGGACATGGATGAAGCTGGAAACCATCATTCTCAGCAAACTAACACAGGAACAGAAAACCAAACACCACATGTTCTCACTCATAGGTGGAAGTTGAACAATAAGAACACATGGACACAGGGAGGAGAACATCACACATAGGGACCTGTCAGGGGGTGGGGGTCTAGGGGAGGGATAGCATTAGGAGAAATACCTAATGTAGATGATGGGTTGATGAGTGCAGCAAACCACCATGGCATGTGTATACCTATGTAACAAACCTGCACATTCTGCACATGTATTCCAGAACTTATAGTATAATAAAAAATAATAATAGTAAAAATAATAATAACTTACCAAAAATATCCTAATAAGAATATTTTCTAGATTCTGGAACAACCATGAAACTCTTAAGTATACAAAGAAACACTAATTATTCTGCTTCTATTGAATTTAATGTTCAGATAATCAAATTAAAAAGAGGATTTTAAGTTTTTCTTTAATATGCACATTATTTCTTAATTTTTAGAAAAATTACTTTTGAATTAGATTTTATTAGAATTATTATGTCTATCAACATATAAAACTCAATTTGTGGGTCAATAATATTCCAAAGCATAATACAATTTTAATTATCAGTCTTCTCTTTTTCTCCCAAATGCATCCCAGTCTGCATGACAAATTATATTGTTCTTCTACACACCCACCTAGTTCTGTCATATCTCTTAGTTACCTTCTTAGCAATATTCTCTATGTGAATCTCCTTTTTCCTTTGTCCATCTGACAAACCCCCATTCATCCTTTACGTTTCAAGTCACCTCTGAGCAACTAAGTGATGACTAATTTCTAAATCAGTAACTGAGTGTCCATAACACCTCGGTATATCTGAATTTAATATTTATTATTCTGAGCAGTTGTCATGCATTTAATTTCATGACTTGTTGGTGGGTGGTACCTTGTGGGAAAGCTGTGAGGAGGAATCTTGTCTTATTCGTTTTCTCCTTTTGTCACTTTATGTACTGCCTGACAATGGTTAATTACTCAGCAGATACTTGTTTAGTAAATACATTTAAGTCCTATATAATAAATAATATCAGAATATTTCATTTACTTCAATATTATGAAATAAAGCATATAATTTAATGTGATTTATTTTAATATACTCAAAGGAAAATAAAACGCAGTTACCTAATGACAAGTTATATTTATAACCTATGTTATAATGCTTTTGTGAGGGTTGTTGTTATGGAAAGCATAATTCTGTATTTTGTAGGTCAGTAGCATCATACACACGCACAGGTAATATGATCTCTTATATTGCACAGGTATATAATACTCTATTATATAAAAATACGAGTCTGTGGTGTAAAACAAGTAAATCTTGCTGGGATATTTCATTAGTGAACTTTGAAAATCCATGAGCAAATAGAAAACCCCAGGCCTTATATTTACATAATTTTCATTTCAAGAAAAATCTATGCACTATTAAGCACCCAGAATTGTTCAAGGCTTGGAAATATTCCATTAAAATACAAGTAATTTTGTTGTTGGTATTGTGATTTTATCCCCCTTTCACCAAGTGCATAGTAGCTTTATGGTTAAGAAGGATCCAAAACTACTCTCGGCTTAAAGGGCATCCCAGCTGTTGAGTTCTTTTTTTTTATTCTTCTTGCTGCCATGATTAGTTTAAAAATGTCAGTGAGCAAACTTTATCCAGTGCTGAATCCCTTTATGTATGTGAATGCTGTGTTGTATGGATGTGAAGTCCGGAACTGCTCATTACACTTGGATGCCATGGAGGAAGTCAATGTAGCCTATGCATAAAAAAGGAAAGAAAAAAAATTGAATCAGAGCCCTCATTAAACTATGCCTGAAGCCTGATATCTCTATGACATTTTCAGTCTTACTATTGTAAAAAAAAAAAAATTTCTTTGCTGGAACAGAAATGATCTCAATTGATTCGTACATAGTATTATTAAGAATTCCTTTGTGAGTTCTCCAATCTGAAATGGCAGTTACTCTAATACCCAAGACTTGAATTACATGTGACTGACCTGGTGGAAGCCATGTTACCCAGAAGTGAGGGAATCGTGAGGATTACCTACTTTTCAGCAAGAAGAGCTCATTAGCCCACAGCTAATATACCATGCATTTGATTAAACGGCTGTGAGAGGAACCATATATGTCCAGTAAGTAGAAATGTTCTCCTTGGGAATCATCAATGCTAGCAATAATTAACACCATACTATAAAATAAAAAGAAAGAATGAAGTCCATGCACCCTCATGTACCTCCCATTCTCTTTTAATTCTCAGTCCAGATCATAGAATGGAAATAAAAAGTTCAAATAATCTGAAGGTTTGTCAACAGGCATATTGAAGGGAGTGTGGTATAAAAGAAGACAGGAAAATTAATTACTATTAAACAAGGTTAAATGCCATACATTTTGAAAAAGGATCAGATTATATGAGATCTGATTGTTTTAGATTAAATGTACTATGCTTTTTACCTGTGCGTGAATATAAGTAACTCAGTTTCCCATGTAGTTAATAAATTCATTTTCACTTGCTTCCTATGAAACTAAATGTCTGGCGGCAGCAGCAATCTCTGGGGCTTTACAAGTGGCTTTTATTCCCTGAGATAAACACTATCTTCTTGATTTCTGCTTTTGTATTTTCATTTGCTCTAGAGGTAAGTTCTATTTGTGAAAGGCTGTGCAGACTTTCCTGAGTACCATCTTCTGGGCATTTTCAATTCTTGAGTTTAGAAAAGAAGATAAACATTTTCACAGTTTTGATCACTAAGAAGAATTCATCCAAAATCTGTCAAAAATAACCATAACATGAACATTTTAGGCAGGACTTTAACGTTTCTGGAAAATACATTCTCCTAGGACTCTGCTTTTTCTGGCAAGGCAAAGCTTTTGAGTTTATCAAAATCTTTCTCAGCAGTGCTGCTCAAAATTATGATTAGTGTCCTCTGTATTTGGGAGGTACATGTGTTGTTAATGTCTATGGAGAAAATATCAAGTGAGAATGCTTTTGAGGAGCCAGGCACATGTAATGACAAGAATGACAAAATTCAAGATACATTTTGTGAATAAACATTAAAAAATTTGCCATGACTTTTAATAAATTATTTGAATCTATTTAAATAACATGATTATATGATCTCCAAAATCAATCTTCAAATGTTTTTATTGTTTACTAAAGTTCACCTGTGCTTTTTGTATGTTGATCTTACAAAAACTATTTCATCCGTGGAAGAGATTAAATGTACAGCATACTTGGTGCTTCCTGGTTTGGAAATCAATTCAAAGCAATATCAAGTCTTGAAATTTTACAAAGTTTGTGGCAAACCCATGAGGCCACACCAAAAGAAACTATTTTTAGATCTTAGAAAATCACGTTTAAAAGTGATTTCATTTCATGAAATACTGTCTTCAACTCCCTTGTTTCTACGACACTGAGTTTATTTTTGATTGTTGTATCTACAGAAATGCTGGTCAAGCAAGAAAGTATGGTTTTATGTTTTTATTCTCTATGAAACTAGAACATGAAGAACACAACACCTAACATTTATTTTTCACAATTATAATATTAATTTTTGATGAGGGTGTTTTCTGGGAATCACTGAAGGTAGCTGAATTGGGTTGGGTTGCCTAAATTCATCTGGGAATGCAGGATGTCTATGAATAATCAGTTGGTCTGCATGAACATTTTTTTTTCTCTAAATGACACCACATAAGGAAAAATATAAAGATGAAAGGGCTTCGCCTTACCTCCATTTTTGAATGCCAACTGCTTGACTTACATTAACTTATTTACTCCTCACAAGGAGTAATACTATCATTAGCCCCATTTGGTGAGAAAATTTCTTCTTATAGATTTACCCAAGTCCACACCTGAAGGGAGAGATTGAAGCTCCATTTTTTTTTCTTTTCTTTTTCCCATTTCCATAGGTTATTGGGGAACAGGTAGTGTTTGGTTACATGAGTAAGTTCTTTAGTGGTGATTTGTGAGATTTTGGTGCACCCATCACCCGAGAAGCATACACTGCATCCTATTTTTAGCCTTTTATCTGTCACCCCCTTCCCCACTTTCCCCCTAAATTCCCAAAGTCCATTGTCATTCTTATACCTTTGCATCCTCATAGCTTAGATCTCACTTATAAGTAAGAACATACAATGTTTGTTTTTCCATTCCTGAATTACTTCGCTTAGAATAATAATCTAGTCTCATCCAGGTTGCTGTGAATGCTGTTAATTCATTCATTTTTATGGCTAAGTAGTATTCCATCATATATATATATATATATATCTCATATATACATCATATATATGATATATATCATTATATACCTTATGTATTATATATGTCATTATATACATATTATATATAATATATTATATATATTTTATATATATAATATATAATATATATGACTCATTCAACAGGAAGACTTACCTATCCTAAATATATATATGCACTCAAATGGAGCACCCAGATGAATAAAACAAATGCTTTTAGGCCTACAAAAAGACTTAGGCGACTGCACACAATAATAGTTATGAACTTCAACACCCCACTGACAGTATTAGATAGAACATTGAGGCAGAAAACTTACAAAGATATTCTGGATTAAATTAAATACTTGACCAATTGCACCTAATAGACATCTACAGAACACTCTACCTATCAAGCACAGAATATACATTCTTCTATGTACATGGGACATACTCTAAGACTGATCACATCCTTGGCCATAAAGAAAGTCTCAATAAATGAAAAACATGGAAATCCAAACAATCATACTCTCACACCATATTGGAATAAAAAGAGAAATCAATACCAAGATCTCTTGAAACCAGACAACTACATGGAAATTAGACGATTTGTTTCTAAATATCTTTTGGTTAAACAAAGTAATTAGGAAGAAATTTTTAAAAATATTTGAAGCAAATGAAAATTGAGACACAACATACCAAAATCTCTGGGATGCAGCAAAAGCAGTATTAAGAAGAATGTTGAAATCAGTAAATGCCTACATCAAGAAGTTAGAAAGATCTCAAATCAACAACCTAACATCACAACTAGGCAAACTACAAAAATATATAATATATATGATATATATATAATGTGTGATATATAATATATATCATATATGATATAATACATGATATATATCATATATGATATATATTATATATATGATGTATATATGATATCACAGTTTGATATCATAGTTTCTTTATCCACTCATTGATTGATGGGAACTTGGGTTGGTTCTATGTTTTTGCAATTGCAAATTGTACTGCTATAAACATGTATATGCAAGTATCTTTTTTGTATAATCCACATCACCTCTTTTACTTCATTTCATCTAAGGTAAGCTAGATTACTAACATGCAACAAGTCTTTTCTTGTTTTTCATTTCAAAAAATCAACTTTCAGTTGTGTTGATCCTTTGTATGGATTTGTATATCTCAATTTTGTTCAATTAGGATCTGATTTTAGTTATTTATTTTCTTCTACATTTATTTTCTTCTACAGAAGAATGTATATTCTGTGCTTGATAGGTGGAGTGTTCTGTAGATGTCTATTAGGTGCAATTGGTCAAATGTTTAATTTAATCCAGAATATCCTTGTAAGTTTTCTACCTCAATGTTCTATCTAATACTGTCAGTAGGGTGTTGAAGTTCATAATTATTATTGTGTGCAGTCGCCTAAGTCTTTTTGTAGGCCTAAAAGCATTTGTTTTATTCATCTGGGTGCTCCATTTTAAGTGCATATATAAATTTAGGATAGGTAAGTCTTCCTGTTGAATGAGTCATTTATCATTACCTAATGCCCTTCTTTGTCCTTTTTTACTGTTGTTCACTTAAAGTCTGTTTTATCTTATATTAGAATAGTGATCTCTGCTCTTTTGATTTCTGTTCATGTGGTAGATCTTTTTCCATCCCTTTACTTTGACCCTATGGGTGTAATTACATGTGAGATGAATCTCTTGAAGAAATCAAGTGGATGGATGTTGTTTTTTCATCGCTTTTTCACTCTATGCCTTTTAAGTGGTGCATTTAGACCATTTACATTAAAGGTTAGTATTGATATGTGAGGTTTTGATTCCACTGTGACGTTGTTAACTGGTTGCTTTGAGTATTTGGTTTATAGGGTCTGTGGGCTCTGTACTTAAGTGTGTTTCTGTGGAGTAGGTATTAAAACTGAGTAAGAAAAAAAAAATGACCAACCAAAAAATAGCCTGAAACCACAGGGTTTCATTGCCACATTCTGCCAAAGTTACAAAGAAGAGGTAGTACCAATCCTCCTGAAATTATTTTAAAAAATTAAAGTAGAGGACTCCTTCCAAACTTATTCTATGAAACCAATATCACTCCGATAGCAAAAACTGAGAGTAGCACTTATTAAGCAAAAGTAAAGCCCTCAGCAAAGAGAGGTAACCTGAAAGCAAGGTTCCAGAAGTGGGGCTGAGTTCTGGGTCTTTTATATTGCAAGAGCTTCATGGAAGTCTTCTGTGGGTTCTGCAAAGACACAACAATAAAAGAACACTACAGGCCAATATCCCTGATGAATATAGATGCAAACATTTTCAAGAAAACACTAGTAAATTGAGTCCAGCAACACATCAATTTTTTTTTTTTTTTGAGACGGAGTTTCACTCTTGTTGCCCAGGCTGGAGTGCAATGATGTGATCTCAGCTCACCACAACCCCTGCCTCCTGGGTTCAAGAGATGCTCCTGCCTCAGCCCCCTGAGTAGCTGGGATTACAGGCACCCACCACCATGCCCGACTAATTTTGTATTTTTAGTAGAGACAGGGTTTCTCCATGTTGGTCAGGCTGGTCTTGAACTCCCGACCTCAGGTGATCCACCCACCTCCACCTCCCAAAGTGATGGGATTACAGGCATGAGCCACTGCACCTGGCCCAAGAATTTAATTCATCATAACCAAATAGGCATTATTCCTGGGATGCAAGATTGGTTACACTTATGGAAATCAATACATGTGGTTCACCATATAAATGGAACTAAAAACAAAAACCATAAGATTGTCTCAATAGACACAAAAAAGCTTTCAATAAAATACAACATCCCTTTATGATAAAAATCCTCAGCAAACTAGGCATTGAAGGAACATACCTCAAAATAACAAGCCATCTAAGACAAACCCACAGCCAACATCATTATGAACAGGGAAAAGCTGAAAGTATTCCTCTTGGAATAAGACAAGGATGTCCACTCTCCTCATTCCTATTCAACATACTATTAGAAGTGCTAGCAAGAGTAATCACGCAGGAAAAAGAAATATAAGACATTCAAATAAGAAAAGAAGAAGTCATATTATATCTTTTCATTGATGATATGTTTCTATATCTAGAAATCCCTAAAGACTGTCAAAAGGCTCCTGGAACTCTTAAACAACTTCGGTAAAGTTTCAGGACACAAAATCAATGTATAAAAATCAATAAACTTTCTATACATCAAGAATGTTCAACTTGAGAGCATAATCCATTTATAACAGCCAAGAACATAATTCTTGTATAATAGCCACAACATAGTAAAGTATCTAGGAATACATCTAACAAAGGAGGTGAAAAATCTCTACAAGGAGGACTACAAGACACAATAAAAGAAATCATAGATGACACAAAGAAGTGGAAAAACATAACATACTTATGGATTGGAAGAATCAATATTGTTAAAATGGCCATATTTCTCAAAACAATCTACAGATTCAATGCTATTTCTATGAAACTTCCAATGTCACTTTTCAAAGATTTAGAAAAAAAGTCTAAAATTCATGTGTAAGCAAAAGGAGTCTAAATAACCAAAACAATTCTATGCAAAAAGAACAAAGCTGGAGGCACTACATTATCTGACTTAAAACTATACTATAAGAATACAGTAACCCAAACAGCATGGTACTAATATAAAAACAGATGCACAGACCAAGGCAACAGAATAGAGAACCTAGAAATAAAAATGCACAGCTACAACCATCTGGTCTTTAATGAAGTCAAGAAAAATAAGCAAAGGAAAAATGTCTCCCTATTCAATAAACGGTACCGGGATAACTGGCTAGTAATATGCAGAAGAGTGAAACGAGACCCCTACTTTCACCATCTAAAAAATTAAATCAAGATGAATTAAAAATTTAAATGTAAGACCTAAAACTATAAGAACTCTAGAAGAAAATTTAGAAAATACCATTCTGGACATTGACCTCAGGAAAAAATATGACTTAAACCTCAAACGCAATTGTAACAAAAACAAAAATTGCCAACTGGGACCTAATTAAACTAAAGAGCTTCTGAACAGCAAAAGAAACTATCAACAAAGTAAACGGACAACCTACAGAATGGGAGAAAATATTTACAAACTATGCCCCTCACAAAGATCTAACATCCAGAATCTATAAGGAACTTAAATAATTGAATGAGAAAAAAAAAAAACATAGCCACATTAAAAAATGGACTGAAGACATAAACAGACACTTCTCAAAAGAAGACATACAAGTGGCCAACAAACATGAAAAAAACGCTCAATATAACTAACTATCAGATAAATGCAAATCAAAATCACAACAAGATGCCATCTTGTTGCAGCCTGCTTCATCCCTAATTCAGCTAGATCTGAGTTCTTGTCCCATGACCAAGAAGAAGAAGGCACATGAACACTGGAGAGTGAGTAGAGTAGCCCTTAATAAGCAAAAGGAAAGCTCTCAGCAAAGAGAGGGGACCTGAAAGCAAGGTGCCAGAAGTGGGGCTGAGGGCTGAGTTCTGGGTCTTTTATGTTCAAGAGCATGGAAGTCTTCTTTGGGTTCTGCCCAAAATGGGAGGGTTAAAGTTCTCTCCTAAGGGTGTTGCATCTGCACATGCCTGGGGTTGGCCAGAGTGACTTCATCTTAGTTACTACCCATGAGTGCCTAAGTGAAACATATGGTGGGGCTAAAATCTCAATGCTAATGTCACATTAATAACATTATAATGAGTTGGATCAAGTTAAGGACATTTAGGTTGATTTATTGCCCCTGCACCTAAGTTGGGACAGTCCTTTCTGAGCAACACCCTAGCATAAGGGAATGATCTTAACTACATTTCTTCCGATTAGCTACAGGGCCAGTGCAGCTGCAGTCATGTAAGTAATTTTCTACTCCAAAGACCCTCCCTCTCTATCTACCTAACCAGCCTCTAACTGCCTCCTCTCTCAATCTCATACCAGTCAGAAAGGCTATTATGAAAAAGTTAAAAATAATAGATGCTTGTGAGGCTTGGAGAAAAGGGAATACTCATACATTGTTGGTGGGAATGTAAATTAGTTCAGCCTTTATGGAAAGTAGTAGGGAGATTTCTCTAAGAACTTAAACCAAGACTACTATTCAACCCAGCAATCACATTAGTGAGTATATACCCAAAGGAAAACAAATCATTCTACTGAAAAGACACATGCACTCACGTGTTCATAAGAACACTATTCACAATAGCAGACATGGAATCAACCAAGCTAGCCATACATAGTGGATTGGATTTAAAAATATATATATAGCACATATACCCACCCATAGAGTACTATGCAGCCATAAAAAAGAACTGAATCAGGTCCTTCACAGTAACATGTGTGGAGGTGGAGGTCATTAACTTAAGCAAATTAATGCAAGAACAGTAAACCAAATACCACATGTTCTCACTTATTAGAGGAAGCTAAACACTGGGAACACATGACACAAAGATGGAAACAATATATAATGGGGACTCCAAAAACAGGAAAAGGGGAAGGGGTGAAAGGGTTGAAAATGTACCCATTGGGTGCTATGCTCATGACCTGTGTGACGGATCATTTGTAGCCTAAACTTCAACATCACACAATATACTAATGTAACAACTTGCACAAGTACCCCTCTATCTATAATAAAAGTTGAAATTTTTTTAAATGTCTTTTTAATTTTAGTCTCAAGATATATTTGAGGAAGAATCTATGGGGAAGTGATTTGAAAACTCTAGGAATAAAGTGCTGGGAACTCAAGTAAAAAATGAATCTTCCTGCAGGTCTATACCAAAGGCAAGTTTAACTTTTGTATAATATCAAATATTCCTATAACACATTGCTCGTATTTTTCCATGTGCACATGAAAAAAATACATAAACAGACAAATTATGGAGGTGCATTGCTGTTTGCAACACAGTTAAAACGTGCAAGAACTTTGTCAAACAAATTTAGCAAGTAATAAAAAAATTATTGGAATTCACCATCCCACAAAAACCAGCTTTTTTTCTCTTTTAGCACAGTAGTGACTTTCAGTTCTTTTCAGTTAGAGCTGAAAAGAACAAAATATACAATATGAAGTCTCAACTACCAGTAAGTCCTTCCTAAACACCTTCTGGCTTTGTGATTTCTTTTCCCTCAGTCTTTTGAAATAAGTTTCATTTGGAATACACCCTGAAAGCCAACTGTGTGAGAAAATGTTCACAATGTTCTTATAATTTTTAATCTATTTTCTAAACCAATCACCAATCATGTCATATAAAAAACTGTTGAGTGCCACCCAGAGGCAAACGTTTTATATTAATGTTGAAATACTCAGTGATTTCTTAGAAAATCAAATACCTCTAAATTTTAAAAGATTACATTAATGACTAAAGGGCAACATTACTAAACCTTTATTTCTCCCTTTAGAATATTAGGAACTGCAAATTGGTTACATCCACTTTTGGAAAATGCCCTGCTATGCAATAATCCAATCCCTTCAATTAAGCCCATTAAAAAAAATTCAAAACTAATTATAATTTCTTTGGGAATTTTTATTTTCAGTCACTTGCTTTGTAATAGGTTCCAAAAATATTGGTTGTATATGACTTAGAGCAAATTTTACAAATGTAGAAATTTATTTCAGTGTTTACAACTTCAGCTACATGTAATTTCAGTAAATTTTTTAGAATATTATCTTTTTGTACTCTTCTACTCATAATCACCTGCTACTGGGTATTATTTTAGTAATTTCTATAACTTTCATTTATATTTTCACCCAAAACATAACATGAAATACTAATATAAATAATAAATTATATTTGATTGCACCTATTATATCTTTATTCAACACACACACACTTTTTTTTCTGACAGATTAAAAGCTCTTGAGGGCAGAAAAATATTTAATTCCTTTCAGTAATACTGCTTAGAGGCATTCAATATATATGGTTAAGTGACTAGAATTAAGCAGAATTCTGTCATCAGGAGGGCTACAAATAAAGGGGCAAATAAATTGATGTAAAGAAGAGAGATCTCTTGGGAAAGCACTTACTTAAGCAACTTCAACTATATAGTGCCTTATCACTGCACTACAAAATACGGTGGTGGAAAAAATCACAGTGGAAAAGATGGATTCCTTAACTTCTGATTTGGAGCTAATGCTTTGATTCAGCCTAGATATAATGTAAAGCCAGGAGTAATAAGAATCATGGTAGCCATTGTTAACGTATCTTATGCTTTAAGGAAGCCAACTTTCTATAATTAGACTCATATAATTAAATCAGACCAATAATAGGTCAAACTTGAGTTATGTTTAAAACAATGATATTTATTGTGTTTGACTTAAAAATATTATAAGGATTTGACAAAAAAACTTTAATAATCATTATATATTAGTGGTGCCATTATTAAAGGTTAAGTGCAAAACTACACTGGAAATTGACTTGTGAGAAGATTGTATGCTGAGAAGGTCTGCTCATCAGACTTCATGGAGCATTTAACATATTAATACATTTTGAATTAAGAATACTTTTAAAAATATATTTTCCCCTCAGATATTAGCCTATTTTTCTTAGTTCATCAACCTTGTTCCTGACATGGTCACTAACACTACATGATGCTGTATAATGCTACATAAGTTTTGGATTATTTAATGGAAGTGAAAATAATTTTGAAGTATATTTTCAAATATAAGAAAATGTTCAATGTCTCTTGCAGTCAAGTGAATAAGAATGCTCAGGCCAAAGCTGAGATTAACTGGCTTGTAACATTTTTGGTCCTCTTTATAGGTCTCAAAGAACATTCAATAAATTATTTCAAAGTCAATGGCATTAAATTGCATGTACAATACAATAATGTAAAATTTTAAATTCATTATTATTGTTTTTAATAATCTGTTGTTAATAAAATGAAATGATTTTACATAAGCATGCAGGTTATTTAGTTGTATTTAAATAATTATTGCTCTAGTCTGAATGTTCATGTTCCTCAAAATTCATATGCTAAAATCTGAACCCCCATGATGGTATTAGAAAGTGGGGCCTTTGGGAAGTGATGAGATCATGAGAGTAGAGCCCATATAAAAGAGACCCCAGAGAGCTAACTCGTTCCTTCTACCATATGAGGACACAGGAAGACAACGCTGTTGGCTGGGCGTGGTGGTTCATGCCTATAATCCTAGCACTTTGGGAGGCTGAGACGAGTGGATAGCTTGAGCTCAGGAGTTCAAGACCAGCCTGGGCAACATGGTGAAACCCCATTTCTACCAAAAATACAAAACCTTATCCAGGCATGGTGGCATGCATCTGTGGTTCCAGCTTGGAGGCTGAGGAGGGAGGATGTCTTGAGCTCAGTGGGTGAAGGCTGCAGTGAGCCGAGATGGTGCCACTGCACTCCAGCCTAGGAGACATAGTGAGACCCCATCTCAAAAAAAAAAAAAAAAAAAAAAAGGTGCTGTCTGTGAACTGGGAAGAGAGTTCTTACCAGGCATTGAATCTACTGGTGCTTCGATCTTGGACATCCCAGCCACCAGAACTGTGAGAAATAAATTTATCCAGTTTACAATTATACTAAGACAGTTAACTATTTTATTTTGTTACAAGTAGTAAATAAACTTTAATTAATTCAGTTAAACATACATTATTTGGATTTTGTTCACAAGAAACAAGTAAATATTTGGTTTTGTATTAGACAGATTGATGTTTTGTCTATCAGTCATTTCCCTTCATTAATAAGCATCACCTATTTTTATTTGGAGATCTACCTGGCCCTCATTCAAAGCCATTTTAATTTGAATAGAGCTAACATTAAACCCTACCTCCAAGAATGCCACATGGGCCAGGGTAAAATCAATATGAGTATTCATACCTCTGGCAAAAGAATTGCTTTCAAGTACAAATGTGTAACTTAATTCTGCCTAATAATGATTCACCCTGGTCATCTGAACTACTGAGAAAAATGAATTCTTATTCTCAGAATCTTTAGCCAGTAAACTATATTTTTAAGCCGAAAAAGCTAGTAACCATCTTGTCACCTTTTGAATACTTTGTAGGAAGCAGATACTAAAGAAAGCTGAGATACAGAGTGATAGATTTCCAATGAACTGGGTTCAGCACACCTGAAGCAGCACTGTGGACATTGCAAGACACTTTCCCATTATCTGTTTCAGCTTTCTTCCATTATATGGAAACCATATCATTTTTGTGGAACTGACTATAAACCCAGTTTGAAGAATGGGTTGTGACTGCCCCATTCCACCAAGCTTAATCATATTCCACAAGCCATAATGACTAGTTCACAGATGGATATTTAACCCATAATTAAATTAATCAATAGATAGCATCTTTTTGTTCACAGTGATGGACTCAGGATTAGAAAAATGTCATAACTTGATCTAAAAATATTAGATTTTAGGAATTTGGATAAAGGTTGTGGGAAAAAGTTTTGTCTTCCTCTTGGACATTCAATGCACATCAGTGTGAGGCTTGGATTTGCTTCAGGCATTTGGCCACCATCATAAGCCTCAACTTCATGATGAAACTGACATATGGGCAGCGTAGAGAGAAAACCACACAGAAAGGAAGCCAGAACCCCAAAAAATCTGTTCCTCCCTAATAATGGATTTTTTAATTAAATGAAGTAATAAACTAATAAGATTCTTGTAATACCTTAAGTTGGTTGTGTTTTCTCCTTGAAATACACAAAAGTATTCAAATTGACATACTTTTTCTACTCCTGGGCTTTTAGGTTATATAAACCAAGTAATCCCTTTTACTTGTTCAAGGTAATACAGACTGACTTTTGTCACTTGCAAGTGAGAAAACACAGAGTAAGGCAAACAATTGTTTTGGGCTTCAGACATACATATAAATCTTCTAACCAGGTCATTCATACATACAGATAGATGATGGATAGATAGTAATTTTTAACCATGTTGGCATATGAACTTTGTCTTATTCCTATTCTAAAAGAAAAGTGTTGTTTTCAAGTAATAGAAAAGGGTCATTCCTTAAAAGAACTAGCATGTCTACACATACTTTAAAAATATGTTATTAAAAGCACTATATTTTTTAAGTTTACTTTTAACAAACTTTTAATTTGAAACCCTGACAACTCATTGAATTAATTCTCAAGAAAAAAATAATAAAACATAGTTTATATTCATCAGTAGAGACAAAGCTAAATCCTTCCATACCAACACATTATTTTATATATCAAGTACATGAGCTGCTCCTAGTCTCCAAGAATAATCCAACTACCTGAACTCAGGTTCCCATTTCCTTGTTCTAAGAAAATTGTTTCCAGTTGTCCCTCTTTCCAGCAAGTCTTCAACACAGCAACCAGATTTCTAGAACACAAATCAGATCACGCGTTCCTCTACTCAAAATGCTTTTATGTCTTCTCATCACTTAAAGAGTGTACTCTTAAGCATGGCATTCAAGGGCCTTCCTGAACTGGCCCTGCCAACTTAACTATGCACTTCTACCACTCCCTATTCCCCATTACCAGATTTGTGTTTTAGAAACACTGAACTATAAATACTTTCCCAAACGTGGCTTGTCCTTTCCGGCCTCCATGCCCTTACACGTGTTGTTCCCTTTGTCTTCCTTCAATGATGCAAAGGACTGGCCCTATACATCCTTCCAGTCTTACCTCAAAGATTACCCTTTTAATGTAACTTTTCCAGTGCTACCACCACACTTTGTATATACCTTTATTAGAGTATACATCATATTATTGTGGAAATATTTGTTTAACAGAAGCTGTTAATCTACTTGACTGGCTAAAGAGATTAATCGAGTTCACAGGTTTTTTGGGGGGTCTACATAGTATTTCTTGACATACTAAAATTTGAAATGTTTCCAACAAAATCTCTCATTGTAATTTTCTTTAGTGCAGATTGATTTTATTGTATTTTTTTTTTTTTTAGTTTCAAAGAACAGAACTCCAATCCAAAAATCTAGAATCCATGTGAGAATACATTGCTCTATGATAGATCCATAATGTATGGAACATTATCTAACATAATCACAAAGATCACTTAAAAAAGAATAGATCAACAGCGCCAGCATGTCTGATGATTAAATGCCATTTTAATAATAAATAAGTCCAGGCTTTTTTATTTTTCTTGATTCCAGTTAATAGTATACATATTGAAGTGTAAAATCCTTACACTAAAATATCCACCATGATCATGAGAAGACAAGCCATAGACTGAGATAAGAAGCAAATGACCCAACTCAAAAATGGACAAAAAACCTTAACAGATACCTCATCAAAGAAGATATTTACTTGGGAATAAGCATATGAAAAGATGTTCCTTATCATATGGCATTAGGAAACTAGGGAATTACACATTAGAATAACAGTGAGATACTTCTACACACCTATTAGAATATCCAAAATCCAAAACACATAACACTAAATGCTGGTAAGGATGTGGGTCAACTAGAACTCTCATTCTTTGCTGGTGGGAATGCAAAATATAGCCACTTTGAAAGATAGTGTGGCAGTTTCTTACAAAACTAAACATAATCTTACTACATGATCCAGCAATTACACTCTTGGGTATTTATTCAAATGAGTTGAAAACTTACGTACACACACAACTTTGTACACCAATTTTTACAGTAGCTTTATTCATAATTGCCATAACAAGGATGCCCTTGAGTAGGTGAATGAATATGTAAACCGATATATTTAGATAATAAAACATTATTCAGTGCTAAAAAAGACATAAGCTATCAGCACATGAAAATATATGGGGGAAACTTAACTGCATGTTACTAAGTGAAAGTAGCCCATCTGAAAAGGTGACATATTGTATGATTTCAACAATATGACATTCTGGAAAAGACAAAACTATGAAGGCCATAAAAAGAGCAGTGTTTGCCAGGGATTAGGGGGTGAGGTAGGAATGAATAGGCAGGGTACAGATTTCTTAGGAAAAACTATCTTGTATGATACTTTAATGTTGGATATATGCCATTCAATTTTCATTAAACCCGAAGAATATACAACACCAAGAATGACCTTTAATGGAAACTACTGACTTTGAGTGATATTGATGTGTCAACGTAGGGTCATTCATTGTGACAAATAAACTAATCTGCTGCAGGATGCTAAAAGTGAAGAAAGCTGTGGCTGTGTGGAGCAGAGAGTACATGGGAAATCTCTATCGATTCTATTTATTTTTGCATGAACCTAAAGCTGCTCTTTAAAGAAGTATATTTTTAAAAACTCTAATAGAATTTTTGTTGAAGCTCCCAAGTTCTAGTACATACAGATAATAAAATCAGGCCTCATTTATACTTCTAAAAATCTACAATTTTTGTTCAAATGAAAAATCACTGCAGAACTAATCCAAAAATAATGTTTGTGCAATACATTGTTCTGATATATCAGTATCAAACACTCATGGTTACATTTCTAAGCACGTGCTTATATAAATATGCCACAAAAACAACTTTAGTAATAGTGACAACTATAACAGTTATAGAATGGTTCAGGTGTCAACTACAGTGAGTAGTAATTAATCTATTGTCAAGAACTATAAAGGATCTGAGATCTTATCCTTCTTGCAAGCTAACAAGTTAAAGTGATAAAATTTTATGGATTCTGACACAAGACATAAGACTCCTGTGTCAGAAATGAAGTATGGATTATTATAGCAATAGCAGTATCTCCAGTAACGATATTCCTGTGCCATTTCCCTAAACCATAATTCCCAAATAGCTATATGAAGTAGGCCAGATGACAACTAAATAGGCAGTAGGTTGAGTTTGGGAGCAAACCTCTGAGCTTAGGAAACTTAAATACTTCATAAAGAGTACTGAGCATGTTTCATGTTTGTTCCAGAGGAAGTCATTGCCTTTATTCTGTTGACAATAAGCATATTTGTATATTGTTCCAGAAGGAGACCGTATCTGTAGCTTCCAAGATTGTTTGCTATACAAACATTTTAGAAAAAATAGCAAGGATCAAAGGGCAGTCAGTGTCTTGCTTAAAAGATGTGCAGCAATGTGAGAGATTCATAGAGAATTGTCCCCCAAATTCTGTAAATATCTAAACATTTTTTTACTCTTTAAAAAACTAAACTATAGTGTGCCCTCCAAAATTCAATTTCTGTATCAGGCTATGAAAATGAAGTTTTAAGGAAAAGTGTTTCATTTAGTTCTCTCTTTATGTGATTTATTTTTCTTTTATTTATCAGGTATTTTTGACATTGCATTTGTCACTGAAATATAATTTCTGCATATCCAAGGGTTGAGGATCACTGAAATTCACTTTAAATGTTAAACTACAGGAGCTGAAGGTACCTGACACTATTTACAATTAGAGATTCAGAACAGCTACATATGAACAAATGTTTAAGCACTCACAGAGGTGAAAAATGACTTTGATCCAAAATGAGTTATTTTTCTTTTATTACTCAACAGTGCCAATAAGCCTCAAGGTGATCTTTGCATCTATTTGGAAAATTAGATTGTAGCGTCATTATGTCTCAATGTAACCTCATGAAATCCGAGAATATTTTTTTCTTCTCCCAAACTGAACACATTACCATTAGAATTTCCTACAAGGTGAAAGCTGATAAGTTTATCATTGAGTCCAAGTTCATGCTTTATTTTTAACAACTTCATTCTGTATAACAGAGTGAACTGAATATCACTGAGACAGAGTAAAAGAAAATTACAAAAAACATTGAAAATAAAAACCCATCAAAATTGGTTTTATATATCTTTTCAGATGTTTCAGAGTATCATCACACTAAAATGATTGAGCTTTTAACCATATCAGGAATAAGACACCTTGTGCAACTTAAAGCAACTGTAACCAGTTTGAGGGGAAAAAAAGACAAAACCAAAATGATTCCAGCACTTATAAGCAAAGGAAGCTCTACCCTAAAGATAAATATCCAAAGAAAAGTAGATATAATTTTTCAGGAAATAACATTTTTTTTCCTAATACAATGGGTTAAAAATAGGCATCCCAGACAAAGGAATAGGCTCTCCACATCATAAAATATGACTTCAAAAGAACAACAATATATTTTTTGATCATTGGACATTATTGAAATCATGGTACATCTGAGTTACAGTGGCAAATAACAAGATAATGGGGTTTTCAATTTCCACCAAAATGTCCATAGTCCAAAGAGAAAAAACTTAAAGTATAGCACTGTCTCAAGGAATTTATAATTTACTTTTGAAATATTAGAATGTATATAAGAAAAAGAAAACCAACAATACAACGCTGGTTAACTCATTTTTCTTCTTTCCTTGATACACTTTTCTACTTTAGGGTACTGATGTATGTACCTGCCTGTGATGGTTAATACTGAGTGTCAACTTGATTGGACGGAAGGATGCAAAGTATTGATCTTGGGTGTGTCTGTGTGGGTGTTGCCAAAGGAGATTAACATTTGATTCAGTGGGCTGGGAAAGGCAGACCCATGCTTAATGATTAGATGATGACCCATGGGCATCATCTAATCAGCTGCCAACATGGCCAGGATAAAAAGCAGGAAGAAAAACATGAAAAGGCTAGACTGGCTTAGCCTCCCAGCCTACATCTTTCTCCTGTGCTGGATGCTTCCTGCCTTTGAACATTGGACTCCAAGTTCTTGAGCTTTGGGACTAGAACTGGCTTCCTTGCTCCTCAGTTTGCAGACGGCCTATTGTGGGACCTTGTGATCGTGTGAGTTAATACTACTTAATAAACTCCCCTTTATATAGATATAGATATAGATATAGATATAGATATAGATATAGATATAGATAGATATATAGATATACATATATATAGATATATAGATATGTGTTGGTTCTATCCCTCTAGAGAACCCTGACTAATACACCGTCTCTATTACCAAACCATAAGCTTTTTTTAAAATGCAGATGGCTCCTTTTTAAGAGTTCAGGGTGGGATCACATAAGAGTATGAGCTTATGTAGGCCATGGAAGCTTAATCACTTGAACCCCTTGGTCTTACCTTGTCAGAATCAGCCTTACCATCCTAAGCTTCCTAATTATATGAAGAACCAATGATTAGCTTAAAAACCAATTTAAACTAATTTAAGTTGGGTTTATGCTACTTGCAACTGAAAGTGTGTTAGTACAATTAGAATATGGTATAGTAATTATTACATGTTTCCCAAGTATCAAAAAGTGAATCATCATCACCTGCATGCAAATAGAATTAATTATGCATCTCTCTTCCAAAATGAACATACAGCAAAATTATATCAGTATCTTGAAATCAGCCATGGTGGAATATTTACACCACAGAAATTGGCAAATGCTTCACACTAGGCCCTTCTCAGCTTTTCATGGAGCCATTTACTAAACATTTACAAGAACGTCAGGGGATATAATCTACAGAATCATGTCTTCCAATTTAGATTGATATGGCTATATCATCCAGCATGTAGCTTTTAAAAATTGAAGAGCTATTAATAATGCTAATTTTCCTCATGTCTGGGGATATTTTTGAAACTTTTTGGCTGTAATTATAAATTATACTTATGCAAGTCAACCTTGAAACCAAATTTGACTTGATGGGAAAATATTCAAAATGATTTATGACGTTACAATTTCAAGAGACTTTTTATACACTTGATGAAGCAGGGCTTCTGTGTATCTTAATAAAGATAACGCACTTGTTTGGCTTTTTAATACCAAGGAGACTAGCAGCTGTTATTACCAATATTACTTATTTAATTTTAATTAGCCCCTTCTTAATAAGTTTCTCCTATGATTATGTATTTTATTCTGCTTGTGAATTTTTCTCTGCATCTTCCACATTTTTCCCCTCACATTTTTAAGTCTCTTTTATTTAGAAGTTTTTATTTCTTTCACTCTATGTGGCTCAATCATCTCTCAAAGCCACTCTACTTTTCCTTCTCTGTTTGAACATGTTTGTTCATCTGTTTCTACAAAGGGCTTGAGTTAATGTTGTTGTTGCTTAATTCTAATGATATCTGAAAATAACAAAATCTGAATAATAATTGTAATTTTAATAACACTTTATGAATACAAAGTTAGAAATATTCTATCTCGGCCAGGCACAGAGGCTTATGCCTGTAATCCCAGCATTTTGGGAAGCCGATGAGAGCAGATCACTTCAAGTCAGAAGTTTGAGATCAGCCTGGCCAACGTGGTGAAACCCATCTCTACTAAAAATGCCAAAAATTAGCTGAGCATGGTGGTGGGCACCTGTAATCCCAGCTACTCGGGAGGCTGAGGCAGGAGAATTGCTTGAACCCAAGAGGCAGAGGTTGCAGTGAGCCGAGATTATGGCATTGCACTCCAGCCTGGGCAACAAGAGCAAAACCTTTGTCTCCAAAAAAGAAAAAAGAAAAGAAAAGAGAAAATAAATATTCTATCCAATAAACGCAATTATTTTAGTTGAATTCATTATGCCATTAATTTATTTATTTGGCATACAAATTAAGTATAAATTATCTTCTTGCCTCTCTGTTAAGCACAGGCAAATTGAAAAGCAACGCTTGCTGTCTTTCTCTAAAGAATAATAATCCAGATTCATAAATGTGCTTTTAAAATACAGTCTGAGAAGAGTTTTCTGGTTGTATGTACACGGCGTACCTAAGAGAAGCACAACAAATCAGGAATTAAGTAGTCAGGAAAGATTCAAGGAATTACTGCTGCTGTCTAAGCTGAGATATGATGAAGAAAGTGCTAACTAAGAAAAGGAAGGAATGTGAAGAAAAAGAATGTCCCATGTAGAGAGATCATCATATGCAAATGCATCAAGTTTAGATAATGGCTAAACTTGAGTAATGTACATATGAGGATTGGTAAGGACAAGGCAGCAGCTGTTTACAATTGAAGATTTGTGATCCGTATGATCTGGAAAACTCCTTTTTATCTGACTTAGTCTTTTATATGCCATTTACTTATCCATGGGCAACTCAATCACACAAAGATTGATTTTTCCATTTCTTGATCATTTGACTTAAGCTCTTTGTTTTTTACTATCCTTCTGAATATTTATTTGTGAATTATTCTCTCTCACTCTCCCTCTCCACCATCTTTCTCCATACAACTGCTACCTTCCCTCTCTTGCAACACCTCACTGTTCAATATATTTCTCACCATTGCCAGAACAGAACAGTGTGGCTTGATCTATATTCTATATTTTAGACTTCAAATGTGTTTCAAATAATCTTAAATTTTTATTATTCATCATTATCTACCTGTGTATACCTTACCTAGGAAAATTTAATTCATTTGTATGACATTTTGAATTTTTTTCAACAGACGCCTTTTACCTCACAAGTTTGCAGAGAGTTTTCTGGGTACAGTGGGAGGCATGGTAAAATATATTTTTTTCTAAAGTCTAGAACACCATATACATCACAGGAGGCACCATTTTCCTACTTTCACCCCAAAGTTAGGAAGACAAATCAACAGTCACTGTTAATAGGTAATGCATGCCTTTAGTGGGTAACGTTGGATCAGTTTCTCCAAGCAGGTCTACCAAGAGTTCTCAGTAAATCCTTTCACAGGATCCTCTTACTCAGCCTCTGCTGCTAGAAAACCTGACCAGAGACAGGTTTTCTACCTACACTTTCTCTTGAAAGATAGGGCCAGAAGTTTGTGAAAATTTGACATCCCAAGCCCCTATGTGCTGAAGTCGAAAGAGCACCAACACAGCAGGCATCAGGGCCCCAAATGCATACCTAAAATCATAGAGAAGGAAAATAATGTTTGAAAAATATGGAGTGTTTAAAAAATGAACACAAATGAGGATTTTAGTATGTCTTATTTTTGTTTGCCTACTTTATGAAAACTCTCTGAGTTGATGTGTTTCTGTGTGACATTGTGAGATATGGATCCTGTAGTATAATCTATTCCCCTCTGCTAAAACTTAGTTAGCATATGACAGAATATTACAGAAGGGCTTTAAAAAGTTCTGTGCAAAACCTGGCCACACTGAGAAAACTCCCTTAACTTTCAGCCAGAGGTTTGGATGCTGGGGTGGATGAGCTGCCTTATACTTGTGTTTTTTTGTTTGTTTGTTTTAATTTTCTTACTTTTAATGATATCTTCCTAATCCCCTCCTCTTAGCTTATAGGGCATTCCAAACACCTACTTTGTGAGATAGTGTTTGGATTCAGTTTTCTTATGTTTTAGGTATATTAGCTTTTCTAAGCTGCTCCTCTACTTCACGCACCGCTCCTGCTCCCAAGAGGTATGGCTCTGAGATTTTACCATTATTCAACTTCTCACAAAGGAAGTTAGAAAATATATTGTAACATTTAAACTTCTAAATTATTTTTCACATACTTCAGGCTAGTAAGTTTGGATTTACCTCAAATCCACATATTCTGTAAGCTTTCTATACTAATAAGCTCTCTCCAATAGAACTTTATGAGATGATGGAAGTTTCTATGTATGTTAAATATGGTAGCATGTAGCATAGCCACCTGTAGCTATTAAATACTTAAAATGTGGCTAAAAATTATATTTCAAAATTTCTGTATTTAAAGGACTTCATGTGAGTAGTGGCTACCATCCTGAACAGGACAGCCACAGATCTTCAAATAAAGACATTAGAGGAAAATGTACAAATTGGTTCAAGTACTACTATTCTGTTTATTTTGCCAAATTTTTCTATCAATTCAGAATGAAGTTTAAAATACCTCTTCGGTGTTACTATTGGAAGAATATTTCTTCTTAATTATTTTAATATATATAAACATATAACACCTGATTCTTTGTGGTAGGTAGAAATCATAAAGAATGAAGGTAAGTGGGTACATGTCAGAAATCTATGCTTCATTTTTTGTTCTTATCTTTTGTAATTCATCATCAGCCCTTAAACTTCCAATTCTGTTTATTAGGTGCTCAAATAATTTCATTTCCCTCCCACCAACTTTGCTCTGTGCCTTACACTTAAAAAGTACTAAAACTACCTATTTGTTTGGTCCCCAATGTCATAAAATATGAGTAGGAATTTGTCAGGTAATGAAGGAGAAAAGAGTGTTGTTTCAGCCAGAGACAGCAGAATATGGGAATGCCTGTAAGCAGACAAAAAGTTCAATGAGGCTAGAAAGATAGTCCTGGAACAAATTAATGTAGAGCCCATTAGAGCATACTGATGATGCAGAACTTTATGCTATGAATGACAGAAGAAAATATTGACATATTTTGGATGAAACATGGCCTCGCTCTGTCACCAAGGCTAGAGTGCAGTAGCACAATCTCAGATCACTGCAACCTCCGCCTCCCAGGCTCAAGCAATACTTCCACCTCAGCCTCCTGAGTAGCTACTCAGGGACTAGAGGCACAAGCCACCATATCTGGGTAATTTTTGTATATTTTGTAGGGATAGGGTTTCACCATGTAGCCCAGGCTGGTCTCAAACTCCCAAGCTCAAGCCATCTGGCCACCTCAGCCTCCCAAAGTGCTGTGATTACACGTATGAGCTACCATGCCCGGTCCCAGAGTAGAACCTTTAAAAAAAAAAGTTTGGCTACTATGTAAGAGAACAAAGTGTGAGGACAGTATAGTATTATTATATAAGCAATGATACTGATATTGACTAGGGAAATGTCATCAGACATGGAGTGAATACATTTAAGATATATTTAAGAATCAGACTCAAAGAACTTGAAGGTGAGTTAAAATAGAGCAATTAAGTAAGAGGAAGAATTAGTAATATAAATAGTCTCTGTCGTGAGCAGCTGGATGAATTAGGATGACTTTTACTGAGACAAGAAGCCTAAATAGAGGAAAAGATTTCCCAGGGTGGTGACACTTTATTTCCCTAAACCCATGACCTAATTATGGTGTTATTTAACAAATATGACAGCCATTTATTTAATAGTTACCATTCATATCTGTTAGCAGTGGGTTAGAAAAATGATGTAATTAGAATACCACAAAAGTGACAGAATATATGTGATTACACGATGTCAATGATTATATTACATATGATTACAATTTGCCTTCCTAGGAACTCTTCCTGGCTGACTTTGAGGAAAAAGGCTACTGTGTTGGGAGCCATGACACATCAAGGAGCTGAGGGAAGCCTCCAACCAACTGTTAGGGAAAACTGAGACCTCCAATCTGGCAGCCTGTTAGGTACTAAATGCTGCTAAAAGCCACAACACGAGTTTAAAAGCAGATTCTTCCCCAGCTGAGCCTCAGATGAGACTGTAGCCTTGGTCAATATCTTAACTGCAGCTTTTTGAGACCCTGATGTAGAGGACCTAGTTAAGCCATGCCCAAACTTCTGACCTACAGGAACTGTGAGATTTAAAAACAAGTGTTGTTTTAAGCCTTAATGTTGTTAGTAATGTTATGTGGCAATCTTTAATTAACACTTCTACTCACAAAGAAGAAAAAATCTAGACATGCTCTCTGCCTGCAGTCCTAAATTAAGGAAGTACCCTTTTTTTAGATATTCCCAGAAATATTATCCAAGCTAGCTTAGATCAAGTGGCCATTATTGAACTATTCACATTGCACTCTGATTTGCAAGGTTGGGTCATATATAAATGCCAAGAATTATGGATACTGATAATATTGGAGGGCCATTTCTAGAAAGAAAAATAATGGTTGGATATGACAGAGATGAAGGAATTCTTACAAAAACATATTTCTACCATAACACTCCTGCATTGCAGCATGAATCTTGCTCTCTATTCAAAAGTGATCCAGGCTAACATGATAAGTGGTTGCTGCAGTTAAATCTAACTTACATTTTGAAAAGAATTAAACATAAATATTTTGGAGGTCATAATAACAAAAAAACTGAATCTGTTACTAAAACACCAGGTGTTTGCTCTAGGTCTCATTGCTTATTACACAGAAAGCCAATCACTGAGAAGAGTATTGCCAAGGAAAAAGGCTTTATTCAGGTGCTGCAGCAGAGATGGGAGGTCAGTATCAAATCCATTTTTTTTAGCCAATGAAAATGATGTGTTTATATGGAAGGGAAGAAATGTATCCATGTTTGAGAAAACAGAAATGTGGGGGGTAAGAAAGAGGAGTTTGACAACAGGAAGCAGGTGGTCAGATAAGCAATCATAATGGTTGAGGGATCTGGTGTCTAATTTTCCAGATGCAATGATCTGGCAAATTTCAGTTCCTTAATACTCTCTGGGAGGCCTGATGGTTGGTTTCCGGAGGAAGGAACTCAGAGATAAGACAAATGTAACTTTCTCAAGTTTTAAGACTGGGGGGTCAATTTCTATATTTATTCAAAAGAAACCATAAATATGGGTTTTATGGGACAATTAGGCCAGTTTCAAATCCTTGAAGAGTATTCACTGATATGTGACTATGAAATACAAAAATATTTCCAAAAATAAAAAATAAAATTTTGAGTTTTATACATTTAATACAGTTGTCTAAAGACTATTAGATCACTGTTATCTAAGACGATGACAGAATATCCAAAATATTCAAGCCATAAGTATTTTCTCTGGGATTAACTTTCTATATTGGGCTTAGAGCATTCACCAGAAAAACTAGAGTTTCTGATTTTCTTATTTGTCATTGATAGAGAGTTTTAAAGTTATTATTGCAAAAGCAAGGCTACTATGGCAATCACCTACTTATCAATTAAATGCATCCAAAGACTCAGGTTTGTTTGCAACTATAGATACATAAGCTTATTGAACCTATTCATGCATTCTTTAAAGATATTTTGTAAGAATTAGTTTTTAGATATCATGATGTTTCTCCATATTAATACAATTGTAGCTCATCTCATCTACAAAAATCAACTCAAAATCAATGAAAGACTTAAATGTTTGACTCAAATCTATAAAGCTAATAGAAGAAAATATAGGGAGAAAGCCCTACGACATTAGTCTGGGCAATGATTTCTTGGGTAGAACTCCAAAAGCAGAGGCAAAAATAGAGAAATGTGATTGCATCAAACTAAAAAGTTTCCACACAACAAAGATAACAATTAACAAAGTGAAAAGACAACCCATAGATTGAGAGAAAATATTTGCAAACCATACATCTGAAACAGAGCAAATATCCAAAATATATAAGGAACCCAAATAACTCAATAGCAACAAAACAAATAACCCAATTTACAAATGGTCAAAGGTCTGAACAGACATTTCTCAAAAGAAGAGATACAAATTGTCAACAGATATATTAAAAATGATCAACATCTCTAATCATCAGGGAATGACAAATTAAAACCACAACCAGATAGCTCCTCACTCCTGTCAGAATGGCTACTATCCAAAAGACAAATGATAACATGTGTTGGTGAAGACATGTAGAAAGAGAACGCTTGTAAACTGTTGGTGGGAATGTAAATTAGCACATTTTGGAAAATAGCATGAACATTTCTCAAAAAAAAAAAAATAGAGCAACCATATGATCCAGCAATCCCCTTTCTAGGTATATATCCAAAGGAATTGAAATTGGTATAGGGAAGATATATCTGCACTTTCATGTTTATATAAGCATTGTTCATAATAGCTAAGATAAGGAAGCAAACTAAGCATCTATCAGTGAATGAATACATAAAGAAATATGGTATATACACATGATGGAATACTATGCAGCCTCAAAAATGAAGAAAATTATGTCATTTAAGACAACATGGATGGAAATGGAGGACATTATGCTAAGTCACATAAGCTAGGCACAGAAAGACAAACACTGTAAGGTTTCAGGTATTTGTGAAATCTAAAAAAGTAATATATGTGGAATTTAAAATGTCTATCTCAGATTTGAGTAATATATTACTCACATATTTGAGAATATTCTATGTCCATTCAGCTTCTCTTCCTCTTTAGCACTATTTTTCATTTATTTATTTATTTTTAGTTAACAAATAATAATTGTGTAGATTTATGAAGTACAATGTGATATTTTGATATGTATTTTCATTTTTTAAATTTTTATTTATTATTTATTTTTAAATTTTATTTTAGGTTCACAGCTTTTCAAAATACAAGCAGCCAAGTAACAAAAACATTACCCAATTTATTTGTATTCTTTCTGTTCATAGCCAATAACAAAAAAGTTTGGCTGGGAAATTTCCCTTCATTCTAGAAAAGCAAACATATTTAAAGAAGTTTTAGATAAAACACATCAGAAAGCAAATTTTGTCTCTTTATTAAGAAACTAATGCTATGTTCATGTGGCTTGATTTATCACTTTACAAAATACTGCCTTGTCATTCAGTGTAGTAGTGAAAAGTAAGTTTCAGTTTCTCAACAAAGGAGAACTCCAAGAATTTGAGAATGAGTTTAGAAAATGTTATTACTGAAATGAAAGCTAGTAAGCAGATAAGTCAAATAAAGTAACTATTTCCAAGAATGCACCTATGTGTGGAATTCAGATATATCTTGAGTAGCTTAATGTGAAATGAATCTCAAGTCACCACTGAAAACACAGAGATGACCTACTTCACTGACATAAGAGTAAGGCAGCATTTTATGTAAAGGGGAGAAAGAAGCTTGTGTATCATTCAAAACAATCCAGAATTTAAGTTGTGTAAGTAATTATTATAAGTAACATAGGACTGGAAAATTAGAGGCATATAAGGGAAGATCAATAGAGAAAACTATCAAATTTACCCATTTAGTAAAAGTCTCAAAACAATATAAATACATCACTAGATCTAAGATGATGATGGAGTAGACAAGATGTGCATGGCATAACTGATTTTTCTGGATAGATATGTTGTAGAGAAAGACACATCAGATATTATTCATGACTACCATGTCTTTTTGCTCTTGATATGTGGTTCCTAAACCATTTCCATTGGTCCAAGGGAAACAATCAAAAAGTAATTGAACATCCTGTATTATTAAATAGAGATTTCTGTTGACCTTTGCATTCTGAACCCATGCCTTTCAGCCTGATCTATATCAAGGTACAGATATGAGACACCACTGAAAAAGGCTGCCGTCTCTTTTTCCCTCTCTCTCTATCCCATATGTTTCTTAATTACACACCAGGAGTATGAAAGCTTAAGTATTTTAAACAGAAGAAATTTTCTACAACTCATATATTATAGTGATAATATGCAATAATAGTTCCAAACTATACTGACTAATTGGATATTTATTGTGAAGAAGAGCAATTCATATGAGCAAAACAGAAGCTATGAAATGGATATTGAAATAAAGAGCCACAGAAAAGTAAAGGAATTTTAAATTAACTTATATTAAAATACTATTAAAACTGAGGCAAGCCTAATTGTATATTCTTGGTGTTTGATGAAGATATTTAATCAATTGTTACATAAAATCCATTTTATACTCTACTGTACACCAACATTTTTTTAATTGCCAATACATAAGTAGAGCTTAAAACTATGAAAATGTCAGAATATCAATAAGATTTCATCTAACTTTGACTCTGGTTAACCTGAGCATTAATAGAATTTGAATTGATATTAAATTAGCAAAGATAATTTATTTAAACTAAATTCAAATTTACCTTAACCCCATAATCCTGTTAAAGAAAAAATGTGCTATTGAGTTTCTTGAATTAAGAAGATTTATGAAAAATATGTTTATGACTTGAAAACAATGTCTAATCATAACACAGAAGTTATGTTTATCTACCTGTTCCCTACTTTGGTCATGAGAAAAAAGAAAAGAAAACTATATCTATATCCTTCTTGCTTAATTGATGATTAAGCTTTCTAATCCAGCTTCCAAGATCCAGACATCAGATTGCTATTTCCAGCTACAGATGGAGAGTAGGCAAGCCATTCTAAGATACAGAGGCAGACATAGAATTGGGTGAGAAGTTAGTTGAAGAGAAGCCAGAAGTAAGGCCTGCCTGAAAATAACCGAAGTCAAAGAATGTCTGAATTTAAACCTCACTCACAAAAACTGTGATGAGGAATGAATAAATATAAAAGTTCACAAATGCAAGTTGGAACTAAGTTTATCTTATAGTACAGGGAGAGGAGTCAAAGGAAAGTGCCACCTCTATGGTATGCCATGAAGAACCCCAAAGACATAAGTCTGTGGACATGTTATTCACATTCTTTTAAAATATAAGTTTCTAGTTCTAGATCCTTGAGGAATCGCCACACTGTCTTCCACAATGGTTGAACTAATTTACACTATTATTTGACCCAGCAATACCATTACTGGGTATATACCTGAAGGATTACAAATCATTCTACTGTAAAGACATATGCACATATATGTTTATTGCAGCACTATTCAAAATAGCAAAGACTTGGAACCAAGCCAAATGCCCATCAATGTTAGACTGGATACAGAAAATGTGGCACATATTCACCATGGAATACTATGCAGCCATAAAAAAGAATGAGTTCATATCATTTGCAGGGACATGGATGAAGCTGGAAACCATCATTCTCAACAAACTAACACAGGAACAGAAAACCAAACCCCACATGTTCTCACTCATAAGTGGGAGCTGAACAATGAGAACAAATGGGCACAGGGAGGAGAACATCACACATTGGGGCCTGTCAATGGGTGGGGATCAAGGGGAGGGACAGCATTAGGAGAAACATCTAATGTAGATAAGGGGTTGATGGGTGCAGCAAACCACCATGGCACATGTATACCTATGTAACAAACCTGCACGTTCTGCACATGTATCTGAGAACTTAAAAGTATAATAATAAAAAAGATCAATGCAGAAAAAACTCAAAAAATATGTTTCTTCATCTTTTAAATAAAAGTGCAAGTAATAGCTCATGAAAATAAAAATTCTGTAAAAGTTAAGTCAAATAATAAATATAAAACATGTTGCTGTGACTACTACTTAAGTGGCCAATAGAGAAGGATTATTAATAGAAGAATTATCTATTGTAACACCTGCCTAGAAGATGTAACATCTAAGTTATTTCAGATAATATTTGTAAAGGTATCAACTGACTTTCTGCTGAGAACTAGAAAACTAACAGAAGCAGCTGGAGTAGGAAAATGAAAAGTTTGAAAATCAAAATTGATGGAGTCCTGCACAAGAAAAACAACAAAAAAACTGGAAACATTGTCTAGGATAGGCCCTTGTTGACACTGAATGAAGTGCTACTTAGTAATTATCCAGAGTTAAAATATGTGAACTTGATTTTGTCACTTTTCTATAATGTCAATGTGTACAAATAGCAAGTATTTTAAAACACAACCCAGACCCTCTATATCTTGGCAGAAATGCTAAAAGAAATACTCAGTGGATTTGGTAAGAACTTTCTATAGGCTTTAAATTTTGATTTCCCAACTCTCCCCTCTGTAATTTATTCTTGGGAGACACATTTATTTGCTATACTAATGGATCAGTAAAGAAAATATCATTCAGTTAAGCACATGCACATAAAACTGAGAATTACAGAATTTCTGATAGAGTTCTGAGGTCTATAGAAAAGCCTTTGTTTCATTTGAGACTTTACAGATTTTTTGAAAACTTAGCACTGAGATTAAATACGTGAAAGTGTTCTATAGTGTTTGGGACATTGTTACAAAAATATACCATTTACAAAAATATGGACATGAAACCTATTTATTTTTATTACATATTAAACATTTTTAAACACCTTTTACATATAACACTGCTGGGGTATATAGGAAATTACAGAGGAGTTATAGTTTATCTAGAAACACAATTTTTTTCCTATTTATGCAGCTTTTGAATTATTCTCACAAGCTAAAATCAAGCAATTGGTCTTCATTTTCCCTATTTACAATTTATTGATTTATCTTATACAGGCAATAAAAGAAAATGTCAAATTAAGATAAGAAGAGTTTAAAACTATGGAAATATCATTTAAATATGACACTGCAAGAATAATAGAACAAAGAGTTTGCTACATTTCAATCTCAGAAGGTTTCGGTGAGGTAGATTTAGACCTAAAAGTATGATTCTATTATAAGAAACTAGAATGTAACTCCATAGACAGCAAGATCCTACACCTTGCTACAGTTATAGCTGTTACTCAAGCCTACAGTTTAACCTTCAACATTCTGAACAAAGAAAACTATAGATTATAACCTCACTTCACATATATTCATAGAATTAGCCATGAATAAAAACATTGCCTAATCCAATTTAATCTTCAGAGTCATATAAATTAAGGTAGATTTATTTCTTAGTATTTGATAGTCTAGATATATCTTTAGGTTTCCAGCCCATGTAAGCGTTTACAACACTTTTAACCTAGTATTTATAATAATATGTATGAACAATCAGGATGTTAAAATGATACTGTCAAATATTTGCATTAACTAAATGAAATTTAGCCCCGTGGGCAATTATATCCTAATTGGCATTCTAATATGTGTAATTAGAATGTTAAAAACATACTTTCTATGAAATATTACACACAAAATAATATGCTTAGGCACATGTTAGCACCTCACAAAACAATGTATTCATATATTTGAATTTCTCTATTGCTCATTTTTTAAAGTAACTAAATATGAAAAAAAATTCATGATGAAAGTCCATTTCACAGTAACCCAAGGGCCCAACTTATAATGCTCCTGATTTCTAACCTCATTAAAATTTAATAAATACCATTTGAAAACCCAAATACTGTGTGCTTGGGGGGAAGGTCTTTTACATTCATGTTGTGAGAACACTGCCTGCTTTTCCTTTTCCTGAAGCACTCGGCTCTCCAAAGCTGTAAGTAACAGAGGTGGAAACAACAAACTCCCCAGAGGATGGCCAAGGATTATACTTTATTAGATAACACATATAGAAACTGCGGCATATTTTTCAGTATTTTGAAGGTGCTTTTGCTTTCTCAAGTAAACCACCCTTACCAGGCAGATCTTTGATATAATGAATGAGACCAACCTTATGGGCTAAAACTGTCCAGGGCTTTGTTATTGCATTGTTCTAGAGGTTAGAGTGATTAAAAAAAAAAAATCTGTATCTAAAATACCAATATGCATGGGAGATGTTTCTGGAGTGTGGGTAAAGAAAGCAGAGGGAGGAGATAAATTAGACAACCATCCACTAGTCATATAAATTTTCTTTATTTTTACATTTTATCCTGCACCCACCACCACCTCTTGCTAATTTTTTGTTTTTTAGTAGAGACGGGGTTTTGCCATGTTGGGCAGGCTGGTCTGGAACTCCGGACCTCAGGTGATCTGCCCAACTCAACCTCCCAAAGTGCTGGATTACTTGCATGAGCTAGCATGCCCGGCCACAAAATCTTGATTTTTATGCTGTCCAGAACCAGGGGAATACATTATATTTCATGTCCTCCCTACCCCCAATTAGAATGCAAGCATTTTCAAGACAAGGAATTTTGACTCTTTGGTTTACACATGTAGCCACAATTCTAAGAACATTGCCTGGCACATAGCAAATGCTTGATAAATACTGAATGGACAAGTACATTTTTCATCACATTTTCCACAGTTCAATATTTTCTCTCTGTCAAAACAGTAAGTGTGAAGTAGACATAATATGAGTGAAATGTTGGGATACAATTTCTGAACATAGGCATAGACTACACTTCTAAACCCAGAGAAGCTTTCCTAAAAACACATGACCTTAATCACAGAGAGGATCAGGTACAAATGTGACTTAATAGAAATATATCATCATACTAAAAGAAAAAAATTGGATTTGTCCGAAGGCTTAAAACACTTAGTCAAAATAGAATCACAACTCACTGTGAAATAATAGTCATTGATTTCACCAGAGGGACAATCAAAATATTTCAAAGGCAAATGCAGAAAGTTGCATGGATATTAAAAACACACACACACACACACACTCACACACTCATGAAGCACAGAAATTATCTTGATAAAAACACAAATATTTTATTTTTTAGTCCTAGACCAAAAGGTAAAGCAACAACAACAACAAAAAGCCCTCCTACACTGATTGCCTCTTCTTATGGGAATCTCATTTTGATAATCTGATGAAAAGATACTTGAATTCAATTAAACACTGCAAAAGTATATTCCCAAGGTTATTAGTGTACTTCATATAATGGAAGAAATAAACAAGAAGACTTGTACCTTATGCATGGGAATGCATGGCTTTTAGGAAAAAAAAAAAAGTAGAACACGTGGAATTTTCTGGTTACATTGAGCAATTCAGATACATCAAGGAAAGCAGAGTATAGAATCAAGTAATACCAGAGGGAAACGTTGCTCTCCTAGGCCTTCAAGACAAACATTTTTAGTGTTGGGCTTCAATAGCAGAGACAGAAGGAAATGAAGCTGGAAACCATCATTCTCAGCAAACTATCACAAGGACAAAAAACTAAACACCGCATGTTCTCACTCATAGGTGGGAATTGAACAATGAGAACGCTTGGACACAGGAAGGGGAACATCACACACCGGGGCCTGTTGTGGGGTGGGGGGAGGGGGGAGATACAGCATTAGGAGATATACCTAATGCTAAATGACGAGTTAATGGGTACAGCACACCAACATGGCACATGTATACATATGTAACAAACCTACACATTGTGCACATGTAACCTAGAACTTAAAGTATAATAAATATATATATATAAATGCAACAAAAATAAAAAAATAAAAAAACACGGCAGAAGCTGTAGAGATAATGCTCTGAATATCAGAGAACAGTGAGTTTTGAAAAATGTTTCTTAACTTACTATAGTTCAATGTATCCACACTGAAGAGGGTAAAGCTAGCAAAGAGTATGACCTGGCAAATCAAGGTACAAAATTCTATGGTGTGAAAACTAAGAATGGCAAAATTGATTTAACTTTCTTTGCCAAAGTTAAGGTAGCATAGAATAACCTAAAGTGATGGAAGATTTGTAAGTAAATGCGCTTTATTAATTATTGCTGTCTTTCCTTTCCAATTCAGCAGCTAATGCATGTGTTGAAGAAAATACATACACACATATGTATGTTTGTCGGTAAAAAAAAGGAGAGGGAAGGAATAAATCAGATAACAATCCAGTATTCATAAATTTTCTTGTTTTCATGTCTTATCCTAACCAAAAATTTGATTTTTATGCTGTCCAGAACCAGGGGAATACTATTATATTTCATGTTTCCCCAATTAGAATGCAATCATTTTCATGACAGGGGATTTCTATTATTTGGTTTACACATGTACCCACAATTCTAAGAATAGTGTATACATGTATACACACATACACACATTTTATACACACACACACACACACACACACACACACACATATATTTTTTTTTTCTCTAGCTCCCTCATGGCAATTGAATACTTGGAGTCCTTAAAGAGTTTCAACTGTTTAGGCAAGTGAATATTCTCCTTCAATTTCATGAAATGCTTAAGCTAACTAACTGCTCAATAATATTAGAAATCGATACATGTCTAAGCTAGAACTGTCTTAACTATATTAACTTTACATCACAGCCTCATAAGAACACTGAACAAAGTCAAGCCAAGTGTGAGGTGTGAGTTTTCTGGAAAATCTTCAATGTGGGGGTGAGAGGGGTGTTAGAATTTAAATACGTTCCCAGAGTAAAAATACATGTCAGCAGGAGGAAACCACAAGTGGAAAAGGATGGAGCTGATGTTGAGAGGAATGTGTCAGAGATGTTATAATTTGATTCAAGCAGAACACCCACACAGGGGGACAATGGGATCAGTTTGCAAGCAAGCATGCGTTAACAATGAATGCCTTCTCTCTCCCTTGCTTGAATTATGATCGTTTCACAACTCTTTTTGACATTCTCAGCTTAGTGATTTTACCTAAGCCAGTAACTTCAACATTATCCTTTTCATAGCTTCCCAAATTATTATGCAGTGGTTTTGAGTTACACAGACACGGATCTAAATCTTTCTTTAAAATACTCTTTTTAAAACTGTTATTTATTTGTGAGTAGCTAGCAGGTACTCACAAATAATTAAAAACATACATATGTGTGTTTTAATAATTAAAAATGTATATATATATTAATGGGTTACATACAATATTTTGATACAGGCATGTAATGCATAATAATCACATAACACTAACTGGCGTATTCATCACCTCAAGTACTTATCCTATGTGTTACAAAAATCCAATTATATTCATTTAGTTATTTTTAAATGTAAAATTAATTTATATTTGACTATATTCTCCCTGTTGTGCTAGCAAATAGTAGCTCTGATTCATTCTCTCTAACTATTTTTTGTACCCATTAACCATCCCTGCTTTCTCCCCACACTCCCACCCCTACTACCTTTCTCAACCTCTGGTAATCATCCTTCTACTCTCTATCTCCATGAGTCCAGTTATTTTAAGTTTTAGCTTCCAGAACTAAGTGAGAACATGCAACATATGTCTTTCTGTGTCTGACCTATTTCACTTAACATTAACCTCCAGCTAATCCAAACTATTGCAAATAACAAGATATCATTTTTCATTATAGCTGAATTGTGCTCCATTGTGCATAGGTACATTTTCTTTGTCCATTCATCTGTTGATGGACATGTAGGTTGCTTCCAATTCCTGGCTATTGTGAATAGTGCTGCAATGAACATGGGAGTGCAGATAGCTCTTTGATAAACTGATTTCCTTTTCTTTGGGTATATACATAGGAGTGGTATAGTGAGATCATATTTAGCTCTATTTTTAGTATTTTGAGGAACCTCCAAACTGTTCTCCATAGTGATTGTACTAATTAACATTCCCACCAACAGTGTATGAGGTTTCCCTTTTCTCCACATCCTTGCTACCATTTGTTATTGCCTGACTGTTGGATTTAAGTCATTCTAACTGTGGCAAGAGGGTGTCTCATTGTAGTTTTAATTTGCATTTTTCTGATGACCAAGGATGTTGAGCACCTTTTCATATACCTACTGGTCATTTGTATGTCTTGCTTTGAGAAATGTCTATTCAAATATTTTGCCCATTTGTTTATAAGATTTTTAGATTTTTTTCTATATAATTGTTTGAGCTCCTTATATATTCTGGTTATTAATCCTTTGTCAGATGGGTAGTTTGCAAGTATGTCCTCCCATTCTGTGGGGGGTCTCTTTACTTTGTTGAGTATTGCCCTTGCTCTGTGATATGGTTTTGCTGTGTACCCACCCAAATCTCATCTTGAATTGTAACTCCCATAATCCCATGTCATGGGAGGGACCCAGTGTGAAGTAATTGAATCATGAGGCCAGGTTTTTCTCTGTGCTGTTCTCATGATAGTGAATAAGTCTCATAAGATCTGATGGTTTTATAAAGGCAGTTCTTCTGCACACACTCTCTTGCCTGCTGCTATATAAGACGTGCCGTTGCTCCTCATTTGCCTTCTGCCATAATTGTGAGGCCTCCCCAGCCATGTGGAACTGTGTGTCAATTAAGTCACTTTCCTTTATAAATTACCCAGTCTTGAGTATGTCATTATTAGCAGAATGAGAACAGACTAATACACTGTGCAAAAGTTTTTCAACTTAATGTGATCCTATTTGTTCATTTTTGCTTTGATTGCCTGTGCAGAGAGGGTATTACTCAATAAATCTTTGCATAGTCCAATATCCTGGAGAGTTTCCCCTATGTTTTCTTCTATCAGTTTCATCGTTTGAGATCACAGACTTAAGTATTAAATAAATTTTTATTTTATTTTTGTGTATGGTGAGAGATAGGCGTCAGCTTTCATTCTTTTGCATGTGAATATCCAGTTTTCCCAGCACAATTTATTGACCAGTCTCCTTTCCCCAATGTATGTTGTCAATGCCTTTGTCAAAAATGAGTTCACTGTAGGTGTATGGGTTTATCTATGGGTTCTCTATTCTGTTCCACTGACATATGTGTCTATTTCTATGCCAGTACCATACTATTTTGGTTACTATAGCTCTTTATTATAATTTAAAGTCTAGTAATACAATGCCTCCAGTTTTGTTCTTTTTGCTCAGGATAGCTTTGGCTATTTTGGGTTTTTAGTGGTTCCATATAAATTTTAAGATTGTTTCTTCTATTTCTGTGAAGAATGTCATTGGTATTCTGACAGGAATTGCATTGAATTTGTAGATTGCTTGAGGTAGTACGGACATTTTAACAATATTGATTCTTCCAATCCATGAACATGAAATATCTTTCCATTTTGGTGTCTTCTATTTCTTGCATCAATGTTTTATAGTTTTCATTGTAGAGATCTTTGACTTTTTGATTAAATTATTTCCTAGGTATTTAATTTAATTTGTAGCTATTATAAATAGGATTACTTTCTTGCTTTCTAGTTCAGATTGTTTTCTGTTATCAAATACATGTGCTATTGATTTTTGTATGTTGATGTTGTATCCTGCAACTTTACTGAATTTGTTTATTAGTTCTAATAGTTTTTTGGTGCAGCCTTTAGGTTTCTCCAAATATAAGATCATATCATCTGCAGACAAGGATAATTTGACTTTTTGCTTTCCAATTCAGATGCCCTTTATTTCTTTCTCTTGTCTGGTTGCTCTAGCTAGGACTTCCAGTACTATATTGAACAATAGAGGTGAAAGTAAGCATACTTATTGTGTTCCTCAATTTATAGGAAATGTTTTAAGTTTTTCTGTATTCAGAATAATACTAGCTTTGTGTCTGCTGTATGTGGCTTTTACTATGTTGAGGTACGTTCCTTCAATAAATACTCAGTATTCTTTGTTTTTAATTATAAAGGTACGTTGAATTTTATCAAAGGCTTTTTTCAGCATTAATGGAAATGATCATATGATTTCTGTCTCATTCTGTTGATATGATGTATCACATTACTTGATCTGCAGATGCTAATGTACCCTGGCATCCCTGAGATAAATCCCAATTGGGCATGGTAAATAATCTTTTTAATGTATTGTTGAATTTATTTTACTAGTATTTTGTTGAGAATTTTTATGTCATTATTCATCAGTGGTATTGGCCTATAGTTTGTTGTTTCTTTTTAAATTGGTGTGTCTTTGTGTGTTTTTGGTATTAGTGTGAGAATACTGGACTCATAGAATATGTTTGGAAGTGTACCATCCTCCACTATTTTTCAGAATAGTTGGAGTAGGATTGGCATTATTTTTTCTTTAAATATTTAGTAGAATTCATCAGTGAAGTCATTGGGTCCAAGGCTTTTCTTTAGTGGAAGACATTTTATTATGGCTGCTATCTCTTTACTTGTTATTGGTCTGTTCGGGTTTCATGTTTCTTCATGGTTGAATCTTGGAGGGTTATATACTTCTAGGAATTTGTCTATTTCTAGGTTTTACAACTTATTGGCATATAGTTGCTCATAGTAGCCTCTAGTGATCCTTTGAACTTCTGCATTATCAGTTGTAATGTCTCATTTTTTCCCCAGTTTTATTTAATCTGTACCTTCTCTCTCTCCTTTTTATTTCTTAGTCTGGCAAAAGGTTTGTCAATTTTGTTTAACTTTTTAAAAAATAACTTTTTGTTTCATTGATCTTTTGTATTGTTTTCTTCAGTTCATTTATTTCTGCTCTGATCTTTATTATTTATTTCTTCTACTAATTTTGGGTTGGGATGCTCTTGCTTTTCTAGTTAAGACACATAATTAGATTATTTATTTGAAATTATTGTCATTTTTGATGTAGGCACTTATAGCCATAAGCTTCCCTCTGAGTACCACTTTTGCTGAATACCACAGGTTTGATATGTTGTGTTTTCTGTTATCATTGGTTTTAAGAAATTTTTCAACTTGCTTCTTAATTTCTTCATTGATCCACTGGTCATTCAGGAGTATATGGTTTAAATTTACTGTACTTGTATAGTTGTAAAAATTCGTCGTTATTAATTTCCAGTTTTATTCCATTTTATTTTTTGAATATTTTAAAACTTGTTTTGTGACTTAACATATGTTCTGTTGTTGAGAATGATCCACTTACTGAGGAAAAGAATATATATTCTGCAGCCATTGGATGAAATGTTCTATGAGTATCTATTAAGTTTATTTGGTCTATTGTGCAGATTAAGTTTGATATTTCTTCATTGATGATCTGTCTGGAATATCTGTTCAATGCTGAAAGTAGGGTGTAAAGTCATCAGCTAATATTGTATTGGGGTCTATCACTCTTTAGCTCTAATAATATTTGCTTTATATATTAATATCTGGTGCTCCAGGATTGAGTGCATACATATTTACAATCATATCCTCTTGCTAAATTGACCTCATTATCATTATATAATGGCGTTCTTTGGTGCGTCTTATGGTATTTGTTTTGAAATCATTTTGTCTGATATAAGTAGAGCTACTCCTGCTCTTTCTTGATTTCCACTGGCATGAAATATTTTTTCTATCCTTTTATTTTCAGTTTACGTGTATCTTTATAGGTGAAGTGTGTTTCCTGCAGACAAGAGATAATTGGGTCTGGTGTCTTCATCCATTGAACCACTCTATGTATTTTGATTAGAAAATTTAGTCCATTTATATTCAATGTTATAATTGATGGGTAGGGACTTACTCTTGCCCTTTTGTTATTTTTTCTGCTTATTTTGTGGTTTTCTCTTCCTGCTTTCCTTTCTTCCTGTCTTCATTTTGGTGAAGGTGATTTTTCTCTGGTGGTATGTTTTAATTTCTTGGTTTATACTTTTTCTGTACCTGTTGTAGGTTTTTTTTTATTTGAGGTTACCATGAGGCTTGCAAATATTATATTGTAACCCATGATTTTAAACTGGTAACAAATTAACACTAATATGCATTAAAAAACACAAAAAAACTACTAAAAACTACAGTGCAATTTCATCCTTCCACTTTTAAACTTGTTTTTTCTCTTTATATCTTATTGTACTGTCTTGAAAAGTTGTTGTAGTTATTAGTTTTGATTGGTTCATTATTTAGTCTTTATAGTTACAATAAGCATAGTTTACACACCACAATTATAATGTTATAATATTCCATGTTTCTCTGTGTGCTTACCATTACCATGAGTTTGGTACCTTCAGATTATTTCTCCTTGCTCATTAACATCCTTTACTTTCACATTGAAAAATCCCTAGCATTTCTTGTAGGATAGCTCTAATGGTGATGAAATCCCTCAGCTTTAGTCTGTCTGGAAAGGCCTTCATTTTTCCTTCATTCTTGAAGGGTATTTTTGTTGGATCTACATTCTAGGGTAAAATTGTCCTCCCCCACCTTTTTGGCACTTTAAATAAGTCACACCCCTCTCTCATGGCCTGTATGGTTTCTACTGAAAAGTCTGCTGCCAGATGTATTGGATCTCCACTGTATGTTATTTATTTTTTCTCATGCTGCTTTTCAGATCCTTCATCCTTGAGCTTTCGGAGTTTAATTATTAAGTATTAAATAGTGTTTTGAGGTAGTTTTATTTGGGTTACATCTGCTTGGTGTTCTATAGCCTTCTCATACTTGAATGTTGATATCTTTTCCTAGGTTTGGGAAGTTCTCTGTTATTATCCCTTTGAATAAACTATCTACCCCTATCTCTTTCTCTTCCTCCTATTTAAGTTGAATGACTCTTGGATTTGCCCTTTTCAGGCCATCTTCTGGATCTTATTGGTGTGCTTCTTTTTTTTTATTATTTTTTCTTTTGTCTCTTCTGATTGTATATTTTCAAATAGCCTGTGTTCAAGCTCACTAATTCTTTATTTTCCTTGATCAATTCTGCTATTAAAAACTCTGATGCATTCTTGAATATGTCAATTACATTTTCAACTCTAGAATTTCTGCTTGATTCTTCTTATTTTGATCCATTTGATGAATTTATCTGACAGAATTCTGAATTTCTTCTCTGTGTTATCTTGAATTTTTCTGAATTTCCTCAACACAGCTATTTTGATTTCTGTAACTATAAGGTCACATATCTCTGTTTCTCTAGGATCAGCCCCTCGTGTCTTAGTGTGTTTGGTGAGATCATGGTTTCCTTGATGATCTATATGACTGTAGATGCCCATTGGTGTCTGGGCATTTAAGAATTGGGTATTTATTGTAGCCTTCACAGTCTGGGCTTTTTTGTGCCTGTCTTTCTTGAGAAGGATTTTCAGGTATTTGAAGGGACTTGGGCCCCAGGCCTAGTAACACTGCGTTTTTTTCAGATTCACAGAGGTACCACCTTGGTGGTATTGGGTAAGATCTGAAAGAATTCTGTAGATTACTAGACAGAGATTCTTGTTCTTTTCTCATACTTTCTCCTAAACAAACAGAGTTCCTCTCCTTGTGCTCATCCACCTGGACCTGAGTGTGTGGTGATGCAAGCACCGTATAGCCACCACCACTGGGGCTGCACTGGGTCAGACCTAAAGCCACAGCACCGGCTGTTGCCCAATGCCCACCATAACCACTACCTGGCTACCACCTATGTTCACTAAAGGCCCTAGGGCTCTATAATCAACAAGTGGCAAAGGCATCCATTCTGTGTTCTTTCCTTCAGGGTGATGTGTTCCCCTGGCCCTGTTCAAGTCCAGAGATTCTGTCTGGGAAACAGAGATTGGAGTCAAATACATTAAAATTTTATTTGATATTTTATTCTAAGCTGGAATGCACACCACAATACAAAGTCTTCTTACTCTTCCCTCTCCTTTCCACAACAGCACCAGTGGCACCAACAGCACCAGCCCACAGGGTGTTCTGCCAGGCCACCACTGATGTTCACTTTAAGCCCAAGAGCTCTTCAGTCTGCTTGTAGTGAATGCTGCCAGGCCTGGGACTCCAAATTCAGGAAAGTGGGCTTTACTGCTTTACCAGAGCAGTTTTCAGAAATGTTGTCTAAGAGCCTAGCCCTGGACTCAAAGACTCCAAGAGACTGCTTATTGCTCCCCCACTATGGTCGACCTGGCATGTAAGGTGCAAAACAAAGTCCCCTTTATTTTAACATCTGCTTTTCTTAATCAGAGGGAGTCTTTCACCATAGTCACCACAGCCAGGAGTTTGCTGAGCCACACCTAAAGTTAGCATGTCTCAGATCCCAAGGCCCACAGTGTACTACCTGGGTATTGCTGATAGTTATTTGGTGCCCAAGGGCCCTTCACTCAGCAAGTAATGAATCCTCCCAGGACTGAGTCCTTCCCTTCAAGGCTGCAGGTTTCCCTTTGGTCTGGATGTGTCTAGAAATGTCATCTGGGAGCTGGTTGCCAAAAAGGAGGGCACATGACTCTGACTGGTGCCCTATTGTACTGTAGCTGAGCTGGTATTCAAGATACAAGTTCTTATTACTCTTCTCTCTCCGTCCTCAAGTGGAAGGAAGGTGTCTTTTTTGGAGCTATGCACTGGGCAGCCTGAGGTTGGGAAGGGGTAGCACAAGTGCTTCCTTAGTTCCCCTGGCTAGAGTTTCAGTTGGTCACATGTCCACCTGGCTCACTGGCTCTGAGCTCAGTTCAGCACTTGTACTCACCTAGGAATTTCAGTCCTTGTTGCCTAGACTGCCTTCCAAGTTTATTTAGGACCCAAGAGCACTTTAGTCTGTGTCAAGTGCTTGCTGGAACTCAAGTTCTGATCTCCAGAATGAGAAATTTCTCCTCTGGCTAGAGCTGGTTTAAGTACTCCCTCTGTGGGTTGGCAGCAGGTGAGTTCAGCCTGGTTTTGCTTTCTGCTATGACAGGGCACTGCTGAGTTCAATGCAATATCTCACAATTGCCACATTCTCCCTCTCTCAAGTGCACAGATTCTCTCTCTGTGCTGTGCAGCTACTGCCAGGTGATGGGGAAGGGGTAGTGTTGACGATTCAACCCTGTCTCCTACCCTCCTTAGTGCCTCTTTCAGTGATATGACATTAAAATCAGATACTGTTAGTGCTCACCTGATTTTTCATCTTATGAATGTGCTTTTTTGTGTGTAGGTAGTTGTCAAATTGGTTTCCTTGCTGGTGACAAGTAAAGGCTTCTATTTGGCCACCTTGCTCTCACGCTCAGGTCTGAATCTTGACATAAAAATTACTAAAAAGGAAATATTGTAATAAAACTCTTTTATTTGCACAATGGATATAATATTGGCCTTAACATATTAAGTTTATTGTAAGGATTAAATAGCAAAATATATTTTAAAGTGCATAACAAAATATCAGCCCTAGCAAGTACTCAGTAAATGTTGTAAATTTTAATGATTATTCCTATGCAAATTTAATCTTATATTTTCATTTAATCTACATACTGATTCATCCTTTTAAGCCTATTGTCTGCAATTGCTTTTCTTTTTTAGAAGTGTCTTTTTTTCTCCATGTTTACTATTTGAACAATGAAAAATGTAGATTTATTTTCTACGCATATAGTTTAGTTTTTACAAAAAATTATATAATCTGCCATCTTAGCAATTTAATTATGGCATTTTCCTCATGAAATAATTGCATAAATATTGTTTCAATGGTTTTATAGCATTATTTTATGCTAAAATGTTAGAATCTATTTAACAACTTACTCTGTTTTTTATTGTGTAAAGAGTATTACAATGATTGTGTATAAGAATTTTTTTGTGTTTGGGTGTTCTGTGAATAACTTTCCCCCTTAATATAAATGCCTTCAATTGATATTTCTGACACATATAGAATGAGTTTATACATCATAGTTTTATAAGTAAATTAATGTCCTAAGATTTTGCAGTAATATCCATGCTGAGCAGTCATGTACATTTTACTTTATTCTCACATGTACTTGGTAGTGGTTTTTAAAAACAAGTGATAATTTGATAGTGCTGGAATGGCTTTCGATTTCATATTCCTCACTTCAGTTTTCTTTTCATCCCATCCACCATACCACCTCTAGGTTAATACTCATTAATCACTGATTTTATATGGCAGTTCCTACACAGATAATTCAATAACTTCCATCACCTCCCAATTGAAATTCCAGCTCTTTATCTTAGAATCAAATACTTTAACAGTCTGACCATAACCACTGTTTATGCCTTCTCCACTTATTTATCCACCTAAAATTGTAATTTTACATTTATTTGGGACTGACCATCAAGGCTTATTTTGTAAACTCTGAAGAATCTCTTATTTATATAAACTCTCTACAGATTCCCAGTTCTTACATTTAGCTGACTTCTTGATATCACCACTTGAATGTTTCAAAGACACTATAACCCTAACACATTAAAAATAGAACTAACTAAAACATGTAGGTGTCACATTCTTTCCCATTTGTGAACATGGCAACACCACCCACACAGTTGCTCAGGTCGGAAACTCTCTTTATCAAATCCAACATCTAAACTAGCAGCAAGCATGACGTCCCTACCTGCACAATGTATCTCAAGTCCTGGCATGTGTCTCCATGCTCACTGCAGCCATCTCATCCAAGTCACCTCCCTCTCTCTCTGGATAATGCTGCAGCTTGTTAACACATCTTCCTAACTCCATGCTTCACTCTCTCCCTTCTATTCTTATATCAGCCAAACTCACAGAAAAGTTTAAAGAAATAAAAAACAATCTTGTCTTTTTTCTAAGCATGTGTCTACTTAAATTTTTCTAAGCATGTTTCTACTTATTTAGTATAAATAAAAAATATATTATACATTTAAAATTGCATAAAATATTTTAACATTGTTGAGTAAAAAAAACACAAATATAGCATCATCTCTCTCATATGTGGAATGTAAAAATTTGATCTCAGAAATAAAGAATAGAATGGTGGTTATCAGAGACTGGGGCTGTTGTGAGGAAGAAGGATATGGCTATTGGGGAGATATTGGTTAAAGGATATAAAATTCAAGTTACATTGGAGGAATAAGTTTAAAAGGTCCACTGTATAGCATGGTGACTGTAGTTAATGAGGATATGCTGTATTCTTGAAAAATGCTGAGACTGGTTGTTAAGCATTCTTACTACAAAAACGACTATGTGAAATAATGCATATGTTAATTAATAGATTTAAACTGTTTATAGTATATAGGCATATACTTAAAAACATCAAATTGCATACTATAAATATGTACTATTTTATCTGTCAATTTAAATAAATACATACATAAATTTGAAAAAAAAACTAAAATCTTCAATGCCTTTCTATTGCACATAAAATAAGCGCAACCTGTTATCATAGTATATTAGGCCTTAAACAATATGGCCTTGCCAATCTTTCCACCTCCATTTTATGCTACTCTCCCGCTTACACTATACTACAGTTACATTAGCCACTTCTAAAACCCTCAAAAATGCCAAGTTCTTTCTTGCCACTGTACTTCTGCACATGCCGTTTCTACATGAAAAATCGAGATCAACTTCTCCTTTCATTTTGGATGGTATGTTTGTTTTTACAAAATAATACAGCTCTATGCTACTCCTATATGATAGTAAATACTGTAGTGGATTCATGGGACCTGTGCTGAAAAAGGAAAATATATAATCACACAGAGGCAGTAACATAAACCACCTTTATTTGGCACCTTTATTTGGCTGGTTTGGATGCAGGGGAGCTTCCTTCTAGCATCACACCATTCAGAGGTTAATTACTAATAATAGCCATTCTGACTGGTGTTAGATGATATCACATGTGGTTTTGATTTGCATTTCTCTAATGATCAGTGATGTTGAGCTTTTTTACATGTGATTGATGGCCGCATGTATGTCTTTTGAAAAGTGTCTGTTCATCTCCTTTGCCCATTTTTTTATGGGAGTTTGTATTTTTCTTGTAAATTTGTTTAAGTTCCTTATAGATGCTGGATATTAGACCTTTGTCAGATGCAGAGTTTGCAAAAATGTTCTCCCATTCTTTAGGTTGTCTGTTCAATCTGGTAGTATCTTTTTGCTGTCTAGAAGCTCTTCAGTTTAATTCGATCCCATTTGTCAATTTTGGCTTTTGTTGCAATTGCTTTTGGTGCCTTTGTCATAAAATCTTTGTTCTTAACGTGTCCTGAATGGTATTGCCTATGTCGTCTTCAAGGGTTTTTATCATTTGGGGTTTTACACCTAAGTTTTAATCCATCTTGATTTAATTTATAGAAAAGACATGGAATCAACCTAAATGCCCATCAATGATAGACTAGATTTTTTTAAATGTAGTACATATACACCATGGAATACTGCACAGCTATAAACAAGAATGAGATCACATCCTTCGCAAGGATATGGATGGAGGGCATGATCCTTAGCAAACTAACACACGAACAGAAAACCAAATGCCACATGTTCTCACAAATAAGTGGGAGCTAAATGATGAGAACACATAGACACACAGAAGGGAACAACACACTGGGGTCTTTTGGAGGATGGAGGTTGGTAGGAGGGAGATGATCAGGAAAAATAACTAATTGGTACTGGGCTTAATATTTGGGTAATGAAATAATCTGTAAAACAAACCCCCATGACATAAGTTTGCCCATGTAACAAACCTGCACTTGTATCCCTGAACTTAAAAGTTAAAAAAAAAAAAAAAGGCAAGGAAATTCCTAGGGGAGAGTGGAATCCAGAGAGGAGCTTTAAAGTATCTAAATGATGTTGTACAGCAACATGGTGTGAGACTGTGGGTTAGAGAATTCTGATGTGTAGCAGTAGGTTGGGTCTTCATAGCCCCAGAGTTTATCAAACCCATAGCTAGCACAGTTTCTCTAGCTATTCAAATAAGTCAGTCTCTAAATGATTAAAAGTCTGCTATTTTGGGCTATTTTAAAAACAACTGTATTAAAACAATTGCCACAGGCACAAAAATGTATATTTTCTGTTACTAACCTATTGTCTTCTTTTATATGCAAAACAAAGATTACGGTTCCTGCCATTTATGCGTTGTAAAGCTATTTTTACTTGTTTACAAGATAGCTTAGTGTTAGTTGAATCCTTTAATCTTTATTATATCTCCATACAACCTGAACTATTGTTTTGAAGTTTATTTTAAATCAGTACCTTTTAGTAAGACAGTGTATCACTACAGTCATATTGAATAGCTATTCGTTATATTTTTCTAATACATACAACCTAAACTATATTTTCTGTAGACTAAACATATAGTCTTGTTTGTAATTTCAATCTTTAATAACTTCTGTAAAATGAATGCTACAAACTTACCAAAAAATTTTAAATTGCTACTAAATTCCCTTTATACCTATTTTATTTTTTTAATTTTAAATAACGAATGCATTTTTAAATTTTAGTATGGTACAATACATATGTAACATAAACTGTGCCATTTGACCTATTTATAATTGCACAAGTAGTAACATTAATCATATCCACAATGTTATACAACCATCATTACTATCTATTTCCAAAACTTTTCATCACACCAGAAAAACTCTGCACCTAATAAGAAATAAGTCCCCATTACTATCTCTCTCCAGTACCTGGTAAACTCTAATCTGATTTTAGGGGAAAAGCTTTTGATTTTCACCATTACACATGATATTACATTTGTTTTTGTTTTTGTCTTTTTAATAAATACTCTTGATTATGTTGAAAAAAGTTGTCATCTATTCCTAGTTTTCTGATTGTTTTTAATCATGAAAGGGTATAGGAGTTTGTCAAATGCCTTTTCTGTGTCAGTTGAGATGATCATGTGGTGTATGACATTGATTATCTTTTGTTGAGCTACCCTTGCAATCCTTGGATAAATTCCACTTGGTCATTGTTAATGCTGTTGAATTTGACTTGCCAGCATGGTGTTCAGAATCTTTGCATCTACTTTCATTAGAGATCTTTGTATTTTTTCTTTTCTTACAGTGTATTTATCTAGCTTTAGTATCAAGATCAGGGCAATTCTGGTCACATAGAATGAGTTAGGAAGTGCTCTTTCCTCTTTTATTTTTTGGAAAAGTTTGAGACAGATAGGTGTCAATTCTTTTTAAATGTTTGATATAATTTTACCAGGGAAGATATCTGGTCCTGGACATTTGTTTGGTGGGAGGTTTTTGATTACAGATTCAATCTTATAATTGTTACAGATCTAATGATATTTTTCTGTTACTTCTTAAGTCAGTTTAGGTAACCATATATTTCCAGCATTTGGCCATTTCGTCTAGGTTGTTTTTTGGCATATGATTGTTCATAGTATGCTCTCATACACTTTTGTATTTCTGTAATATCAGTAGTAACGTCCCTACTTTCAACTCTAGTTTTAGTTATTTGTATATTTTCTCTTTTTTCCATTAGTCAAACTAAAGGATTGCCATTTTTTATTTTTTTCAAAGAATCACCTTTTGCTTTTGTTGATTCTCTCTATTGTTATTCTATTGTTATTCTCTATTTTACTTATCTCCAGCCTAATCGTTACTAGTTCATTTCTTCTGTAAGCTTTGACTCAATTTTTTCTTCTTTTTCTAGTTGCTCAAAATGTTAAGTTATTGAGATCTTACTTCTTTTTAATGTAGGATTTAGAGCTATATATTTCCCTTTAATTACTGCTTTTGCTACATCATAAAACTTTTGATTATGTTTTGCTTTCATTCTTTTCAAATTATATTCTAACTTTCTTATCATTTCCTTTTTGATCCATTGGTTGTTTTAGAGTGTGTTTAATATACACATATATATTTTTAATTTTTCAATTTTTCTTCTATTGTTGATTTCTAGATTCATTCTATGTTAGTAAGAGAAGATACTTTGTATGATTTCACTCTTTGCTTTTGTGGAATTTTGTTTTTAATCTAGCCTCGGTAATACCCTGGAGAGTGAGTCATGTGTCCTTGAGAAGAATGTATGTTCTGTTGTTGTTGAGTAGAGAGTGCTGTGTATGTCTGTTAGGTCTGGTTGCTTTACAGGATTGTTCAAGTCCACTCTCCCTATTGATCTTCAGTCAATATGTTCTAGTAATTATTGAAAGTGAGATATTAAAATTTGTTTGGTTACCATATTTGTCTGTTTTCCAGAGTTCTAACAATGTCAATTCTGACAATTTCCATTTGTTCTTTGATGTTTTTGTGGGATAATAATATAAGCTTGGAGCTGCTTATTCTGACATTTTGCTGATTCACTTCTCTATAATTGTTTTTTAAATCTTTTCTATGTATCACCTAAAGGCTTCTTGAAGATGACCAGTGGAACACACATTACAGTTTATAAAAACAATAAACTATGGTATATTCTGAAAATTCAAGCAGGGGCATTCTACGTTAGAAAAAAAACTACAATTAGAGTATCTTACCCTTGTTAATCGTTTCTAAACTCCAACTTTTTTGGCTTTAAAGAAAAACATTTTACTGGATTGACAGAAATGAAGAAACATAAGAAAATCTAGCATGTATATTTAACTTTGTAATAGATGGAGATAAATTTCTGGGTAAAGGAATGTTATTGATATTTAATAAACTGAATTTAGGATAGATAAGAAATATTCTAGAAGTAAAGATTTGGGGGAAGGATGTTTAGAAGGATGATCAATACTAAGCAGATGATTGATAATAATCATTTCTACATTTGTTCAGTCCCATTACTAGTAGTAAAGCAAAAATGAATTAGGAAAAACTGATGAGTTCAATATGGTACAGTTCCCAAAAAGATTTCTTAGAAAGAAATAGAAAAATGTGTAAATTTTATAAATTATTTTGGACCCAGAAGATTGGGTGACCACATATGTAGGAGAATCTCAATGAAACAGTTCATATTATCATTTCTTGTGCTATAATAAGCTTTCTTGGAAGAAGCATTTCTTATAAGAATGAGCCAGAAATGGTCTCTGCTTGTTGGTCTAGGTTCTTCACAGTAAGGTTCACTAGGTTCTTCACAGCCTGTGCTTCTTCACAGTACAGTGAAACTCCTTAGCTGAACAGCCTGCTGCTGCCAAACTCAAATTTTTAAACATACAATTGTATGTACATAGAAGAATGCTCAGGACAGAGCAGGTACTAAGTATAAATGAATATTTTTGAATTGACTAACATTGAGCCAATGTCAAATATATATATATATATATGTGTGTGTGTGTGTGTGTGTGTGTGTGTGTGTGTGATAGTTAAGACAAAGGATAAATCACTAAGATTAAATGGAATAGAAGGCAGCTGGTTTGGTAAAGCAACTTCCCAGTGACTCTTCCTTAACTAAAATTAAAGTTTATTGGCAGCAATCTATCCTGCCATGGCCATCAACTTTGCAAGTGGCCAGGTGAGATTTTAAGTATTAAAGGCACCCTATGAATCTGCCACATCTAGCCACCAGAAGCTTTTGTGTACTTATAAAATGTATTTCCATCCCCCTGCCTCTCATAAACTCTCCATAATGCCATAATGACCTCAACCCTCATTGATTGTGTCTTGTTAAATGGGATCCTACCGAGAGGTGACGGCGTGCTGGCAGTCCTCACAGCCCATGCTCGCTCTCGGCGCCTCCTCTGCCTGGGCTCCCACTTTGGCGGCACTTAAGGAGCCCTTCAGCCCGCCGCTGCACTGTGGAAGCCCCTTTCTGGGCTGGCCAAGGCCGGAGCCGGCTCCTTCAGCTTGCGGGGAAGTGTGTAGGGAGAGGCGCGAGCGGGAACCCGGGCTGCGCGCGGCGCTTGTGGGCCAGCTGGAGTTCCGGGTGGGCGTAGGCTTGGCGGGCCCCGCACTCGGAGCAGCCGGCAGGCCCTGCCGGCCTCGGGCAATGAGGGGCTTAGCACCTGGGCCAGCGGCTGCGGAGGGTGTACTGGGTGCCCCAGCAGTGCCGGCTCACCGTCGCTGCGCTCGATTTCTCGGGCCTTAGCTGCCTCCCCGCAGGGCAGGGCTGGGGACCTGCAGCCCGCCATGCCTGAGCCTCCCCCGCTCCGTGGGCTCCTGTGCGGCCCCAGCCTCCCGGACGAGCACCGCCCCCTGCTCCATAGCGCCCACTCCCATCGACCACCCAAGGGCTGAGGAGTGCGGGCGCATGGCGCGGGACTGGCAGGCAGCTCCACCTGCGGCCCGGTGCGGGATCCACTGGGTGAAGCCAGCGGGGCTCCTGAGTCTGGTGGGGACGTGGTGAACCTTCATGTCTAGCCAAGGGATTGTAAATACACCAATCAGCACTCTGTATCTAGCTCAAGGTTTGTATTCACACCAATCAGCACCCTGTGTCTAGCTCAGGGTTTGTGAATACACCAATCGATACTCTGTATCTAGCTAATCTGGTAGGGACGTGGGGAACCTTTGTGTCTAGCTCAGGGATTATAAACACACCAATCAGCACCCTGTCAAAATAGACCACTCAGCTCTACCAATCAGCAGGATGTGGGTGGTGCCAGATAAGAGAATAAAAGCAGACTGCCCAGCCAGCAGTGGCAATCCCGTCTGGTCCCCTTATGCACCGTGGAAGCTTTGTTCTTTCCCTCTTTGCAATAAATTCTGCTGCTGCTCACCGTGTGGGTCCACACTGCCTTTATGAGCTGTAACACTCACCGTGAAGGTCTGCAGCTTCACTCCTGAAGCCAGCGAGACCACGAACCCACCGGGAGGAACAAACAATTCCAGACGTGGCGCCTTAAGAGCTGTAACACTCACCACGAAAATCCACAGCTTCACTCCTGAGCCAGCGAGACCACAAACCCACCAGAAAGAAGAAACTCAGAACACATCCGAACATCAGAAGGAACAAACTCCAGACGTACCACCTTAAGAGCTGTAACACTCACTGCGAGGATCCGCGGCTTCATTCTTGAAGTCAGCGAGACCAAGAACCCACCAATTCGGGACATACTACCATACTGATTTGGGTCACTTTTGTTATTTTTTGAATTTTAGGCCTTGCTAACACAGAATCTATAGTATTCGTATCTGTTTTAATCCCTAGAAACTAGAATCTCATCCATCAGACAGTAGTTTTAAATTATTTGGTAACAGAATGTTTGGGGTGAGAAGGAATATAATAGAGAAAAACATACTTTTAAAAATATTTATCCTTTAAATAAGGAACAATATATTCACAGAAGAAATAAAAGTAGAAGTCACACAGTGCTTGTAGAAAAGTGGTTTTTCTGGCAAAAGTCTCATTCAAGACACTGTAAACTTTGTCAAAGCCTAAATAGGCCCTGCCTCAGAAGCAGTTTTCACACTAAAACTGAAATAGAAAAGAAAAAAAAATTCTGTGAGTTTTCTCTACAAGTGGGATATATTTAATACAAATTAATGGATTCATTAATATGAAATTGTGTACTAAAGATTGTTAGATTCAAAATGAAATCCAGAGAAGGAGCATTAGGGCTAAATTGCTTGTCGTTGTTTTTCGTTCCCATATGTAGCAGCATGGCCTCTTAAAGGCAAAAATAGAAATGGAATGAGCTTGTAATCATAGAAACTGCATGTGGCAGTGAAGGAAAAGTGCACTGAAGATGTAAAAGCACCAAGTGAATATACAGCACATAACAAAAACATATTGTTGTCACCGCTAAAGTACAGGCATTAATGTTGTTCACAATAGGCTTTGACACTAATCCTAATTCTTAAGGAGATACCAGCTGAAAACATAAAGTCTAGTGAATATCTCCAAAGAGAAAAGGAGAAAAAAGTATCCTTACTGGTATTACTAATTGTAGTCTTTGAGCATGCAAGTAAGAGTTTAATGGAAGGCATATTAAACTTAATTTAAATTTCATTTAAAGTTATATTATTACAGTCTGTTTTCAATAATCAAAGAGTATATATTGATTATATAACCATGAACTTTAAAAAATCTAACATTGGGCATTATTTTCTAGAGGAAATATGAGAATATTAAATTATCAAACTAAACTTACAGACACATGAATGTTATGAATAAACAAGTGATAAAATCAAGGGATTATATAAAAGATCAAAGGTAGAGAATAGCATTTTTCACAGGAAAAAATATATCAAAATTGTATAACACTATATTAAAAGTCATTAGTAAATATGTACACTACACTTTTCTATGTAATGTTTATTGGAATAATATTTCAATAAAAGTCAGAGTCGTGTTTTGTTTGTTGTGTTTCTCCCCAGCCAGACAGTAACTGCCATGGAAGTAGGGATCACACTGTTCATTATCACATCTTTAGTGCTTAACACCATGCCATCCATGGAGTAGGCAACTCAAATATTTGCGAAATAACTTAAGAAGAATACTTTGGGGAAATCAAAGTGGTTAGGTTCAGGTGAAAAACAGATTACAAACTGGGAAAAAAGAATAGAAGAAATGAAACCAACACTATTAGAAATTCATTAGCATTTCAAAGTCAAGAAAGAACCACACCTATTTCTAAAGTATTATGTTAGCTTTTCTACACCCACATTGTTTTTGTAGAAAATCAGAAGGATTTTGAAGCAGCTCTAAGGAAAATGCTATTATATGAATAAGAAAACTTGAACTTATGAAACTCTCTATAAATGTATATATGAGAAGTCTCTCAACTTTTTAAACGTTATATTTCTAAAAGAACCAGAAGCCTGTGACTGCTCCCAAAATAATCTAAGTCCTAAAACTGTACCAACAGCAAGAAAACTAAAAGTTTTACTGCCCCCAAGAAGTCCAGTCTATCCAGTGGACATTAATAAGGGACAAACAACAATTTCTGAGTTCAAAACAAGGCCAAGAAGGACAATAGACAATATACAACGGGAACCCACACTTCTACCCCTGAAATACAGACAGAGGGGTCACCATATCTGGCAACCAGAGCTGTTATTCCATTTCTGGTACAGAAAGAGCAGATAGATTTCATAATTTTTGTTCAGGGGGATTTATTGATTACTACGGACCAGTGATTAATGTCTATTTTTAGTCTTTACATTACTCAACAGCAGTTTTATGGCATCTGTTTTATTCTTACACTGTTATTTTAAAATGGGCATATGTTGGTTATGGGTAGGGGTCAGTAGATAGCTTATCTTGTATTTTATAGTGGGTCATATCATGAGTAGTCATATCCTGACATAATGGAAAGAATGACACTTCATTTCTATTTTGAACTGGACACAATAACTATGGTCTTTAGGATTGTTCCTTGGAGAAGGGGCAAGTAGATTCTGTGTGTAGGGAAAAGTGTCCATAGGCACTTAACTAGTCACAGTACTCTGCTTTAGAAGAGATTATTTGATATTTATTTTTCACCTCTTCAGTAATAGTTTTGGCTAAGAACATAGCCACCCAGCAAATCAGTATGTTTTCAGCCTTCCTTGCAATTAGGTATGGCCTGGTTTCTGTGCTTTGGACAATGGAGTGTGTCTGAATCTAATGTAAGCAACTGCCTGGTCAAATCCTTAAAGGAAAAGAGACACTCAGCATTTATTTTTTCTGCTCTTTCCACTGATAGACTTCAGATACAATGCCAGGTGCTGAAGCTGCCATCTTATATGACAAGATGGATGTGTAGAGAAGAGAGAGGAAGCAGACAATCCAGGTACTATGGTGGCTACCATATTATCAGCTTTGAACTTTTATTACGCTAGTTGTTACAGAAGATAAACCAGTATTTTGATTATTAAAGTAACAATGAACAATTTTCATATTTTCCCTTTCAATTTCTCCATATCTAAAATGAAGATAATCATAGCTACTTCTTAGGATGAATATGAGGATTAAACAAGATCATGCCTTGAAAGTACTTAATATAGTCTGTGGTATATGGCAAGGATCAAAAATGGTAACTATTTTAGCAAGTTAATTTTAACTCTTGGTATACGAGAGTGACCACAATTAAGAGTGACACTTAGCTGGATGTGGTGGCTCATGCCTGTAATCCTAGCACTTTGGGAGGCTGAGGTGGGTGAATCACTTAAGGTTCAGATTTCAAGACCAGCCTGGTCAACGTGGCAAAAACCATGGCGAAACTAAAAAAAAAAAAAAAAAAAAAAAATTAGCCAGGCTTGGTGGTCCGTAGTCCCAGCTACTCCTGAGGCTGAGGCAAGAGAATTGCTTGAACTCAGGAGGCAGAGGTTGCAGTGAGCCGAGATCCTGCCACTGCACTCCAGCCTGGGTGACAGAGCGAGACTCGATCTCAAAAAAAAAAAAAAGAGTGACACTCTACCTACTCCATACCTGGCCCTCCTCACTCACCAAGCTACACTTTAGTATGTTAAAAAGTAACATATTTTTGTTAAAGTTATATATAGATTTATGTTGAGTCTTAGTTATTGATCATACTCATCACTCCACACATACCACTCCACACAGTAAGTTCTGAGAAGTAAATGACACTATTGAAAATCTCACACAACTAAATTATTTTTTAGACTATATTAAGACTGTGTATAAAGTAAAGCTTTTTTTTTTCCTTTTTTGTAAGTCTATTTTATTTTCATAAGAATATTTTGACCCAGTTTTCAGGTAGATATCCCAAAATAAATTATTTTCCTATGTAAACCATAAGTAATTATCTCATTTAAAACTGCCTAAATTTAAATCACTCATTTATGTAGCTCGCCCATCTCCATACTAGGGAATTAACTTCCTTCTACATTCAATATTTATTTTCAAAGTTTTGCATATAATGAGCCTAACAGACCCTAATAGCTATGATATATGTTAACAGAATATTTTATTAATATGTATTAAGAACAGAATCAGACAACAATTAATTGGAAAGAAAACCTCACAATACTTTCTGATAGTCAATTACATTTAATGTCTTTATGGATAAAGCTCTAACCCATTATTAATCTCAACACATAACCTTTCAGGCATCAACTTTATTAAATAATGCCGATGAAGGCTTAGCATTATATTGACCACGGCAACATTAATTGATACTGCTACATACCTAATAGATCATAGACAAAACTGACCATCTAGGTGACAGGATGCCTGATTTATGAGAAAGAAGGGTTGGCATATATTCTGGGATTCTATATTTAGCTACAAATATTCATTTACTTGAAAATATGAAATACAATTGAAATGCTTATTTTGGTTCTTCTACTCGACTATATGGTTCTTGGCAAGTCAGCTGCTCAACATTGCACTTTTCGTATCTGTAAAAAGGAAAGAGTAATAGTGTACCTCAAATTGATATTGCAAAGATTAAAAGTGATAATACATATATAGTGCTTATTGTGTGCCTGGAAAAGTGAGTCCCTGCACATTATAGATACTACCCTATTTTGTAAGTTTTTATTTTGAAATAATCATAGATCTACAAAAGTTGGAAAGAAATGTGGGTCCTCATCTATTTGCATCCTAATTTCAAGGTTTTTACCATTGATTTCACAATAGCCTCAATCTGCACTATGTTAAAGCAAAGCTTGCATCTTTTTGAAAGTTTTCTTCAATACATTTGCTGCTAAAAAAAGAAATTACAAGTAAGTTCCAGGCATCCTTTACTCAGCCTCCTTCTATGTTAATATCTTGAATAATTATAGTACAGTATTAACAACAGGATATTGACATTAGTACAATCTATAGATCTTATGGATTCTTAGATTCTTTCCATCATAGATGTATTCATATGTGTGTGTGTCTGTGTGTAGCTGGATGCAATTTGTCAGATGTGCAGCTTCCTGCAACGGTTACCAAAATCAAGATACTCATTTGTACCATCACTACAAGGCTCACTCATGCTGCCTGTATTTGTGTATTCTCCATAGAAAGAGAACCAATAGAATATAGACATACATATTATGAGGGGATTTATTACAGGAATTGGCTCATGCAGTACTGGAGGTCAAGACATCCCACGATACATCATTTGCAGGCTGAAGAACCAGGAAAGCCAGCGGTGCAATTCAGAGTCCAAAAGCCCAAGGAACCAGGGCGGCCACTGATATAAGTTCCACAGACTGAAGTCCCAAGAAACCGGTCAGGAAAATATGGATGTCTCAGCTTAGGAAGACAGGGGGAATTGTCCTTGACTCCACCTTTGTGTTCTATGTGGGCCCTCAAAGGATTGGATGATGCTCATGCACATGAATGAGGGCAGATCCTCTTTACTCAGTACATTGCTTCAAAAGCTAATTTCTTCTGAAGAAACTCTCACAGATACATCCAGAAGTAATGTTTTACCAGCTATCTGGGAATCCTTTAGCCCAATCAAATGAACAGATATAATTAATCATCACACTACACCTTGATAGCTATACTGCCTCCTCAGCCTTCCTATTCCTAACTCCTGGCAAGAAATAGGCTGTTTGTTATCTTAAAAGTTCATGTCATATTTTACTCTGATGTGAATAACAGAATAATAATTGTTCAATGCCAATTGTGTCTTAAGCAATAGTTGTGTTTCATAAAATATTATAAGAGTTCCTTTTGGTATAATATAGTTGAAATACTTCTGTTTCGCTCTTTTCTCCTGGTCACTATGTACAACAAACCGCCATGATACATGATTAGTTTTGTAACAAACCTTCACATGTACCCCCAAACCTAAAATAAAACTTAATAAAAATAAAATAATAATAATAAAGATATATTTTTCATAACTAGCAGAAACAAAAATGTTTTAAAGTATGTTAAGGGACCACATACTTCAGCATTTTATTTTTAGTTTCCAGTGTTTACTAGTGTTCCACACTTAGTCCAAGATTTTAGAGTCCTGGCTTACAAAAGGATTTTTTTGTTAAGACTAGCCATGTGCAGAAAACTGTAACTGGACCACTTCCTTACACCTTATACGAAATTTAACTCAAGATGGATTAAAGACTTAAATGTAAGACCTTAAATGATAAAAATCCTAGAAGAAAACCTAGGCAATACAATTCAGGACATAGTCATGGGCAAAGACTTCATGTCTAAAACGCCAAAAGCAATGACAACAAAAGCCAAAATTCACAAATGGGATCTAATTAAACTCAAGAGCTTCTGCACAGCAAAATAAACTATCATCAGAGTGAGCAGACAACCTACAGAATGGGAGAAAATTTTTGCAATCTCTCCATCTGACAAGGGGCTAATATCCAGAATCTATAAAAAAACTTAAACAAATTTACAAGAAAAATAAACAACAACCCCATCAAAAAGTGGGCAAAGAATATGAACATATGAACAGACACTTCTGAAGAGAAGACATTTATGCAGCCAACAAACATATGAAAAAAAAAGGTCATCATCATTGGTCACTAGAGAAATACAAATCAAAACCACAATGAGATACCATCTCACGCCAGCTAGAATGGCAATCATTAAAAAGTCAGGAAACAACAGATGCTGGAGAGGATGTGGAGAAATAGGAACGCTTTTACACGGTTAGTGGAAGTGTTAATTAGTTCAACCATTGTGGAAGAGAGTGTGGCGATTCTTCAAGGATCTAAAACTAGAAATACCATTTGACCCAGCCATCCCATTACTAGGTATATACCCAAAGGATTATAAATCATTCTACTATAAAGACACATGCACATGTATGTTTATTGTGGCACTATTCACAATCGCAAAGACTTGGAAACAACCCAAATGTCCATCAATGATAGACTGGATTAAGAAAATGTGGCACATATACACCATGGAATACTATGCAGCCATAAAAAAGGATGAGTTCATGTCCTCTGCAGGGACATGGATGAAGCTGGAAACCATCATTCTTAGTAAACTAACACAGGAACAGAAAACCAAACACCACATGTTCTCACTCATAAGTAGGAGTTGAACAATGAGAATACGTGGACACAGGGAGGGGGAACATCACAAACAGGGGCCTGTCGGTGGGTGGGAGGCTAGGGGAGGGATAGCATTAGGAGAAATACCTAATGTAGATGATGGGTTGATGGGTGCAGCAAACCACCATGGCACGTATACACCTATGTAACAAAACTTCACGTTCTGCACATGTACCCCAGTCTTTAACATCACAGTTAAAGACTCTTAGCTAATTTCCAAAGCTGAAGAAAAAAGTATCTGCATTAACATATTTTATTTTAATGTTGATTGTTTCATTAAGAGAAAATGAGACTAATGTGTATAGGGTTCCAACAATGTGTTCATGTACAGTGTACTGTGCTAATAAGCACTTTATGTATTTTTGGTTGTTTAATCATTATGAAAACTCTGAAAGAGATGTATTACCATTCCAGTTTTAAAGATAATCTAAGTCTCAAGTCAGGTAAATATCCATTTGTGTTTCTTTTCGATCCATCAGCTAACAGATGAGTATAAATCTTAATATTTGTACAATATCTCCTTACAATCTATAAAGTTTTAATGATCCTCTTTGGGTTCTACCTATAAAAATATCAACCACTTATTACTTAAACAAAATATAGTTTTTATATCTAATAAAGTAGTTGCTCATTGTAGCAGAAATACTATAGTAGTACAAGCTTCTGGTTGTTTTAGATTATCAATGTCTTACCTTTTGCCAAGTTTCCAGCCATTTCATGGATTATGTATATATATATATATACTTTTTAAGCTCTGGGGTACATGTGCAGGATGTTCAGGTTTGTTACATAGGTAAACGTGTGCTATGGTGGTTTGCTGCTCCTACCCACCCATCACCTAGGTATTAGGCCCAGCATGCAATAGTTATTTTTCCCTAATGTTTTCCACCCCCAGTCTCCCCACCCTCCCCCGACAGGCCCCAGTGAGTGTTGTTCCCCTCCATGTGTCCATGTGTTCTAATTGTTCAGTTCCCACTTATAAATGAGTGCATACGGTGTTTGGTTTTCTGTTCCTGCATTAGTTTGCTGAGGATAATGACTTCCAGCTTCATCCATGTCTCTGCAAAGGACATGATCGTATTCCTTTTTATGGCTGCATAGTATTCCATGGTGTATATGTACTACATTTTCTTTATCCACTCTATCTTTGATGGGTATTTGGGTTGATTCCATGCCTTTGCTATTGTGAATAGTGCTGCAATGAACATAAGCAGCATATGTTCACGTAATAAAAAATCATAATAGAATGATTTATATTTCTTTGGGTATATTTCCAGTAATGGGATTGCTGGATCAAATGGTAATCTGACAAAGGTTTAATAACCCGAATCTACAAGGAACTTAAGCAAATTTGCAAAAAAACAACAAAGAACCCCATTAAAAAGTGAGCAAAGGATATGAACAGACATTTCTCAAAAAAAGACATATATGTGGCCAACAAACATATGAAAAAAAGCTCAACATCTCTGATCATTAGAGAAATGCAAATCAAAACCACCATGAGATACCTCTCATGCCAGTCAGAATGGTGATTACTAAAAGTCAAGAAAGGCCGGGTGCGGTGGCTTACACCTGTAATCCCAGCATTTTGGGAGGCCGAGGCAGGCAGATCACAAGGTCAGGAGATCGAGACCATCCTGGCTAACATGGTGAAACCCTGTCTCTACTAAAAATACAAAAATTAGCTGGGTGTGATGGTGCTTTTTGTGCCTGTAGTCCCAGCTACTTGGAAGACTAAGGCAGAAGAATCCCTTGAACCAGGGATGCAGAGGTTGCAGTGAGCCAAGGTCACACCACTGCACTCCAGCCTGGCAACAGAGCAAGACTCCGTCTCAATTTAAAAAAAAAAAAAAAGTAAAGGAAAAACAGATGCTGACGAGGTTGCAGAGAAATAGGAATACTTTTACACTGTTGCTAGGAATGTAAATTAGTTCAATCATTGTGGAAGACAGTGTGGCAATTCCTCAAAGATTCAGAACCGGAAATACCATTTCATGGATATAATTATGAGGTCTTAAAGAGGACAATGATCACCCACAAAACTATTCCAACAGTTTCTTGGTTCAGGGCTGATTTATAAAATATGCAGAATCTGGTGGCTTTCATAATCATCCTGGCCACTTATTCACTCCTCAGTTGAAACATTTTAGAAAACTCCTTCTGTTTCTACTAATTAAAAAGAAGAAGGTAACAGTACAAACTATATTTCAGGCTGCAGGAAATGGTGACAATTGGGTGCTACAATTTGCAACTCTCCTGCATATCACAAGAAGACGAAGAAGAAAAGATACTAAGATTAATGAACAATAAAATATTTTTGGAAAATAACCTATCTCTGATCTCCAAATTTTCCTTGAACAGATAAAAGGAGTAATTTTTATGATGGCAAAGTCATGGGTAAAATTTCCTGTCTAGATACATCAAATGGTGGGTATAGAGCTGCATATTTGGTAGAGACTGTATGTGTGTAAGCATTTGAAATGAGCATGGCCACTACAATGCATTCAAAGCCCAGCAAGTCTTAAGTTGCAGAGCAAATGGCAAATCAATTCTATTAAACTACAGTGGCATTTACTTTGCTTTGAGAAACAAGCAGGCATATCTTCATTCCCTATTGCAACATAAAGCATACATAATTTCTTATAATACCAAATAATTATTCATGTTAACTGATTTATAAGTAAACAAAAAAGCCTATTGCTTTTTTTTCTCATTTAACCTTACAGTTTTTATTCCTGACATCTATTCATTAAACTAATTTTTTATATACTAGGTCTAGAGTTTGTCTCTAGCAAGTCAATACCCCACAGTTGCTCAGTATGTCTTATGACATGATGGGCAATAAAAGAGGTTCTCTCAAGAGCCAGATAATCTGGGTTCGAATTTTGGCCACGCTGTTAACTATAATGTGATCATGGGCAATTAAACCACCTCTCTGACTCTTTTTATACCAGTAAATCGGGTTTTAATAATACCCACTTCAAGGGCTCCTATGTTAAATTATATCAGTCATCTAAGAGTTATAGTATATTTTCTGGTATAGTAAGCATATTGAATTAGAGATATTACTATTATAGTAATAAAGATACATCAGATACTATATTGATTCCCAAAGACTTAAAAGTGGATAAAATAGGATAAGCTTATATAAATAAGCTCCATGTCTAGTAGGCATAACTTCTAGAAGAGAAGTTTACACAAGGTAAAGTAGGAACAGATCAGAGAGTTACCAACTATGTCTAAAGAAATTAGCAATGGTTTTCTTCAAGAGGTGTCATTTGTCATTTGATCTGAACTTTAAAGAATAAAGAGGAGGGGGCCAGGTGTGGTGGCTCACGCCTGTAATCCCAGCAATTTGGGAGGCTGAGGTGAGGTATTCAAGACCAGCCTGGTCAACATGGTGAAATCTCATCTCTACTACAAATACAAAAATTAGCTGGGCATGGTGGCGCAGGCTTGTAATCCCAGCTACTCGGGAGGCTTAGGCAGGAGAATCACTTGAACCCAGGAGGTGGAGGTTGCAATGAGCCGAGATTGTGCCACTGCACTTCAGCCTGGGTGACAGAGTGAGACTCTGTCTCAAAAAAAAAAAAGGAATAAAGAGGATATCAAGACAACAAAAATGGGTCAAAGTATTCCAGAAAGCATGAAAAATTATCTGAAAAGTCAACGAAAGAAGGCATTTTCAGGGAAAATGTGGTATGGCTCTGCTGAAGAATCAAGTATAATAGAAAAAATGGTGGCAGCCAGAGCTAGATGGGAAATTGGGATCCTGGTAATGTATTCTGTTAAGGTATGTGAGCATTTTTATTAGAAAATTGGAGTAAATTGGTCTTTAAAAGATTTTTTAATAAGGAAGAAATAGGATTCCTTAAGGGTCAGTAAAAAGTTAACTGCAGGGATGTTTAACAAAAGAATTAAAGAAAATTAAACCATGACCATAAATAATCACAATAACTGAGCTGGAACTAACGTTTCTGAAGCTTTATATTCCTGTCTTACTCTCAATTGGAAAAAAAATCTACAGATTGTGGCTTCTAGGAAAGTTAATAAAACAAAATCTAAATATAAGGAGCAAGCTGAATTAACAAACCAGGTGGTGTGGAGGAGTGATTTAGACATGTCTCAACCACGCTACACAAATTAATCTATTTATATTGCATCATTATCAATATCATTATTAGACAGAAAAAAAGGGACAGGAGGCTAAGGATGCATTTTACAGATATAAAATACATATTTAAATATTCTAGAAAGTTGCAGAGCCAAAGTAGATATGGATTAGTTTTAATAAAATTCTTTTGATGAATTCCATAAAAATGAATAAAATGAAAAGTTCAAATAGAAATTAGTTTTAAATGACAAACATTCAGTGAGGTTGTGGAAAAAGTAATAAAAGTATTGTCACTGACATCTTTAAAATGACAAGATTAGTTTTTACTGATACAATATTTTCAAAGTGTTTTACCTGATTATATCTACACACTAAATGAAATTTAAATTCTCCTAAAATAGCTTTGTTTCTTATAAGGTGTATTAAACTCAATACTTGTTAAGTTTTCATATTCTTTCAGTAATTCAATGACTGGCTTGTGAGAATCCACCAATGGTTTGAAGTAACTTACTTAGGAAAATATTAACCAAGCAGTTTATTCCCTTAACACACACATACAAAATTTCTCATATAAATTAGTGTAATATTTTTAAACAGATATGTCTTTTTGAAATATGGAGATTTTAAATTTTAAAATTACATGACTGTTTACATATGTCTAAGTTCATAAAATTGTATGTGCTAAATATGTATACTCCTTTGTATATAAATTATACCTCAATAAAGCTGTTAAAAAGCAAATATTTCCACCACACATGCACTTACAGGCTCAGCCTGACTGCAGCCAGCAGCTGAGCACACCATGGAGAGCCTGGAGATCACCCTGTCCTGCCCAGCACAGCCTGTTACCGATGCACACCACAAGGGGAACTGAACCCAAGCCCACATTGCCCAGCACTGCCCCTTCTATTGTCATTGCATAGTCCAAGGGCAAGGGATCGCCTTGCTCTTCCTGCTGCCACCTGTGCACAGCTTTCTAGAGACCAAAGAGTGGCTTGCTCAATTCCCAGAAACTGGAAAAATTGACCAGACATACCCACCACAGCCTGTGATTGAGAGCCTGAGGACAGACCACCTCACCCAACATATGCCCACCAATGACCACATGCATCATCTGGGGGCCCGGGGATTGACTCACCCTGCCTGCCACAGCCAGCATCCACTCCTACCCAGGGCCTGAGAAGGAGCCTTCCAATCCTGCCAGTACCTGCCCCTGTCAGCTGGGAGCCTGGGGATTGATATGCCTGACCCACCAGCATCTGCAGTATTCACACACTCCTCCTGGGGTCTGAGATGGCCTTCCCATCCTGCCACCACCATGACGTGTGGCTGGCACTCACACATGCCACCTGGGCACCTGGGGAGTGCTATGTCTAGCCCACTGCTGCCACTGCTGGCACCCCTGTGTGCCATCTGGTGAAATGAGGGTTGGCCTACCACCGCTACTGCCAGGTTCACTGCTGGAACCTGAGCAGACCACCTGAGGTCTCAAGGATTGACCCACTTCAACCCACTACCACCAGTGCCCATGTATGCCTCCAGTGTATCCAAGAAAGGGCACACTTGGCCTACCACCAAAACCACTGGGGCCCAAGGACATGCCCACTTTTCATCCCTGTCTCCAGAAAATTGTGCCACAACCTACACTGAAAACCACAGGCAAGCCACTAAGAAACTCAGAGACATCACTGATGCTCACTACAGCCAAATAAATTATACAGAGACTACACTACTGCATGCACCCAGAATCAGAGCTAAAGTGCCCTATATAACCAATGCTATAAATGTATCTACAGAAAAAGTATTTCCTTATGAAAGCCAATCCAAAAAATTAGAAGTAAAAGAAAGATGACATCTATAAAGGAACACAATAATTCTCCAGCAACTATTTCCAAAAAAAAGAAATTTATGCAATTCCTGAAAAATCATATAAATGAAAATATTAAGGAAGCTCAATAAGATATGAGAACACAGATAATCAATATAAAAAATAAGACAAATCAGAATCTGAATGAGAAATTCAAAGCAGAGATAGACATCTTTAAAGAGAACCAAACAAATACTGGAAGTAAGGAATTTAAATAATAAAATAAAAATAAAAATAAGAGCTTCAATAATTGACTAGAGCAAGCAGAAGAAATAATTCTTGAACTTGAAGACAGGTCTTTTAAAATACCCAGTCGGAATTTAAAAAAAAAAATGGAGAATCAAAAAATAAAGAAAGCCTACAAGATATATGGGACACTTTTTTTAAATTTTTTTTATTATACTTTAAGTTCTAGGGTACATGTGCACAACGTGCAGATTTGTTACATATGTATACATGTGCCATGTTGCTGTGCTGCACCTATTAACTCGTCATTTACATTAGGTATATCTCCTAATGCTATCCCTACCACCTCCCTCAAACCCACAACAGGCCCCAGTGTGTGATGTTCCCCTTCCTGTGTCCAAATGTTCTCATTGTTCTATTCCTGTCTATGAGTGAGAACATGCAGTGTTTGTTGTTTTGTCCTTGTGATAGTTTGCTGAGAATGATGGTTTCCAGCTTTACCCATGACCCTACAAAGGACATGAACTCATCCCTTTTTATGCCTGCATAGTATTCCATGGTTTATATATGCTGCATTTTCTTAATCTAGTCTATCATTGATGGACATTTGGGTTGGTTCCAAGTCTTTGCTATTGTGAATAGTGCCACAATAAACATATGTGTGCATGTGTCTTTATAGCAGCATGATTTATAATCCTTTGGGCACATACCCAGTAACGGGATGGCTGGGTCAAATGGTATCTTTAGTTCTAGATCATTGAGGAATTGCCACACTGTCTTCCAGAATGGTTAAACTAGTTTACAGTCCCACCAACAGTGTAAAAGTGTTCCTATTTCTCCATATTCTCTCCAGCACCTGTTATTTCCTGACTTTTTAACGATCACCATTCTAACTGGTGTGAGATGGTATCTCATTGTGGTTTTGATTTGCATTTCTCTGATGACCAGTGATGATGAGCATTTTTTCATGTGTCTGTTGGCTGCAAAAATGTCTTCTTTTGAGAAGTGTCTGTTCACATCCTTTGCCCACTTTTTGATGGCTCCTAAGCCAAAAGAACAAAGGTGGAGGCATCACGCTACCTGACTTCAAACTATACTACAAGGCTACAGTAACCAAAACAGCATGGTACTGGTACCAAAACAGAGATACAGACCAACGGAACAGAACAGAGCCCTCAGAAATAATACCACACATCTACAACCATCTGATCTTTGACAAAGCTGACAAAAACAAGAAATGGGGAAAGGATTCCCTATTTAATAAGCAGTGCTGGGAAAACTGGCTAGCCATATGTAGAAAGCTGAAACTGGATCCCTTCCTTACAACTTATACAAAAATTAATTCAAGATGGATTAAAGACTTAAATGTTAGACCTGAAACCATAAAAACCCTAGAAGAAAACCTAGGCAATACCATTCAGGACACAGGCATGGGCAAGGACTTCATGTCTAAAACACCAAAAGCAATGGCAACAAAAGCCAAAATTGACAAATGGGATCTAATTAAACTAAAGAGCTTCTGCACAGCAAAAGAAACTGCCATCAGAGTGAACAGGCAACCTACAGAATGGGAGAAAATTTTTTGCAATCTACTCATCTGACAAAGGGCTAATATCCAGAATCTACAAAGAACTCAAACAAATTTACAAGAAAAAAACAACCCCATCAAAAAGTGGGCGAAGGATATATGGGACACTTTAAAGCAACTTAATATTCAAATTGTGTGTGTTCGAAAGGTAGAGTTATCGTATAAATATGTAGAACACCTATTTAACAAAATAATAGCTGATTTTTTGTCTTTCAAGAAACATAAACATTCGGATACAAAAGTTTAAAAATTTCCAAATAGATTCAACTTAAATAGGTCTTCTCCAAACCACACTATATTCAAACTATCAAAAGTCAAAGACAAAGAATAAATTCTAAAATCAACAAGAGTAAAGCATTAAGTCATATATAAGGGAATATCCATCAGATTAAAAGTGGATTTCTCAACAGAAATCTTACAGGCAAGGAGAGAATGGAATGATAGATTCAAAGTGCTAAAAGAAAATAATAAAAAAAAACTGGCAGCCACAAATATTATGTCTAGCAAAGCTACCCTTCAAAAATAATGAAGAAATAAAGTCTTACCCAGACAAGAATAAATTGAGGGTGTTCATCACCACTAGACCAGCCCTACAAGAAATGTTTAAAGGAATACTACATCTGGATGTGAAAGTACAGTATCTAACATCATGAAAACACACGAATATATAAAACTCACTGGTAAAACAGACGCACAAATGAAAAAAAGAAAGGGCTCAAATGTTACCAGTATTGAAAACCACCAAACCACAATGATAAAATACAAGAGAGTAAGAATGGAAAAAGGATACAAAAACACCCAGAGAAAAATTGACAAATGGCAAGAATAAGTCATCAACTATCAACAATAACCTTAAATGTGAAAAGATTACATACCCCACTTAAAATATTTAGAATGACTCAATGGGTAAAAAAGAAATAACTCTACTATATGTTTCCTGCTAGAAAATTGCTTCACCTATGAAGACAGATACAGGCTGAAAAAGTGAAGGGATGATAAAAATGTATTTTACACAAACAAAAGCCAAAAGAAAGTAAGAGTGGCTATACTTACATCAGATGAAACAAAATTTAAGTCAAAACTGTAAAAAGAGACAAAGAACATTATAATAAAATAAAAAAGGATCAATTCAGCAAGGGAATATAATAAGTATATATATATGTGTGTGTGTGTGTGTGTGTGTGTGTGTGTGTGTGTGTGTGTGTGTGTGTGTTTGCGTGTGTGTGTGTGTATGTAGCTCCCATAATTTCCACATGTTTTGGAAGGGACCCAGTGGGAGGTAATCGAATCATGGGGTCGGGTCTTTCCCTTGCTGTTCTTGTGATAGTGAATAAGTCTCAAGAGATCTTATGATTTTATAAACAGGAGTTCCCCTGCACAAGCTCTCCCTTGCTGGCCAACAGTAAGACATCGCTTTGCTTTTCCTTCATCTTCTGCCATGATTGGAGCACCAGATACCGGATACATATGGCAATTATTATTAGATATAAAGAGAAAGACAAACCCCAATACAGTAATAGTTGGGAGCTACAACACCCCACTCTCAGCATTGAACAAATCATCCAGACAGAAAATAACAAAGATTGAACTTAAGCTACACTTTAGACCAAATGGACCTAATACACAGTTACAGAACATTTTATTTAAAAGCTGAAGAATACACATTCTTCTTGTAAGCATATAGAACATCCTTCAGAATACACCATATGGCAGGTCACAAAGTGAGTCTCAACAAGTTTTTAAAAACTTGAAATCATATCAAGTATCTTTGGAAACCACATGGAACATATAGAAATAAATTACAATAAGAACCATATAAACTGTACAAATACATGAAAATTAAACAATATATTCTTAAACAAGCATTGGGTCAATAAAAACATTAAGAAGGAAATTTTAAAAATTTGAAACAAATAAAAAAGGAAACAAAATATACCCAAGCCTATGGGACAAAGAGAAAGTAGTGCTAATAGGAAAGTTTATATCAATAAACACCTACATAAAAAAGTAGATATATTTCAAATAAACAACCTGACAACGGACCTTAAGAAACCAGAAAATCAAGAATAAACTAAACTCAAAAATTGTGAATGGACAGAAATAATAAAGATCAGTAGAATTAAATAAAATAGAAACACAAAAATTCATCAACAAAGTAAAAATTGGATATCTTGAAAAGATAAACAAAATGGATACACTACTAGTTAGACCAACTAAGAAAAAAAGTAAGCAGACCCAAACAAACAAAATTGGAATGACAAAAGAGATATAAGAACTAACACTACAGAAATACAAAGAATCATCAGAGAATATTATGAACAATGATATACTAACAACTGTTAAACCTAGCAGAAATGGATAAATTCCTGGACACATACAACCTACCAAGATTAAATCAAGAAAAAATAGAAAACCTAAAAAGAATAACAAGTAATGAGATTGAATCTTTAATTTAAAAATCTTCCAACAAATAAAAGTCCAAGACTGGATGTCTTTACTGCTGAAAACGATCAAACTTATAAGGAAGAACTAATACCAGTACTTCTTAAAATATTCAAAAAGTTGAAGAGGAAGGAAATATTTCTGATTCATTCTAGGAGTACAGAACTATCCTAATACCAAAACCAGACTAGGACATTAAAAAAAAGGTCAATATCACTGATGAATATTGATGCAAAAATGCTCAAAAAATACTATCAAACTAAGTCCAACAACACATATAAAGATCATTCATTATGACCAAGTGGGATTTATCCCAGGGATGCAAGATGGTTCAACATATGCAAATCAGTAAATGTGATATATGACACACGTAGAATAAAGGACAAAAATCATATGATCATCTCAATAAATGCAGAAAAAGCATTTGATAAGGTCAACATCCCTGCATGATAAAAATTCTCAACAAATTAAGTATAAAAGGAACATATCTCAACATAATAAAGGCCACATGTAACAAACCCACAGCTAATATTATATTGAATGGTGAAAAGCTGAAAGTCTTTCCTCTAAGAACTGGAACAACACAAAGGTGCCTACTTTCACCACTCTTATTCAACATAGTATTTTAAGTTCTAGATAGAGCAATCAGGCAAGAGAAAGAAATAAAAGGCAACCAAATTGGAAAAAAAACAGTAAAATTATTGTTCTTTGCAAATGAAGTGATATATGTATTTAAAACTCTTAAAAACTCCCCCATAAAAACTCTTAGAACTTATAAACAAATTCAGTAAAATGGCAGGATACAGAATCAATCTACAAATTCAGTACATTTCTGTATGCCAAAAGAGAATAATATGAAAAAGAAACCAATAAAGAAATCTCATTAGCAATAGCAACAAAAAAATTAAATTACCCAGGAGAAAAATTCCTACAAGGAAAACTACAAAATGCTGATGAAGGGAATTGAAGAGGACACAAATGGAAAGATAGTCCTACTTATAGATCAGAATTAATATTGTTAAAATTACCATATTACCCAAATGAATCTACAGATTTAATGCAATATCTATGAAAAAAATAATGATATTCTTCAGATAAATAGAAAAAAACTATCCTAAATTTCATATGGAACCAAAAAACAGTCCAAAGGGCCAAAACAATCCTCGGCAAAAAGAACAAAGCCAGAGACATTACACTACCTGAATTCAAAATATATTACAAATTAATAGTAACCAAAATGCATGGTATTAGTAAAAAATAGACAAATAGACCAATGAAACAGAAAGATAACCCAGAAATAAATCCACACGTTTACAGCCAACTGATTTTCAACAAAGGTTCCAATGACATACATTATGGAAACAACACCCTTTTCAATAAATGATGCTAAGAAAATTTCCACATGAAGAAGAATGACAGTAGACCCCTATCACTCACCATACGTAAAAATCAACTTAAAATGGATTAAAGACAAAAGTAAGAGTGGAAACTTACAGAACTACTAGAATGAAACACGGGAAACACTCCAGGACATTGGGCTAGGCAAAGATTTTATGGGTAATATCTCAAAAGCACAGGCTACAAAAATGAAAATAGCCAAATAGGACACTCTTAAGCTAAAATGCTTCTGCACAGCAAAAGAAACAGCAGATTGAAGAGACAACTTATAGATTGGGAGAAAATATTTGCAAACTATTCCTCCAACAAAGGACTTATAGCCAGAATATACAAGAAATTCAAACAACTTAATAGAGAAAAAAAACAAATAATATCATGAAAATGTTGGCAAAAATCTGAATATGCATTTCTCTAAAGAATATTAGCCATGGTGACATATACCCATAGTCCCATCAACTTGGGAGACTGAGACAGTAGAATCACTAGAGCCCAGGATTTAAAGTTCAGCCTGAGCAACATAAAAAGGCCTCATCCCTAAAACACACACACACACACACACACACACACACACACACAACATAGAAATAGTCAACACATATGTATATATAAATAAACAACAAATACTGATGAGGATGCAAAGGGGACTGTTATACATTCTTGGTGAGAATGTAAACTACTATAGCCAATATGAAAAGCAGTATGGAGATTTTTCAAAAGAGTAAAAATAAAACTACCATAAGATCCAGCAATCTCAGTACTGGGTATTTATCCAAAGGAAAGGAAATCAGTATAACAAAGGAACTCCCTCCCCTCCTATGTTTACTGCAGCACTACTCACAATAGCCAAGGTAAGATCAACCTTTATCCATGAATGAATGACTGGATAAAGTGTGTGTGTGTGTGTGTGTGTGTGTGTGTGTGTGTGTGTGTGTATGGATGACTGGATATATATATATACTTTACTCATCCATTCATGGATAAAGATTGATTCTTAGCCAAATTTTATATATATATATATACACATACACACACAATGTAATACTATTCTGCCATTTAATCAATGGAATCCTGTCATTTGCAGCAACATGGATAGAACTGGATGTCATTATGTTAAGTGTAACAAGTCAAGCAGAGAAAGACGAATATCACATGTTCCCATTCATATATGGCAGTTTTATAGTGTTTGATAGCACAATAGTGTGACTAAAGTTAACAACAATGTATCACATATTTCAAAATAACTAGAAGACTTGAAATGTCCCCAAATAAAGAAATGATACATATTAAAGGTAGTATTCTAAATACCTTGATTTGATTATTATATATTGTATGTCTATATAAAAATACCACATGCACCCCATGTATATGTACAAATGTGCATATCAAAAAATGTTTTAAAAGCAAACAGGCAAACAAATTTTAAAAAAACCCTGGCCGGGCGCGGTGGCTCACGCCTGTAATCCCAGCACTTTGGGAGTCCGACGCGGGTGGATCACGAGGTCAGGAGATCGAGACCATCCTGGCTAACATGGTGAAAACCCGTCTTTACTAAAAAATACAAAAAATTAGCCGGGCGTCATAGCGGGCGCCTGTAGTCCAAGCTACTCGGGAGGCTGAGGCAGGGGAATGGCGTGAACCCAGGAGGTGGAGCTTGCACTGAGCCGAGATCGCGCCACTGCACTCCAGCCCTGGGCGACAGAGCGAGACTCCGTCTCAAAAAAAAAAAAAAAAAAAAAAAAAAAACCCTTTGAAAAGAAGACAAAACCAAAAATATTACCATGTACTATTTTCTTTATTGAGAATTGTGGAAATAATTTTCTAAAATATAATTTGTTAATTAATAAATTGTCTAAAATACTTATGGCTAGTTAGCTTACTGGTTATTTTTCACCTATAGATATGTGCATTGTTTATTTTATTGTGCTGTCAAAAACAAAAGCTAATGTACGTTTCCAGATCTTGTCAAAAGTTTATAAAACTTAGTTTTGTTTTTTTAGAATGATTAAGTCTATTTCAGGATAAAGAATCAAATAAAAATCAGTAGCATTTGTTAATAGTGAAAAATCTGAAACACAAATTAAAAAGTTATGTCATTTACAATAGTCACAAATAAAATTACATATGTAGGAATTAACCAAGGAAGTGAAAGTTCTGTATAATGAAAACTATAAAACACTAATGAAAGAACTTGTAGAACACACACACAAAATGAAAAAATATCTCATGTTCATGGACTGGAAAAAAAACAACATTGTTAAAATGTCCATACTATTCAAAGCTATCTACAAATTTAATCAAATTTCTATCAAAATAGCAATGATATTCTTCTCAGAAAGAGAAAAAAGCAATCCTAACATTTTTTGTTGTTGCTGTTTTGAGACAGGGTCTCACTGTCACCCGGGCTGGAGTACAGTGGCAGGATCTCAGTTCACTTCAACCTCCGCCTCCCAGACTCAAGGGATCCTCTCACTTCAGTCTCTCGAGTAGCTGCAGCTATAGGTACATGCCACTATGCCTGGCTAACTTTTTGTATTGTTTGTAAAGATGGGGTTTCACTGTGTTGCCCAGTCTGGTTCTGAACTCCTGGGCTCAAGGGGTCCACCCACCTCGGGCTCCCAAAGTGCTGGGATTACAGCCATGACCCACCATGCCTGGCTGAAAAAACAATCCTAAAATTTATATGGAATCACAAAAGACCCAGAATAGCCGAAGCTATTCTGAGCAAAAAATAACAAAACTGGAGGAATCACATCACCTGACTTCAAATTTTACTACAGACCTATAGGAACCAAAACAGCATACTGGCATAAAAACAGACACATAGACTGATGGAACAGAATAGAGAACCCAGAAACAAATCCACACACCAACGGTGAACTCATGTTTGACAAACGTGCCAAGAACATATCTTGGAGAAAAAACAACCTCTTCAATAAATAGTGCTTAGCTGGGAAAACTGGATATCCATATGCAGAACAATAAAACTAGACCCCTAGCTCTCACCATGTACAAAAACCAAATCTAAATGGATGAAAAAAGGCTTAAATCTAAGACCTCAGACTATGAAACTGCTTCAAAAAATATTGGGGAAACTCTCTAGGACACTGGTCTGGGCAAAAATTTCTTTAGTATTACCCCACAAGCAGAGGCAACTAAGGCAAAAGTGGACAAATGGTATTATGTCAAGTTAAAAAGCTTCTGCACAGCAAAAGAAATTATCAACAAAGTGAAGAGACAAACCACAGAAAGGGAGAAAGTATTTGCAAACTATTCATCTGACAGAATATATAAGGAGCTCAAACAACTCTACAGGAAAAAGTCAAATAATCTGATTTTAAACATGGGCAAAGAATCTGAATAGACATTTTGCAAAAGAAGACATGCAAATGGCAAATAGGCATATAAAAAGGTGCTCAACATCACTGATCACCAGAGAAATGCAAATCAAAACTACAAAGAGATATCATCTCACCCCAGTTAAAATGGCTTATATCCAAGACAGGTAATAACAAATGCTGGCAAGTATGTGGAAGAAAGGGAATCCTCGTACATTGTTGGTAGGAATGTAAGTTAGTAAAACCACTGTGGAGTTTAGAGATTCCTCAAAAACTAAAAATAGAACTACCATATGATCCAGCAATAACACTCCTAGTTATATTCCCAAAAGAAAGGCAATCAGTATATCAAAGAGATATCTGCACTCCAATGTTTGTTGCAGCACTGTTCATGATAGCCAAGACTTCTGAAAACAATCTAAGTCCATCAGCAAATGAATGGATAAAGAAAATGTGGTACATATACACAATGGAGTACTATTCAGCCACAAAAAGGAGAATGCGATCCTGTTATTTGCAACAACATGGATGGAACTAAAGATCATTATGTTAAGTTAAGTTTGTCAGGCACAGACAGAAACACAAATATTGCATGTTCTCACTTGTTTGTGGGATCTGAAATTCAAAACAATTGATCTTATGGGCATAGAGAGTAGAAGGGAGATTACCAGAGGCTGAGAAGGGTAGTGGGGGACTGGGGGTGGGGTGCAGGTGGTTAATGTGTACTAAAACAATAGTTATAATGAACAAATAAGACAAAGTATTTATATCACAACAGGGTGACCATAGTCAATAATAATTTAATTGTACATTTAAAGAGAACTAAAGGAGTAATAAAACAATAGTTATAAAGTTATAGACACTTAAAGATAACTAAAGCAGCATAATTGGATTGTCTGTAACACAGAAGATAAATGCTTGAAGGGATGGACACCCCATTTCCATGATGTGATTGTTACGCATTGCATACCTGTATGAAATATTTCCGGTATCCCATAAATATAGATACCTATTATGTATGCACAAAAATTAAAATAAAAACATTTTAAAGAAAAAAGAAAATGATTCAGTGTGAAAAAGAAATAAAATATGAATAGAATCTTGCTTTGTTTAAATGAGACCAAGAGGGTTCATCTTAGCCATTATGCTTCTTAGTATCACGGGAAGTGGCTTAGTTCAAGTGGGCACAGCCGTCTGCCAGGGCTTGACTCTGGTACAGGTGTTAACTTACATATTGCTATTTTTGCTTGCATGACCTTGGATAGATTAATTGACTTCTTTTATCTTATGGCAAAAGAAGTATCATCTTTTATCTATCAGATGAAAATTAAAACAGCATCTAAGCCGTAATGTTAGGAGACTCAAATAGCATTATAATTTAAAGCACTTAGAACTGTATCAAGAGTAGAGTCAGGACTATATAACTGTTATCTATTACTTTTTATAAACATCTTTTTATTGTAGTTTTTCTCTCCTCCACCTCTTCCACCTCTACACATATGCATACACACACACACACACACACACACACACACTCGCACACACTTACATATCAAGGTATTTCAGGAAACAGCAACCACATATGCAAAGGCTAAGAGACAAGGCAATGTTTTCAGGCATAACGTGGTTCGGTTCTAGAAGAGAATCGGTGTAAGATGAAACTGCTGGGAACTAGGGAAGACAGGAAATTGAGATCCAGGTAATGTTATGTAAAGAGAGATACCGTTTTCAAATACTTATTGATCTTACTACACTTGCCCAAAAAGACAACACTAATTTACACCTTTATTTCAAAAATAGACAAAAGCATTTATCAAGGGCCTACTAAGTGTGTGAAACAGAAGCTAGGTGCTGCAGCACACCCCTTACTAAACAGAAAATGATTACAGCTTTCACAAATGTTAATCTATTAGAGTACATCATAGTAATAGAACACCAATCGCTTCAATAGAAGACTGAATATGGGCCATCCTGGGTCACATAGCAAGACCCCGCGTCCATAAAGTTAAAAAAAAAATAGCCAGGCTTGGAGGCATGTGCCTGTTGGAGTTCCAGCTACTCAGGAGGCTAAGATGGGGGGATCACTTGAGCCTAGGAGAGCAAGGCTGCAGTGAGCCATGATGTCACTACCGCACTCCAGCATGAATAACAGAGTGAGTTCCTGTCTCTAAAAAAAAAAAGGCTGAATATGATGAATGCCAGAAAATGCTCTCAATATTTACTTTTTAGAAGAATATGAAAAGATTACATCTAGTTGGAGAGATAGGGGACAGTTTTAAGAATGGAGTGACATTTAAGGACATGCACAAGAGAAGGGTCAGATTTGAGTTTCTGTAAGTGTAGTTTCCAGCACCTTTCCATGTCTTCAGTGGAATGTCACAATCCCTTTCTTTTTGAGGCAACATAGCCACACACTCCATTATTATGCAATTTCTAGTCAAAGCCTGGTTAATGTAATTCAGGTTGTATTCCTCAATATCTTCCTTAAGGGCACCTTGAAATTAAATAAGTGATATGGTTGAAACATCTTCTAACTTCATGACATCAGAATCCTGGGCCAGATGTGGCTTTTGCTGGCAGGGAGCCCTGATTTTTCTTGGGCTGGAACAACAAAGTCTAACATACTATTAAATATTTACTGATACATTTTGAAAAATTCCAGACTAAATTACTGGACAAAATTCAAAAAATTGAAATAATCCCCAGATACATACATTTATGTTGATAATATTTTCACAATTCTATTTATTAAAATCAAACATTATGATACATACACTTTAAAAATGTCATTTAGTAAACAAAAACGAAAGCAAGTATTGACCAAACTTTTTTTGGGTTTGACTTTAACGCTATAAACTTTTCAATATGAAAGAAATAAACCAAAAGATAAGGTCATTTTCTGGGCCAAACATACATTATTCAGGAAGGAAGCACTTGCAGACCATGGTGACCTCAAGAAAGCTAGAAAGTGCAGCCATGCATACTGCATTCCAAACATGGGAGAAGCGAATAAGCAACCCTGATGCTTGATTCTAGAGAGATGTCTTTTCCTTAACCTTTGTTTCTGTGCTCAATATTAAGTGTTCCAATCTCTAGCAATCTTATATTTTCCCCAGCTTTGTTTGCTTGGAGTTTCTTCAGGTAACAAGATATAAAAGATTGCAATAACAGACAAAGGCATATGTGAGACCGAATATTGTCAGGAATTTAGAGAATGCAACGTGGTATAGGAGGAAAATCACAATATTTTGTAAAAGACAGCCTGGGTTCCATTTCAGATCTGTCATTTAATGGCAGGGTAACCTTTGCAGGTATTTGATCTCACTAAGCATCACCATTAAAATGACTGGTAATGGCCTCCCTGAGTTATTGGGAAAGTTACATATGGTAAGATAAGTGGAGCATCCACCTTACCATTTCCTATGCCATGCAGACTCTGTAATGTAGGTTATTGCACTTTCTATAAAAATACAGATATGGAAACCAGAAGTATGCAAGTGATTTTTTTCAAATACAAGCAATGACCTAATTACCAAATTTAATTTTCTTGTTCTTTTTCTAGTTCTCATATTATTCATTGAAACTTTTTGCTTCCCCATGTCCACCAATATGATTTCTTCTTCCTTTAAATACTTTCCTTTCTGTTTCTTATTCTGTATCTCAAACGACTGTTTCTTTCGTTTGTTCTTCCTTTTACTGAATATCCTTAAATATTAGATATGCTGATATTCATTAGAGTTCCATTCTTTGTTCTCCTTCTCTAACTTACAGATTGACAATTCATCTATGTGGATTAACTTCTACTTTTAATTCAATAGCTACAAAATCTTAGCTCCTATGATTTATATATGTTATTTGTAAATGCCTAAGTTGCATTCATATTCATATACCAAACCAAATTCAATATCTTTCCTGCCAAACCTAAGCTTCTGTAGCAGTCAACAAAATTAAAATCTCAGATATGTGATTCTTTTCCTCACTTCTCACTCACAATATTAAATCTATAACTAGGTTCTGTTGACTACATTTTCTAAATAATCTCTTCAATTGATTCATTTCTCACCATTCGTACTGCACCACTCTAGTTTTAACCCTCATCAATGTTCTTTACTAGGAAAAATATCTGTATTCATTTCCAAGGCTTTAACCATTTATCCCTCATTATCCAGTGTAGAAGGCACTAATCACATGTGGCTATTGAGCACTTGAAATTTCATGGCTAGTCCAGATTCAAATATAGAATAAGAACAAAGTAAACACACCAGTCATTATATAAGGAGAATATAAAATATTAAGTTAATAATTTTTATATTCATTACATTTTAAAATCATAAAATTTGGGTATTTTGGATGAAATAGTACATTATTAAACTGAATTTTACCTGTTACTTTTTACTTTTCAGACATTTTTGGAAGTACATATATGGCCTGCATTCTACTTCTGTTAGGTGCCTCTGTCTAACCTACTCCTCCATTTTCTTGGCAGAGTCATTTTTGATACAAATTGGATTGTGTCATTTCCTGCATTAGTCATCTTGAATAGGTCTGTCATATCTTTAAGCAAGGTTACCTCATTGTGCAATTATAGAATAAAATGAGAATGGTGTTGCCTTCAGTTGTACAATTCTACCTGCAAGACAAGCTTAAATTCTCTACCAAGGATTAAGAGTCCTCTTAATTTATTTTACCATCTTTATCCATCCCATGCCCTGACCTAATATTGAACTCTGACCACCTTAGCCACACTTGATTAGTTGCATTTCCAATCTACTCACTTTTCTGACTTTATGCCATTTAAGATCCTGTTTATAAAGCTTTGAAATGCCCTATTCTAAGCAATCACTTACTATTTTTAAAGGCCCAGCTGAGACTTCAACTTTCCAGAAAGGATTTTCCTTCTAACCCTCTACCAAAAAAACTAATTACTTTCTTCTTTGTTCTTAATAACCTTTAACTCATGCCTGTATTTTGTACTTATTACTTGTAAGGATTAGTATATATGCATCTCTCACATTAGAATGCAAGTGGTTCAGACAAGAGACCACTTGAATTCTAATGTGAGTGACATGCATGTAAATGCATGTATAAAAATATGTGTGCTATGGTTAAGCCCATATATTTTCTCTCTACCTATATTCTATTCTGCAGTAATCTAATTCCTTTTCATTAACAGAAAGACAGAGACATGGCTGGTCCTGGAGAAAATACTGGGGATTCTAGCATTCTTTAGAACATTTTTTAAAATACAGTTATTTTTCATCTAGTAATAAAAGCCAGCCATAAAAAAGATAAATAGCACATGATCTCATGAATAAGTGAAATCTAAAATGTTGAACTCATAGCAGTAGGGAGTAGAATGTTGGTTACTAAAGACTGTGTTTGTGTGCCTAGGGGAAACTGGGGAGATGTTGGTCAAAGGTTACAAAATTTTCAGTTAGACAAGAGAAATAAGGTCAAGAGATCTATTGTACAACATGGTATCTGTAGTTAATAGCAACGTATTGTACTGAAAATTGCTATGACAATAAATTTTACGTGTTCCCATCAAAAAAAAAAGGATGTGAAGTAATGCATATATTAATTAGCTCAATTTAGACATTCCACAATGTATACATATTTTAAAGCAGCATTTAATACCCAATAAATATTATAATTTTAAAATAAATTTTATTGTATATATTTTAGGTATAAAATATGACATTATGAGATATATACAGATAGTAAAATGGTCACTATAATGAAGTAAATTAACATATCAGTCATCTCACATATTTACCCTTTTTTAATTTTTGTTTTGGTGGCAAGAGAAGCTAAAATATACTCATTTAGCAGAAATCCCAAATACAGTACAATCTTATTAACCATAGTCCTCATGGTGTACATAGGGGTCTCCAGAGTTGTTTATTTTACATATTTGTAACTTCGTATCCTCTGACCTTCATCTCCCCATTTCTCCCCCTCTCCACCTCCTGCTTCTGGTAAACACTATTTTATTCTCTATCTCTGGTATATCTGACTTATTTTTTAAAAACAATTCCACATGTAAGAAAATCATGTAATGCTTTTTATTTCTGTATCTGATTTGTTTCACTTAGCACAATGTCCTCCAGTTTCATCCATATCATGGCAAATGGCAGGATCTTCTTCTTTTTCAAAGGCTGAGTAATATTCCTTTGCATATGTATACCACAATTTATTTAGCTTTTGTCTGTCCACAAAAATTTAGCTTGCTTCTCTATCTTTGCTGTTGTGAATAATGCTGCAATGAACATGGGATTGCAGATATATTTAGGAGGTGATGATTTTATTTTTTTGCAGATATGCCCAGAGAGGGATTGCTGGATTATATGGTAGTTCTACTTTTATTTAGGAAACTCCACACCATTTTCACAATGACTGTACCAATCTGCATACCCACCAACAGTGTTCAAGTATTTCCTTTTCTCTATATTCCCACATTAAACAAATGGTGTGTATGCCATTTATTATCTCTTTATTTTTGCTAATATCCATCCTAATAGGTGTGAGGTGATATATTTGTGGCATTGATTTGCATTTCCCTGATGATTAATGATGTTGAGCATGTTTTTATTATCTATTGTACATCAAGTCTTCTTCAGAGAATGTATCAGCAAGTCTTTTGCCCATTTTTAATTGGGTTTTTTGTTTTCTTACTAGTAGCTATATGAGTTCTTAATACATTTTGGATATTAAGATATATGGTTATAACTCTTATCAGATATGGTTTACAAATATTTTTTCCCAATCTGTAGGCTGCCATTTTATTTTGTTGATTGTTACCTTTGCTATGCAGAAGTTTTTAGTTTTTATATAGTCCCATATGTATCCTTTGTTTTGTTTTCACCACAGAGAACAAAGCTGCCATAGTCTCATTGAAAAATACAAATGGTAATTCGGCCACGTTATGCCCTGTTTTGCTTAAATAATCAAAAATTACCCAAGTTTACCTGAGAGTCTTTGTCTCAACATCTATGCTATGTTACCAATTTTAATTTCAGTGGCTTTTCTGAGTCCATAAAACCACAACAACACAAAATTATAGCTGTGTATTAGTCTGTTCTCATGCTGCTAATAAAGACATGCCCAAGACTGGGTAATTTATGAATGAAAGATGTTTAACTGACTCACAGTTCCACATGGGTGGGGAGGCCTCACAATCATGGTGAAAGGCAAAGGGGAAGCAAGACACGTCTCACATGGCAGCAGGCAAGAGAACGTGTGCAGCGGAACTGCCCTTTTATAAAACCATAAGATCTTGTGCGACTTGTTCACTGTCACGAGAACAGTAAGTGAACGACCTGCCCCCATGATTCAATTACCTCCCACCAGGTCCCTCCCATGACACGTGGGTATTATGGGAGCTACAATTCAAGATGAGATTTGGGTGGAGACACAGCCAAACTATATCATTCTTCCCCTGACCTCTCCCAAATCTCATGTCCTCACATATCAAAACCACTCATGCCTTGCCAACAGTGCCCCAAAGTCTTAACATATTTCAGCATTAACTCAAAAATCCACAGTCCAAAGTCTCATCTGAGACAAGGCAAGTCCCTTCAACATAGGAGCCTGTAAAATCAAAAACAAGTTAGTTACTTCCTAGATACAAAGAGGGTACAGGCATTGGGTAAAAACATCCATTCCAAATAGGAGAAATTGGCCAAAACAAAGTGGCTACATGACCCACCCAAGTCCAAAAACCAGCAGAGCAGTCAAATCTTAAAGCTCTCAAATCATCTCCTTTGATGCCATGTTTCATATTCAGGTCATGTTGATGTAAGAGGTGGGTTCCCATGGTCTTGGGCAGCTCTGCCCTGTGACTTTGCAGGGTACAGCCCCACTCCTGGCTGCCTTTACAGGCTGGCATTGAGTGTCTGTGGCTTTTCCAGGCACACAGTACAAGTTATCAGTGGATCTACCATTCTGGGGTCTGGAGGATGGTGGCCCTCTTCTCACAACTCCACTAGGCAGTGCACCAGTGGGGGCTCTGTGTGGGGCCTGTGATCCCACATTTCCCTTCTGCATTGTCTTAGGAGAGGTTCTCCATGAGGGCTCCACTGCTGCAGCAAACTTCTGCCTGGACATCCAGGCATTTCTGAACATCCTGTGAAATCTAGGTAGCGTTTCCGAAACATCAGTTGTTGACTTCTGTGCACCCACAGGCTCAACATCACGTGGAAGCTGCCAAAGTTTGAGGCTTTCACCCTCTGGAGCCACAGTCTGAGGTGTACCTTGGCTCCTTTTAGCCATAGCTGGAGCAGCTGCAATGCAGGGGACAAAGTCCCTAGGCTGCACACACCAGGGGGGCTCTGGTCCCAGCCCACAATACCATTCTTAACTCCTAGGTCTCTGGGCCTGTGATGGGAGGGGCTGCCACGAAGGTCTCTGACATGCCCTGGAGACATTTTCCCAATTGTCATGGTGATTAACATTGGACTCCTTACTTATGAAATTTCTGCAGCAGGCTTGAATTTCTCCCCAGAAAATGTTTTTTTTGTTTTTTTTTTCTATTGCATCATCAGGCTGCAAATTTTCTAAGCTTTTATTCTCTGCTTCCTCTTGAACAATTTTCCACATAGAAATGTCTTCCATAAGATTCCCAAAATCATCCCTCTCAAGTTCAAAGTTCCACAGATCTCTAGGGCAGGGGCAAAATGCTGCCAATCACTTTGTATAGTAAGAGTGACCTTTACCCCATTTCCCAGCAAGTTCATCATCTGCCATTCATCAAGTCTCTGGGAAGTTCCAAACTTTCCTACGTCTTCCTGTCTTCTGAGCCTTCTAAGACTTGACAAAGTTCCAAACTTTTTCACATTTTCCTATCTTCTTCTCACCCCTCCAAACTGTTCTAACCTCTGCCTTACCCAGTTCCAAAGTTGCTTCCACATTTTCAGGTATCTTTACAGCAGCATCCCACTCCTGCTACCAATTTACTCTATTAGTTTTTTCTTGCGCTGCTAATTAAGACATACCCAAGACTGAATAATTTATAAAGAAAAGATGTTTAATTCACTCACAGTTCCACATGGCTGGGGAGGGCTCACAGTCATGGTAGAAAGCAAGAGGGAACCAAGACACATCTTATATAGCAGCAGGCAAAAGAGCATGTGCAGGGGAACTGCCCTTTTGTAAAACCATCAGATCTCATGAGACTTTTTCACATCATGAGAAGAGCGTGTGAAGGACCTGCCACCATGATTCAATTACCTCCTACTGGATCCCTCTCATGGCATGTGGTAATTATGGGAGCTACAATTTAAGTTGAGATTTTGAGATATGGATGGGGTCACAGTCAAGCCATATGAGGCTGACTTTGAAAAAGATGGAGAATGTACTTGGAAGATTAATAAAGGTCCACATAATTAATGGGGATTGAAATTATTGACTTGATAATGAACAGAAACTAAGATATCTCCATATTTTAACAAGCAGGGAATTCTATCAGTCTTGATCATAATGTCCTTACCATAGATATGTAGGTTGTCTTCAGAGGTCTTCGGAGGCCTCCACTGAAAATCTGGAGCAGATATTTATTTTGTGGACCTGGAGCCTCTGCCACCATAACACCTCATGATTGATGAAATCTCTATTTAATTATTTAGCTTCTCAGTGACTGCAACTTTATTCTTTGGTGTCTTGCCCCTGTGAGAATAGCTAAGAATGGGGCCACAAATAGAGGCATAAGTGAGGCTCACCTCAAAGTTTAACCCTTTACTCTGAGATATTTCCCAGAGTTCTGAGTGTGTTAATTGTTCTCTGATGTTTCAATCAGTTAATTTTATAGTTTGTATAGATTTCAAAGATATACTACTAATTAGTAGTATATTAGAAAGTACTCCATTACAGGCAGAAGGTGATGACCCTCCATTACTGGCATTTTGTTTAGAGGTCTTTGAATGTAAGTCAATAATTTAGACTTTCTAATTGGCCTACATGCTGGATTATAGAATAATTTACCAATGCAGTAGATACAGGAAGAAGGAAAGGTTGAAAGGGATGCATAGAGGGGACGCTGAGTAATAACTCCACTTTAATACATGATGAATTAATATTAGAGGGAAAAATTGGTGAAATGTGTAATGCTTCATAAATTTTATGCATACTAAAGTTATTACTAGATATATATGACTGAGTCACTTGATTATAAACAAATGTGCCCTGCTCATATAGCTCTTGACTTGACTTCATCTTTCTAGTAGCAAGGTAAGTCACACATGTGGGAAGCATAAAATTTGAAGCAAACATAACGACGTACTTTCTCTAAGTGAACACATCCAATGATGCTATGGTAATACTAAGGATTTTCATATAAATCACTTTATTTTAAACATTGTCAAGATGATATGTCAAGTTTTCTAATTAGTTATCCTGAAATATTCAATTAACCAAAACAGGAAGCCAATGAATTTTCACAAAATTCTACCTAGAGCTAACTTGTAACCTCACAGTTCTTCTAGGATATATCTTGATATTCATCAGTTCAAAATATTGGAATATTTTAGATTCTGAAAGAAAAACTACCATCTCTAATGTCTTATATGTTTTATTTGTATTTATCAGTCTAAATTGGGTAAAGTTGACTTGGCAAGACCTCTTTACCATTGTCTGATCTATTATTTGTCTTTTTTTCTCATCAAATAACACATTTTAAAATACATTGATATCTTTAAAACTCAGGCTGCTTCCTCAGGTTACCCACAATCTTTCTAACCTAAGTGCTATTTTTTAGACTAGAACTTTAATAAAAATGAAATATCAAATATGGTAAGATTTTATATATTAAATTTGTCAATTGCTAAAAAAAGCTCATAGAGGCCTAAAGGGCAAAAACCTTTTCAAATGGATAACTGTTCCAAAGGTCATAAAATGTACCCAGAGCCTTTAAACTAATTAGATTGAAAAGCTTGATTCAGCAAATGCAGTTTACTTACTACAAACCCCATTTGACCTCCACCAAGTTTAGAAATGATTTACATTACCTGTGACATTACAATGATGCCTCTATAACTTTTCTTCAATGTAACAAGGCAAATTTTCAACCCTGGAGATGATCTATGGTCCACCTCCTTACAATTATTAGCAAATGCATATAATTCATGAGTGCTTTAGAGTACAATGTACTGACTTACCTTTTGCTATGGTTTGAATGTGTCCTTAAAAGTTCACATGTTGGAAGCTTAATCCCGATGTTGAAAGGTGGGGCCTAATAATAAGTGATTAGGTCATGCAAGCTCTGCTTTCATTAATGGATTAATGTTACCACAAGAGTGGGTTAGTTAGAGTGAGAGGGAGCTTGCTGTAAAAGTGAGTTCCAGCCCTACTTGCTCTCTTGTTCTCTTGTGCTCTTCTGCCCTTCTGAAACCTTCTACCATGAAATGACACAGCAAGAAGGCACTCACCTGATGTTGAAATCACAACTGTGAGAAATAGTTTTTTATCTATCTAAATTACCTGGTATGTGATATCCTGTTATAGAAGTATAAATAGACAAGACACCTTTAATATTGTTTTTATATATAAGAATATATCCCTTTAATTAACATCTATTGCGTGCAATGTCCAACCTTGGTGACAGACAACACCACTGTGAAAATCACAAGTGAAGGGAATTAATTTGTTTTTCTAATTTAATTTACCTTATAATTTTGAACAAAAATCACATAGTGTATATCTATGCTACTAATCACAGATGTTTAGTTAATCTGCTTGTTAATCACCAAAACTAATTTTTGTCAGTATTACATGGATCTCATTTATCTTGAATATGTAACTAGAAGTAGATTTTAAAACATTAGTATATAAAATTAAGGAGAGGTATGTGAATGGAGAAGCAATTTGTCTTAATTTGTATATAGTTCAGCTAAGGTGTTTTATTTCTGTTTGAAGTCAAACACATTACATAAAACATAGAAAGTGCATCATATATTGGGAAAATACAAACCAAGTATAGTGGCTGCCTGGCTCACAATTCTTACCTCTTCTCTAAGAATGGCCAGAGAATTCGAGGGTGCCATCACGTCTACCCTAGTATCCATAAATGTTTGCTTGACCCAGGCCAATTTGATCCACTATTCCTATGGAAATTTAAACTTCAATGAAGAATCAAATTGACCTGGAGGTCACTGAACCTGAGTTGTTTGAACTCAAGAAGAAGCAGCCACTGAAACCTTACCTTTATAATACTAAAAGAACACTAAGCCTTAGTTTTTAGCTGTTACATCGATTTTATTAGTTATTCCAATATATTTCCAATAAATTATTTTCTTTTTCAAAACCTTATAGGTAAGCAGTAGGAATTCAACTCTGAAACTGGTAGAAGGTAGCCAGATGTTATCTCTTTTGCACATTCTTATACATGTATTTCTAATGCAGAGAGATAGTATTGTATAATGATGAAAAACAGATATTTCTGTGATCCAGTCTTAGCTCCAAAATTTATTTAGCTATTTAACCTGGGGAAAACCATGGTTTTTCTATGTCTCTGTTTTCCCATTTCTAAAACAGAATAATAGTTCCATATGTCTAATATAGTTGTCAGCATTAAATAAGCAAACATAAAGTAGGAGATTTAAACCTAGCACATAGAAAACAATATTTGAGTGTCATCCATTATTATTTCATAGCTATTAAGTCATAGATAGCTGCAATTTATACAGAAAAAGAGAACTCAGAGCTGGGGCAAATCCAAAAGCAAAGACAAAAGGGGAAGACCAAAGGTTAGGATTCAGGAGCAAGTTATGCAATGAAATTTTCCCAAATAATTGCTTTCTATGGACGAACCTCATTTGAAAAGCCATGTGCTTGTTTCCAAAAGTCCTGCCTCTTTTTAAAGAAATCGCACTAAGAATATAAAATCCAAAAATTGTATGCTTTTCTCATGCAGCTCTTTTATAACAAATGAGAACTAAACTGTGAACTATTGATATCATTTAGGTGGTGCCATGTTTTATTTGTTTCATTTTCTTAAGGAAAATATAGTAGAAAACAGGTGTGATTGAAATAACTTATACTTTAGGATTGTGGTATAATAAAATCATGTCAAATAGTAGAAAAAAATCCTTAACTAAAATATTAATAAAACGAAAAATACCCAATGACTCAAGAAACAAAACACCGTAGCTTGGTGTCTACAAAATGAATGCTTTGTGAAAAGGAGTTATTTGAAAACTTTTTTTAAAAAATTTGGCTCAATGAAATAAAGACTCATAATAAAATATGTATTGTTTCATTTAATGCTATGTGGCTAAAACTTAAGATATAACACATCTTAGGCATAACTAACAAAATATTTATTATCTTTCAATGCTTTAAAAAAAAGTATTATGCTGGCTATGTTGGATAAGCATTCTGTGTTAGTTCGTTTCCACATTGCTGTAAAGAACTACCTGAAACTGGGTAATTTATGAAGAAAAGAGATTTAATTGACTCACAGCTCCACAGACTTTACAGGAAGCAAGACTTGGAGGCTTTAGGAAATTTACAATTATGGAGGGAAGCAAAGGGGAAGCAAGTATCTTCTTCACATGGTGGCAGAAGAGAAAGAGAGTTAAGGGAGAAATGCCACACAATTTTTAAACCATCAGATCTCATAAGAACTCACTATCACAAGAACAGCGAGGAGGAAATCCACCCCGTTTAATCACCTCCCACCAGGCCCCTCCCCCAATTCGACATGAGATTTGAGCAGGGATAAAAATCCAAACCATATCATATTCTAAAGTTAGTAAAAATTAATTGTTTTTGCTATAAGGGTAAAATGATAAAAATATATGTAAAAGTATGACTTGCCTTTTTATACAATTTAAATGTATTAGAGAGACAGATGTGTACCAATAAACAAGTACTATGCAAAGTAACATGAGTTAGAATGGAGCAAAGTAGAAGATGGAGTGTAAACAAGGAGAACGAAGTTACTAAGTCCTCCTGTGAGACTAGGAAAACCACAAGAAAGTAACACTGGAGCTGAAGGGCACTATATGCAAAGATATGCAAACATAAGACAGCATTTCATCTTTAAGGAATTAAAGATGGTATTATGTTTCTGAAGTTTAAAGCATCAAAGAGGATACCTAAGGGGAAAAAATACTGGACATACAGGCAGGGACCAAATCTATATTAGATATATGAAATTATTGTTCAACTTTAAAGATGAGAAAATTGAGACATAGAAAAACTATCTTGTCCAAGTTCATATAGGTAAATTATAAAGGAACTATGCTGGGTCCAGGAGTCAACATTATATCTTACAATAAGGATACATACATTGAAGAATTTTGAAGAAGCTCTATGATACTTGGATAAAACATCTTTATTTGTAGGAATCAGGCTATAAGTCATTAGTATTTGATACGCATTCAGTGAAAAAATGAATTGATCAATTGCAGTAGAAATATTAAATTACAAAAACATATACTTGAAGTTACTCATGATGAGATACGAACCTTACTATTAATTGATTTGAAAATTACTATGAAGCACTTAAATTCATCAGGTTTGACAAAATGATTAGAGAAAAAAACAGCAACAAAGAAAATTAAGTGTTCGCTCAAAGCAAATGACTTTCTTTAAACTTAGTATAATCAGAAAAGTCCCTGGATTAGGAATAAAGAGGTCTTAATTCTACACCTCTTACTATTTTTATTATCTAACTACCTATTAACAGAACATGACTTAAAAACTAGTAAAAACAAAAAAGTACTGATTAATGCATTCTCTATTCTTCTGATGAAACATATGAGCATCCTGAGTTTTAAGCAGCAGCAATAAAATTTAGGATGTTATATCCTTATTTATGTTATTAACAGTAACTTTTTATGATGACCGTAAAATATATGGATTCAAAGGTTGTAATTTATATTTTACTATACAGACCATCTGCTTCCAAGTACTTGTCATTTAATCTAAATGATGGGAATAGATAAGCAAATTCTACTTTCTGGATTTCCTGGCTAATGACAACTTAAAGCCACTTCCACAGCAAATGGGTACATTCTTCGTTTTACTTCAGAAAGCAAATAAGTGGTGCATGATACAGGATTTAGGCTATTAACAAAAGCACAGTCCTCTTGGCTAAACAGAAGACTACAAATTATGACATAGTTTTGGCTAGTCTAAAAGTGACCTAAATAACAGTGGCTTAAGCAAGATAGATTAACATTTCTCTTTAAGTATAAGTAGTCCATCAATAATATGTTGACTCTGTGGTGGCAGGAATCTGATACCCTATCTTTTTATTTCACTATGGAGTCTTGTCCTCTTTTTCATGGTTTGAGATCATTCACTACTACCATATAAGTATTACAGCCAGTGAGGAGGGGATATCTCACACCTACTTAGTCATATCTTCTTGGCTAGCACTTAATCACATGGCCATTCATAGCTGCAAGAGAAATTTGTTAATCTAGTTTTTATTATGGGTAGCCATGTGTTAATTTAAAACCTGCAGATGTTATTCCAAAGAATAGCTGTCAGGAGCATTCCATACCTGCCACATCCCTGATAAAATTTTCATGGAGAAAACAGTGATAAGCTTAGAATTGAGGCATTAATTATATGATATAAAAAGAGTTTCAACTATTTGCAGTAAACATCTATAAATCTTCTACAAATTTCTGTCACTCTCAAACAGACGTTTATTAAGGGGATAAAAGATTTTTACTAAGTATATTTAAATCTGTATAGCTATTATTTGTAAATGAGGTTTTAAATAGTTATTTTTATTTATTTTACCAATCAAAACTCAATTTTCTTTTTTTTTCTTTTCATACCCTGCAGATTACTAGGAAAATCTCTTGTTGGGAGAATGAATGAATAAATAAATAAATAAATAAATAAATAAATAAATAAATAAATAAATAAATAAATGTTTAGTACAGGAATACTTTAAAAACATAGTTTGATTGCTTTGTATGTGAAAATTATGTCAATATGGATTCTCATGTCAAGGATTATGGATTCTTGTGTTACGGGTTCTTCACTCACCAAGGGTGAGGAAGCTTATTACACCAAGTTATGCGCTCCAAGTTTATTACACCTCCTTTATCTTAATTTTTTTGTGTATTTATCTGCACATTTTCTACCTCCTTCCATGATCCTATATTCAGCAAGCTTTTGTATTAATCTTATTCATCTCCTTTAAGATGCCCCATAAACCATTCCTATTATATAGTGTTAGTGAGTCATGATACTTCTCTTTGCCAAATGATTTTATTTCATATAATAACTGACAATGAAGGATAATGCATGACCAGAACAAATGAATCTAGAGCAACTATTTTTAAGAGACTGAGGCACTGAGTAGGAGAAATAATTTTCAAGCATTTTTGCCTTTTCAATGCTCCTCAATTCACAACCCATTAATAGATATCTATTCTCTTACATAAAGACTGTTTCATCTCAACACATGAGACATAAGTTAACCACAGACATTTCTTTCATTGAATTAAATGGAATGCTTTATAAAAAGCTGAAATCACTTTAATAATGGTATATCTAACAAATTAAACACATCAATATAATTAAAACATTGAATTCTCATTCTATCATTCAATTTGTCATTTTTTGCCATGTATATGTGGCTATAGAACTTACTAAGCTCTTTGTAGAAGAAATATTTAAACATTATAAATAATATACTTAAAATATTTTTTGAATATGTATGGCTGAAGCTTAATTTTCAACTTAACTCAGGACGTGTGATTATCTTCTTAAGCATGGGCTGCATATTTTTCTACTGATTGAGAATTTTAGTAGGATAATTTTATTATTGAATCTTTTTGAAATAAGTCATACATCTTCATGGAGATGTAATTATTATTTTCTACATAGCATTCTATTTCTAAATGCAATAAGAAAGTGATGTCATTCAATGCACAAATTGGGTGATTAGAATTTATTTGCATGAAGATATGATAAATAATCTTTAAATTTTAAAATAGATTCTAAGATTAAAGTAAGATACTTCAACACTGTGTTTTGGATTGTATAACTTTTATATAAAAGCTTTAAGTTTAGACAATGAAGAGCATATATATACAATGTGAAATAGAAACTTTTAGACAAAATCTGAATTACTTGATACAATTATATGAATTTGGTGTAAAAGTCACTATTTCTGAACTAAATTGATAATTTTTAAAGCCTCAAGTATATGATATGCACCAAGTATCTTATTCCATATAACATTTTTGTATACTGAGGTAACTGAATTCATCTCATATTGTCACATGAGTCCAAAAATGTGTCAACCTGGTAAAAATATAAGCTTTAAAAAAGAGGCAACATAGAACAGTTGAGAGTGCACACCCTGGAGCTATACTGACCAGCTTGAAATTCTGGCTCTGTTGCTTATTGGCTGTGCAACCTGGGCTGAGTTACTTAACCTCTCTGGAATTCTGTATATCCATTTTTTAATTACAATAATAGGGTACTTAGGATTGTTGTGGAATTAAAATTATTTGATACAACATAGCACTTTTTCTCATGTGGAACAAAATGGTCATTTAATTCCTTAACCAGGTGGTTAGAATAGTCACTGTTATCTTTATGCCTTTCTGTTATTGCTGTTGGGTAGTTGTTTCTAGTGTAGATGATGAATGGAAAAATTTTCTAAAGGCATGGCTTGTCTCTCATTTATCATCTCTATTCTCAAGCCACTAACTTAATTTTATCAAAATATGTAATAACAAGTGATAGAAATTATATTTTACCAAATAAATATCAGATGATCAGACATCTATTTTAATCTTTATAATATACTAGTTTTATATTATTTTAATCAATTATTTTTTATAATTTTAATTTTATACATTTTTATTATGAAAGCAAAGAATGAAATTTTTAAAAAATTATAAAGGAGAAGAAAAATTGTAATGCTCTCATGCCATCACTTTTAGTATTTTCTTTTCTTTCCCTATATTATTTTTCTCTGCACATTTTACTTAGCCATAATTATAGTGCATGTAAAATTTTATATCCTGCTTTTCTTCCTTAACTTTGTAACATAAACTTCTTCTTACTAGTACATAGTCTTTATAAGCATTATCGTTTAACAGCTGCGTAACATTTCTTACTAGTCTCATAACAATTAACCATTTCACAAACAACTTTGTTTTTTATTCCCTATCTCAGTGAATAACATGTTTAATGTCTAAACCAGAAGCTGAAATCTTGCTTGACTCCTTTTTCATTCACTGCCACCTTTCACAAATCTCATCAATTGTAAAATTGGATATTCTTATTTTTCTCAATTTAAGGTGAATATAAACACCTTTCTCCAGCAACTCTGCTGCTATCTCAATTCAGGACATTATTTTCCCTAGTATGAATTATTGTACGATCTCTTAACTAACCTTCCTGCTGACTATCTTGCCTGTTAGAAATCTACTATCTACTCTACAGTCAGGGTGATTCTTTTAAATGACAAGTTTAAGCAGTAGCTTTCATGCTTAAAATGTTTAGCCAGTATTCTCAGAGCAAAGTTCCAACTCTTTAATGTGTCACATAGGCCTTCCCTGATTTGTAAGTCTGATAGCTGCACTAGCCTCATTTCATCATTCTACTCTTTGTACTCTGTCCTCTGTTCATAATGAAACTTTTGCATTTGTCAGTATGAGTCATTATTACCCTGGACATATGTACATGCTATTTCCTTTACATGAATTACTTTCTTGCTTTCCATTCTACCTTTACTTCCAACAACAGATAATCACTTAAAATTAATTTGAGATATTCACAATTAAAGCAAGGTCTTGATTACAGGCAAAGATGAACTGAAAGCTTCTTCTATGGACTTTCATTAAAACATGGCTTACCTCTATGCTGACCTTTATCATACTCTATTGTCCTTGCCCTACTTATAAGTCTATTTTCCACAATCAACAAAGTAATCACAGGCTGGGACTAAATTTTGTCCATCTCTAACATAGAATTGTGTCTTGAGTTTAGCAAAATTAATTAAAAATGGTTAAATAAACTAATTAGAGTATTAATTTACCTTTTTTTTTTTTTTGCCATTACAAAAAAACACTTTTATAAACAGCTTTATGGCAGCGGCTTCTTCCTCTTTTCTTTCTTTCTTTTCTTTCTTTCTTTCTTTGTTTTTTTTCTTCTCCTTCTTCTCCTTCTTCTCCCTCCTCTCCCTCCTCTCCTTCCTCTCCCTCCACTCCTTCTTCCTCTCCTTCTCCTCCTACTCATTCTCCTCCTCCTATTATTTTTCACATTTATATGTTTTTAATGCCATTTGGGTATTCTGACTCTACATTCTGATACAAAATTTTTAATTAAGTAGATTTTGTGTAGTTTTAAGCCTTTGAACATACTTCTAGATGTAGGTTTATTATTAATCTATTGAACTTAGTGGGATGGTCAAATACAGTACTCTCCAAGCGTTGGTTCCTTAAATTAGTACTTTTCTTCTAGATTGGTTTTATCATTGAAAGCTCTTATTTCTAGAACCAAGGGTACTTTCCCTCTGGTAATTCTGTATGTGTTTCACTTCGTTCTGCCCTATGTCTGGGGAACAGGACATTGATTAATATTAATCATCAATACAAGAACTTTGTAATTTGTCAGTAATTCTCTCTTTTACACAAGATACTTTTTCATATTTGTATTACATTCATCATTAAGATATAAAAGAGAAGAAATATGGTATTGCTATGGTTAAAATAAGTGAAAATATCTAGAGATAAGTTTTTCTGGAAGGTAGAGTAAAAATACTCATTCATTTCTGTTGGTTTGTAAAGCTGCCATAACGAATTGCCAAAAACTTGGTGGCTCAAAGAATAGAAATTTATTCTCTCGCAGTTCTGAAGGTTAAAAGCTGGAAGTTAAAGTGTATGCTGGGTCTTTCTCTCTCTAAAGGCTCTAGGGGATAGTCTGTTTCATGACCTTCTCTTAGTTTTTGGTGTTGCTGGCAATCCTTGGTATTTTTTGGATTGTAGATTCATCACCCCAATTTCAGCCTTCATCATTACATGGCATTCTCTATTTCTCTGTTTCTGTGTCTCTTTCTTCTTTACACAAGGATGGAAGTTATATTAAATTAAGGGCCTATCGTTCCCCGTTGTTCCCTCTTCTAAACTTAATTACATGTGCAAAGATGTTATTTCCAAAATAGTTCATATTCTGAGGTTCCAGGAAGAACCCAAGTTTGGGGGAGACAATATTCAACTTCATACAGTTTATTTGTTAGTTGTCATTATTATCACTAATGAAGGATTGTTATGAACAGAGAAAAGAAAAAATAATGAAAAAAGAAACACTTTAAATGCAATTGGAAGGAAGAATATTTGAAATGGTTAGGGTTTAGCATATAGCCAATTCTCAATAAATATTTCTGAAATGAATTCCTAGAGATATAAATAAATATTACTACAGGCAGGTTTATTTGTTTTAACTATAAACCCTCACTCCGAATTGCTAAGGGTCATTAGTCTGAAGTTGGGAAACCTCTGAATTTTTTAATTAAATCAAAGTTGTCTATTGTTTAAACATTATTGAATAACTAAATTATACATATAAAATGTCACCAGTATATTTTACTAAAATTATCCTTTGACTTGATAAATATAAGAGTGGATCATGGGTATCATATAACCTCTGACAAAAAAAAATCAAAGTGCTTTAAAGATTTTTGTTTTCTAGGCATGGTAAGAACGTTAATAAAAATTCACATAATTACATGTAAATTATAAATTATCACACAAAGGGGAAAAAATCTTTATATATATATACAAACTGAGTGTACAGAAATAATCATGTGTTCCTTCAGAATATGCAAGAAACACTTTATTTAATTGTTGAACAAAACTGTCCAACAAACAATCAAAATTGGCATATTCCAAATTAAGGAGGTTTAACTGAATGTATTTGCAAAGTTCATTTCATCTTAACAGCCTCTAATAATGAACTTTATTCTTTATTTCCATAAAAATGATAGAAAGAAAGTTGAGAATTCTATGAGTTTTTATTTTTCAATTGGAAGGAGAAAGACATGTTTGTGGTTTTCAGCAAACTGTTTTATCTTTGATTCTACACACACACACAAAAGCTTCCAGAGTGGCCCATTTTTCTACTTTCCTTGGAAAATAAAATATGCCTTTGGGACCATAATTTTTCTATATTCTCACATGAAAGAATATGAATAAATAAGCTGATGCTTACTATTAAAGGAAAATTGAGAGAAATGAGAAAAAGAAGGAAGGAAGGAGGAAGACAGAAAGAAGGAAGGAGGAAGACAGAAGGAAGGAAGGAAGAAGATGGAAGGAAGGAAGGAAGAAGACGGAAGGAAGGAAGGAAGAGGAGGGGAGGGGAGGGGAAGAGGGAGGAGAGAGGAGGGGAGGGAAAAAAGAAGGAAAAGGAGGAAGAATGGTGCTACCATAGAGAACTGCCCAAGACTGGGTAATTTATAAAGGAAAGAGTTTTAATTGGCTCACAGTTCTGCAGGGCTGGGGAGGCCCCAGGAAACTTACAATCATGGTGGAAGGGGAAGCAAACATGTGCTTCTTCACATGAGAGCAGCGAGGAGAAGTATGAGAGCTGAGCAAAGCAGGAAGCCCTTTATAAAACCATCAGATCTCATGAGAACTTACTCACTATCATGAGAATAGCATGGGGAAAATTGCCCACATGATTCAATTACCTCCTACCAGGTCCCTCCCAATGCATGTTGAGATTATGGGAACTACAATTCAAGATGAGATTTCGGTGGGGACACAAACAGACCATCTCAAAAGGATAAGGATATGAAAGGAAGGAAGGAAACAAAGAGAAAGTAAATGAAAGAGTTAAGAAAGAAAGAAGGAAATAAACAGTAACTTTGGAGCTTTTCTTAATCATGTCATATGGTTGCTAACTTCCAGATGCATATATTTGTGCTTTGATATTTAACATTGTAGTGATTCAACAGAAAAGAGCCACCAAATGAAACAAGTTTACTTCTTTTCTAACTAGTATGATTGATAATTTTGTCTGGTCCTGTTTCTTAATTTAATCCAGATTTATGTAAAAATGATTATGTTTTCTAATTCCACCTTTTTCCATTAAAAATGCACGTACAAGTGTCTAGTACTTTTAAAAAAATATTAAGCTATTTAGGCAGGATGAAAAAGAAATAGAAATGGCAGTATCCATCACAAAAATACAGTAAATTACTTATTTAAATTAATATTGTAAATAAACCACAGGCTTTTAAGGAAATCATCAAATGAGTTTTATTAGAGGATTACAGGACATCTCAAAACTTGGTCATATCAAATAGTCATCAGGACAGCACTATTTTCAATCAATGATTTGAAAATCATGAGCCTTGAAGAACTCATAAAATATCATTGTAAAAATGTTTTTTACAAAACATGGATATTCTTTTTTAATAGATTTGAAAAAGTGGCCAGCTATTAGGCTCAGGGAAACATATTCAATGATTCCAAGCAACTGAGCATTGATTACATCTATATCATCCTTACCAAATAATCTTAAATGTTCTCCTGCATGTAGCTATGGGGTTGGCATTAATCTAAATCATTCGAATCATAAAAGTTAATGACATAGTGCAGGGAAATTCAATACGAACATAAGTGCAATGTATTATACATAAGTATGAAAGAGACAGAAATCAAATTGAAGTTGTTAAGAAGTTAGTATTAGTCGGTAAATTAGATACTCAATATTTATGTCATACCTGGCTCATTTCTGTGAATTTAGCAGTAATTCCCCAGAAAATGTGACTTTCTTTGTTTTAGTCCTTCCTGGTTCTTGAACAATAAAAACCACAGAGAGTGAATAATCAAAAATCATCATCTTCACACATGGATTCCTAATGGTGAATCACCTTAACGACAGGATATCTCAGTATTAACCTCAGAGTCCCTGCATTATTATTTCAGTCCTTTCTCCTAGTAGCCTGGCATGAAAATATGTGCTTTTTGTTGACCACTGGTCACAGGAAATGTTGCCACTGCAGTGTTTTTTCATCCTGTGCTGAATCCCAGGACTAATGTATCACCTGCAGACGGGCTTCTGCTAAATATCTAGTGTCTAGATTATATTTGGATACAAAAACTGGTTTCCATTCTCATCCTAGGCACAGAAATATGCCTTTAGTTTGGCAAATGCAATTCCCGGGGCACTGAACAACATTCCTAATCCAAGCTGTGACACCGAGGCCCAGATATTCATAAATGACTAACTGTGATTTCTTAAACCAGCATCCTTGAATTTTTCCCTGAGTGTTTGCTGGAGAAAAATGATGAGGAGAAAGGGAAAAATTCAACCTAAAATTGGAGTGATTAACAAAATTAGAATTATAACAAAGACCTGGAAAATTTCAGTGAAGAATTAACCAGCCAATCCAAGGTGGATAATCCAAATTTATTCTAATCTTAGTTAGTTTCATTATCCAAGAGATCAGACAGAACTGGAATATCTAGTAATATTTTTATAAGCATCATTTAGGAGTGTGACTTCCCTACCAAGAAGATGCAAATTGGAATTCTAGAATATGCGTTCAGCCCTGGGGATGGGATTGGTAAGGGGGCAGATTCCTTAGGATATTAGAATAACAGTCCAGGGCAGGATCTAGTCCCAACTCTTGTTGGATTCCTTCTCTAGAAAAAAATCAAGAACCAAAGCTTGAGCATAAGGTTACTCAACCACTTGCATTAACAAATGACATGTGAATTTAAATCTTTCATGTTCATTAATAATATAAGTAGCAATGTTCAGATTCACTAATGAAAAAAAATTATTCTGGTAAACATTAGACAAGACTGTCCCTGCCTTTGGATCTGAGGAGAGAAAAACCCCAAGATATTGGTCCTTTGGTCTGATGTTCTACAATCTGATTCTTCCAAGACTTCAAGAACGTAAGTGTCAAATGAGTGTTAAATATTATAAATATTAACACCATATGAGTATGGAAGAGGTAAAGAGCTTTGTTCATGAAACTTTTTCCTGAAAAGGTAGAACTTGAGCTGAGATTTGTAGGATAAATAGGAAAAGTCTGATAAAGTGATCAGGGTATTTTAGGAAGAAGGTATATGAGAACCAAAGGCCCAGAGGCAGGAGAAATTTGCCTATCATATCTAGAAGACTTAGAGCAGACAACTTGCTGTTGTGTCTATATTATACTCATTTGCATTTTAGATAATAAAATCCTGAATAATAAGCATTAATTTGTACATAATCTGGGAAATTTTAATGAAAGAGGTGGAATTTCATAAGATCAAGTGATATTTTATTATATTTTACAAGTTTTTTTCCTTTAAACACTATCAAAATTCAGTGAAAATTGAGAATTTAAACAACATGTAGAAAAGAGGCAAAATGTATTTGTTTTGCTTGAATTATAAAGCTCAATAATTTAATTCCTTAGCTGACTTTTTATAATATTACTATTGAAGAGGGTGAGAAGGCAGCATTCAGTAAATTCAAGTGGAAAAACTAAAGAAGAAAAAAAAACATCTATTGGTATGCTACATTTCTAGGGCATATAAGATAGTATTAGTGTCTTTGGTCCCATTCTTTAATAATCTAAACTAAAGATGAAGTCATTTTTATTTTCTAAAAACATAGAAACCTTCATAGAAGACTAACTTCAAAGTTAAACTATTCTGACTTCATTATATAGCCAACAGCTTGAGGACATGGATGATACATAACTCTCATAACCTATAAAGTATATTGCTCTCATAAAGATAAAGCTTTTGGCTAGTAGGTTGCATCTAGTACCATGCTCAAAGGTTACTATAGCAACTCTTTTATGCAAACATGCATGAGCAGTCTTTCACAATTCTCAGATGATTGAAATAAGGGAAGAATTAAAGCATATGAAAGTTCTTTGGAGACTGCTCAGTTGTCAGTATTACTCCTTTGTCAGGTAGCCACTAAATATTTTTAATGCATCATTTTATTTCATCCATGGGGATGTGTTATAGCTACTGGAATTATTTTTCCTTTAATGATGTGTATTATAGAGCAGAGCTACTAAATTAATCTCAGGAAAATTGTAAATTGTTTTTTCTATTTATCCAGCTCACATAGAAAAAGGAGATCTGACTAAATATCTCAGATCTTTGTGTCTGAGATATCCTGCTGTTAGGAGAGAGAGAGGAACAAAGCACAGGCTGTCCAGAGAAGTTCCTCTGTAACTCAGGATGTTATTTTCCCTAGCGGGGACAGGAATAAGGTCCAATACAAGTTTAATAACAAATGGCACATGTTAGAGTCATGAAAAGAACATGATTCCTCCCAAAACTGAACCAGGAAGAAATTGTATCCCTGAATAGACTAATAATGAGTTCTGAAATTGGGCAGTAATAAATAGCCTACCAACAACAACAAAAAAGCCCAGGACCAAACAGATTTACAGCTGAATTCTACCAAAGGTACAGAAAGAAGCTGGTACCATTTCTTCTGAAACTATTTCAAACAATTGAAAAGGAGTGACTTCTCCCTAACTCACGTAATGAGGCTAGCATCATCCTATACCAAAACGTTGCAGAGATATAACAAAAAAAGAAAACCTCAGGCTAATATCTCTGATGAACATCAATGCAAAAATCCTTAATAAAATACTGGCAAACCAAATCCAGCAGCAGATCAAAAAGCTTATCCACCACGATCAAGTTAGCTTCATCCCCAGGATGCAAGGTTGGTTCAACATACACAAATCAACAAAAAGTAATTCATCACATAAAAGAACTAAAGACAAAAAAAATACATGATTATCTCAATAGAAGCAGAAAAGGCCTTCAAGAAAATTCCACATCCCTTCCTTTAAAGCTCACAATATACTAAGTATTGAACGAACATACCTCAAAATAATAAGAACCATATATGACAAACCCACAGCCAATATCATACTGAATGGGCATAAGCTGGAAGCATTCCCCTTAAAAACCAGCACAAGATTAGGATGCGCTCTCTCACCACTTCTATTCAACATAGTATTGGAAGTTCTGGCCAGGGCAATCAGGCAAGAGAAAGAAATAAGGGGATTCAAATAGGAAATCAAATTGTCTCTGTTTGCAGATGACATTATTGTGTATTTTTTAAAAATAAGAAAAAAATAACTGTTTAACTGGTTAATTTTAATTAAAATGTAACACATATTTTGAGCAATATGCATTGCTTTGTTTAAAAGTTTGAAACGTGTTCGCATTGTTCAATTCCCACCTATGAGTGAGAATATGTGGTGTTTGGTTTTTTGTTCTTGCAATAGTTTACTGAGAATGATGATTTCCAATTTCATCCATGTCCCTACAAAGGACATGAACTCATCCTTTTTTATGGCTGCATAGTATTCCATGGTGTATATGTGCCACATTTTCTTAATCCAGTCTATCATTGTTGGACATTTGGGTTGGTTCCAAGTCTTTGCTATTGTGAATAGTGCCACAATAAACATACGTGTGCATGTGTCTTTATAGCAGCATGATTTATAGTCCTTTGGGTATATACCCAGTAATGGGATGGCTGGGTCAAATGGTATTTCTAGTTTTAGATCCCTGAGGAATCGCCACACTGACTTCCACAATGGTTGAACTAGTTTACAGTCCCACCAACAGTGTAAAAGTGTTCCTATTTCTCCACATCCTCTCCAGCACCTGTTGTTTCCTGACTTTTTAATGATCACCATTCTAACTGGTGTGAGATGGTATCTCCTTGTGGTTTTGATTTGCATTTCTCTGATGGCCAGTGATGGTGAGCATTTTTTCATGTGTTTTTTGGCTGCATAAATGTCTTCTTTTGAGAATTGTCTGTTCATGTCCTTCACCCACTTGTTGATGGGGTTGTTTTTTTCTTGTAAATTTGTTTGAGTTCATTGTAGATTCTGGATATTAGCCCTTTGTCAGATGAGTAGGTTGCGAAAATTTTCTCCCATTTTGTAGGGTGCCTGTTCACTCTGATGGTAGTTTCTTTCACTGTGCAGAAGCTCTTTAGTTTAATTAGATCCCATTTGTCAATTTTGGCTTTTGTTGCCACTGCTTTTGGTGTTTTAGACATGAAGTCCTTGCCCATGCCTATGTCCTGAATGGTAATGCCTAGGTTTTCTTCTAGGCTTTTTATGGTTTTAGGTCTAACGTTTAAGTCTTTACTCCATCTTGAATTAATTTTTGTATAAGGTGTAAGGAAGGGATCCAGTTTCAGCTTTCTACATATGGCTAGCCAGTTTTCCCAGCACCATTTATTAAATAGGGAATCCTTTCCCCATTGCTTGTTTTTCTCAGGTTTGTCAAAGATCAGATAGTTGTAGATATGCGGCGTTATTTCTGAGGGCTCTGTTTTGTTCCATCGATCTATATCTCTGTTTTGGTACCAGTACCATGCTGTTTTGGTTACTGTAGCCTTGTAGCATAGTTTGAAGTCAGGTAGCATGATGCCTCCAGCTTTGTTTTTTGGCTTAGGATTGACTTGGCGATGCAGGCTCTTTTTTGGTTCCATATGAACTTTAAAGTAGTTTTTTCCAATTCTGTGAAGAAAGTCATTGGTAGCTTGATGGGGATGGCATTGAATCTATAAATTACCTTGGGCAGTATGGCCATTTTCACGATATTGATTCTTCCTACCCATGACCATGGAATGTTCTTCCATTTGTTTGTATCCTCTTTTATTTCATTGAGCAGTGGTTTGTAGTTCTCCTTGAAGAGGTCCTTCACGTCCCTTGTAAGTTGGATTCCTACGTATTTTATTCTCTTTGAAGCAATTGTGAATGAGAGTTCACTCATGATTTGGCTCTCTGTTTGTCTGTTATTGGTGTATAAGAATGCTTGTGATTTTTGCACATTGGTTTTTTATCCTGAGACTTTGCTGGGGACTGTTGTGGGGTGGGGGGAGGGGGGAGGGATAGCCTTAGGAGATATACCTAATGCTAAATGACGAGTTAATGGGTGCAGCACACCAGCATGGCACATGTATACATATGTAACTAACCTGTACATTGTGCACATGTACCCTAAAACTTAAAGTATAATAATAATAAAATAAAAAATAAAAATAAAAATAAATAAATAAAAAGTTTGAAACATGTAAGAAACCTTGAATTTGCCCATATTTCTAGGAACATGGAAATGTTATTCATTGCTTCTAAAAATGAGTTTGCATTCTTTTTGTTCTTAATTTGCTTTAATTTTGAATTGAATTAAAGCAATACTGACATTTAAAAAAAAAGAAAATAAAACCCCCAAAACTCCTTACGCTGATAAGCAACTTCAGCAATATCTCAGGATGCAAATCAATGTGCGAAAATCACAAGCATTGCTTTACACCAACAATAGACAAGCAGAGAGCCAAATCATAAATGAACTCCCATTCACAATTGCTACAAAGAAAATAAAATACCTAGGAATACATCTAACAAGGGAAATGAAGGACCTCTTCAAGGGAAACTAAAAACCACTATTCAAGGAAATTAGAGAGGTAACAAACAAAAAGAAAAACATTCCATGCTCATGGATATGAAGAATCAATATCATGAAAATGACCATATTGCCCAAAGTAATTTATAGATTCAATCCTATTCACATTAAATTTCCTTTGACATTTTAACAGAATTAGAAAAAATTTATTTTAAAATTCATATGGAATCAAAAAAGAGCCCTTATAGCCAAGACAATACCAAGCAGAAAGAACAAAGCTGGAGGCATTACACTACCAGACTTCAAACTATACTAACAAGGCTACAGTAAGAAAAACAGCATGGTACTGGAACAAAAACAGACACATAGACCAATGGAACAGAATAGAGAACTCATAAATAAGACCACACACCTACAACCATCTGATATTTGACAAACGTGACAAAACCAAGTAATGGAAAAGGGATCCCCTATTTAAGAAATGGTGCTGGGAGAACTGGCTAGCCATATGCAGAAAATTGAAACAGATCTCTTCCTTACACCTTACACAAAAATTAACACAGCATGGAATAAAGACTTAAATATAAAACCCGAAGTTATAAAAACCCTAGAAGAAAACCTAGGCAATATCATTCAGGCCATATGCATTGGCAAATATTTCATAATGAAAACATCAAAAGCAATTGCAACAAAAGCAAAAATTGACAAATGGGATCTAATTAAACTCAACAGCTTCTGCACGGCAAAAATAACTGTTATCAGAGTGAACATACAACCAACAGAATTAGAGAAAATTTTTGCCATCTATCCATCTGACAAAGATCTAATATCCAGAGTCTACAAGGAGCTTAAATACATTTACAAGAAATAAACAAACAACCCTATTAAAAAGTGGGCAAAGGACATGAACAGACACTTCGCAAAAGAAGATATTTATGTAGCCAACAATCCTGAAATAAAGCTCAACATCATTGATCATTAGAGTAATGCAAATCAAAACCACAATGAGATAGCATCTCACACAGTTAGAATGGCTATTATTAAAAAGTCAAGAAAAAGCAGATGCTGGTGAGGTTGTGGAGAAAAAGAATGCTTTTACACTGTTGGTGGGAATTTAAATTAGTACAACCATTGTGGAAGACAGTGTGACAATTTCTCAAAAATCTAGAAGCAGAAATACCATTTGACTCAGCTGAGTCATATACTGAGTATATACCCAAAGGAATATAAATCATTCTATTATAAAGATACATGCACACATGTGTTTATTGTGGCACTATTCACAATATGGACGACAGGGAATCAACCCAATTTCCCATCAAGGATAGACTGAATAAAGAAAATGTGGTACATATATACCATGGAATACTATGCAGCCATAAAAGGAAATGAGATCATGCCTTTTGCAAGGATATTGATGGAGCTGGAAGCTGTTATCCTCAGGAAGCTAATGCATGAACAGAAAACCAAACACTACATGTTCTCATTTATAAGTGGGGGCTAAATGATGAGAACACATGGACACACAGGGGGAAAACATACATTGGGGCTGTCTGTGGGGTGTGGGGTGGTGTGGAGGGAGGGAGAGCATCAGGAAGAATAGCTAATGAACGCTATGCTTAATACCTAGGTGATGGGTTGATCTGTGCAGCAAACCACCATGGCACATGTTCACCTAAGTAACAAACCTGAACATCCTGCACATGTACCCCAGAACTTAAAATAAAAGTTGATGGAAATAAAAGGTAAGAAGATCGTGTCCTTTTCAGAGACATGGTTGGAGCTGGAGGCCATTATCCTTAGCAAACTAACACAGGAATAGAAAACCAAAAACTGCATGTTGTCACTTGTAAGTGGAAGCTAAATGATGAGACCCATAGTGGGGAACAACACACATTGGAGCCTTCTGGAGGCTGGAAGGTGGGAGGAGGAAGAGGATCAGGAAAAATAACTAATGGGTATTAGGCTTAATATCTGAGTGATGAAATGATCTGTACAACAAACCCTCGTGACACAAGTTTACCTATGTAAAAAAACCTGCACATATACTCCTGTACTGAACAGGTAAAACAATTTAAAATTATTTAAATAATAAAAAAGAAAATAACGTGGGTTCTAAAGTATAAATACCTGAGTTTGAGTCATGGATTCACAAATTGCTACGTAAGTGAACCCTGCACATCATTTGAAATGATCTCAACCTTAGTTTCCTACATTTTAGAATCACAATAATAATGCCAACCTAGTAGTATAATTGTAAAGATTCTGTAAATGTATATGAAGTATGTAGCATAGCAGATGGAATACCACAATTTCTACTTAATATTTTTGTTATAACAATGAATTTTCAAGGGGTATACATCTAGGGTCATCACTGTTTCAAATAAAGGACGGTCAAGTTCTAAGCTAGTTCATCCTGGGGAAGATAATTTAACGAAGAGTAAAACATGATGTCAGCCCTGAAATCATCACATAGTAATAATTCCACAGTATCTCCCTTGATAATGCTGAATCCATCTGAAAATTGTCTGTGAATCTGCAAATATATAAATACATTGTATAAATCTAAATGTGTACATATATGTTTGTATATGTATATTGATGCATATATGAGCATGTTATGCATAGATGTGTAATTTTATATACATGTATATGTGTGTGCATATAGATATGTCGGTGTATCTGTGCATGTGCATACACACAAACACGTACACACCCAAGAGGATATTAAAATGCTTACAAAGAGCTCTCCAAGGTGCTGAGAACCGATTGCCTAGATCCTTTGTCATTTTTCCCTGTTGCTACATGATGCCTACAAAAGTGGCAGAAAAGTGAATATTAGCATTGCTCCAGAGAAACTTCACTGTCACTATATCTCATCCAAAGATATAATACCAAGATGGCAGATAAATAAACAGACCATAAACCTCTTGAAGGACTGTCCAAAGTCTTTTGTAATAAGTAAACATGAAAATCTTCTATCACAATAGCTACATATGAAAAAGTAATGATATAAAGAAGAATACTGCTTTGACTTCAGGATTATAGGAAGCTAAAGAGGTTACAATGGAGGTGGAAGGGATGGAACAGGTTTACTGTGTTCTGGTTACCAACTGATATGGTTAGGCTGTGTCCCCACCCAAATCTCCTCTTGAATTGTAGCTCCCATAATTCCCACATTGTGGGAGGGACTCGGTGGGAGATAATTGAATCGTGGTGGCAATTTCCCCCATACTGTTTTTGTGGTAATGAATAAGTCTCATAAGATCTGATGGTTTTATAAGAGGAAACACCTTTTTCTTGGCTCTCACTCCCTCTTTGCCCGACGCCATGTGGGATGTACTTTTCACCTTTCGCCATGATTGTGAGGTCTCCCCAGCCACATGGAACTGTGAGTCCATTGAACCTCTTTTTCTTTGTAAATTACCCAGTCTCAGATATGTCTTTATTAGCAGTGTGAAAATGAACTAATATACCAACTCGTCTGAGTCTGATGAAGCAGAACACACTCATATGCAATGAGTTATATGAAGCAAATGTGTTACTTATAGATAGGCAGCAAGAAACACAAGCAGCCCATGAGCCATTGTGAGTCAGTCTTTCAGGGCTCAGAAAGCTGTCCGAGGGTGAATGGGGTCTGATCCATGTGCATCACAGCTGAGGGACCCCACAAAAGGCTCAGGGTCGTATATCACAGGAATACCATGAATCACTGGAAAAAAGCTTCAAAGATACCCTGCTTTTAGGAGAGAGAGAAACAAAGACCATCCTGTCCAGAGAAGCTCCTCCCTAACTCAAGATGTTATTTTCCATAACAGGGACAGGAACAAGGTCCAGGTTGTTTCAGGCAGTTTCTATCTTCGGACATTCCATTCTCACATATTCTGCAGTTATTCTTGAGAACTACAAGCCAAAAAGGGAACATAATTACAAGCAAAACATGGGGGAGAACACGGTCACCTGGAGAACTGTTTTGCTGGGGAACAGATCATTAAACTGTCTAGTTAGTATAGTGTTTAAAAACTGATTAAACAGTGAGATGTTTAAAGATAACAAATGGCTCACATTCTGATAATAATTTCCTTGACTCACAGGCTTTTTTGCTTGCCTTCAACTATTGAAGATGATAAAGATCATTTATATTAGCTAACGTGAGAAAAAAATGGCTATGTCATTTCCAATTCTAGGCTACTTTTCATGAGTTCAGAAAATCTATCTTTAGCTGATGTTTGACCATCGGCCTTGGCTTTGAAATTCCAAAATAGAATCTGTCGCGGCATTAATAGTTATTCAAGAAACCACTGGATACCATTCAATAAGAGAGGGGATTCTTTTCCCCTTTTTATATTTATTTCATTAATTAAAAACTTATTGAGCCACTGAGTGACCTTTTTCCCTTCATGTCATCAGGTAAAAATGAGTTTAAATTCATCCCATCACAAAAAAGAGATCTAGAGGGGTCGGGCGCAGTGACTCACGCCTGTAATCCCAGGAATTTGGGAGGCCAAGGCAGGCGGATCAGGCCAAGGTCAGGAGTTCAAGACCAGCCTCGCCAACGTAGTGAAACTCCATCTCTACTAAAAATACAAAAATTAACAGGGTGTGGTGGCACATGCCTGTCATCCCAGCTACTTGGGAGGCTGAGGCAGGAGAATCGTTCAAACCCAGGAGGTGGAGGTTGCAGTGAGCTGAGATCGCACTATTGCACTCCAGCCTGGGTGACAGAGTGAGACACTATCTCAAAAAAAAAAAATAGATCTAGAAATAAATGCAAAATTAGTTTATGCCACTATAGTCTAGAATAGCAAATTAATTCAAATATCTTTATAAATCAAACATTATAATAGATAACATTGTTGTTAATGAACATACAAATCTCTAATTGAAAAATAAAACACCTAGAACATGAGAATATCTGCAATAGAATATTCTGTCTATGCCAAATCCTTATCAAATACTTGACACTCACTGGCACTAGAATTAAGATGCCATTTACTTGCTATTTTCCTACTACCTAATACATTTACTCTACATGATTCAACTATAATCTAAAAAAGTAAACCTTAATTGCAATTTATCTTAGTTTTATTTTCCCTCATTTTTAGTTTTATTCTTGTAAGAGATATTATTACTAAATAGTTCCAGTGTGTTTCTTAAGCCTTGCAAGTCAATTTAAATGGGATACACTGAAGGTCTTCACATTTCTATTAGACAACAGAAGATCTATCGAAGAAGGTCTTCACGTTTCTATTAGACAACAGAGGCCTTGGGATTTCCTTGAAACTCGCATCATATGCTTATTCTCTCTTCCTAAAGCCATGGGAGAAAGGGTTTAAAGCAGTACTGTGAATGGGCAGTTAGTATATGTTAACTATTCAGAATAGTCTATAAAATGCATCATTCCTGATGCAGTTAACTCATTTTCTGAAGGAATCCAAGAGGTCAAATTCATTATTTAAAAAAAAAAAGAATATAAAATAAAAGCTCTATTATCAAAAGTCACTACTCTAGTTATTCATGGCATGGTTCTGACTGCTGCCAGCTCTCACAAATGAAGCAGAGTTGGATGGTCACCTCTATAACACAATTAGAAAAATGTGCTCCATGGTATTGCAGAATTGCCAAATAGTAGCTGACAATGTCCACTGCAATACTAGAGTAGAACAGTTTCCAAATAATTTTAAAAGCACCTTTTATTGACTCATGGGGGATTTTTCCACCATCTGGGAAGAGCATTCTGGAAGCCAGAATACATTTTTAGAAATAGTTTAAATAGACAAGAAATGTCAAGAAAGATTCCATCTTTGTGGAAGTCAGTGTGGCGATTCCTAAGGGATCTAGAACTAGAAATACCATTTGACCCAGCCATCCCATAACTGGGTATATACCCAAAGGATTATAAATCATGCTGCTATAAAGATACATGAACACGTATGTTTATCGTGGCACTGTTCACAATAGCAAAGACTTGGAACCAACCCAAATGTCCAACAACGATAGACTGGATTAAGAAAATGTGGCACATATACACCACAGAATACTATGCAGTCATAAAAAAGGATGAGTTCATGTCCTTTGTAGGGACATGGATGAAGCTGGAAACCATCATTCTCAGCAAACTATCGCAAGGACAAAAAAACAAACACCGCATGTTCTCACTCATAGGTGGGAACTGAACAATGAGAACACATGGACACAGGAAGGGGGACATCACACACCGGGGTCTGTTGTGGGGTGGGGGTAGGGGGGAGGGATAGCATTAGCAGATATACTTAATGCTAAATGATGAGTTAATGTGTGCAGCACACCAACATGGCATATGTATACATATGTAATGAACCTGCACGTTGTGCACATGTACCCTAAAACTTAAAGTATAATAATAATAAAATTTAAAAAAAGAAAGATTCCATCTTGAAGCAATAATACTAGGTTACATCATCATATACTCCTCTAAGAAATGTCTCATTATTTTCAAAGGGAACTGCCCTCTGTATGCCAAGGCACAAGATCCAGTATACCACATTCCTGAGACAAGTATCCCCAAGTGTAGGGATGGCACAGGCCCCCCAAAGCATCCTTATTATATTAGTACATCAAGCCCAACGCTAATGGTAATCAATTACAGAAGCTATAAAAGCATTCCTATTTCTGTTTTAAATGTCTTAACATGTAATAGCTTATTTTAGAACACTCCAAAAAGAGTCAAAATATTCTAAAACTGAAAGAAAAATAATAGTACTAATAGTCACCATTTTTGGAGTAGCTATTATCTGTCAGGCAATTTATATCCTTTTTAAAAATATTGATACATTTTTCTCACATATTATAGATTAAAATGGTGGGGGTGGTCAACAAATGTAAAGCATTTGTCTAAGGTTATTCAAAACCACGAGAGGTCTTTCCACTACCCAACACCATTGTCAGGAATGGTTTTCAATCATATTTAGCCATAACAAGAACTTGTAACATAGCTTGTAACCATTATAAGCTATGCATAAGGAAGGATGGAATAGAAAGAGAAAAGTATGAAAAAAACAAAAACAAAATTCTTGGCCACTACAAAGAAATTCTGTGCATATCTGTTTTAAGCCAATGCAAAGACAAATTAGATATATTTCATCAGATAAAAAGTTTAAATGGAAAAAAATGGTCACTCAAAAAATTAGACATACATAGATATGACAATGATAAAAACAGAATTTACTACATTCTATGTCCTAAATCCTGAAGTAGAGGACTATCACATGAGCCGTATTCCATTTCATTTATAGAAACAACTGTGTAACTTAGGTACTATTATTATAACCATTTTACAGATAAAGAAACTGAAATGGAAGAAAATGAAGAAATTTTGCAAAGATTACATGGCTAGTTGGTGGCACATTTAAGATTTAAAACCCAGGGCGTTTAACACAGAGATGCTGTTCTAAATACTACTACGCTGGCAGTCCATATCATTTTCTCTATTACTTGTGATATTTTGATTTGCTCAAGATTTAAAAGATGCCATTATAAATGCTAAAATAGCCTTCAAAGTGATGATCTCACTATATTCTCCTACATAATAATCATTCTTGTGTTTTTCACTAATATACCAGAGCATCCCCTTGCTTTATTGTCTAGTCACATATATGTGTGTGTAAATATCCAAGAAGTAGAAGTAATATTCAGGAATTCCGTTTTATCTATTTTTCTCTTAAGCTAAATATTTCCATAGTGTTTCAACCTTCCAAAAAACTTCCAAAATGTCAACCTTTATTTTTCCTAACACAACCTAAGATTATTAAGCCATTTCACAAATTTAGGAATTCAGACTTAGAACAGAAAAGTGACCTACTCAATATCACATACTAAGAGGAAAAAAAGTGGGTCTTCAGCCTAAGATTTCTTACCTTGGAGTTCTTTCCAATATTTTATTTTTAAAATAATTTATTCTTCTTTTTAGAGAGTAGAAATTCCTAAATTTGGTTAAGGAGGTCACTGTTATTAAAAAGAAAGATATCTTTGTTTCTGAGAGTTATCTAAATGACCCATTGCCAAAGTATTTCTCTACAAATATAGGGCAATACTTAATTTCCTTATGATATTGAAATTCAGGCTTGAAAACTACTACTTACTGTTTTGCTTGGGGCAAATAAAAGTACAAAGTCTATAAAAAGAAAAAAAGAACACTGACTTTATGGTTTTATTACTGGCCTTAGGACACAAATCTAAATAAAAATTTTGTGTGGGATCTGGCTGGTGCTTTATACCTCTCTCTAAAAAGAAAATACAAAGCATGCTTACCATTTGTATGCAGGAAAATTAACACAGAAATTTCCACATTTGAATTCAACAAGTTAGGAGTACAGTGCATCACAAATCACATTACTGCAACACTCTCTAAAGCGTGGTCATTCACAAATTGTCTGTGTGGTTCAAAATATCACACAGTGCTGAGCTTTCTTACCTATTTGCATATATTTGTGCTTTATACCTGCAAGGCCAAGGCTGCAGTGGGGATCTAGGGTCTCCTTAATTCCCAGTATAGTTTTCAGCAGTCAAACTTAGGCCAAACTATATAGAACTGTGTGTAGCCAAGCAACAGCTTCTAATTTGCTGCAGAGTTTGAATATTGCAGAGTAAGTGGGACTTTGAAGCCGTCCTCCAGGGATGAGTAAAGCAGCAGTTCACTTGCTCCTCCATTTGAACCAGTGACCTGAGAACCTTAGGTTCTACTTTGGGATCAGACAAGACTTTGTGAAGATTGCAAAACTCTCCTCATTTTTTTTTCTATCTATACTTCTGTAGAAGAGAAACTGAGACTGTAGTGTCAAAAAGTGCTTCAAAAGTATATTTATAGCCTACATCTGAGTATACTGAACAACTTCAAAGGAAAACTGACTCCATTTATATTTTAAGAGCAGAAGCTTGTGTAACAGAATTAACTCAATGAATGCAGAAAAATCATGTCCTCTCCCCTTTAGCAAGACTTGAAACATATTGTTTCCCTTTAATTTATATTTTCTATAGCATAATAATCAGTCTTTTTTCATAATCTGTAAGCACCATTCATACTCTAGTAATCATTTTCATTTTTTGTTTCCTTGACTTTTTTTTCCTAGAATTATAATTGCATCATCTTTCGCCACTAATGAAAGGGTTGAAATGTATCTTTAAAAAAATTATTTTTCCAAAAGCTGCTTAACATGATAGTGCATTATAATGATACTAATTTAAAGTTAATATCTGAATATCCCCAAAAGGAGAGATTTCATCTAATATTTTATGCAATTACCCCAACTTATCTGACCATAAGAGCCAACATGCCATCACAGATGGCCATTATAAAGACAGGCAAGACACATGTCATTCTTTTTGGCTGCCCATTTGATGTCTCCCCTTCTAATGTTGGCAAAAACTCTCACCTTATGAGTGTTCTTGCAAACATAGAATCTGAAAATGCCAGAAATTCATGTCCAAAGCTTCCATGCATATTGTTAGCAAGCACATGACCTAGACTCACCAATAAAATGCACTCACCGAAATTTCAAAGGAGGGAATAATGAAACAAGTGAGTAGTGGATTACCTGGAGGTAGTGATATTATCCGGGAGCTGAGTTAGTGATGTTGATGGTGCAGGCTTCCTTGGCTAATATGTGGTCATGGCATCAGGATGATTACCTGATACCATTTCTGAGATGAAATATGGAATCTATTTGTTACAGCTGCCCAGTCCTCAGTCTGTTTCAATCTTTCCTGCTGATTTTATGAACATCAAAATTTTCTTAATAAAATAGGAGCCTTGTCTTTATTTTGAAATCCATTTAATAAGCTTTGATTTCTAGGGATATAAAACACTACAAATGAAATGTAAATGTTGCAAACTGCTACCCAATATTACACTTCAAATACATATAACACTGAGCATTTAAGAAGAAAAAGAACCCAAATCCTAAAATTACAGACACTAGATATCATATATAATACATGTATTAGTTTGTTTTCATGCAGCTGATGAAGACATACCTGAGACTGGGTAATTTATAAAGAAAAAGATGTTTAATGAACTCACAGTTCCACGTGGCTGGGGAGGCCTCACAGTCATGGTGGAAGGTATGTCTTACATGGCAGTAGACAAGAAGGAATGAGAGTCAAGCAAAAGGCCTTTTCCCTTATAAAACTATCAGACTTTGTGAGACTTATTCACTACTACGAGAACAGTATGGAGGAAACTGCCCCCATGATTCAATTATCTCCCACCGGGTCCCTCCCACAATACAGGGGAATTACGGGAGCTACAATACAAGATGAGATTTGGGAGGGAACGCAGCCAAACCAAATCAATACTTAAAAGATGGAACATCATTATCTTAGTATAAACTAATCTCTAAGAAGCCTAAATCAAAAGTTAACCGCTAAGTGCCCCACGACACTCTTTTTCTTAAATCAAAGGTGTTCAAGAACAATGGTATATGCCTAAGTCAGATTTGACTTTATAACTCACCCAATTTCTGATTGAATACTCCATTTTTAATTTTTTTTTTTTTTTTAGAACTGGGGTCTTGCTTTGTGGCCCAGGCTGGAGTACAGTGGCATGGCAATCGTACTTCACTGCCACCTCAAATTCCTGGGCACAAAGGAACCTCCCACCTCAGCCTCCCCAGTACCTGAGACTACAGGTGTGTGACACTATCCTTGGCTAATTTTTTAAAACTTTCTATAAATATGAGATATCACTATTTCTCCCAGGCTGGTCTCAAACTCCTGGGCTCAAGGGATCCTCCCACTTTGGCCTCCCAAAGTGCTAAGATTACAGGCGTGAGCCACTTCACCAAGCCTTAATACTCTATTTTTAAGAGGTTATCAACATCTGCATTTTTGAAAAATCAAGATAAAACCAAAGTAGGAAAACACTAGAGTAAAGAGATTTATTTGCTGTGGGTCAAAAGTTCTGGATAGTCCATTTAGCATACGGATCATTAACCTTTGTAAAGAAAAATAAATCTACAATGTGATGATGATATCTGGTAAAGGCACAACTAGAAATCAATAATCAGTAATGTACAAATTTAAAAAGTATTGTTTCTTTTTTTTCAAAAAATATTCCACCTTATTTGAGGATTAGTCTACTTGTTTCTAGATAATTTTATATAATGTTGAAGCCAAATTTATGCTATATAAAACGTTTTCAACAGATGTTTTCCATCTACTACTCTCAGACTATATCCACCCAAGATGAGACATCTGGATGAAAATTTAAAAATTAACACTCTAGGTAATTCCAAATTCACAAATATGTAGAATTATGCTAATACAATATTTGAGGAAAAATTAGCCTTGAAGGAACTTACTTAAAGCTCATTACCTGGTACTGCATATTAGAACAGATCCGGCAGACTGGAAAACCGAGGGTTTCATCAGTGATCATTGCAAATTAGCAAGAAGCTTCATCTTTTCTAACTGATTTAAATAATGTTTCTATATTTGCAACCGTGTACTTGAGAGAATTCTAGGAAACACTGTTATCTTGCATGCCCCTGAATGAATACTCATGGAAGTGGAGAGGTATGGACTCTCATCTCATCAGCTGAATTATCAATAAATGTCAATGACTATTTTTAGTATAAAAAACAATTTTGAAGCCATAAAAACTTGAAATCTGGGTGAGAAAGGAGTAAAGAAAGAAAGAGGTCATAGGTTTAGAAAGGGAGAATGAAATCAGGAATCGGTACTTTCCTGGCCACCTCTAGTTCCAAAGCTTCCAATCACAAGAGATAAATATGTATTTAACTCTAGAAAGTTATAAAGAAAAAAATGAACTTCTATTTAGAATTTTGGATAAGATGTTTAAACATGGAAGTAAGCCCCTGCTTTGTATTGCCTCTGAAAACTAAATGATTTAGAAATACTAAAATTTCCTTATGTAATTGATGTAAATAATCCTTGAGATAATATTACTTGTCCATGGCTCTTGTGAAAAAATAATCAAATATCTTGCTAATTGTTCTCATAAGACTTAACATCTTTTGCTAAATCCTGTTACTCTTGGAAAACAAGGAAAAACAGTTTGAAACACTATTCTCTTAATCTTACCTGACTGAGAAACGTACGTATATCATATCCACAGAGATCTTTCATAGGTTGTTTTGGGTAATTATATTTACTAAATATTTATGTTAAGAGTTATCTGTTTGAGCTTAGTTGAGACCAGTTCTTAAATGAAACACTTAAATTACAAGGCATGATGTAATTACTTCTCTTTCTACGAGGAAATGCATCTTGCGTATTGCTAGGGACTCTCAGAGTCTTGCACCGAAAAGATTCATATATATGTATTGTTGCCAATTGATTTCAAGACTAGCACACTGACAGCTTACAAAATCTTTTACAAATATAACTGTTTTTCTATGGGAAAAATGTGTCCCTCTTTTATAGCTATGATTCAATAATAAGGGTTATATAGTCTGCCACATCAAGCCTCTTCTGGATCACAAAGGCTCCAGTTATTCCCTTTAAACAAAATGTTTCATAGATGAACAGTGCTCTCCTGTGATCAAAGAAAGGAACTGCTTTCATCATAAACCAGATAATCACTGTCTTTTTATTGTCAGTGTTTCACCTCCTGTTTTCCTGTGGTTATTAGCAGGATTTTCTTCTATATATTACGTCCATTATTGCTCAGATGAAGTCTTCCTCTTTCTTTTCCAAAGTGAACCTATTACTATACTAATTATTTTATTCACATAATTAAAATTCTAGCTCATATTTAACCTTGTTAGAGCCATAGTAGAAGAGTTTGTAAGGATAAAAAACCTTTCAAGAATTGATCACATAAATGTTGGCAAATCAAAAGATACTTTATTTGCAAAATATTCTCATATAAGCCAATGTGCTCATATAAAATTAGAACCTTGAATTCCAGTTTGTTTAGTCCTGTCTTTTACCAAAAAGAAAGAAAGTTTAATGCCATATCTTAAAGAAATAAGCTTCTATGGATATTTGCCATTTTCAATGCCCACTACACCTTGCAAAGCAGTAGCATTTATTCTCTAACATATTTTATTTTTATTAAGAAATAGAGGTTTAGGCTTCTACCAATGGTGTTCTATATTCATAAGAAGAGTTTCCTGGGGTTTCTGTAAAACCACCATAATTTCCACTGACACATTTATCTAAACAGTTGATGTCATTTTGGTGAGAGAAGGAGGGCAGCTAGGAAACTTGTTCCCTGTGAGCACTGATCCAGAACACACTGCAAACAAGTCTGTCAGGGCAGCCTTCTGTGGGGAGAGTAAGCCCAATTGCCACATAATCAGGCTCTGCCACCTAGATTAATGCCTTACAGAAAAGGCTAAAATGTGTGCCTCTCTTAAAGTGGTAGACACTTATCTGTCACATAAAACATAGTGCAGGGTTTCTGAGAAATTCTTCTATTATATGTAAATTGATATAAAGCTAATTACCAGAATATATTTATATTATATATTAAAGTATATATATAATATGTGTATATGTATATGTGTATATATATGTGTGTATATATATATGTGTGTGTATATATGTGTGTGTGTATATATATATACATATATATACATATATATATATACATGTATATATATATATACACGTATTCTTGCTGCAGCTGGGCACAATTGCAGCTGGCAGATATTAGAACAACCACCTGACACACACCTGCTAAAGCCACTGCTGATAGTGCTAACAGCAGTGAAACAAGGAATCGATTTCCCAGAGAAAATAAGTCAGAGCCTTGGGGAAAAGCAATTCAGGGAGGTACATAAGAATCTGATTTCTGTATAGTCTAGTGTAGATCATCTTATTTGAGCAAAGAGAACACAAATATTTAGGGAAACAGCTCAGCAGACACTCATATAATCAGCGTTTCAATTACTCATTGAAACACTTTGCTACTTAAGATTTTTAGGAAGATCCACGGAATGGATTGTCTAGATTACTGAACAAGAAACTCTGAGGCAGTGAAACCTCAAGCATCAGCAGTGATGGTGGAGTCAAGGATGAGGATACCAGGAGAAGCAGAGATGTTGCAACACAGAAAGTATGTCATTTTCCCATAATAGTAATTATTTTTTCAAGTAGTGAAAACAAAAAAAAATCAAAAGAAAATCTGGATTTTTTTTTTCAGAAAAGAGATATTGAGGTAACCAGTCCTGGATATGATAGATAACTGTACCTTCTCTACACGTTGGGAATTGAAAATCCATACCCTCATCCCAACATATACACACCCCAAGCTTCCCTGGATCAAAATTTGACATGTGTGATAACAAAGTGAGTATTAACAATTTAAATGTCAGGCTGAGATGTATGGTTCAGGAGTGAGAACATGATCAAGATTTAGCCAAAAACATTCTTCCCAAAAACTTGGAACTGAAACTGATTAAAAGAGTGAAAGAAACTGAATTACTTGTTTGCTATGGATTTCCTATGTTAAATTTATATCAAGCAAATATTGTTACCTGCTTAAAACATAGAAGTAGAAAATACTTGTTAAAACAAGAAAACTATATAAAATAACAGTCTAGTTTTTCATAAGAAGATTTTAAATCCATTGCTTCATATTAAAGTCAAAGGTGAAATTAAAACACTGTGCATTTTATCTTGTTTGATGTTGGAGCAGGATTCTGGAAACACTCAACTCAAAAATTAAGATAAAAAATAAAGAGTAATGAGTTGTAATTAACTTAACAGGATAATTACCTGTCTGTAACGCATTCCCTTGCTTCAAGTGCCTGTGTCAGCAAATTAGTTTCTGACTCTCTGTATTACAGAAATATACTTTTAATTTGCATCCTTATTCCAGAAGGGAATAAGACAAGAACAAGTACTTATACAGAGATAGCAGAGTGTGTTTATTCAGAAATGAGTCGCTCTTTCTGTACAGCTCAACAAATATTTGTAGAATGGGATGGACACTGGGGAAAGGACTGAGAACACAGAAGTAGGAAGCCATGGTCTCTGGAAAGGAGTTGCTCAGACAATCTATTGGAGAGGAAAATCAGTAAACAACTGGTCTGATGGTCTCCAATACTCTTATCAAAATGCACAAAATGGAATAGAACCACAGAGATGGGAATGATTAGTTTTGTGAGGAAGGATGCCTAGAATGCCCCCAAAAGTACATTCAAGTTGGTGCTTGAGGTACAGGGCAAACCCATAAAACCCATAATACATGAACACTTATTCGTTTTTTAAGAAAAAAATTGCTTCAACATGTACAAAGCAAAAAGGAAAAGAAAAGAAAAGTGATTTTTCTAACAGTTTCCTTTGGAAACAGTGTTTCCATTTCACCTTTGACTTTAGTTTCCTTTAGGAAACTATTAGAAAAATAATCAGAAGTCCATATAAAACATTCATGCCATACTTTGTCTAATGGCTGTCGCAAGGCTAAGCTCTAAATCTCTTGATTTTCATTGCTTAACACTTCTCCATCATGGCAGGAAAAGGAGGTTGGACAGGCAGGAAGGGGTACAAATCAAAATTCTGAAAACACAATCCAAGACAGAATAATCCTGAATGTTGAAATCCTGAAACATCAAAATCTCAAAAATATAATTGTGGAAAATTTATTTTAATTCTTTAGAAGATATTTATTTACGTTTTTAAAAGGGATATATTTGAGAAGCATATAAAACAGGATAGAACAATTTATAGGCCACTTTACACAATAAATAGGCAATAACATACATATTTTTGCAAGCATAAACTCTCAGGACTACTAACGCTGGTTGCAGAGGTGTAATAGTTAAAAGCAGATAAGCCATAGTCATAAAGAAATAGGTCAAAAGGGGAATGTTTAAATTCATATCACCATGGTTAGTAATTGTGTTTCCAGCGTTATAACTACTCTTATCTGAAGTGCTGTAATGAAAAACCTGTCTTTCAATGAGATCCAACAAAAACTTTTGTGGGCCACCACCTCATATGCAATCACCCAAATTGCCAAGATCTCAAAAAAATTATCTTTCACAAACGAAGATGTTAAAAAAAGATATCTCTTCATTTATTGAGGAAGTCTCAATGTTTTTACATATACACACAATGCTTATAAAGTAAATGTTGTCATAATGCCCTTTCAAGGAGTCAAATTTGCAAAAAATGCATAAAATGAATTAGAACTCTCAAAAAGTCCCTACACAAGTTATAGGCCAATACTGGAAATGATGCTAACATGAAATGTATGGCATAGTGAATTGTAAAAAATAATCCTGACAATTTAAAATTATAAAAAAAAACTTTTTTAAAACAGAAAAAACTAAAAGAAACGAAAAGAATATTTGACATATGAAAAAGTATATGACAGGAATAGATTATGGGCAATTTCATGGAGATAGTCAATAAGACCTGACCAACTTACGTGATCATTAACTATATTTTGAAGTCTTGAATCATAATAAATAGCTTATTTTTATGTTTTTGGACATGGCTCTCCTTGGAAAGTATGTTCACATTTATTTATTATGTGGCACTGCTCTTTTTGAAATTCTTCTATGGTTTGAGATACAGCAACATGAGCACTCTCTATGAAATTTTTCCATCTTCTGTGCCTGGCTTCTATGTTGTTTTGGGTATGTGGTATATGTACTCATATACAGACCACAGAATGAGCCAAAACAATACCACCTATAGAGAAGCAGCACCATAAGAAGACATAGTGTCTTCTAATCCCACTATTCACAGAATTATTTTTGAACCAGTGAGTAAGTTCACTGGCTTCTTCAGGAAAATTTGAATTTGATTCATGAAAAGGTCCTGTAATGTCATTAGCTGAAAGGAATACCAATGCAGGCAAATGACACATTTTTATGTATTTATTTTTTTTGAGACAGAGTCTTGCTCTGTCGCCCAGGCTGGAGTGCAGTGGCACTATCTCAGCTCACTGCAAGCTCCGCCTCCTGGGTTCACACCATTCTCCTGCCTCAGCCTCCCCAGCAGCTGGGACTACAGGCACCCGCCACCACGCCCGGCTAATTTTTTGTATTTTTGGTAGAGACGGGGTTTCACCGTGTTAGCCAGGATGGTCTCAATCTTCTGACCCTCATGATCTGCCTGCCTTGACCTCTCAAAGTGCTGGGATTACAGGCGTGAGCCACCGCGCCCAGCTGACACATTTTTCAACTGAAGTTTTTATTGTTACTGTATCTTGTGGCTAACCCACTCATCTGAATTTTCCACCAAATGCAAATAAAGACAATAACAATAGTCCCACCTAACATGAGGCAACTAACATGATATAACTATCCTGCATACAACTAATCCCTTCTCCAGAATTTGGCCTTCAGGATTTCAACATTCAGAATTTTAATCCTTCAGGACTGTGATTCTGGGTGTTTTAGATGTTATGGATTTTGATCGTTAGGGGTCTCCGCATTAGGGATTATGATGTTTGGGATTGTGTCTTTTGGGATTATAATCCCAACCCAGTGGAAAGAAGAACAGATGAGTTCCATTGGTAAGTGGCTCTGGAGCCTGATACAAACTACAAAAAAAAAAAAAAAGTAAAGCTGTATTTGATGAAAGAAAATTACCATACCCTGTGTACCCTGGGTGTGCCAGACTTCACACACATTAGCTCATTTTAATCTATTGACTATAGTAGCCCAATATAATCTATTGACTAAAGTAGTCAAGATGTGATGGTTTTGCGATGTTATTGCTGTTAGTTTTTATCCTCGGGATGAAAGTACACATCATCAGTTAGATTTGTTATTTCAACTTTTACAAAATAAATGTTATACTCTTTAATTTCAGTAATAACCTCGTATCCTTACTTATTTTCTTCAAATATCTGTTAAAAGGGCATAAATACTTGCTTAAAAAAAGCAGAAAACAATGAGAATTCCCTAAAAATATACTTCCTGATGGTCCAACATCAAACTAATATATGAATAATACTTGTTCACAATTCTAAACATTTATTCATAATTAACATCTTTGCATAAAACATGAAATATATATTTCCATTTAAAATTAATTTCCAAAGCTTTTTGACAAATATTTACCAACACAGGCAAATGGTAAGCACTGTCAAGTTAAAAGTATTCCTATTTCTTTCATTTATGAATTAAGGAATGGGAAGGTTTCATAGGCAAAAGAAGTCATACATAAACCTGAGTTGTGCCTAAGGCCAATATCACCATTTACTTTGTTTGTAATCTACTAGTTTTCTGCTGGTTTAATTTCCTTTTTAATTATATTCATACTAAGGCTACCTTGCTCAAATTCAAGGTTTCTTGAAAGAGCACTATAAATAAAGAAACAATAAAATTCCCTTTGACTCTCTTTCTCTGCAGCTGAGGAGATATGCAGGGATAGTTCCTTTCAGACAGCTGCTAAATTTATATTTATGTCCTTCCTGTATTTTGTCTCTTGGCTACCGAAATGCACTGTTCATATGTTTCCACATTCTTTGGGTAGAATCTGATGTAATTCCTGGCAGATGCTTTAAATGGGTTCCAGGCTGTTAGATTCTGGCACTAGGGGCTTTGGAGGAAGTCAAGCAGATCTTTCATAATAAGGGATGGTTGAAAGGTGCTTTATACACTTCACAATAGCTATGAAACTATACTGTGGCACATTCTTCTTAGCCTTGCTGTCTCAACAGTTCTCTTATCTGCAACAGAGCCTTCTACTGGACCTTTCTAATCCTGAGAGCATGCTAAAATTCTAGTAACCCAGTAATTACTGGCAGCTTAACAGTAATTTAAGTGCAGCTGCCACCAAGTCACATAACTATGCGTCAAAAACAGAGAGAATATTTTTGAAAAAATGAGGTACATCTCATTCAGGACTTTTTTATTGTTTTACATGTCCAATGTATTTTGACTATTGTAGGTTATCCAATATTTTTTGCCTCACTTTAATTTTTGTTTGATGTGAATTGGATAATTTTCTTTTTATCCCTTTTCTTTTCTAGCCAGTGAAATGTATTGTTCTCCAGAGAGTCCCTTCATGAAAATTATATTGGAAGTATAAAATATAAAGTAATTACAGTTTTTATGGATTTAGGAAACTTGCACAATTGAACATTATTATTTAACCTTCAGAAATAATTTACAAGTTGATATCTGTTACAGACTATAGAGCTATAAATAAAAATTATATACTACCAAAATTCTACTGCTATCACCTACCATCCAAAAAAGAAAAAACAGCAGGCTGCATTGTTTTTGAAGATTCTTAGAATATTTTCCGACAGTGGATCTTAAGCATGATTTTTAAGAAAGTTTCTGGTGAGACAAACTGTTTAAGATCTCATTTTCATAGGAGTGACCTTGTTCAATTAGCTAGAAACTGTTAAGTGAATGAGAACAATATATTATGGTCCTGTGTTTCCTCCCAAAGGACCAGTTTAGATTCTATTGTAAAGCTACTCATTTTATACATTTCTAAACTTTATTTTAAATTGTCAAGTACCTTTATTCAAAGAAAGAGAGGATAGAATAAGCTAACTAAAAAAAAAGTTAGACAAATCCAGATTTAAGTCTAGGCCCCTAGAGAAAATTGGAATGTCTGATTTTCTCAATCAGTGACATTCATTAATAAGTTGCGACCATTTGATCAGAACTCCAAAGCTCCAGTCTCCTCTTTAATGTGATATTTTGTTAATATTTAGAAAATCAGAACAACTATATAGAAACTTGACTAGACTCATGAGATTCTAATAAACGTCAAGGAATCCTGAGCACAAGCCAGACATCAAGTTAATACAAGGTGAGATCCTTCATATTTTTAATAGCTTTATTAATATATATTTTGCATGCCATAACATTCACCCATTTCAATTTACAAATCAATGATTTTTAGTAATTTTATTCAGGGGTTCAACCATCACCATAAATTAATTTTAGAATGTTTTCATCCCCTGAATAAAATCCCTCATGCCCATTTACAGTTAATTCCCATTCTCCTTCCAGCCTCAAGAAATTACTAATTTACTTTCTGATACTATAAATTTGCCTTTTTGGACACTGCATATAAACAAATTCATATAATATATGATCTCATATCTGGATTATTTCATTCAGCATAACATTTTTGAGGTTCATTTATGACACAGCATGAACCAGTAGTTATTTCTTTTTCATTGCTGAATTATATGCCATTGTATGAAGACCATATTTTGCCTGTCCATTTAGCAACTGATTGACATTAAAGTTAATTCCAGTTTTTTACTATTATGAATAATGTTGCCATGAACATTTAGGAGCAGTCTTTGTGTGAATGTGTGTTTTCATTTTCATTGAGTAGATATTCTCTAAAGTGGTTGCAGTATTTTATGTTCTCACAAGCAATATACGGTAATTCCTGTTAATCCACATCCTTGCCAATATATTTTATTGACTGTCATTAGTTATTGACATTCTCTTGGGCATGAAAGAGTGGTTTTTATTTGCCTTTTCCTCCTAATGATGTTGAGCATCTTCTCATTTGATTGTCAGTCTTTTTTGGTGAAATATCTGGTCATATCATACAAGCCCTTTATCAAATTGGGTTTTGTAAATGTTTCTTCCTCGTAAATTCTCTTTCAATTTTTAATGGTGTCTTTTGAGGGAAAAAATTATAACTTCAGTGAGGTCTAATTTATCTTTTTCTTTTATGGGCTTTGCTTTCATTATAGTACTCAAAAAGAGTTTACTTATCTCAGTATCTCAAAGATTTTCTCTTATGGTTTCTTATAAAATTTCGTTGCTTTAGCTCTTTCAAATTTAAGTATATGATCAATTTTTGAGTTAATTTTTGTGTATGGTATGAGATAAAGTATAAATTCATCATTTTCCATGTAGATATCCAATAATTACTCCACCATTTGTTGAACAGACTATCATTTTCCCACGGAATTTATTTGGCACCTTTAATAAAAATTACTTGGCTATAATTATAAGGACTTATTTTTGTGCTCTAAGTGCTATTCCATTGATCCATTTGTCCAACCTATATTAGTACCACATTGTGTTAATAACTCTAGGTTACTGGTAAGTTTTTAAATTGAGAGGTGAAAGTCCTTACACATTCTTCTTTTTCAAAGTCTTTTGATTATTCTAGGTGTTTTTGCATTTCCACATAAAATTGAGGGATATATATCTTTTAAAAAAAGCTTGATGTAATTTCAATAGTGATTGTGTTGAATTTATAGATCTACTTGAGAACTGTCATCTTAATATTAAATCTTCTATACTTGAATATGGAATATCTCCCCATTTATTTAGACCTTTAATTTCTGTCTACAAAATTTTGTGATTGTTAATACACAAGCTTTGCAGTTCCTTTGTTAAATTTATTCTCTTCATAGACTTTTTGTTGTTGGTGGTATTTATTTTCGTTTTAATTTTGGTAAATGGCTAAATAGTACACAACCATAGGACTCTTGTAATAGAGCAGGCAGGGAGTAAAAAAGGTATGAAGAGATAAGGAACTGGAGCTAATGGGAACACTGGACATGATATGTAGCAGTGGTGGCCCTGGGAAAGGACCAATTATAAACACAGATGAAGTACAAATAGATTATGATTATTTTTAGTGTAGGTACAATATATAGTAGTGATTAAGAATAAAATGCTGGAACCAGACTTCTGGGGCTCAAACTTTGATTTTAACAAATACTAGATTTTGGCCTGGGGTAATTTATTTAACAACTCCATATCTCAATGTCTTGATCTATAAAATCTCTAATATAATACTATTGGTGTATACCTCCAACTTTATAGACTTGTGAGAATTAAATTAATAGCTATTTATAAAAGTCGTAAAATAAGGCCTGGAACACAGTGAACATGCAAGAAAAGTTAAATATAAGCATTCTAAGAAATTCCAATCAGAAACACAATGAAATGTGACTTTAGAAATGAGGAACAGAGAAAAATTAGCTTCTAGAAATGTAGGGCACATTTGCCAGAGGATAACTGATTACCAACAAGGCTGGGGAATACAGGACAATATGCAATCAGTTACACATATTTTCAGCTCCTCATGTTTTTAAATGGATGGACTAACCTAATAGAATCCTCCTGGCTTCTGTTTCCATCCTATTGAATTATTCTTCCCCATGGGAAAATGAAGGTCTTGTTGATTGATTATCGACAGAGGGTTGGGGAAGACCCAAATATTAAAAAAAAAAAAAAAAGAAGGTCCACGGAACATAGATACTTGTCCCAAGATTCAGAACATACATTCCAAAGTTTTTGGGGTTTCCAAACACAAAGCCACCCAAACTACATGTAAATCCCACTGCTTAATGAGTTATAAAAATTTCTTGCCCTTCTAGTTAACCTGAATTTAATTTCAGGGGAAAAGAAGGGCAGCAATCAAATATTAATAACTAGAACAATGGCATAAACAGCTGACTTAAAGTATAATATTATTAGTTATCAAAATTCAGGTATATTATGACTCTTATTAAAAATGCAATTCCCTTGAATTACCTAAAAAAATTCTGATTTCTTAGATCCACGGAGAGCTTGGAAATGTGTATTTTAGGAAACACTGATTCAAGTGGTCCACACTTTGATAATCATTTGAGAAACATGAACTTCTAGCAGTTTGATGTGGCAAAAACATTTGCCCCTGCTCTTTTTGCTAAATGATAAAATAGTCCAACTTGTGGCAGCTTCTAGAGAACAAGTGCAATGAATATGCAGAAAATACTCAGTTTCTCAGAGATAGATGGCAAAATTGGGCAAGGTCTCAGTATTTTCTTTTGAAAATCTATTTTCTTATCAGTAAGAAAACAATACATTGTGTAGGCCCACTATCTACAGACAATAATATCTATTGGAATAATTTAATCTCTTTGGCAACTACTGGTTTGTTAGCCCCAATTTCTCAATCTGGGGTTGGGGGGAAGTACCAAAACATGTCTATCTATAATCAAGAAAACACCTGAAAATTCTAATTGCCTGATGAATCGTGTAACTGCCTGTATAAGCTCCTCAGATGACAAAATGCTGCATAAATTCAATGTATTATAATGATGAGTTCATCTTACTGGAAAACATCTAGCTTAAAATTAAAAGATAAATTAACCTTTGCATGATAACTGAAATCAATAAAAATAAAATAATTTGTCTTCTAAATTTTAAATATGACTCATATTTTTGACCTTTCCATTCTAATTATATTATCTTTAGCTCATCTGAGCATTTGTTATACAAAAATAACTTATTTCCAGAAATCTTTGATAGTCTAATATATCATTAAGTATCATGGATGCCTATCACCACATACACAGAAGACACAGCTGTGCAGTTAGACAGGGACCAAATGAGTAGTGGTGAATTAGATGAGCCTTTGTCCAAGTGTTCAAATACTTCAATTCTTCAAAGCTCATTTAGTGTTGCTATTAGAGTCTAAACAGATTAATCAAATACACATAATACTTTATTGACTATATATATTTATATATCTGTCTTTACTATAAAATTCTTGAGGACAGGACTTCTATATTATTTTTTGTTTCTTTTTGTTTTGTTTTCTCTCCAGAACCTAGAAGTATAGAATTGTAGTTAAGCACTAGATCTTTAGACTTGGGAAGCCTTGATTTCAAATTCTGATTCTGTCACTTAATAGTTGTGAAATAAGACATGTTGCTTAATGTTTCTGAGCCTCCATTTTCTTATCTTTAAAAGGAGACACTAAAATTGTCCTCATATAGGTGAATGAAATTTTAAATGAGATGCTGTCCATGAAACTGTACCTTGCACATGATAAGGCGGCATCAATATGGTAGCAGTTGCAATAGCAGCTGTAGCAGCATATATTTGACACAGAATATTTACACAATAAAAAGTTGCTAAATTGGACAATAAGCATGATTTGTATATTTGGCTTATGTTGGCATTATGATCAATATTAGTATTTTCTTATGTTTAAATATACTTACATAAATATAGTCTCTTACATATTTTATGGTCTCTGTGCCTTGAAAATGAACTACAATAAAATAGAAAGCTAGTTAATTAAGATCCCAACACCCTGAACTCATAATGGGTCCCCTATTGTTGTCACATGGAGATACAGGAAGTAGAATGGGGACAGCATATATAAAATAAATGTTACTCCTGTATCCTTTGACTCCAAACTCCATTGTCATCTCCTGGTGAATTTGGCCAAATAACTCATGACCATGAGGAATTCTTCTATGTAGATTTGGCACATTAAGATGGCCTAGATCATTAGTCTGTCCCCTACACCCTACCTGGACTAATGGGGGAGTGAGACCTAAAACTTTAATCTGCATAGAGTTCTAAGACAGAAAAGCAATTCAAAGAGGAAATGTGAATTCAAAAAAGAATATTCCAAAAAGGCCAGATGATACAGTAGCAGAGTCATTAATTGCTTTGTTCCCTAAACTAGAAACCCTAAATCTGAGCACTGTGCATAATATCTTAGATTTTTTTTTAAAGTACTGATCTTTCTTGGGGTTGAAATGTCAGGAAAGCTGCCTTGAACTCTCCTGAGATGACAGAACACCAGAAGAAGATACAGAAATTCACATTTCTAATGGACAACTTTTATTAAAATTGACAGACGTTTACAAAACATTCAGAAAAAAAAATTTAAATAATATGAAAAATATGTGTTGAAATAATATGAAATTACAGAAAGATACAAGAAAGGAATTCCAAATGATTTTAAGAAAAAATAAATAATAAAATATAAATGAGATAATCCCTTAAGATGAATTCCAACTTTATAATTAGCTATCCCATGGAAATAATTACTATTAGCTTCATATTTAATATAATTTATGACTGAATACAATTAATACCTTCCCAACACTTAAATCATTTTTAAAAATTAAACTTGGAATCTATGAGTTAAGATGACTTTTAAATATCACTATCTGATTTGCTATCTCTTTACCTCTCATCAGAAAAAAAACATGGAAAGGGAAGAACCCCACAGGAACAGAAGAATATTAATAACAGATTGTCAGATCCTGGAAGAATTTCATCTACAATTCATCTACATGAATGGAGCTAAACGAAAGTCAGATCTATGGCACACACACAATTAGAGCTTGAAACAAATAGCCATGGATAGAGAGAAAGGAAGAAGAGATTTCAAAGCATTTTACTTTACTTCTCTGTCAAAATTCAAGGCCAGCATCAAAGAAAGTAAAACACTTTTTTTACTATAGCCAAGGAGAAGGGCATTTTCTAATATTGCCAGGACCTGGATAAAGCATTCCACATATACATATACATATACATATACATATACATATACATATACATATACATATACATGAGAGAAAGTTTCTCTCTCCATATACATATGTGTATATATATATGTATATGTGCATATATACACACATATATCAAGACAGTCTCACCTTGTCATCCAGGCTGGAGTGCAGTGGCACGTTTTCAGCTCACTGCAACCTCCGCCTCCCAGGTTGAAGCAGTTCTTATACCTCAGCTGAGATTACAGGTGTGCGCCACCACACTGGCTAATTTTTGTATTTTTTGTGGAACCAGGTTTCACCATATTGGCCAGGCTAGTCTCAGACTCCTGACCTCTAGTGATCTGCCCATCTTGGATTCCCAAAATGTTGGGATTACAGCCTTGATCCACCACACCTGGCCACTTTCCTGATTTATAGTTAAGAAATCCCCCTACCAAAAAAAAATGATTTAAGAAGAGATGATCAAAAATGGCTATCTCTTTGGGAAAAGAGATCAATCAATAGATCTTCACCTCACATCATAGCCTCCACAAATTACATTATTAAAACTCAAATGATAAAATATAGAATTAAACACATATGAATATAAATCTAATCTTAAATGATGAATAAACATAAAAACTTAAAAACAATGGAAGACCTTTCAAAGAGAAAAATGAAAATATTGTAACTGATGTTGTAAAAATGATTAATAATTTTAATACATGTAAGCTTATATAAATTGATAAGAAAATATTAAAACTCCTAATAAATTAGTGGAAAAAGTACATGAAATAAACACAGACACACACACACACATACACACACACATACAGGAAAATGCAAATAGTTAATAAACACCTGAATAAATAAAACTCACTGAGAATTTAAAATAACTATGAATGATAAACCTTGCTTCTCAGTACTAGAAGGGGTATCATGAGCTATCCTATTAAAAGAGAAATTTTAAAATGTATTTATTTTCATTTTTTAATTTTTATGGATACATAATAGTTCTATATATATGAGGTACATGTGATGCTTTGATACAGGTATACGATTTGTAATGATCAAATCAAGGCATTTGGGTTATCCAACATCTCAACAACTTATTCTTTTGTGTTAGGAACATTCCAATTCCACCCTTTTAGTTATTTTTAAATGTACACTAAATTATTGCCAATTATAGTCGCCCTATTGTGCTACCAAATGCTAGATCGTATTCATTCTATCTAACTGTATTTTTGTACCCATTAATCATCCCCACTTTATCCCTCACTCGCTGCTACACTTTGCAAACTCTGATAACTATCATTCTACTCTCTATCACGATGAGTTCACGGTTTGTTTGTTTGATTTTTAATTTTAGCTCTCACGTATGACTGAGAACATGTGAAATTTGTTTTTCTGTGCTTGGTTTAATTCATTTAACATAATGTCCTCCATTTCTATCCACGTTGTTGCAAATGACATGATTTCATTATTTTATGTTTATGGAAGAATAATATTCCATTATGTATATGTAATGCATTTTCTTTATCCATTCATTGATTAATAGACACACAGATTGATTCCATATTTACCCATCTGACAAGGGACTAATAACCAGAATTTATAAGGAGCTCAAACAACTCAATGGAAAAAAAAAAATAATCCACTTTAGAAATGACCAAAATATCTAAATAGACATTTCTCAAATGATGAGCTACAAATGGCCAATAGTTAAATGAAAAAAATGCTCAACATCATTAATTATCAGAGACATGCAAATCAAACTGATTTGATATCAACGAGATATCGTTTCACTCTGGTTAAAATGGCTTTTATCTGAAAGACAGGCAATAGTGAATGCTAGCAAGGATGTGGAGAATGGGAAACCCTCATACACTATTGTTAAGAATATAAATTAGTACAGCCACTATGGAGAATAGTACAAATGTTCCGCAAAGAACTGAAAATAGAACCAACATCTATACTATCCAGCAGTCCCGTTGCTGGGTATGTATCCACAAGAAAGGAAATCATTACATAGGAGAGAGATCTACAGTCCCACATTTACTGAGGCACTATTAACAATAGCTATTTTATGTTTGTATTTTGCTGGTATCCTAAAATGCACACAAACTGACTAAATAATTCTATTTTAAAGAGGCTATTGTTAAGTCTATAATGTAAAATGTACCAAAATGGTTCCATAAATGTTTATGATAATGATGAAAAACTTAAATTGTGTCCAACATTAAGAAGGTGAAATAAATTATTCTACATCAATATAATTACACTTACAATTATTAAAAACCATGTTTGTGAAGTATTGAAATATCATAGGGAAATATTTTTGGTTCATTAACTGAAAGAAGCATTAAGCTTAAATATACAGTTTTAATTTATGTGAAAAAATACATATGCTCAGAGAGGAACTGTCAGAAATACTCTATGATGGTAGATATATTATCACTTTAATTATTTTTATTTTTTTCTATATGTTTCAAATATTAGAATGGCCAAGAATTAGTTTCACTTATGTATTACTTATATTTTATTTTTAATTTGTTTGGGGGTAGAAATATCCACAAGGTATCACAGTCAAAACAGTGAAAGCTTGACCTCTCCATAATCACATCTATTCAGTGTCCTGGGTATCCTTTCAAAGATGATGTATATAACAAATATCCCCTTTTTAAAAACCACATGGTAACATACTATACACACTGACTTGATGTGTATGTGGCACTTGGCTTTACTCACTTAACTATATTTTTTGGAGCTCACTGTGAGCTATTATGTCTTTAGTGCTTTTTTAGACGCTGCATATTATTACATTGTAGGTTTGTTTATATATTTCTCAGCATAGTAACTATATAATTTCACACATATGAATATATTTACCTTATAAAGACATGAGTGGGATAACTAGATCAAAGTGCACATGCATTGATCATTTTAGTAATTATTATAACAGTTTCTTTTAGAAATTGGACTATTTAACACAACCGCCATTAATGTATGAGACTACTTTTTTTAAAACACTGGCTGATAATGTCTTTTAAAAAATGTTTGTATACTTTCCAATCAGAAGAAAAATATCTTAGGTTTCATTTGCATTTTATGGTTATAATAAGAAAAACATTTTAATAGATTAACTTGTCCATCACTTTTCTAAATGTTTTTCACCACAAATGATCACCATTGTTCTAACCCTCAAAGCTTTCCCATATACTTTTGATTGTCCAATTTTTCAACTTGTAGATAGGCCTATTGTCCACACACTCCAAATAAATGTTAAAGCAGAGCTCTCCTTTAAGCTCAATTTCCTAATAGGATTTTCTTTTGAAGTACATAATGCCAAAACTCATTACTTTGGAAGAGGGTAGATATACCTACAGTCCTACTCTTCACCTTTTAACAGCTGCCTGTTTTGTGGTAAAGATGTGTGGAAATCCAGGCTAAAACTATAACCCCTCTTCCAACAGAATGATGTTAGAACCAGGAAATAGCCCTCCTTTCACCTCTTTCACATTGAACTTTTTGCCCATTGTAATTATGCCCAAGGAGGAAGGCATGAGCCTTCTGATAAATATAAACCTGGGCATTCTCCTTAACTCAATTACTGATCCTAGGCTAGGCTTAGCCGTTAGTAATCAGGTGCCATGATTAGCTTGGGTGCTATGTGATTAAGTTTCAAGGGCAGTCAGTATATTTGGAAAGCCTGTTCTCCTAGACAGACCAAAGGTGAAATAGAAAACCTGTTTTATTGCCATAGTCCCTGAATCCTTTTCCTGTGAAAACATTATTATGTAAGCAATAGAATGGAGTAAACTTTTCAAAAACAGTTTGCTATTTCTTCAAGGAAAATACCAAGTTACAATAATTCCAAGTGGTTGTTTTTAAATGCTCCTTGAAATCAAGTACCATGTGATGCTCTGAGGCTAGGGACTGGAACTCTTTCTGATCTGCATCTTGAATTTAAAGTTTAATGTTTGCATAATGAACCAAAAGAAAATTCTAAATTAAAACCTAAAATCATTCTGATTCCATTATAAAGGTAAAAAAATTTAGCATTACTTCATATTAGTTTGTTTATATGAAAATAACCATTTTCTTTCATCAACCTTTTCGAGAGAGCTGTCTTACTTCAATCTGCATCTGCCACAAAAACAGTAACCAAAAAGGGAAAAATGAAACGTTCTTTATCAAAGTGTTTTGTATTTGTTTTCCAAAAACATATGGTTGATATTTTACATATCATTCAATTCTCAGTAAATCAAGTCAAATTTTCCCTAGGTTTTCTCTCTGTTTTTTGTTTTTGTTTTTGTTTTTGTAAATCATAGCATTAAAGATATTGAAGAATATAATCCTCCCATCTATGGCCTTGCAAATTCTCAAATTCAAGAAAAAATATCACTTTTCAAGAATAAGGTGTTTCTAAGACTTCTGTGTCTTGAGAAAACACCTGAAAATCCTAAATGCCCTTTATGTCAGGCCTTAATTTTCCCCCAAAATGAAAGAAAGCCCAGTATCTGCTCCAGGTTTTGATAATAGCTCTGCAGCATGTAAGCTTATTTTCTTTGTATCAATATCAAGTTTGGTTTCTGATCTCAAGTCACTGCTGCCAAAATGTTTACCACATCTTTGCTTGAGTATGTTGCAATCAGCTCATTCCACAATACAAAGTACGTCCTGTTCTTTCCTCCCCTTTCCATAGGCACAGCCTCTGCCTGTAGCCACCACCATCACCAGCTCATGGGGGGTTCTGCCAGGCCACCACTGATGTTCACTTAAAGCCCAAGTACTCTTCAGTTAGCATGTGGTGAATGCTGCCAAGCATGGGACTCACTTTTCAAGAGAATGGGTTCCTCTCTGGCCCAGGGAAGCTTCATAAATGCTGACCATGAGCCTAAGCCTGAACATGGGGACCCCAGGAGCCTGTTTGTTATTCTACTGTGGTCAAGCTGTTACCTAAAGTATAAGAAAAAATACCCTTCACTTTTTCTTCTGCTTTTCTCAGAGTCTTTCACCATAACCACCACAGCTATGAGTTTGCTAATCACTCCTGAAGTCAGCATATCTGAGCCCCAGGCCCACAAAGTACTACCTGGGTATTGCCACCGGGTTTTCAGGGTCTAAGGGCTCTTTAGACAGCAGGTGACGAATCCTGCTAGGACTGAGCCCTTCCCTTCAAGGAAGTGGCTTCCCTTTTAGCTCAGGGTGTGTCTAGAAATGTTACCTGGGAGGTAGTGTGTCCGGAATTTATTCCTTCTGGTGGGTTCTTTGTTTCGCTGACTTCAAGAATGAAGCCGTGGACCCTCGCGGTGAGTGTTACAGCCCCTAAAGATGGTGTGTCCGGAGTGTGTTCCTTCAGATGTTCAGATGTGTCCAGAGTTTCTTCCTCTTGGTGGGTTCGTGGTCTCGCTGACTTCAGGAATGAAGCCGCAGACCCTCGCAGTGAGTGTTACATTTCATAAAGGTAGTGAGGACCCAAAGAGTGAGCAGCAGCAAGATTTATTATGAAGAGCAAAAGAACAAGGATTACACAGCGTGGAAGAGGACCCGAGTGGGTTGCGGCTGCTGGCTGGGGTGGCCAGCTTTTATTCCCTTATTTGGCCCCGCCCACATCCTGCTGATTGGTCCATTTTACAGAGCACTGATTGGTCCATTTTACAGAGTGCTGATTGGTCCATTTTACAGAGTGCTGATTGGTACCTTTACAAACCTTTAGAAAGAAAAGTTCTGCAAGTCCCCACTCCACCCAGGAAGTCCAGCTGGCTTCACTTCTCAGTAGGACCTGAAAAAGGGGCCTCATGACTCTGCCTATGGCCCTGTCCTACTGTGGCTGAGCTGATATCCAAGATGCAAGACAAAGTTCCCTCTTCTCTTCCCTCTCCTCTCCTTAAGCAGAAGGAAGGAGTCATTTTTGTTGCTGCAAGTTCTGCAGCCTGCAGTTGGGGGATTCGTGGCACAAGCACTCCCTCAGCCACCCTAGCCAATGTCTCCCTAGGTCCCATGCTACCCTAGTCCACTGGCTCTGAGCCAACCCCAGAGCTAGAAGTTGCCTAGAAATTGGGTCCTTGTGTCCCAGACTGCCTTTCAAGTTTACCTAGGACCCCGGAGAACTTTGGCCTGCAGTAGCAAGACTTGCCAAGAAACACAAGTTACAACTGCTTGGAGGGGTGATTCCCCTCTGGCGAGGGCTCTGCCAAATGCCCAGACTCTCGAATGTCAGGGCTGCTACCAGGGGATGGGGAGGGGTGCCATTGGTGATTCAAAACTGTCTTTCCTCTCCTTGTCTAGTGCCTCATTCAGTGATATGATATTTAAACCAGGTGCTGTGAGTGCTCACATGATTTTGGGATCTTTTTGTTAAAATTTGGTGTTTGAGAAGGAAAGGGCAGGGGGCACAAATGGTATAGGCTTCTATTCTGCAATCTTACTCCCTAACCTGTATCCATATTTTCTATCCCTACTAATATTGCCCTAATCCAGGCTCTCTTCATTTCTTACCTGAAATATTGCAATTCTTTCTCCCTCCATATTTATATTCCTTCAAGGCATTCTCCATTTTTAGAGTAATTGCTATTAAGTGCAGCTATTATGAGGCATTCCCAATCACCATCACTTTAAGCTTCTTATTACCTATAGCAATAGTTTTACATTTTAACTAAGACAATTTCCATTGAAGAATGTCCTTACTGAGAAAATAAGTCTTAAAACCACTGTCCACAAGAATAAAATAGAGCCTTCTCAGTATAGCATGTCAGGCCCTCATAACCTGACATATGTCAATAAATAGAAGTGTTACTATCTGTTCTCTAACTTCTCTTTAAAACCTTTTTCCTGCATGCGGAGTTATTCCTGCTTCCTGCTACATTTACCTTTGCCTCCAGGTTGTGGATCACATCGCTCTTGTGCCTGGAATACCCTTTTCTTCACCATTCTCAGCTCTTTGGAGCCTTGCTGTCTCATATGGTAAAACTGAATTCACCTTAATTGATTCAACCCCTATAGATTTCCAGCATATACTTGTTAACACATTGCAATTACTTTGTAAGTTTGTCTTTTCACACTAGATTATAACCTCTTTAGGGCAGAAAATGTAATGTATTTATCTCTGTATACTCAGTGGCTGGCTATATATATACACACACACACACACACACACACACACACACACACACACAAGACACTGAGTGTTAATTTTAAAAACTAGCAAATAAAGTAAATTAATTATTTACTTTGGATCCCTAGTATTGCTCACTTTTTAATTAAAAGGAGAGAATTAAAGTTAAAAAATCTTAGCTGACCTAGAAAGGGAGACAATCATTACTAAATGTGGAATTCTAATAAAAGAGCCAAACACAAAATGAGTGATACCAGAAGGACGAAAAAAAAACATTGATCTGAAAACTCTCCAGGGTGTTACATTTGGAAACAGAAGTAAGCACAGAGTTGAATTTCATCTGCAAGTCAGGCATCAAGACCTCATGTAACAGATGCCAACCAAAGCAAAGGCACCACCCGAGAGGAGGACGCACTAATGCAGAACTTAGAAAACTCCAAGACCAGCTTTTGGGAGATGGTGATTCTCCATGAATGCCTTACATTGCATCAGTTTGAGTTCTCTGAGCAAAGTCCTGTGTTGCACACGTAGGAATGTTTGTGTAAGGAGACATTACGGAACAGTAAATCTTAGATGTACCTCCCTCCCCAGAAATCATCCAAGTTTGTAAAGACAAAGACGGCTTTTTTCTCCTCTGCATAGTGGATCTGCTTGTATTTTAGAGTAAAAATAAGGTTACTCTCTGTGGAGAAGATGGACAGGTGACAAGAAATACCATATATGATCAGAGTTGTTGTTTATTTCTAATTTCTAGGTTATTCTCCTGTAATATGTCTCATGTACAGGTACCATCTTGCTCTCAGCAAATAACACTGGGTTGATTGGGACAGTACTCTGGATGCCACTTTTATTATGAGTAATTGGGTAATTAAATGACTTTTTTCCCTCTGACCTAAAGGCCTTCTGTTTTCTGTCAGTAATATTTATCTACATATGTATGTGTGTATATACATAATGATATGTATACAAAATATACATATATTATGCCAGTTTTATATATTTAGATATATGCACACATATTGTTAGTTATACATAGTTGCCAAATATATTAATATGACATATATAGTGTGCATGATTATATGTACATATATATTATGCTAGAAATATACACATATTGTCAGTTATACACAGCATATGTATATTATGTATACATGTATAATATACATATGTATATCACATATACATATATTATTTTATATACATATAATTAGCATAATATATATTTTATACATACCATTATGTACATATATTATTTATATGTGTACATATATATTATTGACAGAAATAATATATATAATATACACACATATTATGTATATGTATATACGTTACTGGCATACTATGAGTGTATATTTATACACATACTATTATATATAATATAAAAATACTATATATAGTAGTTAAAAATATTTAACCCTATTTAGAATCATTTTAATATTAAAATACTTATATAATATACATATTTTAATATAAATAATTTTAGCCAGCTAATTTATTTTCTAAATAGGGTTAACTCTCAGGACTTTCACAATTTCTGACTTAACACTAACCTATATTATTCTGTTTATTAGGTAAGTGGTCTTGCCTATTTTTTATTAAAGAACTATTACTGAATTAGCAAATAAATACTACACTATTTTATGTTCTTACTTAATTTTTTATGACCTTGCTGCAGTTCCTTGAAAATAATAAAGGCATTTCAATATGGTTTCTCAAATAAAATAAATGCATTATTTCTCACCCTGAATAGTGAAAAAATTCTAAATGGTAGGTTTTCTTGCTGATAAGAAAACAGACAGAAAACCAAACTAAATAAAAAATGGCTCTTTCTCCAAATTGTTGAATATTCAAGTTTCACTCAGTTGCAGTTCTAAAGTTTTTACTATTTTTCTTTTAATGCATGAGGTTATAGGCATCCTTTACATGTGAATAGCAATGATGATAAGACACAATCATTTGAAGAGTGAAGGATGTAGAGACATATCATCAGACACATTTTTATATTATGTGTTTATGTGTTTATAAGGTTTAGGAAAAATTTTCCAAAATAGTAGACAATGAAAAGAAACAAAAAATGTATTCTTTTAATTTGGGAAAGACCAATTTCCATGCTGAAGAGAGAACAACACATTATAAATAGGATTAAAATCAGAAAAATGAATTTGATTAATTTTTAGCTACAATTTTACTTATATAAGTATATTTTGTCCTCCACAAAATTGGTAGAGTTACTGTACTACCTTATCCTCCTAAGGTCCCTTCCACCACCAGATATATAATATGATCAAGTTACTATTTTCATGTCAAAACTTAACACTTGTTTACATTAATCTTGGGTAATGTGATTTTTTAAAAAGAGCTTCTACACTTAGTTATGTATTTGGTTGAGGTAAATCTATTGTATTAAGCTTACACAATGTGTTTTGAAAATAGGATGAGAGGGTCAAGTTAATAGAATTCACTTATGATGATCAAATTCTAGATTTTTACATAACTGAAAAAATGGCAAAAGGATATGATTTTCCATTGTCAGTGACACAGAGCATTTTGAAATTGAGTTTCATTTAAAGTAATTAATTTTAATTGAGTAATGCAGAATCATGTTGAAAGGCTCTTTTTATTAATCTACTTTCTTTGATAAATGTTTAGTTTGATGTTCTGTATACTACAATACTTTTAAAATACCTCAGCTTTAGTAACAGTTAGGTTCATTTTACTAATGGAAAACCCAGATGAATACGTTGATGATGAAATTTGATTTCCCAGCATATAGCTTTGTGCAACATTGAAGTTTCGGCTTTTGATTATCTGTGAACCATCTTTTTCATGCTTGTCATCTATATGATGAAATTATTCAAAATATATGACACAGACTGTGATCAAGTTACTTTTAAAATTTGATAGCGAAAAGTGTAACAAACTATAATAAAAAGAAGTAACACCGTTGCTCTCACAGTTTGAAAAGTCACAGCATCATTTCTTCTCTCCTTTCAGACTCATAATGAAACGGGGAAGATTCCCTTGTTCCCCTCACAGGAAGTGTGATGGGGGTGTGGCTTGCTTCTTCAGTGCCCCACTGCACACACCTCTAGGGGAGCACACAGACATACAGGGTGTGGGGCTCCGACCCCATGGCAGTGTCTAGGGGTGAATATTTACAGCTCCTGAAACCCCAGTGGGTGGGTGTTGCAGGGTGCTCTTTTAGTTTGCCGTCTATAGGCAGCTTATGTTAACCAGCTCAATTAGACCCTCCAGCTTGTCACAAGGACAGAGGACTTTCTGTATCCCGGGGTTTCTTGCCTTGGTGTACCAGAAGAATCGGATCACAAGTGGGCTTGAAGAGTGAGCACGAAGTTTTACTGAGTAGAAGTAGCTCTCAGCAGATGGGGAAGCCAGAAGGGAGATGGTTTTCCCCTGGAGTCACGCTGCTCGGGCCGGACTCCAGGTTGTTCCACCAGTAGGTGCCTTTTGGCGCGCTCTTGACCACGGACTACTTGTATCTTCTTCTGCCAATGTGTTCTTCACAAAGTCCAGCTGCTTGTGTGTCTAACTGCTAGGGTCTCAGAGGGGTTTTATAGGCACAGGATGGGGATGTGGCAGGCCAGGGTGGTCTTGAGAAATACAACATTTAGGCATGAAGGCAGGAGTGCCTGTCCTCACCTAGGTCCATGGGGGTGGAGCCTTTGCTAGGGACCACGCCCTCTTTTACCCAGCACTTCCCTTTGCCCTCTTCTGTGTCATTTAAAGGGACCATGCTTTTCCCTTCCCAGCACTCCCATATCAATAACAGGTAAGTAATAGAGCTTTAAATAAGGACACTTAACAATGGTAAGCTGAAGAGTCCTCTTGTCTAAGAAATTTCTACCTTCACTTTAATTATAGCTGTTGAGTGTCAAAGGACATGAAATACCGAGAAGCCAAGAATAAAGAAATATTAAGTAATCTTCAGTGTGGTTTTACCACCACCATTTATAGAAAGCACAGGAAAAATAGTCATTTGGATGATGTAAAATTATACTTACTAAAACATGCCTAAGGTAATAATTCCACACCATTAGATAAGTTACTCTAATGGATATTTTACTCATCAACTCTTTGAATTATGCAAAAATGCGTGTGAGGCTTTTATATAATTTGTACAATTAGAAACAAATTCTGTCCTTCATTATGCATATTTCCCTTTAATTTTGATATATGCTACACATTTAAATACCTTGTCCTTTTCAGAACTTGAATGTACCTATTCACATTAAGTAGAAAAACTCTAGTAACTCCTTCTCATTTTCCCGATTTTACTCCTACTGATAATTTGTCTATAAGAATCATAGGCGCAAAATTATGTGATGAACAGGAATTTAAATCCACAAGAGCTTTTCTTTTCTGGCATTTATAAACGTGGTAAATTTACCCGGTAACATTCTGATGCTAATAACACCAGTATTATTAGCTTCTTTGCTTCTTCTCTTTAGAGGCCATATAGATTAGTTCAATGGTGTAAAATGGGACCACACTCCTAATTCTAATTATCCATTTTGTAAATTTTCTCTTGAATATATTGAATACTAAGAAAAAAATGAGAAAATAGGACATATTATAAATATATTATTCTATATTAAAATAACACACTATATTAAAAATAACTTACACAAACCATTTTATTGACACAATAATATCATGACACATACATACACATACACACACGTGGACACAGGAGTATTTTTCTCATAATGAGCGGTAACAAGGATTTGCCCTAAGCAAAATGGAAGAGCACAGCGCTACTAAACATTATTCATTGAGGAAACTAGTAATTAAATGACCAGAGTAGAGGTCTAGAGGATCAATCATAGATCTACCATAAACTAGATATATAATCTTGACCAAGTACCTATTTTTTTCCATAAAAAAGATACCAAATAATTTCTAAATTCTATCTCTAATTCTAAAGTATTGGCTACAGATTTAGTCAAGTGATATTAATTTACTTAATATCATATCTGATATCTGTCATATCTTATTGATATGAGTACTATCTGATTAATATTTAATGTCTTTTTGTTTTATCTCAAGATAAGCTGATTTGAAGAGTGTCCATCAAAACCTTCGATTATACAAATTCACACAAAGACTGTATGTACATCTACCTATTACATTTGCATATAAACTACCTGAGAATTATTTTTCCATCATATTCATTTTACGTGCAATAGATTCTAAATTACTTAATGTCACTCAAGTCTTTTGTTTCTAAATAATTTTCAGAAATTGAGATTTCTGTAAACAAAGCAATTTCTTCACTGACCTTGATTTGTTCTCACTTACCATAAATGATATTCTAGTAAAGTCCTAAGATAATATTTTTGTCCACTTATTCACAAATGATGCAATAAGTATGTACTATTGCAGACAAAAAATGAATAAAGAGAGAAAATCCATGCTCCTCAACCCTGAGAGACTAAATGGATTTGGGAAAGAAGAAATCACAGACAGGCAGTAAAAATAATATAGACAACACTAACCACAAAATTAATAAACAGAAAAATAAGATGTAGACAAGTTCTATTGAGCCACATATGTGGAGCCACATGTATGTGGCCAACTGTAGAAATCCTATCAAATTCACTAAACAAATTGTATAGACAGTGAATTACAAAGCACATGATATCCATGTTACTAAAATTATTATAGCCATTTTAAAAAGTTTTGTATTTCCTCATATAATTATGGGTAAATTTGAATTCTATATAAAACAACTTTTAGATATTAAATACACAGGGAAAAGGCACATCCACAAACGTGTGTTATAGTTTTGATTATCACAAATCTATCACATCATTGGAATTACCTAATTATACAAGTCCCTAAAAAGTTTTTATAAAACCAAAATCCGCAGCTGTTTACAATACTCTACCCCAATCTTACTCTGCCCATATAAAAAGAGATGATACTCTCGAGAAAGATAATTATGCTTATCTTTAAAGAAGTGGCAAAGAATCTTCATAACATCAAGATACACAAAAAATGTATGAAGCATAAAAATACAGATATCAACTTAATTAAAAGTAAAACATTTCTTAGGCCATTTTTATAAAATTATAAATTTTATCTTGTGGAAAGATTAGAATAAATATTCCACCCATTCTAAAATTAACAGTTTTCTCTCCTGGAAAAGAGAAATGAATTCTAAACTAGATACTTCATATTTATTTGCTGGCTTATAGATTAAGGTGGGGTCAGGATTCCAAATTTCACAATTAGGTATTAGTAGTAAGATTTTAAGAATTGTTCAACTGAAACTGTTGGTTACTCATATTTTCAATCTCACCTCAATGCCCTCAGGGAGAACGCTGATGAAAGTTCCATACTTCCTGGAAGATCTCATGATATTGAAGGTTTCCATGATTTGGGGACTGTTTTTCTTCCTTTTCCCTTCTAATGCCCTCAAAAATAAATTAAATAATGTATTGTCTTACCTACATACCACAATTACATCTGTCATGCATTCTATCTAATGACACCTGGATGGAAAACAAAGAGCTCTATAAATTTGCCTAATATCATGTTTGAAACGTCCCATATTTTATCCTATTTTCACTGACTTCATTAATTGTCAATTTGGGATCTCTCCCCAAATCAAGTAAATATGGTCATATAGACATAAACAAAGCAAATAAAATCACTTATAAAAATAATGAGAGATTTTATTCTTAATACATCATTGCGTTTTTATAGAAAGGCATTCATTCACAATCACGGATCATAAAAAAGGTAGACTCAAAAGATTCACACTTCGCTGCATATGGTATTAATGGCTCTCAATATTTTTCTATTGTCTCCTCTTACATTTGGCAGATATTAGAAAAATAGGAAGAAACCAATGTTATCCAACACCATGAGTACTGTCAAAAAGATATGTGATTTTACACTTGGAATAGCAATTATTTCCAAAATTCTCTTTAACTCACTAACACACCTTTAAAATCATATTACTATATTATGCATAGCAAATAATACTGCCATAGGCTAGTTTTTTTCATGAGATTTGAGCCATCAAACAGGGCATATTTTGAATATTCGCAAATCTGGAGTAATACAGACCTTACCAATGAAACAAAGACATAGGATAAAATGAAAACCAAATGCAGCTTTCATTTTTGTGTATTAACTATGTTTCTTCAATATAGATAGTCTGTGTTTCTAACATAACAGAATGGATAGCACCTACATTTTCTCTTCTAAAGCAGCGCAGTAAAATATTCTAGGTGTCTGTGAAATTTTAATTATAAAACAAATTATTTTTTACGTGATACATAAATGTTTTAGTAACCTATAAAGTATCAAATGCATATGAATACTAAAATTTAAAGAGAGCTATACTTGCTGAACAAATTTATGATTTAACAAGAATCACCAAACAATCACCTCCAGAAAGAGAAAAGTATCCTTTTATTTTGTGCACTCACAGAAAAATCACTGGGATTTTTTAATGATGGTTAAGATAATATATTTCTTAGAAAAATGTTCCTTTTATGAGGTTTGAAACATACCTACATGATTTCAACATTTCTTTGTTAGTTAAAATAAAGTGAATATTGGCTGTAAGCCAGAAAAGTAATTCCATTTTTTAAAGGGTTTTAGCTTAAACGTCTTCCGAGGAGAAAATGATTTTCACTTGCTTCTACTATACAACAGCAGCAGCAAACTTTTTGGCAAAAGGTTTGGGGCTTCATATTATCATAGCATTACAGACATGGAACTATTCACAGACTCATTTATCTTAACACTGGTTTGGTATTATTTTCTCTGGAAAAAAATGTTTAAAAAGATGCAGAAAACCTTTTTTCTATTTGACTCAGTAGTAGGTGAATAAAGAAATTTATTACAGAATCAAAATTGATGAACTGTAAAACAATGAAGAGAATTACCTTCAAGAAGAGAAAGGGGGAAGATTTACCAACTGCCTTATAAAAAATTTCCAGCATCTGAAATTTCTTGTTCTCATTTTCTGAGGTTAACATTAATCATGCATTTTCTATATCATTATTATTATTTGTACTTTATTAGGCCATAAGATATTTTTCAGGTGGCAATAAAAATACTCAGTAAGTGAGGACTAAAATAATTCTAAATATTAATTTTGGAGCTCCAACATGGAAACTGGTAGAAAGATAAAGCATCATTTTATTTGTTAACAGAAGTTAAAATTAATATAAATTAATCAGAGTATAAAATATATTCCCTTTATGGAGTCATTTAGGATAGATGTCAATGACTTCAACTCAGAAAGCATTTCAGAAAAGAGAAAAATTTAGGCACAAGTTGGAATCAATTGTTTCATTGCAGTCTATTTACCTGCTCTATAGGATGATGGTGATTATTGTACAAGAAAAATTTACCTGCTAGAGTACATCATTAACACTTGCATTTTAACATATGTTAATAGTAAAATGTCACTGCATAAATGAAGCTGCTGTACTATCTCCCATTAGGATTTATAATATCTTCTCTCTTGGTTTCCATAACTACTCACATATAATTTTAGATTAAACTTTGAACTCTAAGGCATTAGAAGGCTACAGAATGAAAAATAGAGAAACTAGAAAGCAAATATATTACCATGAGCTTCATACTAAAATAGGAAGTGTTTTTCCATCCCTGGGGGCCACAATCCTAACTATATATTACAAACCTTAAAATATTTTTTTAAAATTCTGATGTCTGGAGTCAACCACAGACCAATTGAAGACAAATCTCAGCCTCAGGTATAAGGCCAAGATTTTAATTTTAATTATTTAATTACTTAAGATAACACAGCAGTTCATAAATGACTCTTGAAATCTCTTTATTATCATGTTGGTTAAGATAGTGTATTAGTACCTTCTCACGCTGCTAAAAAAGACATACCCAAGACTGAGTAATTTATAGAGGAAGGAAATTTAATTCATTACTGTTCAGCATGGCTGGGGAGGCCTCAGGAAACTTAAAATAATGGCGGAAGGGGAAGAAAACACACCCTTATTCACATGGTTGCAGCAAGGAGAAGTGCTGAGCAAAAGGGAAAAAGCCCCTTGTACAACCATCAGATCTCGTGAGAACTCACTCACTATCACAAGAACAGCATGGAGGTAACCACCCCCATGATTCAATTACCTCCCACCAGGTCCCTCCCAGGATAACTTGGAATTAAGTGAACCACAATTCAAGTTGAGATTTGAGTGGGGACACAGCCAAACCATATCAGCTAGAGAACTCTGTTATAAAACTACCTGGGTTTGAATCTTAGATCAGCCTCACTATGCACATGACCTCAGCAAGTTTCCTAATTTTGCTCAGTTTTCTCATCTGTAAAATAGTTATAATAATAGTACCTGCTTCACAAAGTAGTTTCAAGCAAATAAATGGAAGCAACTTGGGACAAAACAAGATACCTAGTATGGGCTCAATGAATAATAGCTGTTCGGATTTTTATAATTATTATTATCAAAATTGATATTTTCAATTCTTTAACAGCACCTTGAACACAATATTACTTCTTGTAATTATTAGACACAGAGATATGCCCACGTAAACAAAATTAAACATCTATCACAAAAGGAAAACAGTTTGGTTTAAACTAGTTCAGTGATTGGCTCTACTACTTTCAGATAGTTATTCGTTACCAGTGATTCATGAACCATGAGCTGTGGGAATTTACACTCTGCATTCTAAAAATGAGAAAAATAAGGACAATCTTTAAAGTCTTTTCTGGTTTTAATGCTATGAGTGTATTTTAGAACATATTAAATGCTAAAAAAGATTGTGATACTAGGTTTCATAAAAAGCAATATTAATAAAATTTATAAAACTATCCTCAACCAAAATTTTCAAACAGCTAATATTGACAAAGATATAGAGGCAAGAGAACACTTGCATACTGTTTATGGGAATATAAATTAGTACATCCATCATTGCATACAGTACAGAGATTCCTCAAAAAACTAAAAGTAGAACTACCATATGTTCCAGCAATCTTATTCCTGGGTATATATGCAAAGGAAATGAAATCAGCCACTTGTAGAGATTGTTAAATTCCCATGTTCACTGTAGCATTATCCACAATCACGGAATCAACCTATATGTCCATCAGCAGATGAATGGATAAAGAAAATAGGGCATATACACACAACAGAATACTATTTAGCCATAACAAGAAGAAAATTCTATCATTTCTGACAACAAAGATGAATCTGAAAAGGCATTATGTTCAGCGAAATAAGCCAGGCACAGAAAGACAAATAGCACATGATCTCATTTACATGTGGAATCTAAAAAATTTAAACTCATAGAAGTAGAGAGTAGCATGGGTTGGATGGGTTGTTGGGGAGATATTGGTTAAGGGATACAAAATTTCAGTTAGATAAATAGGAGGAATAAGTTCAGGAGACCTACTGTACAACATAGTGACTACCGTTAATAACGATATATTGTATTATTGAAAAGTGCTAATGGAATGGATGTTAAGTGTTGTCACAACAAAAATGATGAATATGTGAGGTAATAAATAAATTACCTTGAATTAGCCATTCCATAATATATATGTATATTTCAAAACAACATGTTGTATATGATAAATATCTCTAATTTTATTTATCAATTAAAAATTAAATGTTAAATAATATATAGCCAACACTTACATTGCAGACATGATTCTTAAGAATTGAAAGTGTTCGTGGTAAAATATGAGAGTTCAATTCTCTAATTCCCCTGCCTTTTCCCATGATGAAAATCATACGGCCATGTTAAGGAAGCAGGCTGAGCCACAGTAGTTGAAAGTCCTTTCTGGCAAATGGGGAAACTTTAAAAACATATATACCAGTATATTATTTATGGTCACAGACAAAATGGTAGTCAGTAGCATAACTGATTCACCAAAAAAGGCACCAAAAGAGTTTTTCAGTATTATGTTTCTTTCTTTTTTTTTTTCTTTTTTTTTTTGAGATGGAGTCTTGCTCTTGTCACCCAGGCTGGAGTGCAGTGGCGCAATCTGGGCCCATTGCAACCTCCACCTCCCAGGTTCAAGCAATTCTCCTGTCTCAGCCTCCTGAGTAGCTGGCATTACAGGTTCCCACCACCACCCTCAGCTAATTTTTGTAGTTTTGGTAGAGACAGGGTTTCACCATGTTGGCCAGGCTGGTCAAGAACTCCTGACCTCAAGTGATCCGCCCACCTTGGCCTCCCAAAGTGCTGGGATTACAGGTGTGAGCCACCCAGCCTGGCCTCAGTATTATGTTTCTAGTTCAATTTTTTTAGTTCTGTAGTATTACATAAAGCTCCAAAACAAATATTATATTTTAATCATATAAAAATATTGCGTATTAAATTTTAAAATTGTAGCAAATAATTATAACAAATAGAAACAAGTAAGCAAGGAAATAGATGAAATTTTTTAAGTTTTATTTTAGGTTTAGGGGTACATGTGCAGGTTTGCTTTATAGGTAAACTTGTGTCATGGGGGTTTGTGGTACAGATTATTTCATCACCCAGGTAATAAGCCTACTACCCATTAGTTATTTTTCGCGATCCTCTTCCTTCCACCCTTCACCCTCCAATAGGCCCCAGTGTGTGTTGTTCCCCTATATGTGTCCAGGTGTTCTCATAATTAGTTTCCACTTATAAGTGAGAACATGCAGTATTGGTTTTCTCTTCCTATGTTAGTTGGCTAAGGATAACGGACTCTAGCTCCATCCATGTTCCTGCAAAGGACATAACCTCATTTTTTATGGATGCATAGTATTCCATGGAGTATATGTATCACATTTTCTTTACCCACTCTATCACTGACAGGTATTTAGGTTGATTCTATGTCTTTGCTATTGTGAATAGTGCTTCAATGAACACACATGTTCATGTCTTTATGATAGAATGATTTATATTCCTTTGGTTATATACCCAGTAATGGGATTGCTGGGTCAAATGGTATTTCTGTTTTTAGGTCTTTGAGGAATTGCCACACTATCTTCCACAATGGTTAAGCTAATTTAAACTCCCAACAGAAGTACTTAAGTGTTACTTTTTCTCTGCAGCCTCCTCAGCATATGTTATTTTTTTTTACTTTTAATAATAGCCATTCTGACTGGTGTGAGATGGTATCTCATTGTGGTTTTGATTTCCATTTCTCTAATCATCGGCAATGTTGATTTTTTTTATATGACTGTTGGCCACATGTCTTCCTTCTTTTGACAAGTGTCTGTTCCTGTCCTTTGCTCACTTTTTAATGGGGTTACTTGTTTTTTTTTTCTTGTATATTTGTTTAAGTTTCTTATAGATGCTGGATATTAGACCTTTGTCAGATGGATAGATGCAAAAATTGTCTCCCATTCTTCAGGTTGTCTGTTCACTCTAATGATAGTTTCCTTTGCTGTGCAGAAGCTCTTGAATTTAATGAGATCACATTTGTCAATTTTTTGCTTTTGTTGCAAGTGCTTTTAACATCTTTATCATGAAATCTTTGCCCATTCCTATGTGCAAGATGGTATTGCCTAGGTTGTCGTCCAGGGTTTTTTATAGTTTAGGTTTTTCTTTTAAGTCTTGAATCCATCTTGAGTTAATTTCTTGTATATGGGGTAAGGAAGGGGTTCAGTTTCAATCTTTTGTATATGGCTAACCAGTTATCCAAGCACAATTTATTGATTAGGGAGTCCTTTCTCCATTGCTTGTTTTTGTCAGGTTTTTTGAAGTTCAGATAGTTATAGATGTGTGGTCATAATTCTGAGATCTCTATTCTGTTCCATTGATCTATGTATCTGTTTTTATATCAGTACCATTCAGTTTGGGTTACTATAGACCTGTAGTATGATGCCCCCAGCTTTGTTCTTTTTGCTTAGGATTGTCTTGGCTATTCAGACTCTTTTTTGGTTCCATATGAATTTTAGAATAGTTTTTTCTAGTTCTGTGAAGAATGTCAATGGTACTTTAATAGGAATAGCATTGAATCTATAAATTGCTTTGAGCAATATGGCCATTTTCACAATATTGATTCTTCCCATTCATGAGCATGGAATGTTTTTCCATTTGTTTGGATCATCTCTGATTTCTCTGAGCAATGTTTTGTACTTCTCCTTTTAGAGATCTTTCACCAGGGGATGGAGATTTTTTCTTTTCCTATGAAGAAATATTTAGATTTTAAAACAGACTGAACACAGAGAAGGACCAACATTTTCAAAAGCACAGTTAGTCCAAGAAACTGAGAAAAAAAAAACTGTCTTATATTGAAAATAGATGGCTCCTTTCCACACTACCTGGAGAAGGGTTCCTATAGTGTCCTTCTGGATTCCCATTGTAACAAAAAGGGGAACTCACAATGTCTGGAGCCCTTGAGGTCCTGCAAATGAAGGAGGAGGATGTTCTTAAATTCCTTGCAGTAGCAACCCACTCAAGGTGGTGCCAACCTTGACTTACAAATTGAACAGTGTATCTACAAAATGAAAAGTGATTGCACCTATGACACAAATGTCAAGAGGAACTGGGAGAAGCTTCTGCCGGCAGCTTGTGCCATTGTTGCCATTGAAAACTCTGGTGATGTCAGTGTTATACCCTCCAGGAATCCTGGCCAGCAAGCTGTGATGATGTTTGTTGCTTCCACTGGAGCCACTCCTATTACTGGCTGCTTCACTCTTGGAATCTTCACTACCAAGATCCAAGAAGCCACATCTGCTGGTGATTACTGATCCCAGGGCTGAGCACCAGCCTCTCAGAGGCATCTTATGTTAGTCTGCCTACCATTGCTCTGTGTAACGCAGACTCTGTAATATGTGCATATTGACTTGTCATACAACAAATAGGGAGTTCACTCAGTGGGTCTGATATCGGGAATGCTAACCTGGGAAGTTCTGTGCATGGGTGGCACCATCTCCAGTAACATACATGGGAGGTCATGCCTGATCTCTGCTTCTGTAGAGATCCTGAAAAGATTGAAGAGGAAGAGTTGGTCACTGTAAAAAAAAAAAAAAAAAAAAAAAAAAAAAAAAAAAAAAAAGCTGTGACCAAGGAGACGTTTCAGGGTGAATGAACTGCTTCAGCTCCTGAGTTCACTTCGACTCAACCTGGTTTGAAGGCATTCAGGTGCCCACTGTACTTATTCAACAGGTCCTCACTGCAGACTAGAGCACTCAGTTTGCCACTGCAGTGGGTGTGCAGCTCCCACTGCTCAGGACACTGAATAAATATGAGCAACCACTGAGTGGTCTTAAGCTGTTCTTCCACAGTCTCTTAAACAAGATGGAAACAAAGATGGTTGAAAATAAACATCAGTTTATTAAAAAATTATCTATATCCTAGGAAGAGTTTAAGCATATAAACTAGAAAACTGCTAATAATCTATTCTGAATAATGTCTGACACAGTGCCATATATATATATGTATATACACACATGCACATATATATAGAGACTTGATGACATTTTAAAAATACCTTTTATTATTTCTCAACAAGATAGCTTTGAAATTTTTTATTCAAACTAGATAAATTAATTTATTTGATCCTTGCAAATATTTCACAAAGTAGTAAAACAAAAAAGGGAAGAATACATGAACTAATTTCCCAGTAAGGATAAACAGTGAATTCTCCCTGATTGGTTATCCAGAGAAACACGGCAGTTTTTTATGCAGGGTAGTTGAGAGATGGAACAGAGTAAGAAACTATTGTTTCCATAGGAATAAGAAGTTGTGCCAAAACAATAAACCAATCAACGGCAGCAATTTAGCAAACTGAAGTCATTTCAGTTCAGCCAATCTTACTGAAAAACAATTGCCGTCTTGAAAATGGGAAGGACTAAGTGGTTATCCAGAGAGAAACTCAGCAGGGATAACATTTTTGAAATTTCACAGCCTGAGACCTCAAATATGCAATGTATTTAAGGAAAGTGATTGAAAAAAATATCCTAATGTTCTGAGAATAAATTTACTACCAATGTAGAAATGCAGTTAAGAGTTCTTAGCAGCTCTAGGATGTTTCAGTTCTAGGAAGAAGCATTTAAACACCAAAGATTCGGATGATCGCCATTTCATCTCCTTCACTAACTCATACTTTGATCACTCTGTGAATTAATAGAAGAGAGGGTCAGTATTATTATTATTTTTTTGTTGAGACAGAGTCTCACTCTGTTGCCCAGGCTGGAATGCAGTAAGCAATCGGCTCACTGCAACCTCTACCTTCCAGGTTCAAGTGATTCTCCTGCCTCAGCCTCCCAAGTGGCTGGGATTACAGGTGCGCCCCACCACACCAGATAATTTTTGCAGTTTTAGTAGAGACAGGGTTTCACCATGTTGTCCAAGCCTTGATCCACCTGCCTTGGCTTCCCAAAGTGCTGGGATTACAGGCGTGAGCCACTGTGCCAGGCCGGTCAGTATTATGTATGTGGAAACAATGTAGAATAAACAATCCACTGGTGTTCACTAAGATTCTGCAGGAGGCAGTGTTCATCCAAGGGTACCTGGAGCACCATGTATGTCTGTTTCCAGCAAACAAACAGGATCTTTCTTCCATATCTATGCCTTGGTTTCTACCACAAACCAGTATCAGCTCCAAAGACAGTATAAAATAGAGATGGTGCAATTACACTACAGGTGTAGACTTTCTAATTCTGGCTCTGTCCATTTTGGATTACATCCCCAAAATCATGTTAGTTGACTTCTCAAACATTGTTGAAAAACAGTAATTCACCTCAATATCTAAAAATAGCATAAAAATTAATAGTTCAAATGGTGTTTATTAATTTCTGGTCAATATCAGATATTGAATATACAAGACAATTGAAGCAGGGCCACATTCTTTAAAGATCTTTCAGGAGCATTAGCAGACAGCTAGGACTCCATCCATGTTACACGATAAACTCCATCAAATTGGCTTAAGAAGAAAAACAGAAAACATATTGCTTAAGTAACTGAATAATGCATGAGTAAAACTAGCTTCAGGTGCAGTTTGATTCAAAGGCTCAAAAGACAGCATCAGGATCCTGTTTTATTTCTCTCCACTGAATACGGCTCTGCCCTAAAAGCTAGTTTTACTCACATATGGGTTTCTCCCTCAAGGTTCAAGATCTGTGCAACCAGGTCTCTGTTAGAGAACAGCAGTTCCAGGGGCAAAGTCAAAGGTTGGGAGAAAGGAGAGAGAAGGGACCTTAAGTAGAGACAGCTTCTCTCTTCTAGTAGTTAAACAAAAATCCTGTGTGTGCTTCTTTATGTCCTGAATAGGGTCACATTGTGACCAGAAGTATGAGGATGCTAATGGGCTTATGTCTTTGGAACTAGGCACAGGGTCAACTTCACCCAAACCATGAGGATAGAGAGCAGAGAAAAAAAAATGTTTCTCATTGTGAATTGACTGTGTGTTATCTGACAAAGGAGCAATGAATGCTGAGGAAGTCAGCACCAGGTATCCAAGATGTATCTTATAGACTGTTTGTTTGTTTTAGGGAAAAGGCTATTTTCCTGGAAGGCTGACTACTGGCCTATCATCTCCAGCTGGGAGCCTGGATAAAATTCATAACTTTACCTCTGTGTCACAAAAGGATAGAAAACTCTATTATGTCTAGTGGAAAGTTTTTCTCTGTAGAATATACTATAAATGTGGATTTTTTTCCTAACGAAGAGTTTTCTTCTATGTGCTTCCTTCTCAGATTTCTACTTTAAAATGTTCTTTCAAAGACCTCAAGGAGTTTAATGTACAGAATATCTTTATTTATTTTTTTAAAAAAAACTAACAACAACAGCAAATGTAGCCAAACCATATAAAATTTAAGGTTGGCATAGCAAAGTTGCTGCCTATTTTTTAAACTGTAGCAAAGCAGAAAAGTGGTGTAGATCCTGCTGAGGGTAGGCCACATGACAACAAACATTTGCCAATGGAAACGGGGCTCCTGCATGCAGGCTACCGAGCACAGGCAAGCCTAAATTAGCATTTCCGGGACACAGCCTCCAAGTGTCCCCTAAGGGAACAGTGGTGGACCATGGTAGACAGTTGAGGATGGAAGGCCAGCAACTGGGTCAACAGTGTGGAGCTACCCTGCTAGGAGTAAAAGAATAAAATAAAGTACAGAATAAAATTAGGTCCTGGTAAGAAGTCTTTATTAGTCTTTCTGAAAACCAAGTGAAATTTCTGTCCAGAAAAATACATAAGGGCACACAAAATGTTGTATTCAGTTACAGGGTGATCAAAGCTGCCCTAAAGTACAACTATAAACAACTCCATGAATATAATCCCCAAGTTAAGAGACCCTGTTATGAACTAAAAATATTAAGTCATCCAAGCAAATAATTCCTTGTAAGAATAGTGTTTTAAAATAAAGCAGCTTACAATAAAAATAAAAACAGGAATAGATTGTAATAAAGAAAGAAGTCTTATTGCAGAAGCATAAAATCTGAAGTGATTGCATATATACTCAAAATACACATCAGCTTGGTTTAAGATGACTACCTTGTTATATTGAATGTGACAATAAATGCCAGGAGATATGTATTAACAAAGAATTTTACATGACACTCTAAAATACAAAATGAGGAATATTTTAGTGGAACCATTCCCACACAGTGCTATAATCAATTCAAAGACTTTAACTACATTGATTTTAAGAAGCTATTTTATTTGAGTGTTTTCCAAGTATTCTTAACTTTTCATTTTTGTTAAGTCTTATTTCATACACTTGATCTCAAACAATAACCTCTTCAAGAACAATGACCCAGGAAACAAAATCCATCTATCATTTCCGTAAACTTAGTCTGAGGCAGCTCTTTCAGGGTCTGTCATTGCACATATCACACTCAGTAAGCTGGGTGACTAGCTGGGTGACGAAGATTCTTGGAGGTCCCCACTATGTTTTAGGGGCTTTACAGCTTCAGCAAGTTAAATTGAACCACAAAAGTATGCATTTACTACTAGAAAAAGCAACTGCATTTACAGAAGGTGAATTAAAAAAAAATTTGGTGTCAGAAAAACTTCTAGATTGTCTCACACATGGTCATACATTTAGCATTTTCCTATAATTTCTAAGGAAAGATGAAATGGAAACAGCATTCTAAAAAACAAATATTTATCATCTAAATCATTCTTTTAAGTTGCAAAAGTGCTCAATCTAGCTAATAGGAAGTTCATCTCAGAATTCTAAGAAGAAAAACAAAAAAATAAAATACATAGTTTATAAATGTTGAATTAAAGCAAAAAGACAAATGGGTAGGACGTAAAACATAGAAATGTTCTATTAAGTCTAATGCCCTATTTTCTTGGCTGCAATAACTTAAATGATGATTATATTACTAAAATTCCTGTCTGAGAAACTTCAGCACAGAGTTAACATGACTACCACCCTGAATAAACCACACTTCTCTGAGTTCATCCCACCTTCTATACTACTCTGTATCTACACTGGCAGGACACAGAAGAAAAACAAATAACTTCATTTCAGTGGACTTCAAATTCTGGAGAGAGAGACACTGAGCAGCCCCTTAATGGTTCAAGTTACATGTTTTGTGATATAAAATGCATAGCAATTTCTTTATAACATTGGCTTGAAGGATCAGAATGAATAGTATTGGAACAAGCTTTAATAAAATGTAATTACATTTGGACCTTAATATATGATTTTGGTTATGATAAGTTCCATACACAAGACAGTGGTAAATAAGTGAATCTTCTTATCCCAAGAAAAATTATCTTGTGACCCCCAGTTGAAATTATATAAAATAAGGTTTATAGGAAACTATAAACCTATTCCTATAAATTAGAAACTATAATTTATAGTTTATAGGAAACTATAATTGACCAAATTAAAAGGAGTGACAGTGAAATTCAAAAGTACCTTAGGCTTTGGAATTATATTGGCATAGTTCCAGCTCCTCACTGCTCCTTGGGAAAAATGTCATTGTTTCTCATCAAGTTTTTCTCATTATCAAAATATAGATTACAATATTTTATAAACTTCATAGGAGAATTATTAAATGGAGTAAGTTTTAGAAAGAACCAAATAATGCCTGGCATATAATAAGCATTCAATGAAAGAGTTAACCAGAGTAAGAATGAAGTTAACAGGGAGTCAGCTGTTGATTTTCATAGTTCCAATATGCTCAAATTTCAGTTTTACCACTAGCTACCTATGTATAAATAACCGATTTCTCCCAACATCATGGTTCAAATTTTAGTTATTATAGTCTATTAACTAATTACATAAAATATAAATTTTGTTGTTAAATCTTTGGTCTAAAAATCATAAATAATCGATGCACATTATAATTAGTGACCACATCACTTTTTTGGAGTCTTTTGGTGACTGGTCACTACATGTCTATTATTCAGTCTCTGTACAGACAGCAAAGCATTTAGTTGTACAGCATACTCATCACCTAGTGAGAAACCCAAATACCATGAAGCAGAGAATAAATAATCGAAGGAGAGAACTGGCCAACAAAAATGAAAGTGACGCGAACAAACAAAAATCTACCGAAAATAAAATACAAATTAATGTAATTGGAGCTATACCTAATCTTGGAAATGTTGACATTATTGGCATGCAAAAGACTCCAGAAACTCCAGACACAAAGTCAGAGGAAATGAAAACGTGATTGTGAGAAAAAGAATGAAGATGTCCCAGAGGAAGTAACACACTGAAAGTACCAAGGGTAAAATTTTGGAAGCCGACCTAAATTTTAAAAGAATATAACAATTTGTTGCCAAGGCATTGAAGAGATACTGGCTCCATATTGTAAGTTATGCAACAAGAAGAAAAAGACAAGCACTATTCAAACTGTTTTAACAAGAGGTTTACAAACACCTGTTAATGTTTCTAATGTTTTAAAATAGTGTGCTAAATAAATATTAGTTTAATTATTTTTCCATTTTTCTATAAATCTATAACAGACATCAAGAGTGTTTAATGTTGTAAGAAAAATCTTTAAATGTCATAAAATAATCATAATTGCATCCACTGATTATTAAGATTGTTTTGCATGCTGTCAGCCTACACACCATTTTTGTGGTTCTGGACTGCCACACCAAAAAAGGACGGTGTGTATTTGTTCTGAGAGAGACCACTGTGTATCTTCCCTACTCTGCATCTTTCCCCTAAGTTCTCTACTAGTATAGAACCTTACTTCCTGGGCTTGAATTATGAGGAGAAGGGCAGAGAGCAGAGGACATAAGGTCAAAAACTAAGAATTGCTAAAAAAAAAAAAAAAAAAAAAAAAACCATTTTGGAAACAAGTAGTCTATTCTCAAAGTATGTATACCACACTCTCCTCTCACTCATTCCACTAAATATGCAGTTCCTGATAACTAAAAAAACATGTAAATTATGAAAATAAGTACATTATAGTTTTTACAATAGTCCTTTAAAAATTAGAAGCAATAGTAGAAAAGAAGATGTATTGAATCTAAATAAATCTCTCTGCCTGTGCAAAATTACTCTCTTCAATGCACTTTGAAATGCTTCAACCAGGCTTGTTCTAAATGTCCCCATGGATTGTATTAGAAATATTGTATAAAATAACCCAATGCTTTAAGCTTTCTAACCATAATGAGTTGTAATAAGAGTGAAGTGGCAGCCAGAATAATATTTTCATTAATCTTTGTCAATTTAAGTTAATCATATAGTGATATTCTTTAGTGTGGATATTTTAAAATTATCTTATTTACTGGTATTACATGTAATACAGAAAATTCAGAGAAGAATGAATCTATTTTCTGGTCCTAAATGGCAGGCAGCTGGATATGTAATTATTATAAATGACATTCATACTAAATTAAAGGCAGGTAAAAGTTTTGTTTAACATTTACAGAATAAATGGACCAATAAAAGACTACACACACGTGCACACACACACACACACACGCACACAGCTGTTGTCTTAAATCTATTGAGAAATAGCTTCATTTCAAGAGATATATTGAATTTTAAGAAAAGCAAGAAAACCTTGAGGGAAGACATAGATCAATGTCCCTTCTTCTCACATACAAAATGTAAGGAAGATTTCAGTTCATGCTTTTCTTTGAATTAGTTGTGAACAGAGGTATTTTTTAAACTACCTGATTTCAACTCATTTCTCAGGACAAAACTTTTCTGAAATTTAGTTTAATGAGTTGCAAATCAGAGAGAATAATGATAGTGTAAAGGTTATTGTTTTGAATAGAAAAGAAAATGTATGAAAATCTTCTAGCACAATATCTAGAAAGGTGAATTGACTAAGACTGATGGTAGAGTTAAACATTTAAATTTGCATTCTGAAACTTAGCTATTAGATATTGATTCATGTCTTGCAGTGGGTTACTAGCAGTGCACTGATTTGAGGTTATCTTATCCAACACTTATTGGCTAAGGGATTTGGAGAAACATAGTTAACATCTCTATAACTTAGTTTTGCCTTGTGTAAGATACAAATAATAATAGTACTTACTCTCAAATTCTTGCTGATACTTCTCATTTAGTTCAATGAGATAATATATGTAAAGCACTTACTGCAATGCTTGGCATGAAATAAGAACATTCATTTATATCATAAAAAAAATATTGAACACCTACTATATAAATGAAGAATTTATCTAAGTGCTGGAGATAGAGCAGTGAACCCAATGAAGCCACTACCCTCAAGTAGTTCATTGTGGGAAAACAGGCCTGCAAAGTATTTCCAAATCAAATAAAAAATATTCTATTAGATAACCATTTCTGGTTCTAAATGGAAGGCAACTGAATATGTAATTATTAAAAATGACATTAATACAAAATTACAGACAGGTAAAAGTTCTGTTTAATATTTACAGAATAAATGGACCAATAAAAGACTGTCTATATATATGAGGAGGATAAAATATAACTAGAGTGTGTGAGTACAATTTTAGTATAGTGCTCAGAGAGGACTTCTAGATGAGCAATCCTGAAGGATGTGAGACAACAATCCGTTATGCAAATGTCTAGAATTAGCAGGTGCAAAGGTCTAGGATGAAAGTTTGCTTGGCATGTTAGGAATTACTAGAAGGCCAGAGTAGCCAGAGTACAAAGGGTAAGGAAGTAAGGTCCAAAAAATAGTAGAGAACAATATTCCAAGGGAAATATGGTGGAATCCCTAGGCAGCATAAAGAGCTACCTTTTACTGAATTAAAGGGAGACCAGGCCTGGTACAGTGGCTCACACCTGTAATCCCAGCACTACGGGAGGCCAAGGATGGGGGATTGCTTGAGGCTAGGAGTTCAAGATCAGCCTAGGCAACATGACGAGACCCTGTCTCTACAAAAAAAAAAAAAAAAAAAAAAAAAAAAAAAAAAAAAAAAAAAAAAAAGAATAGCCAGGTGTGGTGATATGCCTGTTTCAAAAAGAGAGAGAGAGAGAGAGAGAGAGAGACAAAGAGAGAAAGACCAGCTAACATGATTATGGGTATTTGTCTAGTCGCATTCATCTGCTTCTATTACTATTTTACTTATCCCTTCAGGTATCTAATTTTCTGTGCTCTTCTTCTCTTCCTCATGATCCCCTTCTTCCTCCACCTATTTGCCCTCCTCTTATGATTGTTGTTATTGTTACAATCATAGTTTTTCTCTTCCTTCTCCTCCTCCTCCTCTTCCCCCCTTCCTTTTCTTCTTTTTTTCTCCCCTCCTTCTGATTCTTCTTCTTCTTTGTGGTAATCGAGATATTTACCACATAAATATCAAAATAATTTACCTTTTTGACTTACCATGCATTCATCAGCAAAATCGTATAATAGAATTATTTTGAAGATTATTGAGATAATGCATGAAAATATATACTATCATGAAATATAATCAGCTGTTGAAAAATAATAGTTCTGATTATATTCATATGTGTTCAATGATAGTTGAAGCTGAAATATATAGAGTTTGAAAATGTGGATATTTGAGGGGTAAGACAGAGTTTTCCCTGAATCTCTGAGAAATAAACTTTATACAATGTTCTCAGTAGCAATAGTTGTTTTACTAGGAGCTTGAACTGTATAACAAATCTCTCTCTGAGCTTCCTGTGTTTAACTCGTTTAACCCTAATGGAAATTCTATGAAATATTTCCATTATTACATCCCCATTTTACAAATAAGAAAATTGAGACACAAAAAGATTAATGCCGATGTTGCAAAGGGATTAAATGATGAGCCATGTTGTAAACCCAGGAATTGTCCTCCTCATTCTGTTATTTAGCCTGTCCACTATGCATTGGTTAAATCCTAAACTTAAGACTATCAGAGAAAATACCAAGGACAGTCATATCAAGAAACCAGCATGGGCTAGTACGGCAGCTCACACCTGTAATCCCAGCACTTTGGGAGGTAGAGGCAGGTGGATCACTTGACCCAAGGAGTTCAAGTCCAGCCTAGGCTATATGGTGAAAACCCTGTCTCTATACAAAATACAAAAGTTAGATGGGTATGGTGGCCAGTGCCTGTAGTTCCAGCTACCTGGCAGATCTAGATGGGAGGAAAACTTGCGCCCAGGAAGTCGAGACTGTAGTAAGCTGTGTTTGCATCACTACACTCCGATCTGGCCTAGACAACAGAGCCAGACCCTGTCTCAAAAAAAAAAAAAAAAAGAAAGAAAGAAAAGAAAAGAAGAAAGAAAAGAAACCAGCATGATAATGGTAGAGTAGAATATTTACAGTTTGAGAAGATGAATATTTGAAATCAAAACAACCAAGAAGGAAAAAAATGGGGCTATTTTTCTCTAATTCAGAAGCGTAACCCATGTGACTAATCAGAATACATTAGCAAGTCTAATATGTACAAAAGCCAGCCAGTGTATAGCATAATCTCAGGCTCCTGCTCACTTCTGCCAGAATTATCAACCTCTATTTATTTTTCTTTATCTTTGTTCATTATTTTTCCATTTGAATTCCTCTGTAATGTGTCTAAACATTCATTTTATCATATGCCTGTTAACTATACAATTTTTTCTTCCTTGCCTTGCTTATTTACATTATTTGTCCATTTTCCCATTCATTTTTTTACATTCTCTCTCCTTTGGCATGTAGCAGTTTCTGCTTATTAAAGTCTGTATTTATAAACACATATACAAGCAATAACTGTATTCAATGTACCAATATAAAATGATATTTGTAAAATATTATATTTGCAGAGCTGAAGTAAAGCAGAAAGACAACTAAAAATTAAATACTATCTCTGTATTGACACTGGGAACCTCATATCAAAGATAAAGTGTTTTACGTAGGACCACAAAGTACCACAAGATGGTGGTAGAATTAGGATAGGACTCCAGTTGCCCTAATTTGAAATTCAGTACTTATTTCCAGCAGGTCATCCTTCTCAGAAAAGAGGGAGTGATCCAGGTTTATGTGATTGTGTATGTATGTGGGTTTATGAAACATTTTGCTAGAATGTTAATAGCAGTAGTTAAACATTTTTTATCTAAAATATATTTTCTCTCTATCAAAGAGCATATTTTGATTTGGCTGAAAATAAAACAAGATGAAACAAAAGGTCTGTAATGACTTTTTTTCTATTTAAAGTCTTGGCGAATGAATAACTTTGTTAAAGAAAAAGAAAAGCATATGCTATTAATGGCCAACTCAAATTCAGAAAAAAATAGCACAAAGAATACTCATTCTTATATAGTTGAAGCAGCTTAAAGTCTTATTTTCAAATAAATAATTTAGGTAATTTGATGATATCTCATTAGTAACAAAATGAATCTGTAGGTAAAACTTTGAAATTAAACTTAAATATACATTACTTAATCTCAGGATCCATTAATTAAAAGTCTGAACTATTATCATTTTATCTTTAGTTTCTCTATTTTATTTTATTTTCTGAGATGGAGTCTCGCTCTATCACCAAGGCTGGAGCGCAGTGGTGCAATCTCAGCTCACTGCAACCCTGCCTCCCGGATTCAAGCCATTCTCCTGCCTCAGCCTCCTGAGTAGCTGGGATTACAGGTGCCCACCACCATGCCTGGCTAATTTTTGTAATTTTAGTAGAGATGGGGTTTCACAATGTTGGACAGGCTGGTCTTGAACTCCTGACCTCAAGTGATCCACCCATCTCGACCTTCCAAAGTGCTGGGATTACAGGCGTGAGCCACTGCGTCTGGTCTAGTTCCCCTAAAATAATAAAAGCTGGAATGTATTGACAAAAAACTTCTTAGGAATATAAAAACATATAAATTCATATAATATAGATTGCATATGGAACTTACACATGCCTCTCAAAACTATTTTTAATATTATAGAGAGGTATATCAAATACATTCTTCTGAGAATCAGAACTGTAACTAGAATTTTAGGAATCTGTAACCTCTTACATGTGAATTTCAAGAAAGAAAATTTGTTATTTTTTAGGTGAAAACTTCTATTTTTATGCTATAATGAGGTTTACAATAATGAGAGTATCATAATTTTACCTTAAGTTGTTCCCTTTTTAGTGATAATACATTATTCATATAACTGGCCATTAAAGTGTGTCTGCCTTCTTGTTTAGAGTTTTTCAGAGCCAAAATCAGGCTGTCAAATCTGTATTGTTTTGCTACTACTGACTATTCTAGCCAATTCGTATCAAAAATCACCCAAAGAGGATCAATATGAATTCTTTCTTACATACAACAGGGAAAAGACATCTCTCTCATTCTCACATAACAAGAATTTGTTCACACCCATAATTGCTTACCTAAGAGCCATAAAAGGAGCCTCAATAATTGCATCTGTCATGTCAATAACATTGAGCCACAATACAAAGAAGTCACTGTGCTTTAATATCTTAGAAGAGCTAATCATATCATGACCTTCTTTCTGCTTGCTCATTCAATACCATACCTGAAAATCTTAGTTTACATTGGAGGTATGTGAAATTCTGTAACTTACATGTGCAACTTAATGTAACTTCAGTCATTCAATTACTTTAATAAATACTCATTAAGAACTCTGTACCAGAAACTCTATTAAATTTGTAGCTAGAAATTTGTAGCTAGAAAGCTCTTTGGCAGTCTTTAATTTTCAAATGTACAAGAAATAAACCGCAGAGGCTACACCATGAAGAATGTGGCCTTTATAGTAAGGCTGAAATAAAACAAACAACAACAAAAAAACTTAGGGCATGATGAGAAGGTCCATGGTTTATCATAACTGTGAAGCTAGTTCAGTACCTAAAGACCCAATATACAGAGAAAATTTGCACATTTTCACCCTGGATGCTATGGATCTTTTATCTCTGACCCTTGTGAGTAGTGTGTCATGGCCCAGAGTTTCTGAACTGAAGTAATAATTATAGTTTGATTGACTGGTTGTACCACATATCTTAGTTCATTGTTTGGACTGAAATAGAGCTAAAGTCAGTGACTGGAGGAAAATATCAAGGTACTTTACGGAAGAAAAAAATGAATATACTTCTGAGACCCTCTAAATAGACAATGTATATGAGTGGAATACATGTGTGATTAGGGTGTTTTATATTCAAGAAACCAAGGCATTTGGACTAGGCATTCATATTGTGATTTAATGAAGAGCCTTAATAGCTTGGAAGGAATGAGAATTCTCAGGAGCATATTCCAAAGTTGTACTAATAGGGAGTACTTAGAAAGCACAAGTAAACCAGATAGCAGAATAAGAAGGTCAAAAAAGGGGAAAATGCTCAATAATAGCACTGATTAAAACCTCAGATTGCAATGGAAGGTCTGTAAATGAGGAGATTTCTTTGGCTGTCTCAAAGGCACTTCAACATTGACAGGACATAAAGTAAATTCATAAATTCTGTTTTCTATATTAAACATTAATTCACTAGTGTTCACTGGATCATACTTCAATCTACCAAGTCCCTCAAGACAGAAGTCCAGGATCCATCCCTGACACCTCCATCTCACCCTAAAATTCAATTCATTACTAAATTTTAATAATTTTAATTCCTAAGTATCTATCCTTCACTTCCATTTCCATTATCAACACCCTACCCAAGCTATCAGCATCTTTTTTTTATCTACTTCACTACACTACAGTGAGATTGATCTTTTTAAAATGCAAATAGGATTATGACACTCCTCTGTTTAAAGTCTTTCAACAACTCCCTAATGTTATGAGCAACATGACTTGAATCTGAACATAGCTGCATTTCCATGCTATTATTTCACCTCCACTACAGTCTCATTTTGCCCCACCTTGGCTCCAGTTACACAAGTTTATTTCAGTTTCTCTAAAACTTATACATATAAACGTACACAAACACAACCTTTGGCTTAGAATTACATGTGAAAATTTTTAGAAGAGAAATGATTCTCTATAAATGATGGTTTAGAGGTGCCGGAAAATAATGTGATAGTCATCCCATGGAATCATATAACCAGTGAAAATATGATTTACTTCCAGCAGTATTGTTATAACAGAAAAAAAAAAGCAACCAGGAGACTGGTTAAATGAATTATAATATATCCAAAATGGAATACTATGTGGCAATTAAAAACGATGCTGTATAGAAAAGTTTCTCAATTCTTAATTTGAATGCAGCTACTCAAAGATAATATTAAAATTCAGAGTCTGACTCAGTAGAATTTGAGTGGCATCTGTGATAATAGATTTTTAAAAGTAACTGATATCCACATTGTTCATTCCATGGACCACGCTTTTAGTAGCAGGGCTATGGAATTACATGTAATATATGATAATATGGTAAAGACCTTGATATTTGTTTTAAAAACATTCCAGTAGAATGTATACTGAATGATACAATATTTGACAAAATATAGTTAAATAGACAGTGGCAAATAAAGGTAGACACATCATAAATGTTAAATGATTGGGTTTCCCTCTACCTTGTGTAAAGCAATTATGAGTAAGTTTAAATGTTTATTTTCTATTTGTTTTCAATTGTAGCAATAAATTGTATTATGTTTGTAATAATAAAACATTAAGATATTTTAAATGTAATAAGGAAATTTGACTATGTTTAAAATTTTAAATGTAGAATTTAATAGCAAGTATATACATGAGCTCCACATGCTGTTTGAACTAAAACTAAAGACAAAATGAAGAAAATTTTCAACAGGAGTGATTTTGGGGGCTATTATTTCTACCGTTCAGTATTCATTAAATTTTCCATAATAAGTTATTATTACTAACATAATGGAAATATTTATTTACATTATTTTAAATAATTACTTAACAAAATTCCCATGGGGAATAAGATTTATGTATTTTGAATGAGTATGTAAATGAGTCTGGGAAATATAACAACAAATCGTTTTTTCTTCAAGCAGCATCCTTATAATGAAAATTGTGTCATGAAAACAAATAATTAGCAAGTTAGTAGTGTCCTTCAGTTATTACTGATCTCAAAGCAATATACTTATTTAAAATTTTAAAAATGCTTACAGAATAATTATTTTACATTGAGCTCTGATAATTCTCTGGAGATGTACAAAGAAGAAGTAACTATTATCCTTGAGTAATATATAAGTTCTACTGGGAATTGCGAAGAAATGAACACATCCTTTGATGAGCAATATAATAAAAATATGCACACGTTTCTATGGGTACACAGATAAAAGAGGAACTTTCTCCACGTAGAGTATGTGCATGTCAATTTCATGGAGAACATGATATTTGCATTGAGTTTCAAATAATGTATAGACATGTCCCTGGCAGATAAAATAGAAAAAAGTCATTTCAGAGAGAGAAAATATAACTCAAAATGAAGGCATTCCTTGTGGTGGGAGTTTAGGAAAGATGGCAAAAAAAAAAGTATAGATTAAGATTGGGGTTGTTTTTTGCTTGTTCAGTTGTTTAAGTTTCTTATAGTTTCTGGATATTAGAAAAAAATTTAAAATGGGCAAAACACATGAACAGACATTTCTCAAAAAAAGGCCTACAAGCAGCTAACAAACATCTGAAAAGATGCTCCATATTAATAATCATCAGAGACCTGCAAATCAAAACCACAATGTAATACTATCTCATACCATTATAATGGTTATTATTAAAAAGTCAAAAATCAACAAATGCTGGTCAGGCTGCAGAGAAAAGAGAATGCTGATACACTGTTGATGGGAATGTAAATTAGTTCAGCCATTGTGGAAAGCAGTTTGGAGGTTTTGCAAAAATCAAAAAGAACAAACTGTTCTAATAAAAAGACACATGCACTCACATGTTCATTGCAGCACTATTCACAACAGCAAAAACGTGTAATCAACCTAGGTATTCATCAGTGATGGACTGGATAAAGAAAATGTGGTACATATACACTATAGAATACTGTGTAGCCATAAATAAGAATGAAATTATGTTCTATGCAGCAACATGGATGAAACTGGAGATAATTATCCTACGCAAATTAATTGAAGAACAGAAACCAAATATCGCATGTTCTCATGTATAACTGAGAGCTAAATATTGGGTACTCATGGACATAAAGATGGCAATAACATAACTGGGGACTACTTGAGAGAAGAGGCAGAAAGGGGGACAAGGTTGAAAAACTAACTGTTGGGTACTATTCTCCATATCTGGAAGAAAAGATTATTCATCCTACAAAGCTTAGCATTACAAAATACACCCAGATAATAAATCTAAACATGTATCCCCTGAATCTAAAATAAAAGTAGTAAAAAAGCAAAATAAAAAATAAATAGGTTAGAATTGGATTGAAGTTTTAAAAAAGGAAAAATTCCAAGATGCTATGCTAAAAATGTCAAACTTACATAATAGGCCATTGCCTACAAAAGTGGTATGGTTTGACTGTGTCCCCACCCAAATCCCATCTTGAATTTTAGTTTTCATAATCCCCATGTGTCATGGGAGGGACCTGATGGGAAGTAACTGAATCATGGAAGTGGTTACCTTCATGCTGTCCTCATGACAGTGAGTTCTCAACGAGATCTAATGGTTTTATCAGGGGCTTCCGCTGTCACTCAGTTCTCATTCTCTCTCCTGCCACCATGTGAAGAAGGATGTGTTTGCTTCCCCTTCCACCATAATTGTAAGTTTCCTGAGGCCTCCCCAGCCATGCTGAACTGTGATTCAATTAAACTTCTTTCCCTTATAAATTACGTAGTCTCAGGTATGTCTTTATTAGCAGTGTGAGAGTGGACTAATACATGAGGCAAAATAATTTTTAAGCAAAAGAGTAAAATCAGTCACAGTTCTTTCTTTTGTAGAGAAAAATGTCAAAATTAATATGAACAATAAATTGTAAAGGCTAGAGAATTTGACTATTGTGCAACATTTGTCTATTAAAGAGGTACCAAGAAACAAGTGTCCACAGATAACAAAAATATAAATGCAAGAACAAAGTGTCATTTCATTAGACTCATCTGAAATCCGAAAATAGTACTATGTATTGCATTGTTTAACATTTATATTGTTTTTATCTTTTTCAGGAAACAAAATAATTCAAAAAGTTTTGTTACAAAGGAGTCAATGTAATTTAATTCACTCATTGAACGTCCACTATACACTCCACAGCCTATGAGTTGTTGAATAGTTAGTTATATAAATAATGAAACCTTTGATCAGGATCGACCTATATCATTGAGACTACTTGGTAGTAAGAGTTTTCCATCTCTGTCAGTCTGTATAAGTTATATGAAGTCTATCTATATTGCTTCTCTAGTTTACTGAGTTTTAAAATTGTGTTGTTCTGCTAATATCACTGCATTTTTTTCTTGGTTAAGCATACAGAAGAATTACAGAGCAATTACAGAACACTATCTCATGAGAAATTGAAGGGAAATTATGCCTAATATGAATGTTGTAGCTAAGAAATAAATATTGGTGGTAATGTTTACAAAAACAAAAAAAATTAAATACTCTTTTGACAAGATTATTGTTCAGTATTAAAACAAAACAACAAAGAGGGACTGCAGTGTGGTTCATCCAGACACAGCCTCGCTGGGTGAATGTGCCTTAAGATAAGGTCTGGCTAGGCTTGGCTTCTTGCCATTGTGTAGGCTCAGCTCTTCTCAAGATTCCTTGAACAGCAGGCTAGCTGAAGTTTGTTTTTCCCATGGCAATGGCAGAAGTGGAAATTATTAACAAATTGTGTCCCGATGGAATATTACAAAATTATCAAAATCTAAAATATGAATACCATTGCAAAAAAAAGGGAAATGTGTGTGACTTATTGAATGTAAAAATGATATAAACAATACAGTTTTAACTACATATTGTGTACATGTAACATAATGTGTAAACATTAATTGTTACACATTTAAAATTATAAAAATATTTTATTATTTAAAACTGTTTCCAAGTGTTGGCTTGAATTTTAAAATTAAACCATTTTCTTTGTTTTTTCTTTCATTTTTTTGAAATTTGGATGTGCATTTTCAGAAATATGAATGTGCCAGAAATGATAAATGTTTTAAAGTTGTTTTCAAGGCAAATGTAACAAATGTAGAGAAGAAACACACATGCTATATGGACAGAACTAAGGAACCTCAATGTCAAGTAGATTGCAAATTCATAACATGAAGTAATAACATTATGTCTACATTTATGATAATTTTAATTATCAGAAAACAAAGTTTGTAAAAAGTGTGAACATTATTTCTTATAAATATTAGATGTACATATCTAATAGCTTAGTCAATCTTATAATTCACCAATGAAAAAGTACTCTACAATGATAATAAAAATATTTTATTGTGCCCAACTTACTGACTTACTGAGAAAAATTACACTGTTAGAATTACAGGAAGGTTTTTTTTACAAAGCATAACGTTTACTGAAACTTGGACATACTTGCTTTACCTGGCTCAGTTACCAACGAACTGTACAAAATGAAATGATTCCAATAGTCAAGGGTTTCCATTAACCTGGCACTGTACAAAATGAAGCCTCCCTGTATGTCACTTGCACCATTGAATCTTATGTTTATACAATTTTATTGTGCCAAAAAGGAATAATAAATAGTTTAAACCTTTGAAATACTCATTGGAGAAGTTGGCTTAAAAAATCTAGCTGTTCTTGATAAGATTTGCTTTTAAAATAATGAAGTAAATTTTAAAAATCAATAATGTGTTCATTTTTAGTAATGTTTTTGTTTGTTAAAATTTAACAGTGTTTTAATATAAATATTAATAATTGAAATATGAAAAATATTTTTCATGGAAAGATTCATTTTTCAAACAAATAGATCATTCTATAAGATAATTTTACCTGAGATGGTAATGGAACCGTAACAAATTGAGCAATACTCTGGCTGGTACAGAGAGAATTTTCAAATGCGTAGAACTAGAGGAATTATGCAAAATCCACTACACTAATGTGAGCAGTTTCAAAAATAATAAAAAGAGCAAACAACTCATGTCTAATTAGTCAAAGAGACAAGGGACTACTTCCACACTGCATGTAAGTGGCCATCAACATTACAGCAGACACTGTTCATATTTACTCTAATAACAAGGCAATAAAAAATTGAAGATATCTGAAGCAGAATGTACTTATCTGTTAGCACATTGAAATTTTTTAGTTTCCAGAGATTTCTACAAAACAGAGAGAGTTTTCTATTAGTAATGAAGATGTTTATCTCATGGAGAAGATTTTTATGTCATCTCACTTGTTTGTACTGAAGATACAAATTTAATCAACAGTTATTAATAAATGTGTTCTTCTCTAGCAGCCATTTTGTACCTATGATGTGTGATGCATGAAGCCATAAGCAGGATTTGCCCAGGTAGCTTTCTGCAAGGGGTGCAGCTTATCTGTCAGCCTGATTGCCTGAATTATTCACTGGAGATCAAGGACTTTGCCCTTCTTAAAAATAACTTATTGGATTCATTAATTTAAGTAATTTGTGAAGATGACAAGTACATTTGTTGAGAAAAATCCAAACCAAACATTTTATAATAAACCATGTGCAGTTCACTTAAATAAAATATAATCATAACTTTAATTTGGGTGTTCAGAGTTATAAACTTTCCCCTTAATTCTGCTTTAGTTGTGTCCCAGAGATTCTGGTAGCTTGATCTTTGTTTTCATTTGTTTCAAAGAATTTCTCAATTTCTGCCTTAATTTCATTATTTAGAAAAAATATTCCAAAGCAGACTGGTTTATTTTATTTTGAATTTTTTTAGACAGTGTCTCACTGTGTCACTCAGGCTGGAGTGCAGTGTCACAATCATGGCTTACTGCAGTCTTGACCTCGTGGGCTCTGATGATCCTCCAACTTCAGCCTCCCGAGTAAATGGGACTACAGGTGTATGCCACCACACCTAGCTGATTTTTGTATTTTTTGTAGAGATGGCTGGTTGCTCTGTCCCCCAGACTGCTCTGGAACTCCTAGGCTCAAGCAATCTACCAGCCTTAACCTCCCAAAGTGCTGGGATTACAGTCATGAACGACTGTGCCTGGCCCAGAAACACATTGCTTAATTTTCATAAAATTCTGTGGTTTTAAGAGATCTGATTGGTATTGATTTCTATTTTTACTGCACTGTGGTCCAAGAGTATGGTTCATATGACTTCCTTTTCTTTAATTTGTTGAGAATTGCTTTATGGCCAAATATGTGGTTAGTTTTAGAGTATGTCACGTGCAAGTAAGATGAATGTATATTCTGTTGTTGCTGAGTAGAGTGTTTTGTAGATGTCTGTTAGGTCTATTTTATCAAGTGCTGAGTTTAGGTCCAAATATCTTTGTTAGTTTTCTGTCTCAATAATCTGTCTAATACTGTTGGTGTGGTGTCAAAATCTCCTACTAATATTATGTGGTTGTCCAAGTCTTTATAATTCTCTATAAACTTGTTTTAGACTGAAAAACTATATAAAAAATCAAATAAGTCAAAGAGAATCAGAAATGACAAAATGAGCATTATTACTGACCCCACAGAAATATATAAAATCCTCAGAGACTATTACAGACACCTCTATGCACATAAATTAGAAAACCTGGGAGAAATGGATAAATTCCTGGAAGCATACGACCTCCCAAGACTGAAACAGCAACAAATTGAAACGCTGAGGAGACAGATAATGAGTTCAGAAATTGAATCAGTAATTAAAAAAAAAACGTACCAATCTTTGAGAAAGCCCTGGACCAGATGGAGTCATAGCCAAATTCTATCACACATATAAAGAAGAGCTGGCACCAATCCTACTGAAACTATTCCAAGAAATCAAGGAGGGACTCCTCCCTAACTCATACTATGAGGCCAGCATCATTCTAAAACCAAAACCTGGCAGAGACACAATGAAAAAATAAAAATTCAGGCCAATATCCCTGATGGATACAGAGACAAAAATCATCAACAAAATACTAGCAAATTGAATCCAGCAGCACATCAAAAAGTTAATTCACTATGATCAAGTATGGTTTATTCCTGGGATGCAAAGTTGGATCAACATATGCAAATTAATAAATGTGATTCATCACATAAATAGAACTAAAAACAAAAACCACATGATCATCTCAATACATGGAGAAAGGCTTTCAATAAAATTCAATATACCTTTATGTTAAAAACCCTCAACAAACTAGGCACTGAAGGAACATATCTCAAAATAATAAGAGCCATATATGACATACCCATAATCAATATAATTCTGAATACCCAATAACTGGAAGTATTCTCCTTGAGAAGCAGAAGAAGACAAGCATGTCCACTTTCACCTCTCCTATTCAACATAGCTCTGGAAGTCCCAGCCAGAGCAATCAGGCAAGAGAAAGAAATAAAATACATCTAAATAGGAATTGGGGAAGTCATACTATTTCTCTTCACAGACGATACGATTTGATAAGTAGAAAACCCCACGGTCTCTACTTTAAGTTCCTAGATCTGATAAACAACTCAAAGTTTCAGGATAAAAATTAATGTACAAAAATCCATCGAATTTCAATATACCAATAACATCCAGGCAGAGAGCAAAGTCAAAAATGTAATCCCATTCATATAGCCACAAAAAGATTAAAATACCTAGGAATACAGTTAAACAGGGAGGATAAAGACTTCTACAGCAAGAATTACAAAACACTGTTGAAAGAAATCAAAGATGACATAAACAAATCGCAAAATATTCCATGTTCATGGATAGGAAGAATCAATAAGGTTAAAATGGCTCTACTGTCACAGGATCCTTTGGAGTGTTGCTTTACTAGCTGGAAACTTCTGTGGATGGTGATGCCTTTGCCCGAGTTCTGCTCAGAACCTCTGGGCTCGTCTGCCCACTCGGCCTGTCATGCTGTGCTCAGCTTGCGCTACCCGTCTGGATCCCACACCTCCCAAGGGCAAGCCAGGTGTGGAGCAGTGAAAGGTGTGTGAGCGAGTGAGCGTGGGGTCCAGCCACTGTGCACAGGTGTCAGAGCCCTGGCTCGGGGAGCTCCCAGATCTGAGGTCCCCGAAGAGCCGCAGTTTTCTCCTTTTCTCTCCTCTACCTCTCATCACAGGCGACGTCGCAAACAACAGGTGTGTTTTAGCCTTGTATGTGTTACAGCTCATTCAGCCCCACCATTCAGCAGGTCTCGAGTTCTTGTCCCACATCCAGGAAGACTGAGGTACAGGGACAAGTGGAGGGTGAGCAAGGTGAAGAGGTGCTTTATTGAGCAACAGAACCACTCAGAGGAGACCCCCAGTGGGTTTATCCTCTCCACAGGAAGTTTGTCCCAATGAAAGCCCAGATCTCAGCAGGGAGGAACCCCACAGTGGGTAGCTCCTCTCCACAGGCAGGCCATCCCATCATCTGTCAAGTCTGGCTGAGTCCAGGGTTTTTATAGTGTTCAGAGGGGAGGAAGTGTGTGCTGATTGGTCCATTGGTAGCCATGGGTAGGCCCAGAAAAAGCATTATAAGTTTTCTCTCTGGTCCGTGGAACTGGCAGGCTGGCCCCCAGTTCTCAGGCTGTCTCTGACCTAATGATTGGGTTTCACCATGGACCAGCCCCTTTCCACCCAGGAGCCAGTCTGCATCCTGCCACCATTAACCTTCCATCCATGATGCCCACAGTTCCCAGGCTTTTTGTGCTGAGGGGTGCCTGCAGGCCTGTGCCAAGATGCCCTCAGCCCCCACTTGGCCTTTCTCCCATGTTGTCAGCATCCAAAGTCCAAAGGGGATCGAGGCAGCAAAGTGCTGGCATGGCAGTGCTGCCCTGAGCGTGTGCACACCCAGCTGGTTCATGACAGCACCCTGGCTCTCCCACAACTTTGCTCTGAAATCAGAGCAGGTGCAGGAAGAGACCAGGCAGTAGGAGCAGGCACTTCCATGCCTGCATTGTCGGGGGGCTTCCCAGGCTCTTGAGAGTGCAGAGATGTCTGGGTCCACCGCCTTGGTTGGGCAGCTGCAGCGGGGTTCCCACTCCTCCAACTTGGAAGGGGGCGGGGCTTCCACCTGTTGCCAGCTCCTGCTGGCTACAGGGAGTGCACAGCCCCAGCTGCACCTATCCCACTGAAGCTGGCATCGTGGCAGCGGCTGCTCCAGATGGGTCTTTGTTGCCGTCAATACTACCCAAAGCAATGTACAGATTCAATGCTATTTCATCAAACTTCCAACATCATTTTCCACAGAATTAGAAAAAAACTATTCTAAAATTCATATAAAACAAAAATGGAGCCTAAATAGCCAAAGCAGTCCTAAGTAAAAGGAACAAAGCTGGAGGCATAACATTACCTGACTTCGAATTAAATGACAAGGTTATAGTAACTCAAATATCATGGTACTGGGCAAAAACAAACACACCAACAAAGGAATAGATTAAATAACCCAGAAATAAAGCCACGTACCTAAAAACCATGTGATCTTTGATAAAGCTGAGAAAAACAAGCAATGGAGAAAGGACTCTATTAGATAAATGGTGCTGTGTTAACTGGCTAGCCATATGCCCAAGTTTGAAATTGGACCACTTCCTTTCACCATATACAAAAATTAACCCAAGATAGTTAAAGACTTAGACTTAAATGTAAAACCAAAAGCTATGAAGAACGTAGAAGAAAACCTAAGCAGTACCATTCTGGATATAGGCTGTGGCAAAGATTTCTTTATGAAGACTCCAAAAGCAATTGCAAAAAAAAATGACAAATGGGATCTAATTAAACTAAAGAGCTTCTGCACAGCAAAAGAAACTATTAACAGAATAAAGAATTTACAGAATGGGAGAAAGTTTTTGCAAACTATACATCCAGCAAAAGTCTAATCCAGCATCTATAAGGAACTTATAGGAGAAAAACAAGTGGGCAAAGGACATGAATAGACACTTTTCAAAAGAAAACAAATATGCAGCCAACAATCACTTGAAAAAAAAGGTCAACAACACTGATCATTTGAGAAATGCAAATCAAAACCACAATGAAATACAACCTCATATCAGTCAGAACTGCCATTATTAAAAAGTCAAAAAGTAATGGATGCTGAAGAGGTTGTAGAGAAAAAGGAATGCTTATACATTGTTGGTGTGATTGTAAATTAGTTCAACCATTGTGGAAGCCAGTGTAGCCATTCCTCAAAGACCTAAAGACAAAAATACCATTCGACCTACCAATCCCATTACAGAGTATATACCAAAAGGAATATAAAATTTTTCTATTATAAGGACACATGCTCATGTATATTCATTGCAACACTATTCAAAATAGCAAAGACGTGGAATCAACCTGGATGTCCCTCAGTAGTTAAATGGCTAAAGAAATCATTGCACATATACACTATGAAATACCACACAGCCATTAAAAAGAATGAAATCATTAATTACTAATTTATCAAGATGTCTTATTTAAGGTGAACATGTGGGCAATCTTGGTAGTCATGGACCTGAAGTAAGAACCAGATGTAAGGTATAGTTTCAGTATAGTCACCCTCAAGGTTCATGGGCCCTAAGCAAGGAGGTAGAACTTCCCGAGAGGGTAGGTGATTTCTCAAAGCTTGGTAGTTAAGAAACTAGGTTGCAGGCGATAAGCATATTGAGCAAAAATGATTGGACTTAGATGTACTGTGTAAGATGAATGACTGAATATACTTAGCATGTCCTTTGTAGAAACATGAATGTAGCTAAAAGCTATTATCCTAAGCAAATTAACACAGGAACAGAAAATCAAATACTTCATAAGTGTGAGCTAAACATTGAATACACATGGACACAAAGAAGGGAACAATAGTTACCTATTCAGGGTGGGGGTGGGAAGAGGGTAAGGAATGACAAACTACCTCTTGGGTACTACGCTCGCTATCTGAGTGATGAAATAACAAAACTCCAGTGACACACAATTTACACATGTACCAAACCTGCACATGTACCCGCAAACCTAAAATAAAAGTTGGAAGGAAAACAAATAAAACATAATTATTTGTTGTAACAAATAACTATTAGGGAACCATTCTTTTCTCATCATATGGAAGTGCTAGAATGAAAAGATTGTCCTCTTTCTCGTCAAAGTCAGTATTTCTCCTAAACAGACATGATCGATCTCATTGGTGAGTTTAAGAAAAGGAACAGGCAGCCACCATTCTACTTTACGATTCTAGGAGTCAATGATTCCACGTAAAAGTGAGATCCTTCAGTATTTGTCTTTCTGTATGTGACTTATTTCACATAGCATAATGCCCTCTAGGTTCATCCATGTTGTTACAAATAGCAGAATTTCCTTCTTTAAGGTTGAATAATATTCCATTGTATAATATGCATACATCATGTTTTCTTTATCCATTGACATCTCAATTGATATTTAGGTAGTTTCCATATTTTGGCTATTGTGAGTATTGCTGCAATGAAAACACAAGTGCAGATATCTCTTCAGAATCCTGATGTTAATTCATTTGGATAAATAACTAGAAGTAGGATTGCTGGATCATATGGAAGTTCTGTTTTTTGAAGAACCTCCATACTGTTTTCCACAAAGACTATGCCAATTTCTATTCCAAATAAAAGGGTACAGAGTTTCAGTTATGCATGAAAATTAAGTTCTGGAGATCTGCTAACTCTATAGTGTCTATAGCTCACAATACTGCAATGTATGCTTAAACTTTGCCAGAAGAGTAGATCTAATGGTAAGTGTTCTTGCCATAAAAAATTAACAATAATAATAAAAATAATAAAGAGGGTGGGAGGAAACTTCAGGAGGTGATAGATATGTCTATTGTCTTGATGGTGGTGATGCTTTCACAGCTTTAGGCTTATCCCCCAACGCATTGAGTTGTTTACATTAAGTATGTACAACTTTTTACATGTCAATCATAACAAAAGAATGCTTTCTAACAAACAACCCCATCAAAAAGTGTGTGAAGGATATGAACAGACAGTTCTCAAAAGAAGACATTTATGCAGCCAAAAAACACATGAAAAAATGCTCATCATCACTGGCCATCGGAGAAATGCAAATCAAAACCACAATGGCATACCATCTCACACCAGTTAGAATGGCGATCATTAAAAAGTCAGGAAACAACAGGTGCTGGAGAAGATGTGGAGAAATAGGAACACTTTTACACTGTTGGTGGGACTGTAAACTAGTTCAACCATTGTGGAAGTCAGTGTGGCGATTCCTCAGGGATCTAGAACTAAAAATACCATTTGACCCAGCCATCCCATTACTGGGTATATACCCAAAGGATTATAAATCATGCTGCTATAAAGACACATGCACACGTATGTTTATTGTGGCACTATTCACAATAGCAAAGACTTGGAACCAACCCAAATGTCCAACAATGATAGATTGGATTAAGAAAATGTGGCACATATACACCATGTAATACTATGCAGCCATAAGAAAGGATGAGTTCATGTCCTTTGTAGGGACATGGATGAAGCTGGAAACTATCATTCTCAGCAAACTATCGCAAGGACAAAAAACCAAACAGCGCATGTTCTCACTCATAGGTGGGAATTGAACAATAGAACACATGGACACAGGAAGGGGAACATCACACACCGGGGTCTGTTGTGGGGTGGGGGGAAGGGGGAAGGATAGCATTAGGAGATACACCTAATGCTAAATGACGAGTTAATGGGTACAGCACACCAACATGGCACATGTATACATATGTAACACACCTGCACGTTGTGCACATGTACCTTAAACCTTCAAGTATAATAATAATAAAATTAAATTAAATTAAAAAGATAGTAAAATTTTTAAAAAATGCTTTCTAAAAAAGAAATAAAGCAAAGGAATAGGACTTGCTTCTTTCTTTTATTTCAGATATGCTGAGCTGCAGAAGGTACAGGATCTCTCTTCAACCGCATGACAATGTTTTAGGGTAGATCCTGCACTTCAAAGAAACTTCTTCAGTATTGCGAGGGGCAATAAGTTTTGTAATGGGTTAAACTATAAGGAAATCATTGTAACCACCATCTCAGTCACATTCTCTACTTATAATCACCATCTGTCTGACACCCGTGTGTATCTTTTTACTGGACTAAACCCAAGAAAGGAATTAACAGGTATGATCTATTAGGTCTCTAAAACCTAGGAAATATTAGTAGAGTGTGGTTCTGGAGTAAACTTCTTATTCTGGTTTTGGGCTAATTTGATACCAAATTTTTGCTGTTTTTCTTATTACCAATCTGATCCTTCCTCATTATTAAATGTCTTCCATGCTCCACCCTGTTTCTATTCCAGGTATGTCGCTGTCTGCATAATATGCAAACCTAACACTTGAGTGCTGATCATGTAAAAGATACTGTAAGTTTACAAGTACCATTGAATTTAAATGAAATTTAAATTCAAATCAACCATATAATATAGGTACTTTTATTTTTCCAATGTAAACAATTTACCAAGCTTAAGGAACTTCAATAGCCATTATGAGATCATATATCTGGAAGATGGTAGAACTGAAGTTCAAACCCAGTTTTAGATAATTCTAAATCCCATGGTTTTGAAATGTTTCAGGTTAAACAATCCTGACAAAAATCCAGTTAATTCTACAGATGTAATAGTTATTTGTTGTATTATTTAAATAGTTGAACAACTACCTAATAACTATTTGTAATGTGCCAGTCACTGTTGTATGTGCTGGCCATAGAATACTGAACAAGACTGAGAATATTTTTTGCTCAAGAAACATGACGGAAGGGGGATGAGTAAATTACTAGATGGATGGATGGATGGATAGATAGATAGATAGATAGATAGATAGATAGATAGATAGATAGATTTAAATAGTGAAAGGGTGCTACAAAGGATATAAAAAAAGAAGCTAATGGAATCAACACTGATGGAATTGAGAAAGGGGATGCAGCAAGACCAGTTTAGACTGGATGATGCCAGGAAGCCTCTCTGCATCAGTGATTTTTTAGCTCAGCCCTGAAGGAGAAGTCAGCAAAGAGAAAATCTTCAGTTATGACATGGATGAAGCTGGAAACCATCATTCTCTGCAAACTATCGCAAGGATAAAAAACCAAACACTGCATGTTCTCACTCATAGGTGGGAACTGAACAATGAGAACACATGGACACAGGAAGGGGAACATCACACACCGGGGCCTGTTGTGGGGTCGGGGGAGTGGGGAGGGATAGCATTAGGAGATATACCTAATGTTAAATGAAGAGATAATGGGTGCAGCACACCAACATGGCACATGTATACATATGTAACAAACCTGCACGTTGTGCACATGTACCCTAAAACTTAAAGTATAATTTAAAAAAAAAGAGAAACAGAAGTGTGAAAGGGAAAGAACATAAATTCTGAAGGCAGGCCTTTTGCATTTGAAACCTGTAGAACATACCACATGTGTGACCATATGCAAGCTATTCCATGTTATTTTTTGTCAGTTTTCCTTTATAAAATGGAGAAGATAATCACACTTCATAGGTTTGTTATGTCATTAAATGACTTAATTTATACAAAAGGCTTAGGCTAGTGCCTCAACGTAGCAAACAATATGTTAGTGTTTGGTACCACCACCATCACACCATCGTCATCTTCATTATCCTCATTCCAAGTAGAACAAGTGGCTTTTCAAGGCTTTAAAGCTGCTTTCTGACACCACTATTATTATTACCCCAAATTTACAGAAGACTGAGGCCAGACTCAGCTGATTTTCTATTCCAGCTGTCCAAGTACACTGAATAGTAAGAAATGCACTAAAGTTTAATTGTTACTTTCAGTTTTTGTGTCTGAGGCTAAAGGTAATAATCACTTGTTTTAAGAAATATAAATAATTTGGAGTTAAATAAACTTATAAGGAATTATGCAGGTATTAGTATTTTATTACCATAATATCACAGTACTGGATAGAGCTCATACTGGTTTTTATAAAATAATATTTGTACTCAAATGTATTAAAATAATGGTACAAAGAAAATATTTTCTGTATTTTTGGATCCCCAAATCTAAAGTTCTTATTGGAGTATTACACAGTATGTTTTTCTGATTTCTACTGACTTAATCATAAGAATATATATTCACTCATACATATATTCAGTTAAATGAAAATTACTCAAGACAAGATATTTTAGTGAATCAATTATACTTGGATAACATTATTTTCACAGTCTTATTTCAAGGATCTGGAAATAGTTTATTCTTATAAAATGTTGATAAACCAGTGAAAAATGAAGTAAACTGAGGAAGGTGATTTGTTGTCATTAGACTTGTATGTACTTGTACATAATTGGATTAGCTAATTTAGAAAAAATAATGATATGTATAAATCTTTCCTAAACACACGAAGATCATCAGAATTGTTCTACTGAAACTCTTTGAGAATTGAAACCTTTGTGTAGATTCCAGCTTACAGCCATTATCTATCACTGTCATCATATGAAAAAAAAAAAGGTACACCTTCTCATGCTGAGTTTGAAAACATAGAAGGAAAATGGCGAGTAAATTTTAATGTATAAATTGATTACTAAGATATTCCATGGCAATGTAGTGCTCTTCACCAAGTCAATTTTAATGCCTATATATTTTTTAAAGAATTCAGAATAAGCAATCAGTAACATAAATTGACCTGCGGCTGAATCACTTTATTTAAGTGACTAGGAAATACATTAATGAGAGGAAGAAAAATTGTGAAGTATTTACATGTGGCTTGGATTATCATTCCCTGATTTTCTATATCTATAGCCATATCTGCTTTCTGTTTCTGTACTGTAATATCTAGTTATATCCATTAAACATGTGATAAGCTTTTTTGATGGTGATAAAATTTTAAGGAATTTAAAATATTTTCAATGTACACATTAAGGATGTACTCCTCAACATGCACGTATCAAACTAAACTACAGGGTTACAGTAACCAAAACAACATGGTACTGGTACAAAAACAGGCACATAGACCAATGAAACAGAACAGAAAGCCCAGAAAGAAGGTCGCACATCTATGACCATCTTATCTTTGACAAAGCTGACAAAAGCAACGGGGAAAAGACTCCCTGTTTAATAACTGGGATAACTGGCTAGCTATATGCAGAAGATTGAAGCTGGACCCCTTCCTTACACCATATAGAAAAATCAACTCAAGATGGATTAGACTTAAATCTAAAACCCAACACTATAAAAACCCTGTAAGACAACATAGGCAATACCATTACAATATTACAGTTACTTATATAAATAGAAATATTTAACTAATTTATTTGTTTACTCTTTTCATTTAACACATTTTTAAAGCTATTTTTTGTTTTTAGCTCTTTTTACTATTTTTAGCTCATGCACAGGTGGTCTTGCATTATTATACATAAAATTTATGTAAGTCTAATACGGGGTTAATCCCATTTATATTATCTTTGTGAATATTTTATTTTTATCAATTTCTTTTGGTGAAGTAATATAATGCAGACTCTACAAGTAAAAGTCATATGGTCATATAATCTATGTTAAAGGAGAAAATACATTTTTTATCTCATTAAACTATAATTTAGTATTACTTTAAATTTCTCTTAAATGAAAGTCAAGTCTTCCTTTCAAAATATTTTCTTTCTTCCTTCTCTAATTCCCCAAGAACATACTTTGAATATCCTTGTTATAAACTTCAAATTAGTTTTTGATTCTTTTTTCCCCTTTCACTTCAATACATTCATTTAGATACTAATTCATGTAACTTTTTATCCCCATATTATTTGAATTTAATAAGGAACATAGCAAGTCATAATTTACCTTGCGTTACATCCAATCTCATCTACTTTTATTCACTTTACATTGAACTCTTTATCAAGAATGGTACTAATAATTTTACTCTTTGCCTCATAAACATTTAGTTACCTACTGATACAGTTCAGTCTCTTTGTGCTACTATCCAAGGTCAGAAATCTAAGTTTTCTTTGTGGAGAGAATTATGTCAGCTGAATGAGTACGTAATTTCAATAATAATGTCTAGAATATTGACTAAATTATTTTTTCAACCAAAGGGCTCTCACGGCACATGCATGACATTCTGCTGCCTTTATGGACTACATTAGAACCTCTGTGTCCCAAATTGTCTGTAATGTATTCTGTGATCCTGTATAATTCCATTATTATTATTATACCATTACTATTCCTATTACTTGCTTGCTTAGCTCCGTCTTACCTATGTTTGGTTAGGTATTGCTATGGGCTGAATGTGCCCCCCCTCCACCCCACTTAAGTTCGTATGTTGAAATGCTAACCGCCAATGTGATGGTATTAGGTTCTGGGGCCTTTGGGAGGTGATTAGATCACAAGGGTGGAGCTTTCAAGAATGGAATTAGTGTCCATATAAAAGAAACCAGAGAGCTTGTTTTATGTCTCTGCTCTCAGTCATGTTCATTTGCATAGAACATTTATATTTAACTACCTTTAGTGTTTTCCAATGAAAAAGGTAACACAGATATTTATGGATAAATAACAACAGACAGATCAAAATCTTAAGACTGACAGACCCTTTCACACTTTTTACATTTACTCTATAAACTGAAGGACACCCATCACTCTACTCTGCTATTGAAATTGTACCACAAAATTTGAAACCCAGAGAATTAATAAACAATTTACAAGGAAGCTGATATTTTGCTTGGAATTTCAGATTGCATTCATCTTCAAGCTTTCTTGTGAATAACTGTGTAAAAGTAAAATTCACATTACAATTATTTCTGTGAAAACATACTGCTGAACATCCATTACGAATGTAGCATATTTTTAGACATTTTTGAGGATAGGGTGAAAGAATTAGCTCTAACATAAACACATATAAATAGTGAGGGAAACTTCAAATAATTTATCATCAAACATTGTAAACAAATTATACAAAGTACTTATACTACTTAAAAGAAATCGAGGTCAATGAAAGTTAGATAAGTCAGTAAAGACACATCTAGGATGTAATCTGGCCATTTATTAGGGAGAAGATAAAATATATAATAACCTATAAATGAAAATAAATAAATAAAGTCACAGTATGAAAACTATGATGTTCAAATTTGCATTTTAGAGAAAAGGGAAATGGAAATGCTTGGCCAACTCAGGACATAGAATAGCTTATACAGCCAAAACAACTATGTGCTTTCTTACATTACTAACTGGAAACAAAGATCTCTACTTTCTGCAACTCACCCAGAGTACTGAGCATGCAAGAAAACCTTGTGGTCAAAGCATCTGAGGATAGATTCCTGGCACTCTACCTGTCTTAGTTCAGGTTGCTATAATGGAAACACCATAGACTAAGTGGCTTAAAAGACAGAAATCTATTTCTCACACTTCTGGAGGTTAGAAGTCTAATATCAGGGTAACAGCAGATCTGGTTTCTGGTGACCACACAACTTCTGGATTTGCAGATGAACATCTTCTCCTTGTTCATCTGCTTTTTGAAAACTTATATTGATTCTTAGCGATTACATTGTTTTCTATATGTTTAAAACTGATCTGCATAATATTTATACTTTTCCCAAAGGCCTCCAGTTTACATAATTTGTTAGCTACTTTTTCTCTAGTTTATCCAAACCTCTCCTCTATTCTTTATTTCTTACCTCTATCTGATAATTCACGCCATATATGTTGATATTTTGATTACTGGAATCTCTTTTATTTTCTTAGCCTATCAGAGATAATTGACAGTGGTTCAGATTATGTAAACCCATTTTATATAATGAGGGTATAATTAATTTAAACAACTAGGTGCTTTAAAAACTGCATTTCTCATCAATTATTGCTTTATAATTGAATATTTTACCCTCCTGGACACAGGAACTGGCAAAGATTTAATGACAAGGATACCAAAAGCAATCACAACAAAAGCAAAAATTGACAAGTGGAATCTAATTAAACTAAAGAGCTTCTGCACAGCAAAATAAACTATCAACAGAGTAAACAGAAAACCTACAGAATGGGAAAAATTTTTGCAAATTATGCATCAGATAAAGGTCTTATCCAACATTTATAAGGAATTTAAACAAATTTACAAGAGGAAAGCAAACAGCCCCATTAAAAAGTGAGCAAAGAACATGAACATATACTTCGCAAAAGAAGGTATTTATGTGGCCACAAGCACATTTTTAAAAGCTCAATATCACTGATCATTAGAGAAATGCAAATCAAAACCACAGTGAGATACCATCTCACAACAGTCAAAATGGCTATTACTAAAAAGTTAAAAAACAAAAACAAAAACAAACAAACAAGAAAACCAGACTCTGGCGAAGTTGCCAAGAAAAGGGAACATTTATACACTGTTGGTGGGAAGGTAAATTAGTTCAACCATTGGGGAAAGCAATATATAACAATTTCTCAAACTGCTAAAAGCAGAACTACGATTCAACCCAACAATACCATTACTGGCTACACACCCAGAGGAATATAAATTATTTTACCATAAAGATAGAGGCATGTAAATGTTCATTGCAGCACCATTCACAATAGCAAAGACATGGGATCAACCTAAATGCCCATCAATGACAGATTAGATAAAGAAAATATGGCACACATACACCATGGAATACAAAATACAGCCATAAAAAAGAATGAAATTATGTCTTTTGCAGGAACACGGATGGAGCTGGAGGCTAATATCCTTCTTAAATACCGCATGTTCTCATGTATAAGTGGGAGCTAAATGATAAGAACTTAAGAACACAAAGAAGGGTACAACAGACACTGGAGTCTACTTGAGGGTAGAGGGTAGAAGGAGGGAGAGATGCAGTAACAATAACTACTGGGCACTGGGCTTAATACTTGGGTGATAAAATGATCTATCCAACAAACCACCATGACACGAGTTTACCTACATATTATAACAAACCTCCACATGTACCTCTGAACCTAAAATAAAAGTTTAAAAATTAAGTAAAAAAAATTATCTTTCACTCTTTGATTTTAAAAATCCTGGAAACAGTTGTTAATATGAACATTTATGCATTAAAAACAAAACTCAAATCAACAAGTTGGAATTCTACCTTAAAAGAAGCAACATAAAATTCAAAGAAGGTCAAATATAACATTCTGCATTTATACAACAGAAATCAATTGGGTATGTATATAGTCTGAGGAATACGAATAAAAATCATTGCATGTGAAGGAAATTTAGGAATTATCTAAATGTAATTTGTCCATATTATACTCTAAACCAACAGTGGGATGTGTCAAGACTCATCAAGGGGTAGGTCAGTCTGTCATAGAAATGAGAGTGATACAGAAATTAAGGATTTTGGATAGGCCCTTGGAGAAGCAATTTCTACAATCATCCCAGGAGGTTTACAAGCCAACCTTGGACAAAGAGAAATATGCTTAAATAAATAACATAAATAGCATAGACAATAACATAAGTAGCATAGACAATAACAAAAGACGGCATAGAGAATATGGTTACTGAAGTCCATAAAAAATTAGTAATGGGAGTTTCTATAGATGTAAGGATTAATTCAGCTTAAAATCTCAAAGGCAGAGCTTACATAAGGTGTCATAAGTGTACTGAGGTGATAAGGGTGGAAATAATTCACATTTAGGAGTTTACAAAAACACTCAATCTTATTCATGTTTGTATCACAGGGTCTGATACAAGGTAAAATATTATTGAGTAAATTACCATTAAAAAGGACAAAATCTTATACAGGGAAAGACCAAACAGATATAAGATTAGAAGTGGAGGTTGGCTTTGTAATTTTTTAATTTGTTTTAAATTTTAATGGCCAACTTGAAAACCACTGTGTTACAAATTTCTTACTTTAAGGCCATATTTTTTACTTAAAAATTGTAATTTCTATCCTACCCCCTGGTAAGACCTAACATTTTCCTGGCTTGGGTAAGCATTCCCTGAGGAATTACAGATAGGAAAAAAAGGCTGCCCATGGAGGAAAGAATATTAAAGCCAGATTGTGAAGGGTCTTGAAGATGGTTCTAAGGAGTTTGGACCTTATCATAAAGAAAAATATTATAGCAAGTTTGTGTCTCTTAAAGTAAATTTTATCTTCATTATGGCAGATAGTTTAATGTAGAAATATTAAAGATAAGCAAAATTATTACGAGATTTTACAGGGTTAATAATATTGAACTACAAAAAGTAGAGCAATAAGTTAAATAACATTATCAGGAGTCAAATAAGATCAATTCAGAAAATGCGGAACATTCTAAAATACAATTGATCTGTTTATTCCCAATAATATATTTATGGGAAAAAATAGGAAGATGAAAAGATATTTAAGAGACATAATAAATAAAATCAATAATATTTGGTTGGATACTGACATCCTCCCCCAGAAAAAAAAATACATTTTTGTGACTTGGGGAAATCTGACTTATCAGTTGTCAGGTTATTAGACAATCTAGTAATGTTAACGGATAACTTCCAGAAGTTATGTGTAATTTTGATATAATGACATAGAGTTGTTAATATATTTAGGGATGAATTGTCACCATTATTGTATTGTACTATAAAATGCTATAGCTAAAAATAAATATATAAACACATAAAATATATAGGTGATATATAAAATATGCAACAAATATAAAATATTGAAAATAGTTTTGGATAGAGGTGATGAGTATGTTGTACTTATTTTAATATTCACTATGCTTTTAAGTATACTTAGCTGTTTTGAAATAAATAGTTTAAAAAAGCTATTACATTAGTTTACGTTTTAGAAAACCTCAAAATGCAAGGATCAGCTAGGTAAGCAAACCAGTATTTTGGAAAATGAGAAAAGCACTTTGGGAGGCCAAGGCAGGAGAATTGCTTGAGCCTAGGCATTTGAGACTAGCTTGGGGCAACATAGTGAGACCCTATCTCTACCAAAAGTTTTTAAAAAAAAAAAATTAGCCAAACATGGCAGTGCATGCCTGTAGTCTCAGCTACTCAGGAGGGTGAGGTGGGAGGATTTCTTGAGCCTGAGAGGCTGCAGTGAGCCAAGATTGTGCCACTGCACTCCAGACTATTAGACGCAGCAAGACTCTGCTCCAAAAAATAAATAAATAAATAAATAAAGGTGGGGGGTGGGGGGGGGAGGAGAGAGAGAAGAGAAACTAGAATTATGAATAATACTAAAGCACAAAATTTTATAAAGTAGGTGGTACTTCAAAAACAGGTCTTCAAAATAATGTAGTTTTTTATTTCCTTCTTCAGGATCAAGCCATTTAAAATTTTAAATGTAAAACTCATCCATTATTATCCACTAAAATTGCAAATTTAATAATCACATAGAATAAAAAATGCTGCATCAAAGTAGTTGTTAGAAATCATTAAAGCTAACTTTTGAGAAGGGCAGTTGCTTTTGTAATATTTTTACCCATCTCCTCTTTACATGGGTGTTTATTCATTTAAACTTGATCTGTACCTGTTCTCTTTCTATTTATGAGTCCCAGCTTCTCATTCTTGGGTAATTGAAGTGTTTCATCTTCAAAGTACCTCTTCTCAGGTCCTGAATAGCTTACATCCTAATACTCTAATTCTCAAAGGCTTATCTGCTACACTGATATCAGAGGGTCCTTATGAAAGAAACATTAAGGACCATACGAGATGACAGTTAAACTCAAATTATGTAATGAGGTTCCTCTGTGACTTTAGAATTTGTCATAGTCTATCGCATCTGGGTTATTCAAGTCATATCTAAGACAGCACTAACTATAAAATGCACCAATAACATGCATTTGCCACTAGGGTCTTTACCTGTGTCACTTACTCTTTTTTTTAATTTTTATTATTTTTATTTTTTATTTTATTATTATTATACTTTAAGTTTTAGGGTACATGTGCACAATGTGCAGGTTAGTTACATATGTATACATGTGCCATGCTGGTGTGCTGCACCCATTCTTGTCATTTAGCATTAGGTATCTCCTAAAGCTATCCCTCCCCCCTCCCCCCACCCCACAACAGTCCCCAGAGTGTGATGCTCCCCTTCCTGTGTCCATGTGTTCGCATTGTAAAATTCCCACCTATGAGTGAGAACATGCGGTGTTTGGTTTTTTGTTCTTGCGATAGTTTACTGAGAATGATGATTTCCAATTTCATCCATGTCCCTACAAAGGACATGAACTCATCCTTTTTTATGGCTGCATAGTATTCCATGGTGTATATGTGCCACATTTTCTTAATCCAGTCTATCACTGTTGGACATTTGGGTTTGTTCCAAGTCTTTGCTATTGTGAATAGTGCCACAATAAACATACTTGTGCATGTGTCTTTATAGCAGCATGATTTATAATCCTTTGGGTATATACCCAGTAATGGGATGGCTGGGTCAAATGGTATTTCTAGTTCTAGATCTCTGAGGAATCGCCACACTGACTTCCACAATGGTTGAACTAGTTTACAGTCCCACCAACAGTGTAAAAGTGTTCCTATTTCTCCACATCTTCTCCAGCACCTGTTGCTTCCTGACTTTTTAATGATTGCCATTCTAACTGGTGTGAGATGGTATGTCATTGTGGTTTTGATTTGCATTTCTCTGATGGCCAGTGATGATGAGCATTTTTTCATGTGTTTTTTGGCTGCATAAATGTCTTCTTTTGAGAAGTGTCTGTTCATGTCCTTCACCCACTTTTTGATGGGGTTGTTTGTTTTTTTCTTCTAACTTTGTTTGAGTTCATTGTAGATTCTGGATATTAGCCCTTTGTCAGATGAGTAGGTTGCGAAAATTTTCTCCCATTTTGTAGGTTGCCTGTTCACTCTGATGGTAGTTTCTTTTGCTGTGCAGAAGCTCTTTAGTTTAATTAGATCCCATTTGTCAATTTTGGCTTTTGTTGCCATTGCTTTTGGTGTTTTAGACATGAAGTCCTTGCCATGCCTATGTCCTGAATGGTATTGCCTAGGTTTCCTTCTAGGCTTTTTATGGTTTTAGGTCTAATGTTTAAGTCTTTAATCCATTTTGAATTAATTTTTGTATAAGGTGTAAGGAAGGGATCCAGTTTCAGCTTTCTACATATGGCTAGCCAGTTTTCCTCTTAAAAAGTTGTACTGCTGCAGTGATGTATTCACTGCCTTAATAATAGGTTGTAATTGTCCTCTTTCATTCACAGAAAAATCTGGTGAGCCGTGTAAACTGGAATAGCATTTAACTTCTAAAATAAGACTTGCACCAGAATAACAATGCTTCACATATAATGGCAATAGTGATCCTCTCAACTGTATCTTTTGTCCTTTTCCTGAGTAAAGTTTAGACTGCCCTTATTCTGAAACTATTTCTAAATCTATTATTTAGATATGTTATTCAGTATATTCTCTCAAATGATAAATGCCTAAATAAGTTTAAGACACTATAAATGACACAGAACATGACCATGAAACATGCTATTAAAAATCCAAAGCAATGAAATAAGGCTAAAATCAAATCAGCCTTTGAATGTTTTAAGGAGATGGACACCACAAATGATAGAATTCATATTTTGTGATACTCTCCACTGAAGAGGACGTGTCCAGCACAAAGCCATGAAGAATATAGTTAAGATAAGTTTTTAGGTCCAACCAATATCTCAATGATTATGTGCAAAAGGATATGGCTATATTAATTTCATCTCTTGATTAAAGAAATCATAAAAATCAAACAAGATAGCCCACCTTTTTAGTTATTACAAGGACATATACGGTCATGTATCACTTACTGATGGTGATAAATTCTGGAAAATGTGCCCTTAGGCAATTTCATCATTGTGCGAACCTCATAGTGTACCTACACAAACCTAAATGGCATAGCTTACTACACACCTAGGTTAGATGGTATAGCCTACTGCTCCTAGGCTATACTATATACTATACTAGGTACAGCCTCCTGCTCCTAGGCTACAAACCTGTGCAACATGTTACTATACTGCATACTGTAGGCAATTGTAACACAATGGTAAGTACTTGTGTATCTAAATATATCTCAACATAGAAAAGGCATAGCAAAACCACAGCATTATACTTTATCATAATCTTATGAGATCATCATCATATATGTGGTCTGTCATTGATGAAATGTTCTGCAGCTCATGACTGTATTTTGAAAGGATAGGATAGTATTTAGAACACATGTAGAAATATTCTCTTATACAAAGCAAGACATTTTGACAGTGTATTTAAAATACTGTTGATTCAAAATATAACTATTATAAACATATTCAAATATTTTTATTATCTGTAGCAAATAAAACAGATTAACCATATTTAAATGTATTACTGTATTGTATGGCTTCCAACAAAATGGAATTAATATCACATTTGAGATATTTCATCTACAAAAAACACATCTGACTCAAAGAATACATTGCAAAATGTTTACTAAGTAATACCTAATGGTATATAGTAAAATAGAGGTAATAACTATATTTTATAATGACACTTTTTTTCTTTAGAAAATCAATTTTTGGTGACTCAAGTGAACTGCAAAAAAAAAAAGGGCAAATCATAACAGCACATTGAGCGTGCCCTACTTACAATCCAGCTAACTGCTCAAAAGAAAGACAGAGCTCGGTAGGACAACGATGCTTTCCCTTGTGTGCCTTTAGCAGGCAGTATCCCACACAACTACACAATATCACCCAAGGAATCATCAGGGTCTGCCTATTGATGTTGTGCTCTTCATTGTTTATGAATTGAGAAGGTGAGTTTCAGCACAAAGTGTTCTAGAAAACACCAGTCATCCTTCTGTTTTTTTCTCTTTGTTTTTGAACTTGAGGATCATAAGTTTGTTAAAATAGTTTCTGTTGACCTCATGGGCTGTATAGGCTCAACTAATCTCCTGATTATCTTTATTCTGTCTATCTGATGCTTTTTGATGGTAAGCTGTCATTTGTAACTAAGTTCATTCTTTCAAAAGTTTTTGTGACTTTTTTTCCTGTGGCATAAAGAAATCGGAATGATAACCTCCTTTTTGCTGTTTTAATTCAGCCAGGGTAACGTACCTTTTAATAGTAACCTCTTTTTTCCTTGTATTTGATTTTTGCGATCAACTATATTACCACTTGCTGGGTGACAGAGTAATACCCTGTCTCAAAATAATAATAATAATAATAATAATTGCCCTCTATCTCTGTCTTTCTGAGTTCCAGTAACAATCTCCTTCCTCTGTCTCCTTAAGCCAAAGGTGGTAATAGTTTGACATCCCTTTTCCCTTCCTCTACATCCTTCCCACATCTTCATAAATCACCCTTTATTAAACAATTTTTTAATCACTCCATGTTCATCCCCTTCTACTTTCATACTGGGACATTCATAATATTTTACTTACATTTGTACCATAGTGCTTAAAACACTATAACAGGTTATAAGTAGTTTCATAAACATTTATTTCTCCAATAAAATATGAGTTATTTGAAAAAATATCTTGTTTATACATATTTGTATCTTTCAGCACATGTGTTTTCCACATTATTGAGTACCCAATAAATATTTTTACAATTGAAATTTACTTTGAGATGTTTGGTCTTTCATATAAAGATAAAGAACAAAAGTTCAAACCCTTACTTTGGAAGCTAACATTTATCAGCTTACTGACTTTGCATATGTAATTTAATTTCTTTCTTAAATCACCTTTAGACATTGATGGAATTACATCAGCTATTGGTGAATGCAGAAAACCTTTAATGAAAGGTCATGGCCATGATTAGAGAATCAATGCTCTAAAGGGCACTGAATTAAATTTTTATCTTATTCTGTGGAAGATTAATTTAAGTGATTTTATCTTTTGCCAAAAAAAAAAAAATTGCCTTTTTTTTGATACCCTATGCACTGATGAAAATGTGTGCTGTTATTAAAGAAACAATCAGGACCATTCTGTGATGGAGAAAATAATGCTGCGGATGGCAACAGCCAACTTCAGTTTATAACATTCTTCTAACAATTCAATATATGGCATCTATAAAAAACCTAAATAAATAAACTAATTAGTACTGGGGAACTTTCATCTCATATTCTTTGCTTCTTATCCAACGACAAGATATTTGATTTTTTTTTACAGGCACACTTAGACACACACACACACACGCACACACAAAATCAAATGGTTATTGAATGTTTAAGCAGAACACTCTGTTAATCCTTAATAAATCTGTAATATACTTAGAAAAATAACAGATATATAACATTTATATGGCAATATAAAAGAGAAATGAACCTTCTATGCCATACCCAAAAATCATCCCTAAGTAGGCATGGCTATTGATCAAGTAAATGGCACAGGTAGTGATCATTATGAGACTTAAAAATTAAATCATTATAACAGGTCATGGAGGAAATGTGGTTTAAAATGGAAACTGAAGGACAGAAAAAGTTGGAGGAATATCTTTCAAACTAAGAAATACAATACACAAAAATACAAAAATGGAAAAGTATCAAGGATATTTAAAGAACGGCAATTATACATGACTAGTGTTGAGTACACTGACAAATATTTGGTTAATATTATGGCATAATTTGAACACCATTTGAAGGAGAATAATAATGTCTGAGTTGACAGTTGAAAGCTACATTTTAGCGATACAATTCTTTTCTTTTTTTTTTTTTTTAAGGAAACTAGATGTCCATTTACCTACCAAATAGATGTCTTGGATAAGTTACCTCACCTCTCTTTGCCTCGATTCCTTCAACCATGAAGTGGCATAGGAATATTGAAACAGGAAAAGTCCCCTTATGCCTTTGGCAGGGCATGCAATGAAGGTGTGGCTCGCTTCTTCGGTGCCCCGCTGCTCAAACCTCTAGCAGGAGCATGCAGACAGGCAGGTTGTGGGGTTCCCATCCCCACAGCGGCATTTAGGGCTGAATGTTTATAGCTGAAGCCCCAGCGGGCATGTGTTACAGGGTGCTCCTTCAGTGTAGCCATCCATAGATAGTTTGTGTTAGCTCGATTAAACCCCCTGCCTTATTGCAAGAACAGACGACTTTCTGTATCCCAGGGTTTCTTGCCTTGGTGTACTAGAAGAATGGGGTCACAGGTGGGCTTGGAGAATGAGTGCAAGGCTTTATTGAGTGGTAGTAGCTCTCAGCAGATGGGGGAGCCAGAAGGGAAATGGATTGGGAAGATGGTTTTCCCCTGGAGTCAGGCTGCTCAGCAGCCGGGCTCTCTTCCAACCTCTGGGGCCAAATTTTGTGCCATTTTGCCAGTCAATGGCAGCTGACCTGCTGGCGTTTGCTGGTGCATGTTGGTGTGCTCCTCCACTGGTGTGTTCCTTTTGATGTCCAGCCACTCGTGGGCATGCCCACTAATGTGTCAGGGTTTTTATAGTCACAGGATGGGGGTGTGGTGGGTCAGGGTGGTCTTGGGAAATGCAACATTTGGGCACGAAAACAGAAATGACTGTCCTCACCTAGGTCCATAGGCACAGGCGCAGGGGTGGAGCTTTAGCCAGGGACCGGCTCTTCTCTACCCAGCACTTCCCTACCCCCCTCTCATATCATTTCCCCCCTCTGAAGAGGTATAGCTAATTGCTATTAGGATATGGACAGTGACCAGTCTTAAGCTACTTCCTGCTGACAGGTGGCATTGTTTTGGGGAAAACAGCAGTCAGATCCCTCCCAGAGATCTATCTAAGGGTTTCTAGCACAGGGAAGCCATTGTCGGAGGCTGCGGTTGCCTGACTATTTGGAGTTTGATAGCTTCTAGGCGTGAGAGAAAAAACAAGTTTTATAAGGCTAAGTGTGCATGGGTTAAACATGTGTATTATGCAAGGAAATAATCTAGTGCCAAAGATTACAGAGATAAGAAGTGAAATATACCAACAATAACATCGTACCCTGAGCTGTTTCACCCTGGTGAAAGAAATTAAACCTTGTATGAGACTGGTTAAACTTTAGAAGAGAGCTAGAATTGTTCTTGTCGTATGTTTAGCAGATAACAGATGTAGCCTGAGAATTCTGGGGTTTGTGGGCTTGCCCAGTGGCTATTACAGCTTCTGCATCTTTCTTGTATTTCCCTTTCTCTATTGTAAAAGACCAAGGTAGCTATTTTCAGGAGGCCCTCTAATGTACTATCTGGTCCCAGGGCCTGTTTCTGCAACTTCCTCTTGCTATCAGGGGCTGCCTGAGTAATAAATTTATCCTTTAGGATTAGCTGTCCCTTGACTGAATCATGAGATAGAGAGGTTTGCTTTACCAAGGCTTCTCTTAGCCTTTCCAGAAAGGCAGTAGGATTTTCATCAAATGCCTGGTTGATCATGGACAACTTAGGATAATTGAGGGGCTTGGACTTAGTCGTATGTAAATCCTCCATTATGTACACCTGAAAGTGACTCCTTTTTCAGTCTTCCATCTCATCACTAGGACCTCATTTAGGGTCTTTCATGGGTACTGCTTCTCTTCCAGTTGGATAACGTTCATCCCATTCCCTGACACTATTTGTGAGGCAAAGCTCACCCCCAAATCTCTCTGGCTGCTTGCAGAGCAACTCATTTCTCAGTGTTCTTCAGGGTCTGATTCAAAACTAACATAATGTCTCTCCAGGAGAGTTCAAATATTTGGGTGAAATTCTGGACAGTCTCTACATATCTGTCAGAGTCATCTGAAAACTTGCCAAGATCCCCCTTAATTTGCTTTAAGTCCTGTAGGGAGAAGGGCACCCGGACCTTACTGGCTCCAAATTCACTGGGCATTTGTTGAAGGGGCAAGAGTGAGACTGGGACTTGTTTAGGGTGAGGATTTCTAGGAGGGGACAAGTGAGAGGCTGAAGCTGGATAGGGAGATGGGGGTGGGCCCAGAGGAGCAGGGCTTGAGGGAGCTAGCTCCTCTGCTGGGGGTGCCTCTGGGATCCATATCTTTAATTCCCTGGATTTGCCCCTTGCAGCCTTCCCTGAGATGTCAAACAGGAGCACTGGATCAATCCTACATTGTTGGCAGATATCTAGATTGCCTGGCAATGTATAGAAAGTCTGCACGTACGGGGCCTCAGACCATCTGTCCTCACGTCTACAGAAACGTTCCAACTGCTGGATGGTATCAAAATGAATGGTTTCTTCCTGAGGCCAAGTCGATCCTTGCTGTAAATCATAATTTGGCCAAATATTTGTGCATAGGGCTATGAGGTGTTTTTCCTCCAGATTCTGAGGGTCAAAGCAGTCCCAATGGTTCAGGATACACTCCAGAGGAGTATAAGCTGGGGGTGGTGAAAAAAGCTGGCTGCCCATTCTGAACGACAGGGAATAGAGGCACCCCTCATTCCCTCCCTTCTTCAGTGAATACTCAGGGTGTGATGGAGAGAGAAAGCGAATGTCCTTCCTTTCCATTCCTCCTCTCATCTCTTGAGTCCCAGCAACCTTAGCAGGTGCCGACCATCAGTACCGATGCGGTATGTACCCATGAAGCAGGGAAAACCTGGAGAATAGGAATTGACCGCCCTCACCTGTGCCTCCCTTTCTCCCTGCTGTTGGCAACCTTTGAGTTCCCTGGCTCTGTTTATGCCATGAAGCATGGCCTCCTGTGGGGTGGGGGGTTTTGTCAGCAGGAATTGGTCCTGCCCATTTACATTGTGGCTGTTGCCTGGCTTTGGATCCCTCAAACCTTGTTTTTCTTTTTAGGCCTCAGTCTGAAGCTTAGAATTGAGTTTGGGACTGCAAAGGTATTTTAGAGGCTGTTTATATCCGCCTAAAGTGTCTCAAATAAGCCCTGACGAATTTGCAGTTATCAGCCAGCAGGGCTTGTTCCTCCGTTAACTTTGCCATCAGAAACAGAGTGCTGGGAGTTGGGGGAGCCCTCTCACTATGAAAAGAAAACAAGATAGAGAGAAACAGTTTAAGGTGCAAAAAGGTGAAATCCTGGGGGAACAACCCCTTACTCAGTGCAAGTGGATCCCTCTAATCCTTATATCTTTCCTCTGGTTCAGAAATTCCTTGACCAGGGGAGAAACATTCCATTGGCAAGGCAGGCGAGAAGCGCCCATCCATTGGCCTGTGGGGCCGCAGCTGTGGCGGGGTTTTCTCCCGCCCCCTCGTCCTAGGCAGCACAGGCGGCTGCAGCTGCGGCATTGCTCTCCCCGCGGCCTCGTGGCTGTTGGGTTGGGCCTTTGCCTGCTGCGGGCACACCCAGGCACCTGAGCTGGGAGGGGAAAGGATAAGGAGAGGTGCCCTGAGCCCTGCGTGCCTGCTGCTGTCGAGGCGGAGGCATAGAAGATACCTCTAGGAAAATAGTTGGTCTGATCTGCACCTTTGGCAGCTGAGCCAAATGCTCGTGTTACTTAGTAACATTGCCGCAGCCAGTAGCAAAACTCAACATTATAAAGTAAGATAAGAGCTATTTCAAACCGTGAGAGAGAGAAAACAGTTGAAGTCTGGGAGTTTTAACCAGCCAGGGTTAGGGCAGAGTTTTTAAGACTCCATGAAGGGCAACAGAGCCTCTTACACGCAGGAAAGGAAGAGAAGTGGCAGAGTTTTGGAAGAGAGGCAGACCTGACAGTTTCGCATTCGCACTCAGCTTCCAGGTTCCTGGGCCAGGTCCCAGTAGAAACAGGAAAAGTTCCCTTGTCCCCTTCGCAGGGTGAGTGAGGGCGGTGTGGCTCGCTTCTTCCGTGCCCCGCTGCTCAAACCTCTAGGGGGAGCATGCTGACAGGCAGGTTGTGGGACTCTGACCCCACAGCAAGGTCTAGGGTGAATGTTTACAGCTGATGCTCCAGGGGGCGTGTGCTACAGGGTGCTCTTTCAGTTTAGCCAACTGTAGGCAGCTTGTGTTAGCTCAATTAGACCCCCTGCCTTATTGCAAGGACAGAGGGCTTTCTGTATGACGGGGTTTCTTGCTTTGGTGTACTAGAAGAATCGGATTACACATGGGCTTGGAGAATGAGTGCAAAGTTTTATTGAATGTAAGTAAAGTAGCTCTCAGCAGATGGGGGAGCCAGAAGGGAGACAGAGTGGGAAGGTGGTTTTCCCCTGGAGTCCGGCCACTCAGCAGCCAGACTCTCTTCCAAATGTCCTGGCCAAACTCCGCGTCGTTGCGCCAGTTGATGGCCTGCTGGCCTCTGCTTTTGCCTGTCAGTGTGTTCTTCCGTCAGTGTGTTTCTCTTGACATCTAGCCACTTGTGTGCGTGCCTGCTAGGGTCTCAAGGTTTTTAAAGGAACAGGATGAGGGCATCATGGCCCAGGGTGGTCTTGGGAAATGCAACATTTGGGCATGAAAACAGAAATGACTGTCCTCACCTAGGTCAGTGGGCACAGGCCCTGGGATGGAGCTTTAGCCAGGGACCCGGCCTTCTCTACCCAGCACTTCCCTGCCTGCCTCCCATCTCAGTATTATCTACCATATAAGGCCATTGTATGGAACAAATTGGATAATCTTTACAAAACACTTAGAAAAGTCTCTGACACATTATAAGCACTTAAAACAGTTATTAACAGTTTTAAGCAACAGCTGTTGCTTTTGTTGATGGTGGTAATGAACGTGTTTAATAATATGCAGATGCAAGAAAAACAATTAGAAGAACATTTCTTCAGTAGTCTAATAAGATTCTTATATAAAATGGTAGTGATGACTGTAAGATAATAAAGATATATTGTTTTAATCTACCTAACATGTGCTAGTTTGCTATGCCAACAATAGGAAACCAATACACATGTTAATACCTAAAAACATGGAAATGCCTTTGCAATTGGTCAGTTGGAAGAGGCTGGAAAAAGTTTGAAGAAGCATGATTTTAAAAGCCTGGGTTTTCTTAAACAGGCTACTAATAGAAATGTGAATGTTAATGGCTGATGATGAAGTCAGTGTGGAATATGGAAGAGGAAAAACCTTTAAATTTGAATTGATGCTATAATGGATTGAGACTTTTAGGGATATTGGAATGGAGCACATGTATTTTGCAAGTTGTACAAATGTGGCCCTTTGGGGGGCAGATGACTGCGATAGGCAGAATAATGCCCCGCCAGTAATGTCCATGTCCTATGACTATGTTACCTTATATGGCAAAAGTAACTTGCAGATGTGAGGAATTAAAGACCTTGAGATAAGGCAATGATTCTGGATTATTTGGGTAGATTCACAGGGACCCTTATAAAAGTGAAAGAAAGTATTGTGTTAGGGTAAACAGACAGATTTGATTATTCCAGCTCCTGGATGTAAACAAGAGGAATGAGCCATGAGCCAAGGAATCTAGTCAGCCTGTAGAAGCTGGAAAACACAGAAAAACTCACTCCCCTAGAGCTTCCTGAAGGAAAGTGGCCTACTGACACTTTTATTTTAGCTAGTAAGACCCATTCAAACGTCTAACACTTTTAACTATAATAGATATTTGTTGTTTTCAACCACCAGATTTGGGACAGTTTATTACAGCAGAAATAGGAAATTAATATATGGTGAGAATTAAAAGGAAGAAAATATTATGAAGGATCAGCAAAATGTGGTCACTGATTATATGTGGAGGGTGGAAACAAATAACTGAGGAAGTTAATAATATCATTTCAAGCCAGAGAGTAGGGGAGTAATGTCTCTATTTCACAGACATTGCATATTAAAATATTTTATTATTTCTAAAAGCCCACCACCTGTCACATTATACCTTGAAGTTCTACTCTCTAATTTGTCTCAATTATAACTCTGTTGAGGAATTTTGGTGTCATCATGCTAATGCTAATATCTCATCTTTAGAAATATCACTGAACCTGTGGTTCTTTTCATTATAATGTAATGTTTGTGGTTCTCTTCACTTCTCTGTTGAAAATGAGGCCCCATAACAGCAGGCACATTGCCCTCTAACTCTGCAAGGCAAAACTGAATAAAATAAACCTTGAAATAAAGAAAAATTAAAATTTTCATTCACTTTTCAAATGCACTGTGCTTTTCATCACAAAATACAGCTTTAGAAAGGACAGAAAGAAGGTCTTCCTGTGTGTGACACACAGTTCTACAGCACAAATTCTGATCAGTCTTATAAGATGTTATATCTCTATTTCCGGAATCATCTTTTGTACATTGGCCAAGATAATTTATTCAAAAGACATGTTTTTAAGTTGTGGCACACCAACTCAATCAATAACTCTCTACCTCACCACTGATGAAAGTTACACAATGATTAAGGAAGAAAAAGCCTCATAAATGGGAAAGTAGAAACTTATACATACCTTGCTATTTCTGCCCTCTCCAGTATATATAATTTCTTCCCACCACCTAGCTGTCCCACCAGACTCCTGCTACCATGTGATTTATAGAAATTTATCCAGTAATTCCAAGTAATTTTGCGTAATTATTTTTTACTTAGGAGGTATAATGTAATTTTGACCCGTACCAAAGTTCATAGTCCTTCCAGTAGGGCAATAGAACAAGGTCTTTGAAATTTTACTTACACACAGAGAGACATAAACATACATTCACAAACTTCAAGTGATTATTTAATTTATATTAGGCAGGACACCATTAATCCTTAAGAAATTTACACTCCATTTGCTTTTTGTTGTTTCTGGGCAATAACAGCTTAACTAAGTAATGATCCTTTTTACTTTCTCATTCAGTATCAAAAACACCTTTTGTGATTGATTAAGTGCTAAGGAATGGACATCTTAAATAACTGTGAATATAGCTAATACAGTTTAATAGACTTAATGGTAAATATTAGTGGTTTTAGATTACAGGGCAAACCTAAAAAGGCAGTATGGGGTTTTGAGAGAAAAGAAAAGTAACTTCAAATGGGACTGAATGTGAGTCTCAGCTTTTTCTGGTACTACTAGTATTAAATTGGACAACTCAGTGAAACTCTATGGGTCTCAATTTTCTTATATGTAAAACTTAAATAAAAATACCTGCCTTGCATAATTGTTGAGGCAAGCAATATTATACTGTGCATATAACACGAATAGCACATAATATGTTCAGTAAATGATGTTTGTTACTTAAATAACACTCTTCTCAACACTTAGTTGTCTGAGTAATGTTACAGAACTTTTACACTTTTGATTTAAGATTTCATAGACACATTGGAGAGGAAATGAGGAAGTGCTAACTTATGACAGATTCTTTTCTGGTGACATTAACCCGAAGTCTATAATTATCCATGAAAGTTTACAAAAGCAAGAAAATATAGTCCGTTTCACCCCCAGGCTTCTTACTGAAAACATTGTTCTTTTTAAATAAAATATTTAACCATATTTACCTCAAACATGTTCTGATCATCATCTTGACTCTCAAATTAAATTATGATCAAAGCAATTGTCAATGTATACCAAAGTTTAAATAAAGCCGAAAATTTATGGTGACTGGTTGGCATTTAGCTATGTGTCTTAAAGCTTTACAAATAATGGTCTCTCCACTTGAAAAAAATATCAGTCTTTAGTTAAACTGACAGTTCATGACTAACAGGGGTTTTCAAAAGCAACCTGACACAAAGCATTTTCCTTCTTTTGTAACAAATGGATACTGCATGTGGCCATAGTTTCATTTTCATGTATCTACTATTACAGCCATAATGTAAAAGTTAAACAATGTTTTATTTTAAATTCTTATTTCTACTCACCACTGTTACTGATTAGTTCAAAATAGGAAACTAGCTATAATAATCTTAGTCCTTAATAGCAATTATTTTGACATCAAGCAAACTTCTACTCTAGAAAATGTTTCCTGCAGTTACTTTCACTGACTGCTTATAAGGTCCCACAGTTTCCATATTTGAACGTTGTGGAGCCCACACTTAAATTCCCAAGAGGATTTTAATTAGGGCCTGAGCAATGCTGAACGCGTATGTATTTTGTTTCCATTCTTAATGAAGCAAACCCACCTCAAGAGCATATACGGCTTATAAACTACATTGATTTCTCAAATATTTTTCAGTTGTATTTATATGTAGCTAATATTTTACTCTCTCCTCTTCATGGCATTTCATTTTTTATTCCCTTATACTCCAGAAAAGGCAGAAAAATATTTTGGGAAGAAATTATTGGGTGCATATATACATGGATGTTCATTTTTCAGTGAGAGAATAAAGTAATCAAAACATGTAATTTAAATTTATGTGTTCTGCTTTATTAAGGATTCAAATGTGCTGTAACTGATTGCCTGTTAATGCTTCATAGGCAAATGGGAAAGATAGGAAAGCATAGGGTTAAAATATTCCTTGGGACTAATTAAACTAATTTTAGAATCACATAAGTTTCTTCAAATTAAGTGAATTTCCCATCTTTGTACCAGTCTCATCTTTTCTGTCTCTCTTCTTTAGTTCATTCCTCCCAAACTCCTGAAATGCCAGTCACTTTTTCTATGTACTTTACTCTTCTGCACATAAAAATGCTGCATAATTGCTAATGTATGCTGTGGTATCAGTGTGAAGATACTAATTTAGTCATAGGAATACTAACTGCATAAGAGTAAGATGATTATGGGCTAACTGAAACATAAAACATGAAATTAGATATAGGTAAGAGGTAAATAACTGGAAAGTGTGAAAGATAAATACAGACATGTTTCAAAATCATACTGACCTGATAGTAAAAGTTGAAAATGAAGTTCTCAGAAAGAAATTAGTGCCATGATATTCCATGTAGGAAAGTAGTTTTAGAATACATATATACTAGATTTCAAGGCAACACTGAATCGTGCAGCGAAAAAAGATGGTAGTGAATCTAAAAGCAAAATATTTCATCCAGATACCTGGATGACAACTTAGTTGTTGGATACCATAGAGGCAAATCATTATTTTAGATACAATAAAAGTTAATGGAGGGTTAATGCTACCAAGAATTATTAAATTTTGATGTCAGGTAATGTTGAGAGCATTTATTCAATATTGGTGAAAAATGTTCAGTAATGAAACTGCATCTGGTCTGAAACTAAACCAGAATTAGTAGTAAAACAAAATAGGCACTAGATGGCAATATAAATGCTGATATACATATTTAAATATATCTATTACTGATTAGGTGGAATATTCTAGAATTTACTGTTGCTAATACTAGTAATTATGAAAATACTAGTAATTATGGCCTGAGAACAGCAAAGTATGTCTCTTACTTATTTTCCCCTCACAGTATGTGTTTCCTAGCTTCCAGAGCTGCTCAAGTCACACAGTACTGTGAAATGATGAAAAGAATACCTGACCTATCAGCCTCAGTTTCCTTAGAGTTGCATTTGCAAAAGTGCTTTATAAATTGCAACTATGTAGACTAGTACTATAGAACACTATCCTGCATGTAGAAGCCAAAGCTTAACAAATATTTTGAATGAAAAAGAAATTCATACTTCATAAAGACATTGATTTTACTCTAATAAAATTAATCCAGAAAATCAAAATCCCATTATCTTTGTAAGTTCTTTAATCTAGATGAAAATCACTTTTAGATAGGGTTTTAGATAGGTTAATGGTTTTAGATATGGTTAATGGTCTTTAAGGAAGGGCTAATACTACTGGGCTTTAAAGGCTTTGGAAGGCTTACGTAAGAACAGACAGACAGTATTTCTGACTCAGATAAAGGCCTATAGAAGATGCTCAATAAATAATACTTTCTGTGCACATTGTCTACCTTTCCTATGCGTATCACTCTGACGGTGAGCCCCATACCTTCTCCAATATACCAAATGACCCCATACCTTTTACTCAAGTCATTTTAAAGCAAGTTTTTAAAATATTGAACCATTTCATTTGACTTTTTTACATTGTAACCAGAGGGTATGAGGTTTCTGACTATCACATACTTGGAATTTGTTTCCCCTTGAGTTGTTATACCTGGCATGTCAAATTGTTTTACATGCTAGATCCATAATTTAAAGAGGGAAAATACACTTAGTTCCTAGTCAGAGAAATTCAATATGCTCTTCCAGGTCGGTGACAACCATAATTAATGCCTCCATACATTTAAGCATTTCCATTTAGGGTGGACAAAATACATCTATTGAAGTGGAGGAGAGTATATTTTTTCTTTAAATCACTTCACACAAGTAAATATTGCTAAAGTTTAAGATACATTAGATTGAAAAACATGAACACCGAAACTCGTCTCAATAATATCGCCAGTGTTCTCCTTGCTAAAAAATCCAATGGAGTACTTTTTGTTGTTTGGGGTTTTAGGTTTTGGCGTTTTTTCCTCCTAACTTTTCTGACGCCTTTGATGAGGCAGGCTTCTCAAACTTCAAGTCGCAATTCTCAAAGTGTGATCTGTGTAACCCTAGGGGACCTTAAGACCCATTCTGGAGGTCTGAAAAATCAAAACAATTTTCACACTAACACAAAGTCATTATTGGTCTTTCTTGCTTTTTTGACATTTGTATTGATTGTGCAAAATCAATGGTAGTAAAACTTCTGGTACCTTATCATGAATCAAGGCAGAGGCCCCAAACCTTTCCGTAATTCTTCACTACAACATGCTCACAGTTAAAAAAAAAAAAAAAAAAAAAACAGCCATTTTCACTAAATAACATCTTTGATGAAGTAATGAGAATTATTAATTTTATTAAATCTCAACCCTTGAATACAATGTGTTTGTAATATGCCATGTGACAAAATGAGAAGTATATATTAAGCAAATCAGTTGAATACCAAAGGAAAGTGCTTATGCAATTGAGTTGTAAGCTTCTGAATTAGCTGCTTTGTTCATGGAACATAATTTTTACTTGAAAGAACGCTGACAGTTAAACCATGGTTACTGAGACTTGGGTATTTGGCATATATTTTGCTAAAAATAAATTTAGTAAACCTATCCCTTCGCTACAAACAACTGATAGTATGTGTTGCCAATGATCAAATTTGAGCTTTCAAGAGAAAATTAAATATTGGGAAACTAGTGTCTGCCACTGTACCTTGACAGCTTCCACGTTCACTTTTCTAATATGAATAACAGTTATATTGATGAATGCAATTTTTTATATTATATAATGAAATGTTTCAACATTTGGAAGATCTGTATAACTAAGTGAGCCACTATTTTCCAAATGACCAATGAGAGATACTACAAAATTATGCGTGAGTTAAAGATTCACTTAAAGTTTAAATATACTGAGGGATTTTAATGTAACAAAGTGCAAAAAGTTAATTAATATGGTTTAAATTCCATATTGTAACTAACATTTAAGAAACGATCATTAAAGAGAAAATTCATAATTATCATGAAAGGCTATGAAAATACTCCTCTCTTTTCCAACTGAATACGTATGTGTGTCCCAAAATACCTTAACCCAAACAATATGCTGCACCAGGTTAAATGCAAAAGTATATATGACAGTCCAGCTACCTTCTATTAATATACACACTTAAGATATTTGCATAAAACAATGTCACCCATCTCACTAAATGTTTTTAAATCATCATTTTGACAAAAGTATGTTATTTTAGTAACATCCAATGAATGTATAAATATTTTAGTTAGATGAACTAATAGTTTTAAATCTTCTCAATTTTATTTCTAATATAATAAATATTAATAGTTATAATCTATATAAACAAAAATGCTTTGGATTCGTCAAAATTTTTTAAATATATAAAGAAGTTCGGAGACTAAAAAGTTTGAGTATCGCTGAATTGAAGCATAGTGTGTGTGCTCTAAAAGTGGAATCTTTAACTCCTAAGGTTATATGTCATCACTCTCCTGGATGTCGTTCTACTTCTTTAGTAGCCCCTTACACTCTCCCCTTCCAGTGTTCCTCTTTATTTCCTCTTCCCTTAAGTGTTAGGGACTCTCATGATTCTTTCTTTAGTTCAGTTTTGTCTCATTCTCTATTCTCTCAGAACTTTTCCGAAGGTTTGAATGTGCTGATCACTCCCAAATCTACATTAGCAGAGCAAAACCAAATATTTTAAGGTTCTTATCCTATATCTACATGTCTACTGTGTATTTCTATTTGTCTGTACCACCAACATAATAAACTACACAAGTCTAGCCATGAGCCCATCATATCTTTGACACAGAAGCCCTAATCTGCAGTCTTACTTTTCATGAATGGTATCACTATTTATCCAGTTATTTAATAAATTTATGGTAGGGTAAGAGAATGCCATCCTAGGCTCTGGCCTCTCCCTTAATCCCCACATTCAGTCACTATATCTTATAGAGGTTACCCCCAGAATATTTTGATAATTGACATTTCTTTCTCCTTTTCCACAGCCACTTCTTGGTTAAGATTATTATTCATTAACTGAATTATTGTAATAAACTCTTAGCAGATTTTCTGTCTCTAGCAACAGTCTCTTAAAATCCGTTTTCTACCATGAGCCAAAGCGATGTCTCAGTTTCTTCTCTGATTAGAATTTTCCCCATAGGCTTCAGGATAAAATTAAGTCTTTGAATATCAGACCTTCATGATCTGGGCCATATCAAACTCAATACCTTCATCTCTCACCACTGCTCAAAATAAAGGACTAGAATTTCAATGACTAGCTCTCACACAATTGATCCCACATCTCATCTCTAGGCAACATCAAAGAATACTCAAGTTGAAAGGATCTTTAGAGATAAAGTAACCATATAATTTATCATCCAAACCAGGACACTTTTGAGAATGAAAAGGGTGCTATTAATAATTACATTGGGATAACAGATGTAAACCGGGACTGTCTCCAGCAAAGGAGCCTGTAGGATCACTGTCCTTGGAGATCAACTAGTCTATGAGAGAACTTGAGTCATTAAAGTGAAAGTGGCCATGCTGGTCATAACAATGATTAGATGAGAATCAGCCTTTCCTATCTCCTGTTCCATTGCCTTTTCTTCCACATTATGCTGCTTTTCTAATAACTTTCTCAAGATAAAAATCACATAGCCTTGACTTTTCACAGAAAGATGTTACACATCAAAACATATGTCTTTTTAATATAATTACAGTAAATATATGTGATAACTTTATCTACAGTCAAAAGTATCACTATTAAGGGGAGCTCTGTAATGTGTAAGAGGGATCAAAAATATCAGCTAACATATGCAAAAGTAGCTTTCGTTTCAGTAGGAAAGTATTATCTGGTAATAATAAAAGATGTCCCAGATCCAAAATCCCCAAATACTTGACTAGGTAACTTAGCCACTGCTACTCCAGCTGTCTGTGTGTTTGTGTGTGTGTGTGTGTGTGTGTGTGTGTGTGTGTGTGTGTGTGTGACACAGGGAGAGAAAGAGAGAGAGAGAAATCCTCATAAGATTCCCTGCCCACAGGAACTAGACTGAATCATATTTAAATAACCCAGAGACTCATTTATCCTGGCCCTTTGCTAATTGCCCACCCTGCAGTAGAGGCAGGCACATATGGCTTCTTGCCTTCTTTCCCATGAACCTATCCAGATCAAAAAGCTAAGTTCCAAAAGCTAAGTTTTCTTCAACTTGAATATTGTTCAAAACTCATTGTTTCAAAGCAGGGCATGAGATAGAATGATCCCAAACAAAGCAATGCAAAGGTTCATTGAAGACAGAACTTACCCCTCTCTTGTCCCCCGAACATCTCATTTTCATCATCCATTAAGCCGTACCCTTCAACTTCATTGTTTCCACTGTGCCATACACAAGTTTCTTTCCCTTGAAGAAGAAATAAAATTAGAGAAATCTTGAGTTATCTTTAAAGGCTATGGTATGAGAATAACAAGGTGTTCATCAACTGATGTGATAATGTGTTATGCTCCAATAAAACTTCCTGCCTTTAAGACTAGAGTCTGAGTTTAAGTTATTAGCATCAAGATTATACTGAAACAGAAATCTAATTAGAAAACCATTCATAGTCCAAAACAAATAAACAAAATCAAGATTGTGTATGTCTATAGCACCTAATTCCTATCATTGTGACATACTCAACTTATATATATTTGTATATATGATAGAAAGTTATACTCTGTATTTTATGTTAACATTATAGAATACATACTTTTTTTCATTTTGCTGCAGATTGACATCTCAATTTTACAAAGAAGGTAATAACTTTTGTTCCTCATAATTAAGGGAGGGGAAATGTCTTCTGTTCTACTCTTTCCAATCATAACAAAGCACTTCAGTCATAGTGCATATAAAAATCCCATAAGCCAAACACAAATATCATTGCATCAAAAGAAGACACATGCTTGATGTGAGATTAACATTTCCCAAATGCTTTCTATTAAGAACATGTAAGAAAAATTCCTAAAATTCTGTCAATGTGCGGATATCTTTCCAGTTACAAAAATAGCAATAATATTAAAAAGTGTTTCCTTGTATTGTACTTCCATTGTAACTTACATGCCAGGAAGCATAATTCAGTGGTGAATCTATCCCTGCTTCAGTCAACAGGGATATTAAATAGTATTTTCCAGTAAAAGATATGGACTTTCAAGCATTTGTGAAATGGTTGATCAAGCCCAGTTAAATTTTTTCTTTTTCTGGACAAAAATCAACCAGAATAATGCCATTTCAATTCTCTATAGCACAGTAGAACAAAGAGGAGCTCAAAAGAATATCAAGTAAAATGTTGTAATGTCACATAAATACTTCTATCTCCAGATTATTAATACTTCTATCTCCAGATTATTAGAAACTGAGAGATGACCATACTTGAAAAATATATAACAAACCACATTACACAGCATTTTAATTTGCTATATATATTTGTTTAAGATAACTATATTGAGAATGCTACATTGTTATCGTTCTATAGTATGAGTTTGAAGATTCTTAATGCTTTTGCTATTATCAAGAAGTCTTCTTCAATAGTTCAGAGTTAGACATTTTAATCAATATTGCCCTAAATGCCTGCTCTCAAGATTCTAGCACTCCCCACAAAAATGATATTTTAATAACGTTTTTCCTTTGCATGCTAAATATTTTGCCTTTATCTATGCTCCATTGACTGTACTATTAAAAATTACTAAACATTCCCTTCACTTCTTTACCAGTTTTTAACTCCCTCTCTCAAAAATCCAGTTTTACTAAGGACATTGTTTCTTAGACCCTTCCCTCCATTCTGGGCCCAGCAGCTTCAGAGCCAGCCAAATTAACCAGTGTCATCTATACAGGGCTTGTCACTGCTATGCTCCAAAACTTCAAATCTATCGCTACAGATGTGCTTTGCCTCCTAGAGCATCTAAGATGACAACTATCCCATTAAAATAATAAACAATGTTAATAAAGAAAGCCTAAGAAGTTTCACTTTCTTCCTAAAAAGAATGAATGCATTCCAAAGTGACATTGCTTCATTACTGGGCAGCAGTAATTCTAAATATAGAAACTGGATGTCCAGTCACAGGGAGAATAAGATGAATAGGAATTTAGAGAACTGATACTTCCCTGTGATCTCCATCATGGAGTACTATGATGCAGTTTATTTATTCATTTAAATATGTATGTTGAGTCTTTACTGTATGTCAGGCACTGTTACAGGCACTGAGGCTAAAGAAATAATATTTCCTCTCCCTCAGTATCTTACAGTCTAAGAGTAAGTAATATCTACATACAGGAACACCTCTGCTTAAGAAATCTCCTTGGGAATATCATGCGTTTTAAAATATTAAAACTAGAAGAGCTTATAAACATCATCTAATCTATCCCCTTCACTTTATAGATGAGGAAACTGAAATTCAGGAAAGGTAGTTAAATTAACTACCTTCAAAAGCCCAAACTAGATCCCAAGTGTTCCAACTCCCAGTCCAGGGCACTAAGCCACAATATTCCTCTCAGGTCAGGAATATCTCAGAGACATTAAAAAAGAAAAAAAAAAATCCGGGCCGGTCTACAATGGCTCATGCCTGTAATACCAGCACTTTGGGAAGCCGAGGCGGGTGGATCACCTGAGGTCAAGAGTTCAAGACCAGCCTGGCCAACATGGTGAAACTCTGTCTCTACTAAAAATACAAAAATTAGTCAGGCATGGTGGCAGGTGCCTATAATCCCAGCTACTCGAGAGTCTGAGGCAGGAGAATATCTTGAGCTCAGGAGGCGGAGGTTGCAGTGAGCTGAGATCATACCACTGCACTCCAGCCTGGTGACAGAGCAAGAAAGATTCTGTCTCAAAAAAAAAAAAAAAAAAAAAAAATCCATATTCCTTTCTTGGGATTTCTCCCACTACAGGGAATGTGACTTGGTACTGAAATGGAGCTTTGAAGTGAGACAAAATAAGCTTGGACATAATTTTACTAAAGATCCAGACATTGAACAATGGCATCCAGCCAATAACCATAGTCCTGCAGCATTGTCATCTGTCACCTTTCTTCATGTGTTGACTAGAGAGAGGAGTTGGCAGCACATTGGACGTAGACTCTAATTCCATGCAGCTAATGGTTTGCAACTAAGCTACACAGATTGTGAAACAATGGCAAAAAAAAAAAATCTGAAATTTAATAAGAAAAAAGAAATGCTCTAAAAACAGAGATATTGTCAGAGAAGACTACTTTTAAAAAGCGATATGGAGCCACCTAGTGACAGAATTTTGTGTTAATAGAATTACATTTGGCCATAAACAGCAAGTTCACAGACTGAAAGATATAAATGGCTAGGTCAGGAACAGAGGCTAGTTTTGTGTGTATATAAGGTCTCAGTTGTGAAGGAGACACGAATCATCTGTCAAGATCTTCTTTTAAATTATTTGTATTTTGCATTTACTGTCAGCAGAAAGCTTAAGTGTGCCTTCTGAAACAGCTCAAAAAGTTTCCAATTTAATAGCTCTTCAACAAAGTGTACAAGTTAGAGATAATTGGATTCCATTTTTAAATTCTTATATTTCATCCAACCAAATTAGGCTCAAAAAGTCAATTTCTTTTCATCAGAAAATATCTGTCAATATTTTCAAACAGAATAGAACAGGCTTTTTTTTCCCCCTTATGAACTTGTAAGAGGCTTTTATGAGTGAGACACATTTTAATAACCAAGCTACATTTCTAAGGAAACTAAGGCAGCAGAGAATTGTCACTCCAATTAAAACGCTTTGTATGTTCAAATAAAATAGAAATAACAATTGTATGTATTTACTCAAAGGAATTTGTACAGAGGCATACTTAATTAGAACATTTCAGAAATGTTGTGATTGTTAGGACAAATCCTGAGTCAGAATCATATCAGCTTTTGTTTAATCCTTAAATCTATTTTTTATATGAGAAATGAATTATCATTAATCCTGAAATCTTTCAGAATGATGGATGTTTGGTAATGATGAATAAATACTAAAGATTGGTATAAATATCAACTTACACTGTTACATAACTGAATCTTCTATTATGTAAACATTCAATGAAAAAATATTAAAATTGTTAAGAGAAGGTGAAAACTAATTCAAAATAGTTTATTTTAGCTTTATATGGTCTTTGCTTGACCAAAAATAAACTTGAAAATATCTTTTGCTTTATTTCTTAATGTTGAAAATCATTATTAAAAATACTGGAGGCTTGCACTCTTTGTTAACTGAGCCTCTGCCCTATAAGGGACAGGGCAGTGAGAAAAAAAAACAGTTGCAGAATCCCTTGAGTCTTATCTATGACCTAAGATAACACACATAAAGTATACATTGACTTCTGATGAATGAGATTTTATTGTATCATATTGAGATATCAGCACACTATTAACTTCGCATTATTTTTTTCTGAGCAGTTCTACTACATTCAGCCACAAGTCAATCAAATAATATTTGCAATAAGATAGAGGTCTAGGAAACTGAAATCCTGGGCATAACATTTTTAAAGTTTTAATAAGAAGAAATAGAATCAGATAACATCACATAAATGTGTTTTTTAATGGTGTGACTGATCTTACCAAGCAAAAAGATAGCAAAGTTAAGACAGCTTTGATGTGTAATTTTAGATAATGTGACAATGGGAAATGTAATATGACTACGGAAAAATCAAGGAGGGAGAAAGACTGACAGAAACCTAGAATTAGGGATATAGGTTTGATTAAATGTCTGTGGCATATTTCAAACCGAGTAAGTGATGTGCATATCAGCAGGATCCTCAGACAGTCACTATAGCTACAAATCCAAGAATGGCCACCTGTGTGTGTTGTGCAGACCAAAAAAAACACATTCACTCACTGTGGATAAGGCTATTTCAATGATGTCACCATTGAACACAAAGGAAATAGGATAAACATAGCTGTCATTATGAAATGTCTACTGTGTATTTGACACTAGGCTAGGAGTTTTACATACTCCATTTCAGTTAACATTTACAGACTCCTTAAGCTGGTATTAATAGTTGTATTTAATAAGAAAAGAAACAGACTCTGAGAGGCATTCTGAATCCCCTGTCTGCCTCCAGAACCATTCTTTTTTCTCTGTGTTTAGTGAGCTACATAGTAAATACAAGTATGCCTGATACATCACTATTATAAAACTGAAATTTTATTCTAAATCTGTTTACCTAACAATAAAGAAGCTACTTTTTTCAAGATCAGAGAATGCTTTATAACAGGTAAACTAAAAATGCTCACTCCTTTTTCTTAAGAATTTTGGTGGATTAGTCTCAAAGCTGACATTGACATTCAAACATAAGAGACCATAAGGATCACCTCCAAGGCTTTTTAAAATACAGAGTCCTGGGTCCTACTACTCAGAGAATCTGGCTGAATGGTTCGAAAGTGGAGCCTAAAAATTTACATTTTGACTCATACTCTTTCCTCCACTGCTCCAAGAGATTCTGTTGTACACAGTCCACAAATTACATGGGAAACATTCCTATTATTACTGCTTCAAATTTTTGATTGATTTTCATTAAATTTCATGTCATGTCCTCAAAGCAGCTTTTTATTTATTTATTTATTTTGTTGTTGTTGTTGTATTTATATCTTTTTTCATGGTGGATCTTATCAGAATTTTTACCTGGTCATAATTGCAAGAAAAAATGGTCATTTTGTGGAGTTGATTCTTAAAGATTCTTAAAATATTATATTTATTACATAAGAAAAGCTATGACTTATATTTTTAGAATTTCGAGTAAAATAACTATGCTATCAAAACATCAATAACATCTACTGTGATTGTTATAAGGTCTTCATTTTATTTAATATATTTAAAATTTTACATATGTGAAAAATCACTTGTACTGAGCCATTCCTGTCATCGTACAAATGAGCAAAGAGATACACAGATACAAATAAGCATAATGTAGCACTGGACATCACATGGCAGCAGGAGCAGATCTCTCAATGCACAGCCCACTGCTGTTACCAGGACACTGTCTGTCATCCCCCATGTGAGCATTCACCCACAAACCTGAATCTTAAGTGAATACTGCACAAGGTCCTTCCCTGTGCCATTCAGAGCATAAAAAGATGAAAACACTGGACTCTTTTCCTCTTGCCTAAAATCCCAAATACTGGCAAAAGAAAATGGATTTATTCAAATGATCCTTTGCTAAACTAAGGTCCAGAAAAAGGAGGCATTTAAGTCTTTGTTGTTGATAATAACAGAAGATTTGAGTTAAAGATGTTTTCCAGGAACCCCCTTCTGTGGAATGGCACCCAAAAGAAAGAATCCGTTTTGCAAAACCTAAGGCTATTTAAGTGCTTATTTTTCACCTCAACTCTTAGACATAGCCACTGGGTTGTATTAGGTTGATGCAAAAGTAACTGTGGTTTTTGCCACTGAAAGTAATTGCCAACCTAATATATGGCTCCCTTTAGCAAACACAGCCTGGTCCCTTTAATGCATGGAACATAGCCATGTTCTCAGTTGATTTTCACCTCTTCATCTCCCACACTAAATTATTCCCTTCTACTTGATGCCATCAAAAATATCCTTCTATTGTGTATATATACTATTTATACTAGTTTTATTTATCCATTCATATGTTGATAGACACAGGTTGATTCTATATCTTGGCTACTGGGAACTAATTCTGCAATGAACATAAGGGAGCAGATATCACTTCAAATATTGATTTCAATTTTTGATGATCTCATTTATGTAGGGAATCTAAAAAATGTAAAATTCATAGAAGTAGAGAGTAGAATAATGGTTACCAGAGGCTGGAGTGTCAGGGAGAGAATGGGAACTTGGTCAAAAGATACAAAATTCCAGATAAGCAGAAAAAAATATGCTTTGAGATCTATTGCACAGTAGGATGACCATAGTTAATAAAAATGTATTGTATATTTTAAAATAACTAAGTTCATAAATTTCAAATGTCTCACCATCAAAAATAGTAAGTAAGCAAGTTGATGGATATGTTAAATATCTTGATTTATTTATTCCACATTGTATACATATATCAAAACACATTTTATGTCATAAGTGTATACAATTATGATTTGTCAATTAAAATAATATGTAAAATAGTCTTCTACAATACAAATTCTGCTCTTTTCTATTTTTGAAGGATCATGAGAATAAACTGCATCAACACAGAGAATGTACAGGAGTAAGTCTTGAATGCAGTATCTACATATCTATTCCACTATTTTCATCAGTTGCAATACAATTCTACTGTGTTATAAAAATAATGCCAGTGCTCATATTGCTAACATCTAGCAGACCACAGCAATAACTTATTATTTACTAGACTCTAGATGGCATCATATTTTCAACTTATCACACTTTCAACTTCCATTTTACAATGAGTAATAAACTCAATTACATCTCCAGCCATTTCTTAGTGGCAGTGCACCTGCAGCTACAATCCCTTATAAGACCCCTATGAGTCTAAATTCTTCCCTTTTTCTCCTTCCCCACCAACACTATTTTCCAGCTGGCTCTTGATAAGTTCTGCTCATTTTGCCTTTCCCTGCTCAAGCCACCAAATTAACTCTTTCACGCTTCTCTGAGCCATTTATCCTTTTCCTGCTGCCAACAGCAGTTTTTGTTTTGTTTTGTTTTGTTTTGTTTTGTTTTGTTTTTTTTGCTGATAGCCTTTCTGCTTTTCTTCCTCATTAGATTAATTTTAGAGAATCTCTTAATGTTTTGGTTGCAAAATAACTCTTACCTAGAGATATATACACAATGCATTTTCACAGTTTTCTGGAGACCCACAGATGGATCTTATAAAAGGGTTGTATCACTGAGTGAGCTCTAGAAATTAGGAGCTATGTTTAGTCTAAAAAGGTAAAGCTAGTGAGAGTCTTTTTTACATTTTTTATAATACAGTAAGATAGTAAAGTTGTAAAATTAATATTCATATGTTTTGTCAGCCAAAAATATGTATGAGAATATACCTAAGGCTATTAAACAATTAAATATACTTAACAAAAATGCTAAATTCCATTCACTATGATTGTTCATATGTAACCTCAAAAGGTATTTGGAAATGTCTGGATATTAATATGTAATACTAATAAAATATTCAAATAATAAATAATTATTTTTATTTAAATATTTGGCATCACCAATACCATCTTCTGAGACCATTTTTATTTCACAGCTATGTTTTGTGCAAATCAAAAGTAAAATCAGATTAAGGAGTTTTTGGACAGAGACTATGGGGTTGATCTGATAAGCAACTGCAGCAAAGTTTCAGGATATAAAATCATTGTACAAAAATCAGTAGCATTCCTATGCTCCAACAAAATTCAAGCTAAGAGCCAAATAAAGAACACAATCTCATTCACGATAGCCACAAAAAATAGGATACCTAGGAATATGGCTAAGAAGGAAGGAAAAAGAATACAATTTCAAGAATTTACAATGAAAATTACAAGACACTACACAAAGAAATCAGAGATGACACAAACAAATGGAAATATATCTCATGTTCATGGATTGGAAGAATCAATATTGTTAAAATGGCCATACTACCCAAAGCTATTTATAGAATCAATGCTATTTCTATCAAGCAACCAATGACATTCTTCACAGAATTAGAAAAAAAAATTGTTTTAATTATATGGAACCAAATATCCAAGCAATCCTAAGTGAAAGAACAAAGCTGGAGGTATCACATCACCTGACTTCAAACTATACTATACAACATGGTACTGGTATCAAAACAGACACATAGACCAATGGAACAGAACAGAGAGCCCAGAAATAATGCAGTACACCTGCAACCATTCGATCTTTAATGAAGTCAACAAAAAACAAGCAATGGAGAAAGGACTCCCTATCCAATAAATGATGCTGGAATAACTGGCTGACCATATGCAGAAGACTAAAACTGGACCCTTATCCTATACTATATATAAAAAGCAACTCAAGATGGATTAAAGACTTAAATCTAAAACAAAAACTATAAAAATCCTAGAAGAAAATTTAGAAAATACCATTCTGGACATAGGAACAGGCAAGGATTTCATGAAGAACACTCTGAAAGCAATTGTAACAAAAACAAAAATTGACAAATGGAACTTAAGTAAACTAAAGAGCTTCTGCACAGCAAAAGAAACTTTCAACAGAGTAAGCAGACAAGCTACAAAATGGGAGAAAATAATTGCAAACTATGCATCTGACGAAGGTCTAATATCCAGAATCTATAAAGAACTTAAACAAATTTACATGCAAAATGCAAATAGCCACATTAAAAAGAGGGCAAAGGACATGAACAGACACTTTTCATAAGACAAACAGATGGCCAACAACATATAAAACAATGCTCAACATCACTAATCATTAGAGAAATACAAATCAAAACCACAATGAGATACCATTTCACACCAGTCAGAATGACTATTATTAAAAAGTCAAAAATTAACAGATGCTGGCAAGGTTGTAGAGAAAAGGGAAAGCTTCTACACTGCAAGTGGGAAAGTAAATTAGTTCAGCCATTGTGGAAAGCAGTTTGTGGAAGAACTTAAAACAGAATTACCATTCAACCCAGCAATCCCATTATTGAGTATATACCCCAAGGAATATAACTCATTCTACCATAAAGACACAAGTATGCATATGTTCATGGCAGCACTATTCACAATAGCAAAGATATGGAATCAACCTAAATATCCATCAATGGTAGACTGGATAAAGAAAATACATTACATATACACCATGGAATACTATGCAGCTATAAAAAGAACAAGGTCATGTCCTTTGCAGCAACATGGATAGGGCTGTAGGCCATTATCCTAAGCCAACTAACACATGAACAGAAAACCAAATACTGCATATTCTCATTTCTAAGTGGGAGCTAAACATTGGGTACTGATGGACAATACAAAGAAGAGAACAACAGACACTGGGCCTACTTGAGGGTGGTGAGTGGAAGGAGGGTGAGGATTGAAAAACTACCTATCCAGTACTATCCTTCTTACTTACCTGGGTGATGAGCTAATCTGCATACCAAACCCATGTTACACAATTTACCTGTATAACAAACCTGCACATAAACCCTGAAGCTAAAATAAAATTGAAGAAAAGTAAAACCACAAATATATATCTAACAAAGGTAGATAAGAATGTTCAGATTCAGGTATGAAAGAATTTAGTGATAGGGTTGGGGTGCCAGACAAACATGAGTTTAACCTTTGCCTCCATTTTTCTAACTGTTTGAACTGGAGAAACTCACTTGTATCAGTAAAATACTGATTCAAGTACCACTATTAAATGATAACAGAATTGAAGGCACTGTTATTAGGTACCTAATACCAAAGCTTTCACATACTAGAAGTTCAAATAAATGGCAGTGTTTTTCCACCTTGAAGCTATTTTCTCTTTTCAATTTTCACACAATATCCTACAATGAAGCAAGAGATTCTTGAAGATGATGTTCATCCTAAGCTAAGCCACATCTAGCAAATGAGGAGCCTTACCCTGTGTAAGTCAAGCCTCCTTTTTGTAAACATAACAGGCTGTGCTATCTCCAACTCATGAACTTTTATTCATTACAGTTCCATTCATAAAGTAATAGGTATAGGAGTGCCTATAAACACTTTAATAGATACCAAATTGCTGCTAGGAAAAGGGATTTGTTTTCCCCTTAAAGCCAATAACTCCATCTCACATTTACTTTGAAACAAAATGGATTCAATTTGTTAATAACATTTTGTGACAGTGATATTTAGCAATTTTTAAAATGCCTAAAACGTAGCTTCCTCTGCCCTAAATACATAGACTAAACATTTTATACATTTTTATTGCAGAATTAAAGAAAGTAGCTTATCATATCTGTCACACACAAGGTAATACATTACAAATTTGCCTTTTTTTAACTTGGATTAACTCATATGAATTTGTACATAGTACTATCCAGTGTTTCATTCTGTGCCTGTAATTCTTTAAAGGATGTATGTAGCATGCTTTTAAATTTAATTAATTTTTACTTTTTAATGTCACATTCTACTCTTATACTCTAGTTCATTAAAAGTATATGCCCAACTTTGAAAATTTTAGTATTGAAGCAAAATTGAATGGTGAAGCTTCTAAATCTGCCATATATCTAAGAGTGAGATTCCCATTGCTTTAATAATGAAGAAAGAGTCACTAATATATACTCTCTACTGCTTTATTCCATCAATGTATATCTGGTTTGAATGAGAACAATTAGAATGCAGTGTTATAGTTTAAATATTTGACTAGCCAAAATAATGTTTTGAAACCTAATCACCAACGTGATGATATTAGAGGGGGCCTTTGGGAGATCATTAAGTCATAAGGCCAGAGTCCTTATGAATGGGTGTAGTGCCCTCATAAAAGAAGCCCCAGAGAGTTGCCTTACCTCTTGCACTATGGGAGGACACAGCAAGAATACAACATCTATGAACCAGCAAACCCTCATCAGACATTGAATCTAATGGGGCCTTGATCTTGAATTTCCCAGCCTCACAAACTGTGAGAAATAAATGTATGTTGTTTAAAAGTCACCCAGTTTATGGTATTTTGCTGTAGAAACCTGAGATAAGAGGTAAAAATAATAGCAAAGCTAATGTGTGCCTATTTAGGTGTAATATTTTCAAGTAAAATATTGAATGCCACAGACTATTCACTAAAAAATAGACAGTGTTTATTTTATTTGCTTATTTTTTTCTTTTGAATATCAAGTTCAAAAAAGTGGAGTTAAGCATGTTTCCTGCATCAAGTAACATTTTCCTCATCGATCCATGTAAGACTCCACTTCTGTTTCACTTTTCTCTTTCATTCCCACTCCTCATTTGCATCCCATCTCCCCAAGTCATCCACTGTAATGTGTTGGGTGTATCTTTCTTGTAAAATGTGTAATGTTAATTGATATGTGGCTGTGGATTTTATTTACATAATATATATGCATGCAGGACTCATGATTTATTGCAAATATATTAGAATAAGCAAATGATTTATAACATAATTCTTGCTGCTGTGAGGTTGCAGGACAGACTTGTGTGAACCAACAGTAGAAACAGGGAAGCTGTTGCCAGAGAGTCATGTTACAGTAAGTCAGGAAGGTGGTTTCAGCAAGGCTAGCAGTAATGGCAAAGACAAGTCTCCACATCGATTTCAAAGGAAAATTAAACAGATTTACTGGTAGATTTGATGTAGACTCAGCAAAAGAGAGAATCAAAGATGACCCAACGTTAAGGAGCTGAGCTGAATAATGAGAAAGACTATAAATGAGCAGCATCATTTTGAGGGAAGAATAAGAAATCAAAGTTCTGTTTTAGATAGGTTAAATTTGAAATGCTTATTTGATATCCAAAGAGCTAACACATAGACATTGAGATCACTTAGATCTACATCTAAAGTTTCATGAGGACAATAGGATAGAAATGTGAATGCTATTTTTTAAGTCATGGGCTTGAACGAGCTCACTTCTGAGAGGATCAAGATCCAAGCACAGAGCCCAAGAGCATTCTAAAAACTTAGAGGCCAGAAAGACAATGTCAGCAGAAGAGACCGAGAAGGATCAGCCTATGAGTTACAAGCCAAAACAAAAATCATAACACAAATTTAAAACATGAATCTGGAAGTACTCTGGAAGCCAAGTGAAGAAATGGTTTCAAGTAGGTGGTGAGCAACTCCGTTGAATGCTGCTTAGAGCCCTAGTGAGATGGAAACTGAACTGACCATTATATCAAGGTAATGATTGATCTTGACAAGAGCAGTTTCAGTAGAGTGATAAGATAAAGGCCTAATTGAGTGAAAAAGAATACTAAATAAGAAAGTATAGACAAGAATAGACAAAGCTTTTGAATAGTTTTCTTATAAAGGGGAGCTGAGAAATAAGGTCAGAGGAGGATTTTTTAATGGAAAATATTGCAGACATTTTTCTTGGTAATGGGAATGATCCAGAAAACGGGGGCGGGGTTGGGGTGTATTAGTCCATTCACACACTGCTGTGAAGAAATACCCAAGTCTGGGTAATTTATAAAGAAAAGTGGTTTAATTAACTCACAGTTACACATGGCTGGGGAGGCCTCAGGAAACATACAATCATGGCAGAAGGCATCTCTTCATAGGATGGCAGGAAAGAGAATGAGTGCCAGCAGGGAAAATGCCAGACCCTTATAAAACCATCAGATCTCATGAGACTCACTCACTCTCATGAGAACAGCATGGAGGAAACCACCCCCATGATCCAATTACCTTGGTCCTGCCCTTGACACATAGGGATTATTATAATTCAAGGTGATATTTGGGTAGGGACACAGAGCCAAATCATATCAAGGCAATTGTTGATGAGGGTTAGAGAGGGAGAATTTCAGGTTCAGTGTCTTGTTCAGGTCAGAGAAGACAGTGCCCTATGGTGAGCTAGGGCCTTGGGTTGGATGGGAACACGGTCTACGCCTCTTCAGGAGTACATTTCTATTTCCTCTTTCCTGTAAAAGTGAATTATCCACATCACATTTCTCATAATACCATTAGTTTCCACTCCTACGTTATTTAGTCTATTCTTTTTTACAGCAGTGACAGTGACACTGTTACACTCTTTTTTTTTTAAATTCAGGAGGTAGATGTGCAGGTTTGTTACATGAATATATTGTATAATGGTGGGGACACGCTTCTTTAGAATAATTTATGTTTACTTACAGCTAACTAGCAGTTGACTTATATCGTTGGATGATTGAGACCCAACAAATAAACTGCTTGAAGTCAGAACTTTATTAGATCAGTTTTTCAACACATGGCCTTATGTTCCCTCAGGTGGGGGTCTCTGAGACCCACTCAGAAAATCAACGAAGTCCACATTTTTCCAACTGTATATCTATGTGAGTTCAAATTATCTTCAACCAAAACAACATACAGGAAGATATTGAATGCATGAGCACAAATGAACATAAGAGAACATCTCTTCTATTGAAGAGATTTGCAAACCTCTAAAACAATTCTTTTTCTGATTTGCAAATCTCTAAAATATATTTTGTTTTCAAAGACATAGTCATTGTAAATAAAATGCTGTTTATTTTAACATGTAATGTGTTTTCTATTATTTCTAAGTGAATTAATGATTACATATTTTTAAAATTGCTGTTTTAACTTCTAATATAGTAAACTGGATAGGTGTGAATCATAAAATTCAAAGCTCTTTTGAGCCTTCAATATTTTTAACAATATTTTTAACCCCTTATTTTAGTGTAAGGGGTTCCTGGAACCAAAAACTTTAAGAGTCTCTGTACAAGATAAGCACCAATGTTCCTTGCCATCCTAAAATAACATGCCTTAGCTCTGTGCCATCTCTCCTCAAATTGAAAGCAAATTGAAGGCAAGAATCATGAATTTTTAAAGGCTATTTATTATTTTTCTCTTTATTAAAGATGGATTAAAGACACCTACTTTTTTACATTCTCTTTTTTTTTTTGGAGTCTAATTTTCTCCTTTTTATTTACCAACTTTTTTTTCCCCTGCTACCTTTTTATTATTATTATTACTATTATTATTATTATTATTATTATACTTTAAGTTCTAGGGTACATGTGCACAATGTGCAAGTTAGTTACATATGTATACATGTGCCATGCTGCTGAGCTGCACCCATTAACTCGTCATTTAGCATTAGGTATATCTCCTAAAGCTATCCCTCCCCCGCCTCCCCACCCCACAACAGTCCCCAGAGTGTGATGTTCCCCTTCCTGTGTCCATGTGTTCTCATTGTCCAATTCCCATCTATGAGTGAGAACATGCAGTGTTTGGTTTTTTGTCGTTGCGATAATTTACTGAGAATGATGATTTCCAGTTTCATCCATGTCCCTACAAAGGACATGAACTCATCATTTTTTATGGCTGCATAGTATTCCATGGTGTATATGTGCCACATTTTCTTAATCCAGTCTATCATTGTTGGACATTTGGGTTGGTTCCAAGTCTTTGCTATTGTGAATAGTGCTGCAATAAATATATGTGTGCATGTGTCTTTAAAGCAGCATGATTTATAGTCCTTTGGGTATATACCCAGTAATGGGACAGCTGGGTCAAATGGTATTTCTAGTTCTAGATCCCTGAGGAATCGCCACACTGACTTCCACAGTGGTTGAACTAGTTTACAGTCCCACCAACAGTGTAAAAGTGTTCCTTTTTTACATTCTGTAATTAAAAGTAACTCACAATGGGTGTTCAATAGATATTAGATGGATTCTTAAGTGAGAGACACTTACATAAATGATTAGGAAACAAGGGAAAGGTTTTCAAAGTGAGAGCGCTGGGCCGGCTTCTTAGCACTGAGACTTGAGCCCATTGAAGTTGCTATTTCCTTTGGGTTAGTTAGTATATATGTATTCTGGTGATGGAGAAAGCATTCTTCCCCCTTTAACGTGCCATAAAGTGTAATAATTAAGCTCAAGCACTTTGAGACCAGAAAGTTCTAAATTTAAATCTAATCTCTGTTGAAAAATGTGACCCTGGGTAGAGTGCTGAAGTGGCTTGAACCTAGGATTCACATATCTAAAATTGGAATAATAGTGCATAGCTCAGTTTGTCACATTGCTTTTCTTGTGGACAGAGCTAGAAAAGTGTTACTTAAACTTTTAGTTGCTGGATCATAAGAAGAGGGGATGCGTAACTGGGGCCTAACATTAGGGGCAGTGGGGGAATTCAAGGTCATAGTTATTGACCAACAGGTATAAAAGTATTTCAGTAGTTTAACAGTAGTAATGTATTGCCAAATGGCACGTAAAAACTGAATATCACTTGTAGTCATTGATAAGGGCGATACATGTGTTCACCTCAAGTTCTCACCATATATGTTGTAGTAAAATAATCTCTCAGGTCAAATTCTGCCATTCATCTAAACATTGAGATAACAAGCACAAAAACAGTCATGTAACTTGTTAAGGGAAACCTACCCTCTTCTCTAAGCAACACATTTAGCATTTTGCATAAAAGGACCACTCTGGGCAGATGCAAGGAAGCATGGAGGGCAGAAACAGCAAGTATGTACTAAAATCAGGTGACAAAATCCTCTGTGATGTCGAAGCACATAGAACAAACAGAACTCTAAACCACTGACATGATACTGCTGGGCTTGCTCGATTGATGAAAACCACTCCTGCAAGAGAGTGGGATATGCACAATCTTCCTAATCCATCTTCTTGATCCTATGTTAAATGCCATACATTTCATTAATTAAAAATAATCTGTAATCTCTTATGACAACATATGCCCTCTGATACAGATTTTAAGACTTCCCAAGTCATGAGCACCAAAAGGTTGATTTTTGTTTAAGGGTCTTCAAATATTAAATAATTGCCTCTCTATTAGAGATCTTACTTATTATTACACACCTGCAAAACATTGTTTACACTAAATTATTTTTAACAATCATACAGATAACAAAAACATGATTGTGAAGTCTTTTAACTATCCAGACCAAATGCTGGACCCTCCTGAAAATGTGTCTTCATCCATTTCTCTTTCCATACCTGCAATGAATCTCCAGTGCACTGAACCAGGTAAATTTGCAGTGACAGGCTCAAGAAGTGCCCTGGATCTATTATGCTCAGCAAGTATCAGGATTTCACAGAGATACGCTCTATTCACATGATGACCACAAAGCTGCATACCTGGAGCAAATTGCCTGCAATTCACTTGTTTTTAATCCCTACTAAAGTCAATGGCTTTAGTGGTTTAAGGTGATTAGAATGTAATCTAATTAAAAAACATGAGATGCCACAGACAGAAAACTGCAGAAGTCTCTGTATGTTATAGCAGACATTGTTTTAATTCGCCCATTTTAATTTATAAGCAAATAAAACTAGAAAGGAATTACTATATTCATTAACATTTATTCAGTTTAAGAATATTCTAAATGTTTTATCCTGAATTATATATATTTATATTATATATAAATAAATATCATAATCATTATATATAACTATAATAAAATATTATAAATATTTTATATATATATATATATATATATATATATATATATATATATATATAAATATTTTGAGACAGAGTATCACTCTGTTGCCCCGGCTGGAGTGCAGTGGCATGATCTCGGCTCACTGCAAGTTCTGCCTCCCGGGTTCACGCCATTCTCCTGCCTCAGCCTCCCGAGTAGCTGGGACTGCAGGCGCCTGCCACCATGCTCAGCTAATTTTTGGTATTTTTAGTAGAGACGGGGTTTCAACGTGTTAGCCAGGATGGTCTCGATCTCCTGACCTGGTGATCTGCCCGCCTTCGCCTCCCAAAGTGCTGGGATTACAGGTGTGAGCCACCGTGCCCAGCCTATTATACATATATTTTTTAAGATAGAATCTTGCTCTGTCACCCAGGCTGGAGTGCAGTGGTGCAATCAATCACAGTTCACTGCAGCCTCAAACTTCTGGGCTTAAGGCATTCTTTCACCTCAGCTTCACAAGTAGCTGGAACTACAGGCATGCCCCACCATGCCCAGCTAATTTTTTATGTTTTGTAGAGATAGTTTCTCACTATGTTGCCCAGGGTGATCTCAAACTCCTGGGCTCAAGTAATCCTCCCTCCTTGACCTCCCAAAGTTCTAAGATTACAGGTGTGAGCCACTGCACTGGGCCATGAATTATATTTTATTTATTGATTTGATAATCTGAAAAATGGATTCAGTCCAGGATCCAAGAGCTATTTATCATAAATTAAGTTTGTATAGTTTAATCTTCTCTATATATAAGCTTACCTTAGCATAGGTAATTTCTAATATCCAATTTAAATAAATTCTAAATACTTTTTTAGAGTTTAAGCGAAAAAGTATTAACACTAATATTCCTGTACCTTGCATAGTATGCCATTAGTAGTTTCCACAAGCTTTTGTTCTAACTCCTTGATTATATCAATGTCAAGGTTTTCCCTTCTTCTGCTAAACTGTGCTTCTGTCCCATAATTCCTTGACATGTTTTACAGCGAATACAATGCATAAATATTTGTGTTAGCCATTCATGATTTTTACCAAAACCATCCAGATCTTACTCTTCCGGGCACTTAGTAGGATTGTACTTCCTGGTCCCTTTGAGGAAGAGCAAGGTAGTATAACATCCTAGCCACTGAGTCATAAGTAAAAGTGACATGTCACCCTCTCAAGTCAAAGCATGTATTACATACATGAAAGCACCTAGAGCTGTCTTTATTTCTGCCATAGTGACCGCAAAGCTTCAAGATGGTGGCTATTTTGTTTGCCTGGTCTCTGAGTGACCACCGAGAGCAGAGCCCACCAGCTGATCTATGATGAACATGTAGCTTGAGGAAGAAAGAAATCTTCTTTGTTTTCAGCTAATCATAATTGGACTGTTTATTATTTCAAGGTAATGGAACCTATCCTGCCTGAACCTACTCCAGCCATGTGCAGTTTCAATTCCTTCCTCAGGCCTTGGTCCCCAGTCTTAATCTAGCAAGGTAAGCTGCACATCATAAAGGCTTTATAATCACCCCTTTGTCCATCTCCCTTGAAATTAGGCCAGGACCAAGTTCCAGCGGACTTCTTTTATTATTTTTCAGAGCATAGTCCTTTTCTAGCATTGCTTCTAAAGCTGAAGTCACTTCCTAAGATAACAATACATTAAATCCTACTAATCACTCTACAAACAAACAATGTTTTTCAAAGTATGTCTTAGAAAAACAGAGTTGGTCCCACCAACAATTTCCTTTTGAAGTGTCCATACTTAAATTTAATCGTGTGTGTGTGTGTGTGTGTGTGTGTGTTTAGCCTTCATTGCATTTTCTTAATTTGGGGAACTGTTAAGAATGATTCCTCCCCAATTCTAACAGATTTTAGCTGTCAATCATGTTGGCTGGGAATGTTAGGTGGCTCACACCTGTAATCCCAGCACTTTGGGAGGTCAAGGCGGGAGAATTGCTTGAGCCCAGGAGCTGGAAACCAGCCTGGGCAACATAGTGAAACCTCATCTCTACTAAAACAAAACAATAATAACAATAACAAAAAGGGATATGGGTGTCACTCAGGCTAGCCAGTCAGAGTACATTACTATGAGAAGAACATAGTTGACACAAGGACAGGCACTGGGCCTAAACAAGGCCAGCCATAAGCCCTTTGAGTGGTTGACACACATTCTGGCCCAATAAGGGCTGTGCTCTTTTTCCGTAAGATCACAATGTGTAAGGATGATATACATATACATACTAGTCTACCAGGGATCATCCTATTGTTACATGGAGAAAGCATGCTCAAAAAAGGAAATGAAACTAAAACTGAGAAAAAGAGTTGTATTGAGGGGTGTGGGGGGATGGTGAGAACAGGTATTTCTGATGACATCAACTGACTCCTTTTAGTTGTATCATGCCTAAGTTTTGGATCTCCTAATTTTGAGGAGGCTTATATTTTGTGTTTGTTATTTGTTTTGTTTTGCTGGAGCTAGTTTTAGTTGGCTTATCAACAAAAGTGTCTTTTCCCCTGACTCCTCTTCTCCCACATATCTACATGGATTCTCCTCACATCCCTTTTGGATTTCTAAGTAAAAACAGTCACCAACACAGAGGGCTCTGGCCTGGCCACATTGATGTACATAACATTTTCACTTTTGTACTTCTTATAAGTTTGTGTTTGTTTGCCATGATCCTGTAGAAAGCAAAGTTTTTAGATTGTAGTTCATTGTTATATCTCTCATAAGTGTCAATATATATTTGTCAAATACAGGAATAGATAAATAAATGTGTGTTCTTTCCCCACTATGACCACATTAGTTGTCTTACCTAATTCTACTTTTCCCTGGATTCATAAGATCTTTATCTATATGGCAAATATGAAAATACTTTTATGACAAAATTTAAACTAGTCATGACTTTAACTTTCCCTCTTCTTCTGCCTAAATACAGTTTTTTGCAGTAGATTGTTCTTGCTGTCTAGCTACATTCTAAGAAGCTACACTACTTTTCAAAATCACCTGAATTATTTAGTAAATTACACTTTCAGTAAATTTTTATAGGTTTAATACTTAAATACTTTGAGGGACTAATTTATCGAACTGTGCCCTTGTGGCAATGAAAACAAAAACCAACTTCTTCCAAAAGTCTCTACGTCCCTGACAGGGAGTAGCTAAGACAAAGAGGTAAATTTTATTTTGTTATCTAATTTTTACTTTTTTATCACTACTCAGCCTCACAAACCCTTCCCCCAAACTACTTTCCTGTTCTGTATTCACTGACAGCACAGTTGACCATGCAAATCAGATAGATACTAGATAGATAGATAGATAGATAGATAGATAGATAGATAGATAGATAGATAGATAGATAGATGTATATATGCATTACACACACACACACACACACACACACACACATATACACATACCCTTGCATTCACTTATGAAATGGTGTATTGCCTCAAGAATTATATCAGAACAAAAAAAATGAAATCCAAAATTAAAAATGGATTATGAGTATTGAGAACACACCTCTTTTTCCTCTTTTCCAAATCTCCTCAGAAAGGGAAATTGTTTTAAAAGGCCAATCCACAAAGGAGAGAGCAGAGGCAAACCAGTAATACAGATTTAGACGTCGAAATGCAGATGCATTTGAGTAAGCCAAAGCTTAAATTGCAATGAGGAATTTCAAGGGGCAACTCAGTTTACCATCCAGAATTACCAAAGTGCTGTGGAATTGGTAGCTTCCAGTCCTTCTAGAGACTGTGGAGAAAAGAACTATTTCTTATTAATAAGTGACATCTAGGCATTTGCCCTTCAAAAGAAAACTAGTTAGTTTCTGCTTTGAGGAATATGTACAGTATGGCTACACAGCCCTGCCAGAACATCCTGTAGTAAAGCTCGCAGTGAACAAATCCAATCATGTTCTCAAAGTCCTCAGCCAGCCTTTAAGTTCCTCGCTGTTACAGGCGAGCAGCATCATAGATTATGAGACACTTGAAGGAAGCCTCTACGAAAAAATCAAGGCCGAGTAAAAACAGAAAAGGGTAATTTAAAGGGAACAGAGACCATGAAGTGTTAGTATGCATATATTAAAAAGGAAAATATTATAATAATAAAATTAGACCCAGATACTATCAAAATGAAGCATTAAGATAATAAAAAAGAAGTGCCCTTGAAAATTAAAGAAAATTATAGCAAAAGGTTTTAAAATATTCATATGTTAAAAGGCAGAATTTAGGACACCTGTTATTTTTTAAAAGTTTTTAAAAGGGGATGAAAATAAGAGATAAAAGATAAAACTAAATCAGCAGACCATTGCACAAATTTCAGTAGCCAAAAGATAGCAGTTCCAAAACAAATGAACAGCAAAAACTGAGGAAAAGAAATACTCTCTGAAACAATTAAGAGATCTTCCACAAATAAGACCATGAGTTTGTACATTGAAAGGACCCATCTATTGCCCAGCATGAAGGAAGAAAACAGACTAACTCAGCCATTTTATCTTTCATTTTTTTTTTAATTATACTTTAAGTTCTAGGGTACATGTGCACAATGTGTAGGTTTGTTACATATGTATACATGTGCCATGCTGGTGTGCTGCACCCATTAACACGTCATTTAACATTAGGTATATCTCCTAATGCTATCTCTCCCTGCTATCCCCACCCCACAACAGGCCCCAGTGTGTGATGTTCCCCTTCCTGTGTCCATGTGTTCTCATTGTTCAATTCCCACCTATGAGTGAGAACATGCAGTGTTTGGTTTTTGGTTCTTGCGATAGTTTGCTGAGGATGATGGTTTCCAGCTTCATCCATGTCCCTACAAAAGACATGAACTCATCATTTTTTATGGCTGCATAGTATTCCATGGTGTATATGTGCCACATTTTCTTAATCCAGTCTATCATTGGACATTTGGGTTGGTTCCAAGTCTTTGCTATTGTGAATAGTGCCACAATAAACATACATGTGCATGTGTCTTTATAGCAGCATGATTTATAATCCTTTGGGTATATATGCAGTAATGGGATGGCTGGGTCAAATGATATTTTTAGTTCTAGATCCCTGAGGAATCGCCACACTGACTTCCACAATGCTTGAACTAGTTTACAGTCCCACCAACAGTGTAAAAGTGTTCCCATTTCTCCACATCCTCTCCAGCACCTGTTGTTTCCTGACCTTTTAATGATCACCATTCTAACTGGTGTGAGATGGTATCTCCTTGTGGTTTTGATTTGCATTTCTCTGATGGCCAGTGATGATGAGCATTTTTTCATATGTCTTTTGGCTGCATAAATGTCTTCTTTTGAGAAGTGTCTGTTCATATCCTTCACACACTTTTTGATGGGGTTGTTTGTTTCTTTCTTGTAAATTTCTATACTACAAGGCTACAGTAACCAAAACAGCATGGTACTGGTACCAAAACAGAGATATAGATCAGTGGAACAGAACAGAGCCCTCAGAAATAATGCCACATATCTACAACTATCTGATCTTTGACAAACCTGACAAAAACAAGAAATGGGGAAAGGATTCCCTATTTAATAAATGGTGCTGGGAAAACTGGCTAGCCATATGTAGAAAGCTGAAACTGGATCCCTTCCTTACACCTTATACAAAAATTAATTCAAGATGGATTAGACCTAAAACCATAAAAACCCTAGAAGAAAACCTAGGCAATACCATTCAGGACATAGGCACGGGCAAGGACTTCATGTCTAAAACACCAAAAGCAATGGCAACAAAAGCTAAAATTGACAAATGGGATCTAACTAAACTAAAGAGCTTCTGCACAGCAAAAGAAACTACCATCAGAGTGAACAGGCAACCTACAGAATGGGAGAAAATTTTTGCAATCTACTCATCTGACAAAGGGCTAATATCCAGAATCTACAATGAACTTATCTTTCATTTTCAAATCACTAAAGACAAAGAACAGCTCACCTAAGCTTCCACAAAAGGAGAAAAAAAAGTCACATACATTGGATGAGGGACTAGTAAGGCTTCATATTTCATAGCAAGAAAACTAAAATATATACACAAAAATTATTTTAAATTTAAAATTCTATATCTAACCAAACTTGCACCTGTAAGATATCCCATTCAAGGCTCAGTGCAGGAAACAGAGACAACCATAGTTAGTGTTAACTAGTATGGCAGGGTATCAAATGACTGAAGAAACAGACTTTATGTTGGGCTTTCAGGAATGACTTTGTGAGCTTTGCTAACAAACCAGGCCACCAAAGGACTACTACCTCCTCGTCTATTCAAAAGTTACCACACTCAGGAAGCCTCCATGATCAAAATACACCTGTCCACAGTGGTGCTTTCCAACAAAGCTTGGTGATTCCTCATTAATAAATTTGAAATTTGTGTAAGTGTATCTTATTTGTACAAATTACAGGACTTTTAGAACCCCACTGTGTGGAAGTCTCGAAAATATGATTTTTAGCTTTCCATACACTAAAAGACATTTGGAATTCATGCTGAATAACAAGTCATTGTACCCATGATGCAAAGTCTCAAAAACATATTTCCCAAGTATTCTTTCTCTTGAAGTTGCTGGAGGGCACATTTCATCTCTCTAAACCTAGAGACAGTAAGACATATACAGAAAACAAGAGACACAACAACATGGGCAGAAGATGAGAAGACCTCCCAGGCAAATCCAGGATAACAGCTGTGTCCCAGGCAAGGAGGGCAAACTAGCATTGGAGCAAGTGAGAAAGTTTTGAGAAAGATTTGTTCAGAAAGATGGAACAAATAGAATACCTGAGGTGTCTGCAGTCTTGGTTTTAGTGAATAACCAATTTGAGACTGGATTAATGAGAAACACATTGAAAACTAAGCAAATGATAAACATGACAGTTTCGGTTGGGGAGTGGTGGGAAAGTGAGCAGGAAAGGAAAGTTATCGAAATTTCTACTCACATATATGATATATCCTCAGAAAAGAAAACAAAAAGCATTAACTCCTCTTCTTCTCTGTGGCTTAAAGTTGAAAAACATCAAGGAGTAATAATAAGCATGTTATTTCAGGCATAGAAGCAAGTATTAAAATAACTAAAATTAAGTGAGTGTAATTGCCTTTAGGGAAAGAAATTAGGGGAAAAGAGTGGCATGGATTTCTGTTTTCTGTATCTAATCATATAGAATTGTTTGACTATTACAACTACAAGCATTTAAATGTTGAGTAAAAATTAAAACGTGGGGGAGGATTTGAGAAATAAATTATAGCTCTTTATGTAACCCTATTCTTAAAATAAATCTATTCTACAAAGGCATACAAACATTTTTAAAATTAATCTCACAATCAATTCCTCTTTCAATCTTGGCTACATCTGAAATAGCAAAGGCTGCTACAAGTCTAGAAACAAGATGACATATGATTCAGCAGTAGCTTTAAAAAAGTTCATATGCTATTGGCTTTTGAGAATTCATTAATCATTCACTAGATGGGGCTAACACACTGTGGAGAGGTGATGACTAAACTTCCATTTTGTAAGTAATAACTGCATTTGAAAGGAAATATACTCTGTAGATTTGTTAGGTAAAACTTTGCAATTAGACAACATTATTTAAATTCTATTTTATAATATAAACAGAAATTGTTCACTTGTAATAAAAAGGCAAAGTATTATAGGATTTTAGATTAAAAAAAAAAAAAAAACCTTTAGTTGTTATCTAGTTGAACTTTCCAGTTGTATGTATAGGAAAACTGGTCCAGAGAAAAAGCTCTTGCCTGACATAGAGCTAGGTATAGTGCCCAGGCCAAATATCCAGATCTGCTCAAAGAAAAAAGCCTACTCTCCTGAGCCATATAGGCAAAAAGCTTACATAACGAAAGTGTATTGAGCATTGTGTTGAGACACTGGGTTTAGGGAAGATATAAAGATGAATCAGAATCTCATCCCATTCTGAGGCTCTTGGGAAGGGGTGAGCCTTCACAGAATGTGGGGGAAAATGTAAACAATATGTGGCAAGAGTGCAGGGTTTGGTAAATTAAAAATGGCCAAAAGTTATTTTCTAGTCTTCATATTGAGAGATAAAGCTTAATTTGGTTCCTTTCATGACTGGCCTGGCATTACTGACTTGTTTGGCCTATAGAAGGCAGTGAAAGTGGGATTTGGGATTTCCTTAACCTGGCTTCCAAAGTTATGAAGTCAAGCAGCTTCCACCTGAGCCTTTTAGAATGTTTGCTTTCAGGATGCTTGCTTTTAAAATCTGCTTACCCTCCTGCGAGTTGCCTAAGTGCTGTGGAAAGACCACCTATAGTTGCTGAGACCTAACAAACAAATGAAGAATGCATGCATTATTTTAAAAATGATACTGATACAACTATCTGTAAAAAATCAAAAGCAAAATAGATACCTTTATCCCATTATACTCCCATTATACATTATAAAACATAAATTGCAGGTAAATTATATATTACAATGTAGTACTTAAAATTTAGAAGAAATAACCAAGTGAAATTTCTCTAATCTGTAGATAGAAACACTTTTGTATATAAAAGTAATGAGAAAAAATTACAAAGCAAAATATCTGTCAACTTTAACTATAAAAATAATTTGTTAAAACTTCTAGACATAGAGAAATGACTAGGAGTTAAAAAAAATTATCCAGAATAAAATGTTTCATTAAAAAAAAAGATTAATGAGATATAATTTCCGTCTTAAAAAGAGTGAACAAATTAATGAGAATTATATATATCCAACAAATATAACAGATTCAAAGCAAGGTAAGAGTGTGAAAGAAGAGAGGTTGACTGCATGTTTAATGTGTAAGCTTTTCAAATTAGGAATTAGTCATGGTTTTCTTTTAAAATGTAATCTTAACAAGGGTAGGGTGAGTCCACTAGTGTGTGGGTGCAAGAAAGCTAAACGGATGTTAGACTGCCTTTAAATAGTTTTCTATTGAGAAACCCTATTTCAGCATTGAAATACATAAACTTCCTAATGTTTAATCACTAATATAAACTTTATTAAAATGAAATACATTTTACCCTTATCAAAATACATTTACCAGTTAGATAGGCAAAGACTTAAAAAATTGATAACACTTAATTTTGGAGACTTTGCAGAGAAGCACTCTCATTCACACCCAGTCACTACTGATGACAACATAAACAGGCCTAAACTTTCTTTCTATAAAATTGGAAAACATACATTCTGTTTGAATTGGCATTTAATTTCTGAAATTAATCATAAACGTTGATGTATTAATACACAAATATGCAATGTTTTCTTTACAAGGATATTATATTATAGCATTATTTATAATAGTAAAATATTTGAACCTAAATGCATAACAACTGTAGAGTGGACACAATAAATCTTTACGCTAGTCTCCCCTTGGGTTGTTTACCCACACTTTCATGTGTTAGAAACCATCCTTTACTCTTGTCTACCTGTAAATAACAAAAGAATCCTAGCAGCCACTTTACACAATGACCTTATGCCTTAAACCTCATTAAAATGAGGTGAGTGTAATCACCTTCAGGAAAAGAGTGTAGCAGGGAATGTTGTATTTTGTATCTAATCATGTAGATTTATATAACTATTTCAATTACGTGAATTCATATGTTGGGTAAAAATTAAAATTTGGGGGAGGATTTGAGAAATAGGTTACAACTCTTCATATTACCCTAATTTTAAAATAAATCTGTTCCTCAAAGGCATGCAAACATTTTCCAAAATAATTCCCAAAGAAATTCATGTCCTGACTCTGGCTATATCTAAAATAGCAGAAGTTCAGACCTCACCTAAATTGGTTCAGTGTTTTGTAGACCAGGAAGAGGTTACCAATGACTAGAAAAATAGAATGATTACAAGCTAAATTCCAATACATGATTATTCGTTGAGGCTGCAAATAATTCCTCCAACATCTTTTGCAAGTCAAATATTTGAATGAGCATTGGGTTTGATGATACAAGCATCCAGTTTTAAACAAAGCATTGACATTTCATTAAAAGTATCATCACTGAAGATGAAACCTTCGAAGTTAAGTTGGCAGCTAGCTATAAGTATTTGGTTTGCGAACTTTCTTGTATTCAGGTACAAATATCATGTCCAGTCATATGCACCAGAAGATCTTCAGTGGATCCATGAGAGACCATTGTTACCCTAAAGCCACTTGAATTGTGCGAAATCCAATTACCTCTAACACCTACAGGCCATCCTGTGAAGAAATGATTTCAACCCTCCATCCCTCAGGCTCATGTGAAGTAACTGAATGCTGATCTATTCTCCTACAGAAAATTTTGTTTGTGACCCCAAGCTGGAGAATCCAATAACTTGGATGTAGAAATTGTGACAAGGAATTGAATATTTTTATTAGATCTAATGAAGCTGTGTTTACATTACACTTTCTCTGTGTCACCTGGAAACAAATCTGAAAACTCTCTGGGTATAGTACTGGATGTCATATGTTCATTCCTTGTTATTAAAATAGCTGTGAGAATTCTCATTGTCTTACTTTTACCACCAAGCCTCATCCCTCTAAGCAGAATTTGATGTACAGTATATTATGTTCAAATATAATATCTTTGTTATTAATCAAAGTTTCCTTCCCCATATTTCCTGATGCCTCTATTTTTTCCCGACATTCAGGTAGCAATGACAGTTTTATATTTACACTACCTTCAAAGGGTGACCAAGAACAGATAGTCAGTTCTTGACCTATAAAATTCTTTCTTCCAGTTCACCCTGTGACTTACTAAGGAAAATGATTTCCCTGGAATCACGGGTTGTTACAGAAGGAGAAAGATATTGCCTCAGCAGAAATTACAAGATGCAGAATCTGGATGAATAATCACTACTGTGGGTTAAGAAATTCCAGTAACCACATCTTTTGAGTTTCTCATAAGCTTTTCATTTAGTCAAAGTATGCAGCAAACATGTGCCTTGATGTACAGCACTTTAGATAACTGATTGAAGTTCATTTCTGCCTCACATGATTAAGTCTTATACCAAGTCATTATGCCATTTTACCTGTTCTTAGCACAGTAGAAATTTATCTTTATGAGCAATATTTTCCACTTATTTTAGCCCAATAAATGTTTACATACTTAGATAAAATAAATACATAATATATTTATATGAAATATCTACATTCATAACCATGTTGTAACATGTTATTTTGGGTCAGTAATAGAGTAATATTAAAGACTAACTTATTGATTTCTACATTTCCCCCCCCCATGCTATATATAAAAAATAGCATCATATGTAGCATGATGAATTATCTCATGAGATAAAGATAAAATAATGCATATTTGGAGTCAGCAAATTTGTGTTTAAAACATGTTTTCACCCAGCACTAACAAGGTTATCATGGGTAAGTCAATTTACCTCTCTATGAAATGTTGTATTCATTAATAATGATAATAATAATAGTAATAGTGAAAGAATAACCTCTAATAAGTACTTTATGCCAGGCACTGTCCTAAGCACTTTTCATGTAGTAATTCATTTGATTCTCATAAAAACCTTTGATTTTGATAACTATTTAAGTCTCATAAGTGAAAAGTCTGAGACACAGAGAGAGTACTAACTTGAATAAGGTAGCATAGCTATATGTGACACATCAATAATTTGAATTCAGGAAGCATGCATCAGAGTCTACACACTCAATACTACTCTATATCACCTCTCTTAAAGTTAAGAATGGAATTAAGTAGATTTTTTAAAAAGTTTTCCCAATGTATAAATAGAGAACATATGTAAAACACTCAAGCCAAAAAGGAATTGACAGGGTAGAATATCAGTATTTGGTGTCGTAATAATTTGTAGTTGTATGATATAAAAACATTAGATTTATTAAACAATAGTCTATTAGTATCACATTTATTTAAAAGAACAGCAGAGAGGCATGGTTCTAATACCTAATTAGTGGCTGGACTTGTAGTTTTCATATCCACTATGTCATCTGTTCCTAATTATGACTACTAAAAAAAAGTGTTTCTAGTTAACAGTTCATGGTGCTAAGCTAGGAGAGGTTAAATAATTTGCCTCCATCCCAGAACAAGGAAGTGGAAGAGCCAGGACTTTTCCCCTGGTTCTGCCCTTAAGAGCTCACTACATCATTCAGCAAAACCTCAACAGATGGCACTGAGTCACTAAAGTCCAAGTGACATGCAGTTTTTGAAGGTTATAAAAAGCACTATCATACTACATTGTACACATGTTAAATAGTAGGGTCTAAGTTGTATTTTACTGGAAATTATGGTACATCATGAACTTATGACTGAAACAATTAGTAACAGCTCATAAAATCTTCATTGCCATAAGAGTTACACATTTTTATCATCCTGTTGAATTAGGAGCAAAACATGATTAAAATTGGGGTCAGTGTAAATGACATTTCTATAACCATAATTATTGCATTCTTGTAAGTTATTTTGTATAGATGAAAGAGAAAGGGTTACATTAGATATAAAAAAAAACTTGGTGTAATAGTTTATTTTTACCCTTCAATTAAAAAGAAATCTTGCCATGGAATACAGATAAAACCCATCCTATGGAAAAATATTTTCACTGACAAAAAGATACAATTGAAAGCAGTTTTCCATTTCTATAGTTGACTAATTTAGCTGAATGTAATAAACTGATGATAATAATTATGTTATAGATAATCAAAAGGTACAAATCTTCAGTTATGAACAAGTTCTGATGATCTAGTGTACAGCATGAGTGGTGATGGATGTGTTAATTGATTGTAATAATTAATATAATATTTTCATATTCAATGTATATGTGTATCAATCACATTGTACATTTTGAATATATATAATCCTTATTTTTCAATTAAATATTTTAAATCCTTTTAAAAAGGAACTGAGGCCCCAAGAGGGCAAGTGACATGCTCAAGTTAACCCAACCAGTCAGTGGCAGAGTTGGAGTTTGACCACAATAAATACTAATTAATTTAGAAAGGGGTATAATTCAGGAAACCAGAAATGAAAGGCATTTTTAAAAGTTTCATGAAGACAGTAAAAAACTAGGATTGGAATTGCAGGAATGGTGATGAAAGGCAGTATTGATTAGTGGTTGAATATCTGGGTACTGGCATGAAACTATCTAAATTTAAATCTAATCTTTATCAGTTATTTGCTGTGACTTTAGTGGAGGGCATACAAAGTTTAGGTCATAGACTCTTTACCTATAAAGTGGTGATGATTATAAAAGCACCTCTGAGTTATTGTGAGAACTTAGTGAGTTAAGGTCATAATCTTTATAGGAGAATGCATGAGATATAATAAATATTAAATTAGTATTAATTATTATCAGGATGACTTTTTTAAGTTACAGAGTGGTCAACTTTCATATATTGATAAAGAGATGAGACCATCTAGGGAAAGTACCTAGTGTAAGAAGATGACCTAAGGGAGGTTTTTTAATTATTCAACATTGAAAGAATTGATGCTGGGAAACAGGTCCCATGAAGAGATTATTAATAAGAAATATTCGAAGAATTAAGGAGAAAGATTGAAAATGCTAATGTCATAAAAAGCCAACTGTTTTAGCAGCAAATTCTAGAGAAATGGTAACGCAAGTCCTTTATTTTCTGTAAGATTTCCTTGAAGATAATATGTTTCCAGTTTTATTGGGGCATAAGCTGCATAAAATAAAATTCAGCCTTTTTTATTTTTTTTTCTGAGACGGAGTCTCATTCTGTCACCAGGTTGGAGTGCAGTTGTGATCTTGGCTCACTGCAACTTCCAACTCCCTGGTTCAAGCAATTCTCCTGCCTCAGCCTCCGGAGTAGCTGGGATAACAGGCACGTGCCACCACGCCCAGCTAATTTTTATATTTTTAGTAGAGACAGAGTTTCACCATGTTGGCCAGGATGGTCTCAATCTCCTGTTCTCATGATCTGCCTGCCTCTGCCTCCCAAAGTGGTGGGATTACAGGCATGAGCCACTGGGCCCGGCCAAAATTCAGCCATTTTAACTGTACAGTCTGACATGTTTTGGCAATTGTATACAGACATGTAACTGCTAATAAAGAATGACTTTTAAATGGTAAATTCATGACTCCCATACAAATATAAAATAAACATTTGTCAAAGATTTTATTTAATTCAGTAATTAATAAGAGAACCAGAAACACACTATACCCATTCAAAGGAGAATACAAAAATCATGTGAGCACATCAGGAATGTTAAACTGAATTTGCTAATAAATGAAAAGATATCAAAACTGGTAAATATCCACAAAGCAATAATCAATTGCTATCCATGAGACAAGTCTCCATTTCTATTAATAAGAACTATTTCCCCTATTAGTAGTTTTCTACAACTTACAGAGTTGGAAAATATATTAAAAAATTGAAAGTCACAGAAACCTTATACAGCCAAATAACTCAGAATAATGTTCTCTAAACAATCCATAGTTCCATTGAAAATTCGGCAATCTTTTAATCCATTTAAAATTCTTTCACAATTTTCCCACACTACCACCACAATCAAAATGTACAATATTTCCATTCTCAATAAAATTTTGCATTTCTTTTCTGTGATGCATGAAAGATAGAAATCAAATACGTTAAACTTCAGCTTTCAACCTAGAGAGTTTCTAGGCTGTGGGGCAGGAAAAGAAACATTCACCCAGAGTTAAACAGAGCTGGGAGTATAGAGAAGCAAATCAAATATATATACGTGTGTGTGTGTGTGTGTGTGTGTATATGTATATATACACATATATATACATGTATATATATACACATATATATACATGTATATATATACACATATATATACATGTATATATATACACATATATATACATGTATATATATACACATATATATACATGTATATATACACATATATATACATGTATATATATACACATATACATGTATATATATACACATATATATACATGTGTATATATATACACATATATATACATGTGTATATATATACACATATATATACATATATATATAATGACCAAGTAGAATTTAGCACAATAATGCAAAATTGGTTTACTATTCAAAATCAGTCAATGTAACTTTACCATATCAAGAGACTAAATTAGAAAAACCATAAGATCATCCAAATTGAGGCAGAAAGGCATTTGAAAAAAAATACCCATAACCGATTAAAAATAAGCAAACAAAAACATACTGTTAGGAAATTACAAAAAAAAAAAAATGAAACACCCTCAATCTCATGAAGTGAATCATGCAAAAAAACTTGCACCTATCATATCCCATCTACCAGCACCTATGCCCACACACATCATCAGTGGGCCTGAGAAAAGACCCACCCTGTTGGCAGCATCCCTCCCAATGCCTGGGTATATTGTCCAAGGGGACTGGGGATTGTTCTGCCTCACCTGCTGCCATCAGAGCCCACTAATGCCTCCTGTGAGCTGAGGAGAGGCCACTGAGCCTGTCACCACCACTGCCGCCAGTACTCACCTTCATGTGCCACCTGGAGGCCTGGGAACTGGCCTTCCAAGTCCACTGCTGCCACTACTGTGCCCATGTATGCCACAGGAAGGTCCCAAGATGTACCCACTACTTCTACTGCCATCACCAATGCCATGCCTGCTTCCCAGAGGCCTAAGAACCTGCCTGCCCATCCAGTCCACAATTGCCCCTGCTGGCACCTAAGCAAGTTACCTGGAGGCCCAAAGATCAGCCCACCCAGATTCTTTACCACTGGAGTCCACATACACTACTTGAGGGCCCAAGGTCTGGCACACCACTGCTGCCACCACTAATACCTAAGGACTGACCCACCTGGTACCCCTCTCCCCAGCAAAGCTCCACTGCACCCTTCATTAACAATCACACTCTAAGCCACCGAAGAACTTAGATACCACTGATACTCAATAACAGCTGAAGAGATCATATGGAGTATATACTATTGAGCCCACCCAAAATCAAAGCCAAAGTACCATATCCAATGTACTCTACAGATATGTCCATAAGAAAATATATATTCCTATGAAAGCCAATTCATAAAATTTGAAGAAGTGATACCTGCTATACCAAATGTGCAGATATGAACATAAGGACAGAAGAAACATGAAAAAGAAACAAAGAAACATGACATCTCCAAAGGGACACAATTATTCTCCAGCAATAGGTTCCACGAAAAAAGAAATCTATGAAAAAATTGAAAAAGAGTTCAAAATGATGATATAAAAGAAGCTCAATGAGATGGAAATGAAAAAACATAAAAAATACAAAGAAATTAGAAAAACAATTCATGATCTAAAGGAGAAATTTAACAAAGAGTTAGATTCAGAAAAATGAAGCAAAAACCCTGGAACTGAAGAATTTAATAAATGAAATTTTAAAATACAATAAACAGTTTCAACAATAGACTAGATGAAGCAGAAGAAAAAATTTCTAAACCTGGAGACAAGTCTTTAAATTACCCAATTATGCTCAAAAGAAAGGAAATCAGTATATCAAAGAGATATCTGCACTCCTATGTTTGTCGCAGCACTGTTTCCAATAGCTAAAGTTTGGGGCAACCTAAGTGTCCATCAACAGATGAATGCATAAAGAAAATGTGGTGCATATATACACTGGATAACTATTTGGCCATAAAAAGAATGAGATCCAGTCATTTGCAACAATATGGATGGAACAGAGATCATTACATTAAGTGAAATAAGCCAGTCACAGAAAGACAAGCATCACATGTTCTCACTTATTCGTGGAATCTAAAGATCAAATCAATTGAACTCATGAATATAGAGAGTATAAGGATTGTTACCAGAAACTGGGAAGCGGGGGTGGGAGGAAGGTGGAGACAATGAATGAGTACAAAAAAAAAATAGTGAATAAGACTTCCTATTTGATAGCACAATAGGGTGACTGTAGTTAGTAATAAATTACTTGTATATTTTTAAGTAACTTAAAGAATGTAATTGAATTATTAAACTCAAATGATAAATGTTTGAGGGGATGGATAAAAAATAAAGTAAAATAAAACTACCCAGTTAGATAAAGAGGAAAATAATAAAGCAATAAAAAACAATAAATAAATCTTACGTGACATAGGGGACATCATAAAGTAACCAAATGTTTGAACTAGGTGTTCTAGAAGGAGAAGAGATGAATGGGCAAAACATATAAAATCGTTTAAACAAAATAATAGCAGAAAACTTCCCAAGTCATGTAACACATATAGACATTCAGATAGGGGAAACTTAAAAATTTCCAAATTGATTTAACACAAAAAGATCTTCTCCAAGGTATATTAGAATCAAATTTTCAAAAGTCAAACAAAGGGAGAATTATAAAAACAGCAATTATTATAAAAGAGATAATGTCAAGTCATACATAAGGGAATCCTCATCAAACTAACAGCAGATTTCTCAGCAGAAATTTTACAGGCCAGGTGAGAATGGGATAATGTATTCAAAGAACTGAGAAGAAAAAAAAAATGCTAGCCAAGAATACAATACACTGCAAAGCTTACCTTCAAAAATGAAGAAGACATAAAGTCTTTCTCAGACAACCAAAAACTGAAGGAATTCATCACCAATCAACCAACCCTAAAGAAATACTTAAGTGAATTTTGCATGTGGAGAAAAAGATAATATTTACAATTATGAAAACACACAAAAGCATAAAACCCACCGGTAAAACAGACACACAAGTGAGAAAGAGGAATGAATCAAATGTTACCACTATATAAATCCACCAAACCACAATGATAAACAATAAAAAGGGAAGAAAAAATTACAGGATATATAAAACAATCAGAAAACAAATAACAAAACGATGGGAGTAAATCCTCATTTATCAATAACCTTGAATGTAAGTGTACTAAATTTCCCACTTAAAAGACAGAGACTAGCTGCATGAATTTTAAAAAAAATGACAATTATATGAAGCCTATAAGAAACTCACTTACCTCTAAAGACACATATAATCTGAAAGTGAAAAGGTATAAAAAGATTTCATGAAAATAGCAACAAAAGGTGAGCAGGAGTAGCTATATTTATATCAGATAAAACAGACTGGCTGGGCACAGTGGCTCATGCCTCTAATCCCAACAATTTGGGAGGCCAAGGCGGGCAGATGACGAGGTCAGGAGTTTGAGACCAGACTGACCAACATGGTGAAATCCCATCTCTACTAAAAATACAAAAATTAGCCAGGGGTGGTGGCGCATGCCTGTAATCCCAGCTACTCAGAAGAATCGCTTGAACCCGGGAGGCAGAGGTTGCAGTGAGCTAAGATCGCACCACTGTACTCCAGCCTGGGCGACAGAGGGAGATTTTGTCTCAAAAAAAAAAAAAAAAATTATTCAATTCAAAAGCTGTAAAAAGAAACAAAAAAAGGATATTATATAATGTTAAAGGAATCAATTTAGCAAAAGGATATAACAATTCTAAATATAAATGTACCCAACAAGAGGGCACCCAGATATATATAGAAAATATTATTAGATCTAAAGAGATAAATTGCCACCAATACAATAATAGTTGAGGACCTCAACACCTCACTCTTAGCATAGGGCAGATCACCTAGACCAAAAAAAAAAAAAAAATCAACAAAGAGACACTGGATTTAAACTGCACTTTAGACCAAGTAGATCTAACAGATATTTACAGAACATTTCATCCAACAGTTGAAGAATACACATTCTTCTCACCAGCATATGGAACATTCAACAGGATAGACCATATGTTAGGCCACAAAACAAGTCTTAATAAATTTTTTAAAACTAAATTATATTAAGTATTTTCTAGGACTGCAATAGAATAAAACTAGAAGTTAATAACAAGATAAATTTTGAAAACCTGCAAATACATGGAAATTTAACAGCATGCTCCTAAATAACCATTTGATTAATGAAGAAATTAAGAAGGGAATAAAAGAATTTTTTGCAATGAACAAAAATGAAAATACAACATACTAAATCCTATGAGATACAGCAAAAGCAGTGCCTACAGGGAATTTTATAGGAATTAACACCTATAGCAAAAAAGTAGAATGATTTCAAATAAACAACCCTAACAATGCACCTCAAGGAACTAGAAAAGAAAAAAAATTAGTAGAAAAAAATAAGAATCAAAGCATAACTATACATAAAATGTAAAAAGCAAAGGAAAAACAAAACATAAACAAGTTTGCAAAATAACCAGCTAGCATCATAATGACAAGATCAAATCCACACATAATAATACTAACCTTAAATGTAAATAGACTAAATACCCCAATTAAAAGACACAGAATGGCAAGCTAGATAAAGAATCAAGACCCACCAGTATGCTGTCTTCAAAAGACCCATCTCACATACAAAGACCACATAGGCTCAAAATAAAGAGATGGAAGAAAAATTACCAAGCAAAAGGAAAATAGAAAAAAACAGGGGTTGCAATCCTCGTTTCTGAAAAGACAGATTTTAAACCAACAAAAATCAAAAAAGACAAAGAAGGGTATTACACAATGGTAAACGGTTCAATTCAACAAAAAGAGCTAACTATCCTAAATATATATGCACCCAATACAGGAGCACCCAGATTCATAAAGCAAGTTATTAGAAACATTCAAAGAGACTTAGACTCCCACACAATAATAAGTGGGAGGCTTTAACACCCCAGTGACATTATTAGACAGATCAATGAGACAGAAAATTAACAAAGATATGTAAAACCTGAATTCATCTCTGGATCAGGTAGACCTGATAGATATCTACAGAAGTCTCCACTCAAGAACAATAGAATATATATTCTTTTCATTGCCACGTGGCACTTACTCTAAAATTGATCACATAATTGGAAGTAAAACACTCCCCCAAATGCGAAAGAACTGAAATCATAACAGTCTTTCAGACCACAGTGCAATCAAATTAGAACTCAAGATTAAGACATTCATTCAAAACCATACAGCTACATGGAAATTGAACAACCTGCTCCTGAATAACTTTTGGATAAATAATAAAATTAAGATAGAAATCAAGAAGTTATTTGAAATTAATAAGAAAAAAAAAGAGACAATGTGCCAGCACCTCTGGGATACCACTAAAGCAGTGTTAAGAGAAATATACATATAGCACTAAATGTCCATATCCAAAAGCTAGAAAGATCTCAAGTTAACAACCTAGCATCATAACAAAAAACTAGAGAACCAAGAGCAAACAAACCCCAAGCTAGCAGATCATAAGAAATAACCAAGAACAGAGCAGGACTTAAGAGATAGAGAAATGAAAAACCCTTCAAAGAAATCAATGAATCTAGGAGCTGATTTTTTTATTGACTGCTAGCTAGGCTAATAAAGTAAAAAAGAAAGAAGATTCAAATAAAGACAATCAGAAATGATGAGGGAGATATTGCCATTGACACCATAGAAATACAAGCAATCATCAGAGAACAATATAAAAACCTCTATACACGATAAACTAGAAAATCTAAAAGAAATGGATAAACTCCTGAACATATACGCCTTCCCAAGACTGAACCACAAAGAAATTGAATCCCTGAATAGACCAATAATGAGTTCTGAAATTGAAGCACTAATAAATAGCCTACCGAGCAAAAAATACCCAGGACCAGACTGATTCCCAGCTACATTCTACCAGAGGTACAAAGAAAAACTGGTACCATTCATACTGAAACTATTTCAAAAAACTGAAAAGGTGGGACTCATCTCTAACTCATCCTATAAGGCCAGCACCATCCTGATAACAAAACCTGGCAGAGATACAACAAAAAAGGAAACTACAGGCCAATATCCTTGTTTAACATGGATGCGAAAATCCTCAACAAAATACTAGCAAACCGAATCCACCAACACATTAAAAAGCTTCAAGTAGGCTTCATCCCCGGGACTCAAGTCTGGCTCAAAATATGCAAATCAATAAACATTACTCATCACATAAACAGAAATAAAGACAAAAACTATATGATTATCTCAATAGATTCAGAAAAGGCTTTTGATATAATTCAAAATCCCTTTATGTTAAAAACTGTCAATAAACTAGGTACTCAAGAAACATGCCTCAAAACAAAATGAGCCATATATGACAAACTAACAGCTAATATCATACTGAATGAGCAAAAGCTAGAAGCATTCTCCTTGAAAGCCAGCACAAAACAAGGTTTCCCTCTGTCATCACACCTATTCAACATAGTATTGAAAGTTCCAGCCACAGCAATCAGGCAAGAGAAAAAAATAAAAGGCATTTAAATAGGAGGAGGGGAAATCAAACTATCCCTGTTTGCAGCTGACATGATCCTATATCTAGAAAACTCCATCTTCTCAGCCCAAAGGCTTCTTAAGCTAATAAGCAACTTCATCAAAGTCTCAGTATACAAAATCAATGTGAAAAAATTGCTAGTATTCCTATACACCAAGAATAGGCAAGCTGACAGCCAAATCATGAATGAACTCCCATTCACGTTGCCACAAAATGAATAAAATACTTAGGAATACAACTAACAAGAAAAGCGAAGGGCCTCTTCAAGAATTACAAACCACTACTCAAAAATATCACAGATGACACACAAAAAAATGAAAAAAACATTCCATGCTCATGGTTAGAGAATAATCAATATGTTAAAAATGACCATACAGCCCAAAGCAATTTATGTGTTCAATGCTATTCCCATTAAACTACCACTGACATTCTTCACAGACTTAGAAAGAACTACTTTAAAATTCATGTGGAACCAAAAAAGAGCCTGCATAGCCAAGGAAATCCTAAACAGAAAGAATAAAACTGGAAGCATCATGCTACCTGACTTTAAACTATACTATAGGGCTACAGTAACCAAAACAGCACGATACTGTTACAAGGACACATAGACCAATAGAACAGAATAGAGGACGCAGAAATAGGACTGCACACCTACAACCATCTGATCTCTGACAAACCTGATGAAAACAAGCAATGGGGAAAAAATTCCCTATTTAATAAATGGTGCTGGGATAACTGTGAAGCCATATGCAGAAAATTGAAACTAGACGCCTTCTGTATTAGTCTGTTTTCACACTTCTGTAAAGAACTACGTGAGAGATAGTAATTTATAAAGAAAAGAGGTTTAATTGACTCATAATTCCATGCTTAACAGGAAGCATGACTAAGAAGCCTCAGGAAGCTTACAATCACACAGAAGGCAAAGGGGAAGTGAGGACCTTCTTCACATGGTGGCAGGAGAGAGGGAGATGAAAGGGGGAAGTGCCACACAATTTTGAACAACCAGATCTCATGAGAACATACTCACTATCATGAAAACAGCAAGAAGGAAGTCCACCCCCATGACCCAATCACCTTCCACCAGGCCCCTCCCCCAACACAAGTGGATTACAATTTGAGATGAGATTTGGGTGGGGGCACGGAGTCAAATCATATAATTCTGCCCCAGGCCCCTCCCAGATCTCATGTGCTTCTCAAATTTCAAAACATAATGATGCCTTAACACAGTCCCCCGAAGTTTTATCTGAGACAAGGCCAGACCCTTCTGCCTATGAGCCTATAAAATCAAAAGCAAGTTAGTTGTTTCCAAGACACAATTAGGGTATAAGCATTGGGTATTGGGTAAAGGGTCTCATTCCAAATAAGAGAAATTGGCCAAAATAAAGGGGCCACAGTTCCTATGCAAGTTTGAAGCCCAGCAGGACAGTCATTAAATCTTAAAGCTCCAAAATAATCTCATTTTATCTCCTTTGACTCCATGGCTCACATCCAGGGCACACTGATGCTAGAGGTGGGCCCCAAGGCTTTGGGTAGCTATACTCCTGTGGCTTTGAAGGGTACAGCCCCCACAGCTATATTAACAGGTGGACATTAAGTGTCTGTAGCTATTACAGGCGCAGGGTGTAAGCTGTTAGTAGATCTACCATTCTGGGGCCTGGAAGATGGTGGTTCCTCTTCTCCTAGCTCCACTAGACAGTACCCCAGTGGGGACTCTGTGTGAGGGCTCAAATCCCACCTATTCCCTCCGTACTGCACTAGTAGAGGTTCTCCATTAGGGCTCTGCCCCTGCAGCAGACTTCTGCCTGGATATCTACGAGGTTCCATACATCCTCTGAAACCAAGGTTTCCAAGCCTCAACTCTTGCCCTTGGTGCAACCTGCAGGCCCAAAACCACATGGAAGCCACCAAGGCTTGGGGCTCGCACCCTCTGAAGCAACAGCTGGAGCTGTACCTTGGCCACTTTTAGCCATGGCTAGAGCTGGAGTGGCTGGGATGCAGGGCACCATGTCCCAAGGCTGCACAGAGCAGTGAGGCCCCGGGCCTGGCACATGAAACCATTTTTTCCTCCTAGCCCTCTGGTCTTGTGATGAGAGGGGCTGCCATGAATGTCTCTGACATGACCTGGAGACATTTTCCTGGTTGTCTTGGCTATTAACATTAGGCTCCACTTTACTTACACCAATTTCTGCAGCCAGCTTGAATTTCTCCCCAGAAAATGGGTTTTCCTTCCTACCACATGGTCAGGATGCATATTTTCAAAACTTTTATGTTCTACTTCCTTTTTAAATATAATTTCCAATTTTAGACCATCTTTTTTTATGCATATAAGTGTACACTTTTAGAAACAGCCAGGTCGCATCTTGAGTGCTTTTCTGCTTAGAAATTTCTTCTGCCAGATACCCTAAATTATCTCTCTCAAGTTCAAAGTTCCACAAATCTCTAAGGTAGGAGTAAAATGCTGCCTGTCTCTTTGCTAAAACAAAACTAAAATAACATTTACGCCAGTTCCAAAGAAGTTCCTCATCTCCATCAGAGGCTACCTCAGCCTGGACTACATTGTCCATATCACCGTCAGCATTTTGGTCAAAACAATTCAACAAGTCTCTAAAGAGTTTCCACACCTTCCTGTCTTCTTCCAAGCCCTCCGAACTTTTCCAACTTCTGCCCATTACCAAGTTCCAAAGTCACTTCCACATTTTCAGTTATCTTTATTCCAATGTCCCACTTTCCTTGTACCATATTTCTGTATTAGTTTATTTTCACACTGCTATAAAGAACTACCTGGGCCAGGTGCAGTGGCTCATGCCTTAAATTGCAGCACTTTGGGAGGCCAAGGTGGGTGAATCACTTGAGGTCAGGAGTTTGAAACTGGCCTGGCCAACATGGCAAAACCCCGTCTCTACTAAAACTACAAAAATTAGCCAGATGTGGTGGTCCATGTCTGTAATCCCAGCTACTCAGGAGGCTGAAGAAGGAGAATCTCTTGAACTCAGGAGTTGGAGGTTGCAGTGAGCCGAGATCGCATCGCTGAACTCCAGCCTGGTGACAGAACGAGATTCTGTTAAAAAAAAAAAAAAAAAAGAAGAAGAAAGAAAGAAAGAGAGAGAGAGAGAGGGAGGGAAGGAGGGAGGGAGGAAGGAAGGAAGGAAAGACTACCTGAAACTGAGTAATTTATAAAGAAAAGAGATTTAATTGACTCAAAGTTCCAAAGGCTTAACAGGAAGCATGACTGGGAGGCCTCAGGAAAATTATAATGATGGCATGAAAAGAAGGGGAAACGAGGACCTTCTTGACATAGTGACAGGAGAAACAGCACAAAGGGAGAAGTCCCACACACTTTCTAACAACCAGAACTCATGAGAACGTATTCACTATCATGAAAACAGTAAAGGAAAAATTTGCCCCCATGATTCAGTCACCTCCCACTAAGCCCTTTCCTGATACATAGGAATTACAATTTGAGATGAGATTTGGGTGGGGACACAGAGCCAAACCATAACACCTTCCTTACATCATATACAAAAATTGACCGAAGATGTATTAAAGACTTAAATGTGCAACCCAAAACTACAACAACTCTAGAGGAAAACCTACGCAATTCAATTCAGTACATAGGCAAGGGCAAAGATTTCATGACAAAGATGTCAAAATCAGTTGTGACAAAATTAAAAAATGACAAACGGGATCTAAAAAGAGCTCCTGCACAGCCAAAGAAACTATCAACAGAGTAAACAACCCACAGAATGGGAGAAAATTTTTGCAATCTATCTGTCTCACAAAGATCTAATATCCAGCATCTATAGGGAACTTAAACAAATTTACAAAGGAAAACTAACAATCCCATTAAAAAGTGGGCAAAGGACATGAACAGACACTTTTCAAAAGAAGACACACAAAATAACACAGAGAAGGAATTCAGAATTCTATCAGATAAATTTAACAAAGAGATTGAAATTATTAAATAAAATCAAGCAGAAATTGCAGAGTTGAAAAATGCAATTGACATACTAGAGAATGCATCAGAGACTCTTAATAGCAGAACTGATCAAGCAAAAGAGAGAATAAGTGAAACTGAAGATAGGCTACTGGAAAATACAGTCAGAGGAAATTAAAAAAAAAGAATAGAAAAGAATAAAACACACCTATAGGATCTGGAAAATATCCTCAAAAGGACAAATCTAAGAGTTATTCTTTTTAACGGGGAGGTAGAGAAAGAAAAAGGTATAGAAAGTCTATTCAAAGGGATAATAATAGAAAACTTCCTAAAACTAGAGGAAGATATCAATATCCAAGTACAAAAAGGTTATAGAACACTAAGCAGATTTAACCCAAAGGAGACTACCTCAAGGCATTTAAAAAACAAACTCCCAAAGGTCAAGGGTTAAAAAAAAATCTTAGCAGCAAAAGGAACAAATAACATACAACGGAGCTCCAATACATCTGGTAGTGAACTTTTCAGTGAAAACTTTAAGTCCAGGAGTGGCATGACATATTTAAAGTGCTAAAAGCAAAAACTTTTAGCCTAGAATAGTCTGATGAAAAATTTTTTAAACATGAGGAGAAATAGAGGCCTTCCCAGATAACAAAAGCTGAGAGATTTGATTACCACCAGATCTGTCTTAAAACAAAAAAGGAAAATGGTAGAGGGAGTTCTTCAGTCTGAAAGAAAACAGCATTAATGGGCATTAAGAAATCATACGGAGGTACAAAATTCACTGGTAATAGCATACACAGAATATTATACACCAATCATAGTGTGTAAAATACTGTTAAGCAGGAAGACTGAAAGATGAACCAAGTATAAATATCAACTATGACAACTTTCCAGTTCATAGATAGTACAATGAGACATAAAGAGAAATAACCAAAAGTTAAAAAGTGTGGGAATGAAGTTAATATGTACTGTTTTTATTACTTTTCTTTTTATATGTTTGTTTATGAAATCAGTGTTTAGTTGTCATGACTTTAAGATAATAGGTTATAAGACAGTACCTGCAAGTGTCATGGTAACCTCAAATTGAAAAACATATAACACACACCAAAATAAAAAGCAAGAAATTAAATCTTACCACCAGAAAAAATCACCATCCCTAAAAGGAAGAAAGGAAAGAAGGAAGACCACAAAATAACCCAAAAACAAATAACAAAATGCAGAAATAAGTCCTCACTTATCAACAAAAACATTGAATGTAAATGGTCTAATCTATCCAATCAAGATACATAGAGTGACTGAATAGATTTTTTAAAAAGCAAACCTTAATGACCTGTTGCCTATAAGAAACAGAATTCATCTCTAAAGATTCACATAGATTGAAAATAGATGGAAAAATATATTTTATGCCAATTGAAAAAAGAAGAGCAGGAGTAGCTATACTTATATCATACAAATCAGATTTCTAGACAAAAACTAAGAAGAGAAAAAGAAAGTCATTATATAATGATGAAGGAGTGAATTCAGCCAAAGCACATAGCAATTGTAAATATATATGCATGCAACACTGAAGCACCCACGGACAGATCTTCCAGACCGAAAATCAGCAAAGAAACACTAGACATTATCTGCATTATAAAACAAATGGCCCCAATGGATATTTACAGATCACTTTATTCAAGCATCATTCTTTATTCAAAGAATGTGCAAAATATATATTCTTCAGCACATGGATCGTTCCGAAGAACAGACCATATGATAGGCCACAAAAACAAGTCTTAAAACATTCAAAGAAAATTGAAACAATATCAAACATATTCTCTAAACAGAAAGCAATAAAACTAGGAACCAATAATAGGAATTTTGGAAAATATATGAACATATGGAAATTAAACAATATGCTCCTGAATCACCAGTGGGTCAATGAAGAAATTAAGAAGACAATTGAAATATTTCTTGAAATAGATGGTAATGGAAACACAATATACCAAAACCAATAGCATACAGTGAAATCAGTAATAAAAGGGAAGTTTATAGCTATAACTTCATACATCAAAAAAAAAGAAAATCTCCAAACAAATAAAGTAATGATGTATCTTGAAGAACTAGGAAAGCAAAAGGAAATCAAATTCAAAATTAGTAAAAGGAAAATAGTAAAGATCAGAGCATAAATAAATAAATTTGAAATAAATAAAACAATACAAAAGGTCAATGAAATTAAAAGTTGGTTTTTGATAAGATAAAATTGAAAGACCTTTAGACAGACTAAGAAAAAAGAGAGAAGACCCAAATATTTAAAGCACAGATGAAAAAGGAGACATTAAAACTGGTACTACAGAAATTAAACAGATTATTACTGTCTACTATGAGCAAATATATGCCAACAAATTAGAAAATCTAGAGGAAACTGATAAATTCCTAGACACATACGACCTACCAAGATTGAACCAGGAAGAAATCCAAAACTTGAACAGATCAATAACAACTAACAAGATCAAAGCCATAATAAAAAGTCTTTCATTAAAGAAAACATTTAAAGAAAAACTAATATCAAGCCTACTCAAACTATTCCAAAAAATAGAGGACAGAATATTTCCAAACTCATTCTCCAAGCCCAGTATTATCCTGATACCAAAACCAGACAATGACACATCAAAAAAAGAAAATTACAGGCCAATGTTTTTAATGAATATTGATGCAAAATTCATCAATAGGGCTGGGCGCGGTGGCTCATGCCTGTAATCCCAGCACTTTGGGAGGCCGAAGTGGGCAAATCACAAGGTCAGGAGTTTGAGACAAGCCTGGCCAACATGGTGAAACCCTTTCTCTACTAAAAATACAAAAATAAGCTTGGTGTAGTGGTGCGTGCCTGTAATCCCAGTTACTCTGGAGGCTGAGGCAGGAGAATTGCCTGAAGCTGGGAGGCAGAGGTTGCAGTGAGCCAAGATTGAGCCACTGCCCTCCAGCCTGGGTGACAGAGCAAGCCTCTGTCTCAGAAAAAAATAAAAAATCCTGAACAAAATACTAACGAACAAAATGCAACAATACATATGTAGCTGTCACACAGTAGTATTATACTGAACAGGGGAAATCTGAAAGCCCTTCCTCTAAGATCTGGAACACGACCAGCTTGCCCATTTTCTCCACTATTATTCAGCATAGTTCTGGAAGTCCTAGCTAGAGCAATCAGACAAGAGAAAGAAATAAAGGGCATCCAAATTAAAAAAGAATGAGTCAAATTGTCCTTGTTTGCTGACGATATGATCTTGTATTTGAAAAAACCTAAAGACTTCAACAAAAAATTATTAAAACTCATAAACACTTTCAGTAAAGTTTCAGGATAGAATATCAACATACAAAAATCAGAAGCATATTTGTATGACAATAGTTAACAATATGAAAAAGAAATCAAAAGAGTAATCCTATTTACAATACCCACAAATAAAATTAAATACAAAAAATTAACCAAAGAACTGAAAGATATCTGCAATAAAATCTATAAAACACTTGGGCAGGAAATTGAGGACACACACACAAAAAAATGGAAAGATATCTCATGTTCATGGATTAGAAGGATCAGTATTGTTAAAATGTTCATACTACACAAAGCAATCTATAGATTCTATGCAATCCCTATCAAAATACCAATAACAATTTTTGCAGAAATAGAAAATCAATCCTGAAACACATATGAAACCACAAATCACCCAGAGTAACCAAAACTATTCTGAGCAAAATGAACAAAACTGGAAGAATCACAATATCTAACTACAAATCATAGTTTAGAACTATGGTAACCAAATCAAAACTCGAAGAATCACAATACCTAACTACAAATCATAGTTTAGAACTATGGTAACCAAATCAGTATGGGACTGGCATAAAAACAGACACATAGACGAATATAACATAATAGAGAATCCAGAAATAAATCCACACACCTACTGGTATGGTTTGGATCTGTGTCCCCAACCAAATCTCAAGTCAAATTATAATCCCCATTGTTGGAGGTGGGGCCTGGTGAAAGGTGATTAAATCATGGGTGTGGATTTTCCATTTGGTACTATTCTCATGACAGTAAGTAAGTTCTTGTGAGATCTGGTTGTATAAAAGTGTGTGGCATCTCCCCCTCCTCTATCTTGCTCCTGCTCTGGCCAGATAAGATAGGCCTGCTCCCCCTTTGCCTTCGACCATGAATATAAGTTCCCTGAGGCCTCTCCAGAAGCCAAACAGATGCTAGCAATGATCCTGTATATCCTGCGGAACCATGAGCCAACTAAACATCTTTTCTTTGTAAATTACCCAGTCTCAGGTATTTCTTTATAGCAATGGAAGAATGGTCTAATATAGAAAATTGGTACTGAGGAGTAGAATATTGCTATAAAGATACCTGAAAATGCAGCAACAACTTTGGAACTGAGTAATGGGCAGAGGTTGGAACAGTTTGGAGGGATCACAAGAAGACAGGAAGATGAGGGAAAATTTGGGAATTCCTAAAGACTTGAATGGTTGTGACCAAAATGCTGATAGTGATGTGGGCAGAGATGACCAGGCTGAGGTGGTCTCAGATGGAGTTGAGGAACTTATTGGGAAGTGGAGCAAAAGTCACTTTTGTTATGCTTTAGCAAATAGCTTTGCTGCATTGTCCCCCTGCTCTAGAGATCTGTGAAACTTTGAACTTGAGAGTGGTGATTTAGGTTATCTGGCAGAAAAAATTTATAAGCAGCAAAGCATTCAAGATATGGCCTGCTGCTTTTAACACCCTGTGTTCATACACATGAGCAAAGAAATGATCTGAAACTAGAACTTATATTTAAAAGGGAAGCAGAGCATAAAAGATTGGAATGTGATAGAAAATAAAAGCCCATTTTCTGGAGAGGAATTCAAGGAGCCTGCAGAAATTTGCATAAGTCAAAAGAAGGAGCCAAGTGCTAATACCAAGACAACAGGGTAAAGGCCTGGAAGATATTTCAGAGACCTTCTCGGCAGCCCCTCACATCACAGGCCCAGAGTCCAAGGAAGGAAAAATGGTTTGGTAGGCCAGGCCCAGGGCCCTGCAGCCCTACACAGCCTTGGGACACTGTTTTCTATATTCTAGCCACTCCAGCTCCAGCCATGGCTCAAAGGGGCCCAGGTACAGCTCAAGCTGCTGATTCAGAGGTGCAAGCCATAGCCTAGGTGTCTTCCTTGTGGTGTTATGGAGCACTGCCTAGTGGATCTGTGAGAGGGACATGAGATTTGGAAGGGGCCAAAGGTGGAATATCATTTGGATCTGTGTCTCTACCCACATCTCATGCTGAATTGTAATCCTCAATGTTGGAGGTGGGCCCTGGTGGGAGGTTGATTGGATCATGGGAATGGATTTTCCACTTGGTACTGTCCTCATGATAGTGAGTGAGTTTTCATGTGATATGGTTGTTCAAAAGTATGTATCACTGCCTGGCCACCTTGCTCCTGCTCTGGGCACATAAGATAAGCCTGCTCTGCCTTCATGTTCTGCCATGATTGTAAGTTCCCTGAGGCCTCCTCAGAAGCCCAGCAGATGCCAGCATGGTGCTTCCCACATACCCTGCAGAACCATGAGCCAATTAAAACATTTTTCTTTATAAATTACCTAGTCTCAGGTATTTCTTTATAGCAATGCAATAAAGGTCTAATACACCTACAATAAACTCATTTTTGACAAAGATGCCAGTTAAAATGGAATGCAAGGATGATTCAACATATGTAAATCAATAAATGTGATATATGATATCAACATATTGATGGACAAAAACCATATCATCTCAACAGATGCAGAAAAAGCATTTAATATAAATTTCAAATCACTTCATGATGAAATCTCTCAGATAATAAATGCTGGGCAAAGATGTGGAAAAAAGAGAACCGTTATATACTGTTGGTGGGAATGTAAATTAGTGCAACCACTGTGGAGAACAGTTTGAAGGTTCCTCAAAAAACTAAAATTTGAGCTACCATAAGACCTAGAAATTCTACTGCTGGGTATATACCCAAAAGTAAGAAAATCAGTATATCAGAGATATCTGCACTCCCATGTTTGTTGCAGCACTGTTCACAATAGCCAAGATTTGGAAGCAACCTAAATTTTGTCAACAGATGATTGGATAAAGAAAGTGTGGTACATATACATAATGGAGGACTATGCAGCCATAAAAAGGAATAAGTTCCTATCATTTGCAACAACATGGATGGAACTGGTGGTCATTATGTTAGGTGAAATAAGTCAGGCACAGAAAGACAAACTTCACATGTTCTCTTATTTGTGGGTGTTAACAATCAAAACAATTGAACTCGTGGAGATAGAGAGTGGAAGGATGGTTACCAGCAGCTGGGAAGATGAGTGGTATGGTGAGGGGGAAGTGAAAATGGTCACTGGGCACAAAAATACACAGATATAGTTAGAAAATATGAATAAGACCTACTATTTGATAGCACAACAGGGTGACTACATACAATACTAATTTAATCTTACATTTTAAAATAACTAAAAGAATATAACTGGATTGTTTGTAACACAAAGGATAAATGCTTGAGGGGATGGGACACCCCATTTCCCATTGTGTGATTATTACTTATTGCATGCCTGTATCAAAGTATATCGCATACCTCATAAATAGATACACATACTATGTATCCATAAAAAATTTTAAAAGCATAGACAAAAAATTGCTCAACAAAATACTAGAAGATTGAAGACAACACAGCATCATAAAGATAATACATCATGATCAAGTGAGATTTACCCAAGGAATGCAAGGATGATTCAACATATGTAAATCAATAAATGTGATACATCATATCAACATAATGAAGTACAAAAACCATATGATCATTTCAATAGATGTAGAAAAAGCATTTAATAAAGTTCAATATCATTTCATGATAAAAAAAACTCTCAACTAATTAGGCATAGAAAATGCATACCTCAAAATAATAAAGGCCATATAGACAAAACTGCAGCTAACATCATACTGAACTGGGAAATGCTGAAAGCCTTTCTTCTACTAACTGAAACTATACAAGATGCCCATTTTCACCATACTTACTCAATATAGTACTGGCAGTCCTCGCCAGAGCAATCAGGCAAAAGAACGAAAAGCATTCACTTTGGAAGAGAGAAATTAAAGTTGTTCCTCTTCACAGAGGACATTATCTTTTATATAGAAAACCCTAAAATCTCAACCAAGAAACTCTTAGAACTGATGAACAAATTCAGTAAAGTTGAAAGATAAAAAATCAACATCCAAAAATCAGTAGTGTTTTGATACACCAATAACAAACTAGCTAAAAAATAAATCAAGAAAGCAATCCAATTTATAGTAGCTACAATAAAAAAGTCCTATAAATAAATTTAATCAAGGAGATAAAAGACCTCTACAAGGAAAACTACAAAACACTGATGAAAGAAATTGAAGAGAAGCAAACAAATATAAAGAACATGCCATGCTCATGGATTGGAACAATTAATATTGCTAAAGTAGCCATACTAGACAGAGCAATCTATACAAGCAATGCAATTCCTGTTGAAGTACCAAAGACATTCTTCACAAAAATAGAAAATACAATTATAAATTTTGTATGGAACAACAGAAGACCCCAAATAGCCAAAACAGTACTGAACAAATAGAATGAAGGGAGAAGCATCACATTACCTGGCTATTCTCAAAAAGACAAAAAATAACCAATACTGGTGAGGATGTGGAGAAAAGAGAACTCTTATACTCTGTAAATTAATAAGGCCATTTGGAAAACAGTATGGCATCATCTCAAAAAACTAAAAATTGAATTACCATACAATGCAGCAATCCCACTACTGCATATTTGTCCAAAAGAAAGGAAATCAGTATATCAAAGGGATACCTACACCCCCATGTTCATTGCAACACTATTCACAATAGCCAAGATATAGAATTAGCCTAAGTGTCCATCAATGAATCGATAAATAAAATGTTGTATGTAGACACATTTGAATACTATTCAGCCATAAACTTTAATGAAATCCTGTTATTTGTAACAACATGGATGGACTTAGACATCACTATGTTAAAGAATATAAGCTAGGCACAGAAAGACAAATAGCACATGTTTTAACTCATATATCAGAGCTAAAATAATTGATCTCATGGAGGTAGAGTGTGGAATAATAATTATCAGAGTGGGAATGAAGTGAGGTTGGTTAATAGGTATAAAATTACAGTTAGATAGAAGAAATGAGTTTTCCTGTTCAATAGTACACTATATTTTAAAATAATATATTGTATATTTCAAAATTGCTAGAAGAGAAGACCTGAAATGTTTCCAACACAAGAAAAACCAATAAATGTTTGAGGTGATAGATATCTTAAATATCCTTATTTGATCATTACACATTGTATACATGTATCAAAATATCATGCATATCCCATAAATATTATGATGTATCAATTAAAAATAAAAACATAAATTAAAAAACTAAAAGTTTACAATTATCACACACTTATTGGTAAAATACTGAATGCTTTCTCCCCAAGATCAAGAAAAATTTAAGGATGTCTGCACTCTTAGTTTCTCCTGAGTATTTTGCAAGAGGTTCTAGCCAGTGCAGTATGTCAAGAAAAAGGAAAAGACATCCATTTCAGAAAAGTAAAACATTCTTTATTTATAAGTAACATTATCTACGTAGAATGTCTTCTGGAAACAAGAGAAATTAAACATATAGCTACATAAAGACTTGTATGCTACTGCTCATAAGCTGCTTTATTTATATTAGCTAAAAATCAGAAAAATCTAAATGTTCATCAGAAAGTGAGTGGATATGGCCAAGCAACACTATTGTAAGCACATGGGTATTCCACACCACAAGGTTGCAATTTCAACTGCAGGATGTTCATGCTTATGCTATTACAGCAGTAAGAAATAAACCTTTTTTTAAAAAAAATTTGAGTGGATAAAAAATCGTATATCCATAAAATGGCATACTATTCAGTAAACTGAAATGAACTGTGAATACACTCTCCAAAATAGACAAATCTCAAAACAGTATGCTTATAGAATGAAGCCAAACAAACCAAAAAATGCATACTGTATGATTCCATGTATATAAAAATCTAGAAAATGCAAACAAACCTATGGTAATAGAAACATACACACACTCTGTACCAACTTGTAGAGTTACCCTAACCACAAAAACAAAAACAAATTGACCTCAGCAGTGTGATTTTACAGAAAAAACAAGGTCTCTCAATTAATTATTGACCAGGTAAGAAAAAAAAATCCATTTTAACTCATTTTGTCTTTAAGAATATGTTTCCACTTCTTTTTCATAACATTTTTTCGAGATACAATTCTATTACTTACAATTCATTCATTTAAAGTATACACTTCAGTGGGTTTTAGAGTTGTACAACTATCACTATAGTCTATTTTAGAACACACTCATCACTCCCAGAAAGAAGCCCCATTCTCTCTGGAAATCAACTGCCCCCTATTTTCCCCACTATTTCTCCTCCTTATGCAAGCAAGAATCTACTTTCTGTCTTTATAAATTTCCCCATTGTAGATATTTCATGCAAATGGAGTCATGCAATACAGGGTCTTCTGTGACTACTTTTACACTTAGCATGTTTTCAAGGCTCATTCATGTTAATATTTAATTCCTTATTGTTATTGAATAATATTTTCTTGTATTGATATGTTGCATTTACTTTAACCATTTATCAGTTGATTAACTGATTTTTGTTTATGTCTATGAACATACACATGAAAATGTTTGTGTGGGCATGTTTTTCTTTCTTTTCATCTGTAACAACAGTGACTTGCTGAGTCACAGGGTAACTCTGTTAATCTTTTTAGGAACTGCTAGTCTGTTTGCCAAAGCACCTTTGCCATTATGCATTCCCACCAGCACAAATGAGGGGTCCAATTTCTCTTTCTTTGGTTCTCCTTGGTCAACTAGCGAGCCTTAGGTTTAGGTTTTTGCTCTCTTGGATCTATCAGCCTCATCTCAATTCCCACAACTATTTTTTAAGGTACTTTTATGTTTGAATTTTCTCACACTCTGTGTGAGCTTTGGAGCTCCCTGTTCTTGTTACAGGTAGTAGATAAGCATGAGCTGGGCAGGAGAGGGCTCTCCCCCAACCCATTAGGAATGTCAGGTTACTGTTTGACAATTATCACACTGCCTCTCTAAAAATGATAATTTGGCAGCCCACCCAGGGTGCCAGAGAGAGGCCATTTCCTGATGATCCACAGCTACTAACATGAAAGCCTTAACTGAATGCAGATACCAGGGAGAAAAAACTTCCTGGGCATGAGCACTAAGAGATAAAATGGTGAAGTATGACCTTCTGGGTGCATTCCACCAGAAAAAGGAAGAAAGCCTCAGACAGGCACGTCCTAAACACACTGCATGAGCTCAGTTCTCAAGGGTAAAGAGAGCACTGTACATGCAGGAAGCCCACCCTAAGGGAAGAATCATGGGAAATAAATGAGCCTATAATGCCTTAGGATCAAGGTTGAACACCCTTTTTTTTTTCTTTTTAATCTTTTTAATATTTTTTCTTTTTAATCTTCATGTGCCTGCTTGGGTCTCTTCCAAGCATACCTTCCTTTCTTTCCTATTCTAAATCGTGGAACCAACCCAAATGTCCGTCAGTCAAGGAGTGGATAAATAAACTGTGGAATATGTGTGTGTGTGTATAATATGATATATATATCATACATGTGATATATATCATATATACATATATATGATGGAATACTACTGAACCATAAAAAGGAATGAATTAACAGCATTTGCAGCGACCTGGATGAGACTGAAGACTATTATTCTAAGTGAAGTAACTCAGAAATGGCAAACCAAACGTTATATGTTCTCACTGATATGTGGGAGCTAAGCTATAAGTATGCAAAGGCATAAGAATGATACAATGGACTTTGGGGACTTGGGAGGAAAGGTGAGAGGGGGGCAAGAGATAAAAGACTACAGGCCAGGTGCAGTGGCTCACACCTGTAATCCCAACACTTTGGGAGGCTGAGGCAGGCGGATCACCTGAGGTTGGGAGTTTGGAGTTCGAGACCAGCCTGACCAACATGGAGAAACCCTGTCTCTACTAAAAATACAAAATTATCAGAGTGTGGTGGCACTTGTCTGTAATCCTAGCTATTTGAGAGGCTAAGGCAGGAGTATCACTTGAACCTGGGACGGGGAGGTTACAGGGAGCCAAGATCACGCCACTGTACTCCAGCCTGGGCAACAAGAGTGAAACTCTGTTCAAAAAGAAACAAAAAAAGACTACAAATAGGGTGCAGTGTATACAGCTCAGGTGATGGCTGCACCAAAATCTCACAAATCACTACTCAAGAACTTAGTCTTGTAACCAAAAACCACCTGTACTCCAATAACCAATAGTAAATACATAAATAAATAAAATTTTAAAAGTTATAAGGGATGTACTCAAAAAATAATGAAATAAAAATACAAAAATTTTTAAAAATGCCAGTCGCGGTGGCTCACGCCTGTAATCCCAGCACTTTGGGAGACCAAGGCGGGCTGATCACTTGAGGTCAGAGTTCGAGACCAGCCTGGCCAACATGGTGAAACCCCATCTCTACTAAAAATACAAAAAATTAGCTGGGCGTGGTGGCGGGCACCTGTAATCCCAGCTACTTGGGAGGCTGAGGCAGGAGAATCGCTTGAACCTGGGAGGCAGGGGTTGCAGTGGGCCAAGACCATGCCATTGCACTCCAGCCTGGGCAATAAAGCAAGACTCCATCTAAAAAAAAAAAAAAATTAAAAATATAGTCAGGCATGGTGGCTCATGCCTGTAATCCCAGCACTTTGGGAGGCCAAGGTGGGTGGCTCACCTGAGGTCGAGAGTTCGAGACCAGCCTGACCAACATGGCGAAACCTCATCTCTACTAAAAATACAAAAAAAAAAAAAAAAAAAAATAGCCATGCGTGGTTGCCGCACACCTGTAATCCCATCTACTCAGGTAGCTGAGGCAGGAGAATCACTTGAACCCGAGAGGCGGAGTTTGCAGTGAGCTGAGATGGTGCCACTGCACTCCATCCTGGACAACAGAGGAAGACTTAGTCTTGAAAAATTTAAAATATAAAAAATGTATATATATATATATATATATCCATTTAAAATAAACTTTCACTCCTGCTCTGAAATTTGCCTTAGTCTCTTTTTCTGCTTTATGCCCCTCAGGTGAATTTTTCTTCCGAAGAGGCAAGGAGTGAAGTTGCTTCAGACCTGCCAGTAACTCGGGGTACCTCGGATCTCTTCTATCTTCTCTAAAGATAACATTCTTATGGACTGCCTCTCTGAACCACTGCTGCAAAGAGCCTGCTTCTCTCAGAGCAACATCCTTGCTTTATGAGCAGGGCATGATCCAGGGGTAGTAGCCTTGTTCTTCTAGGATTGTATCTCCCAGCATGAAACCTCTACCTACAAGTGAGCTGTGGCAAGAGTGTTTGGGGTTCCAGTGTTCTCAATCTGCTTTGCAGGGGCAACTAAGGTGAAGCTTCCCTTCTATAAGTGGGGATGGAGTGAAGGAAGGGAAATCCTGAACTCTTGACTATGCTGTCACCTGGAATTTGGCCTCTGTAACACAGAGCTGTGGGTAATGAGAAATGCTGGTGCCCTGCCTTTCGTGGGGAGATACCATAGCCCTTGACTGGAACCTAAGAGTACAGAGGGCCCCTATCTTGTTGGCCATACCTGCCAGAGTAAAGCCTCCATCACACTGGACTGGAAAGGGACAGAGAGGAAGGGCGTTGTGGTTCAAATGCCACAGATTCAACAGTGTTGTTACAAAGATTTAGATTTTTTTCAATAAATATTTCTCCATTTGTTTTATGAACTTAAGACAATTTCCATAGACATTAAATTCTTGATTTTTAAAATAATTTTCACTTGTTCTAGATGCTTCCCTAGAAGTCATCCATGGAGCTCCTCAGACTATCTTTTGTGAACTGGAACTCACCTTCTGTTTCATTATGTGGCAAGAATGACATCTATAGGTATGATTTTTAAAATCATGTATCGTTGTTGAGTTATTGTGTTTTGTCCTCTGTCAGCTCACCAAAAAAAAAAAGAAGCGCATTTTCTTTTTTTGTAATTATGTGATTCAACTCACAAAAAAACTTCAGTTTTTACCTGACTGCATTAAAAAAGTATATTTTGTATTCTTATATACAAATGTATGGGAAATTCAAAACTGAATTATGAAGAGATCTCTCACTAATTTCTTGACCATACATGATTGTCATTTTTAAAGGAAGACAGGAAGTTTCCATCACAAGGATAATGCATTCAAATGAAATAACCGTGTCTCCTATCACAGAAAGATGAGCTATAGAAAAGCTGTTTCAAATTTCCTCCTACCCCAAAGTGCTGTCAACACCATTCTGTAGTCTTTCAATTACAAGACTCAAATTAGCAGCAATTGTCACTAATAGCTTACTAATTAATGCATATTCCCCTGGGGCGTCTAGTCTATCAGATAGACTTCAGCTCTGAAAAACATACTGGGCCCATTTGCCATACTATCTTATTCTATGAAATTCCTGTCATCAAACAATAATACCAGCAAAACTAGCCTACTTAGACAATTCCTTTTTTCTGTTTCCTTTGATTAGCACTGAAACTACACACCAAGGTTAATCATAGCTAAAATTTTGAATTAGATTAAATTTGCCCTTGAAGCTCTCTCAATTAACCTCACTGCATTTCTTTCTTAACTCCTGACACTCGTTTCTCTAAAGATAATGTCATCAGAGAGGTTTATTTTAACTGGAAATGTCTCTACATTCCAAAATTATATTTCCACATCTTGCTTCCATCTCTAGGGTACCCCAACTTTAACTGGATGATGCTATGTCACATAAAGCTGTACATGGACAATGACACTTCAGTGCTTTCCTCTTCTTGGGGCTATTTTTATTATTTAAGTAGACACATTATTGTATGCAAGGTACCAATGTGAAATACTGATGCTAGCGATGACAAAAATAGTCAAACTTTGTAAAATATTTGAAGAGATTTATTCTGAGCCAAATATGAGAGACCACAGCCCATGACACAACCCTCAGGAGATCCTGAGAACATGGAACGAAGGTGGTTAGGGAGCAGCTTGGTTTTATACATTGGTTTGGTCCAGAAAGTCAGGACAACTTGAAGGGGTGGTGTGCTTTCAGGTTATAGGTAGATTTAAATTTTCTTGTTGACAATTGGTTGGGTTTATCTAAAGACCTGGGATCAACAGAAAGGAAATGTCTGGGTTGCAATAAGAGGTTGTGGAGAGCAAAGTTTAATCATGCAGATGAAGCCTTCAGGTAAGGGCATCATACAGAATAGATTGTAAATGCTTCTTATCAGACTTAAAGGTCTGTATTGATGTTAACAATGGAGTAGTATAATGAGGCTTGTCTGAACCCCACTTCCTATCATGGCCTGAACCAGTCTCTCAGGTTAAATTCTAAAAGTGCCCTGGTCGAGGGGGAAGTCCATTCAGACGGTTGGGGTGCCTTAGAATTTTATTTTGGGTTACACTAGGAATTCAAAGATGAATGAAACAAAAATCTGTGACTTCAGTGAATTCCCCATTTTAGGAGAGACATCGATTTGTTAACAATAATAACAGTATCTAGCATTTATTAAGCCTCTATTGTGTGTGAGGCAATGTGCTAAGCTTTTCTTTGTATTACCTTTTTTTAAACCTCACAGCAACCCCTCAATGTGGGCATTATTTTTATTCCCATTTTACAAAAGAGAAAACTTCCAAAGAGTAAAGTCACATATCTAGTAGAAGCCCAGCCCAGAATTTGAACCTACATGCATCTGTTCTCGAAGTCAGAGTTCTTAAAGCCTGTGCTATACTATTTGCCATACAATAAAACTGATATAATAATAAGAAAAATGCTTAGTAGTTGCCAAGCAGTGTGCTAAGTGTTTTTATGTCTTACCACAAGCACTAATCATTGCAACCCTATTATGTGTTAAAAACGTAAGGCAAATTTAACAGAGTTTTATTGAGTAAAGAACAATTCTCAAATCAGGCAGTCCCCAGAAGAAGAATAGGTTCAGAATGACTCTGGGGCTACTGCATGATCAGGTAACATGAAAGGGCAGAAAAAGGAGAGTGAAGTTAGGTAAAGTAACATCTAGGATGGTTACAGTTCAGCATTTGACATCATTGAATATGCTTAGAACAGGTGGATACCTGTGATTAACTGAAACTCTGTGATTGGTACAAGAGTAAGCTACAGGCTCTTTACACGTCCATTTAGGTTACAGTTTACTATGTATGGAGAAATCGTTAGGCCAAAATTTTGGACTAAAGATTTATGTGACATAGCATCATCCAGCTAAAATATGTAAGACGGGAGCTTTAGCTAAACTTTATTTTAACATATGGAAGCACCATTATTTTCTAGAATTTAAAATGAGAATACTAAGACTGGTTGATTTGCCCAGAGATACAGAACTGTGTGGGATATGATGAGGTTTCTCTTCGAATAATCTGATCAATCTTTTATCCTTTAATTCATGCCCCACTTTCTCCTTTTTCTCCTTTTTTTCTTTGTTAGATGCCCAGGCACACCACAGTACCAGGCGTTATCAGTACCAGCTCACCTTCCTTTCCCTATTTGGAAAGAGGACTAACTTTCTAGCTCATTACAGACATCCCTTCCCCTTCCTCTCCACTTTCTTTTACATGCCCACCTTATCCAAAAAAAAAAAAAAAAAATCAAATGTTTAGCCAGCCGGGATTACTTTAGATTGTACGACCGGACCCCAGCCAACGAGGAAAGGGTACAGGGGCAGGACTTGCATCAGGAATAAAGGCTCTCATGTCCCTTTGTTCAGGTGTGCTCTCATGGCGACTGGCCAAGGAGGCACCCCTCTGCGCAGAAGTAAAATTGCTTTTTTAAGAATCCTTTGAACGAATGTTCAATTTCCTTAGGATTTTGAGCGTTATTCCTAACAACTGTTAAGTAGAAGAATTAGGATTTGAACTCAAGTTGAGACAGTGCAAGTGGCAGCTATATCAATAATCTGATATATTTAGAGAAAAAAATTAAGGAGGTATTAAAATACTATTTATAATATCTGAAAATCCCTTTATTTGTTGAAAAAAATACTAGGGGCCTATTGAGTGTCTATTAAGTGCTTGTCTCCAGAGTAAAGGCAAAGAATAAGAACTAAAAACACTCATTCCCTTTAAAGTGGGTGTTGCAGGTGCGACTGGCTGGGGCCAGTGTCGTCGTGGGTGGTAAAGGATTTTACCAAGACATTCGTAGGTGAAGAAAGGAAGATTTATTACAGGGAAAGTATGTTGAAGGGAAACAACAGGCAGCACAGCAGAGAAGGGGTTGTCTGCAAAGAGGCAGGGGCTGGAGGGAAGTTTTGTAGGCCTGTGCTAAAGAGGCTACGTGCAGAAAGAGGTGTTTGGGAACAGGATGTTGTGCCAGTAGGTTGCTTGCAATTAGCCATTTCTCAGAGCATTTGTTTTCCCTTACCTGGGACCCCTTCCTTGTTGTTGCTTACCTATCTTATCAGGACTCCACAGTGGACCTCAGTCTCCCATGAAAAACAGCAGATGGGTAAATAAGCAATCACTCTGGTGAGATAAACTCATAGGGGATATGGGACAACAAAGAAGGAGCACCTAGCTTAGACTGGGTGGAGGAAATACCTAGGTTGAAACATAAAGAGTCAGGTAGGTAAAAATGAAGAGGAAAGTTGCTCTACCTAGAGAGTGTGAAGGCCTAGATGCAAAAGACAACAGGACTCATTCTCAGAATTGGGGCAGCTTAGGATGGCAGAAAAAAAAAAAAAAAGAAATAAGAGATGAGACTGGGAGAAGACTCTAGATCCTAAGCCACTTTATTTGAGTCTTGACAAGAAATTAAGCAAGAATCTTGAGAGTTATGCAGAGCCCTTGGAGAGTTTTAAGCAGAATGGCATCGCCAGATAAACCATTTTAAAAGACTGCTCTGATTGCTAAGCAAAGAATGGGTTAGAAATTGGCAAAGAGTGAAATTTTAGACAGAGAAGTTAGAAAACTTTTGTGGTAATCCATGAAAAATATAGTAGCAGCTTAAAGGAAGAAGGTTGGCAGTGAGCCCTAAGATAAAGATAAATTTACTATATCTTTGATTCATTTTTTATTGTGCTGTTGTGGTGGATCTAGTCAGATATTAACATAACTAATAGAACTTTTGAAAGGGTGTACTTTTTTTTTTGAGACAGAGTCTCGCTCTGTCACCCAGGCTGGAGCGCAATGGCGTGATCTCAGCTCACTGCAACCTCTGCCTCCCGGGTTCAAGCGATTCTCCTGCCTCAGACTCCTGAGTAGCTGGGATTACAAGCGCGTGCCACTACACCTGGCTAATTTTTGTATTTTTAGTAGAGACAGAGTTTCACCTGTTGGTCAGCCTGGTCTCTAACTCCTGACCTCATGTTCCGCCCGCCTCGGACTCCCAAGTGCTGGGATTAGAGGCGTGAGCCACTGCACTCAGACAAAAGGGTGTACTTTTTATTATTAAAGATGAATATTCAATATGCAGTAGCTGGAATTTTTAGTAGTGTGAATTTTAGTGGGATTTATGTACATATAGACCTTCTCAAATTTTTATATAGTAGGTGTCTTATCGATAAATCAGAAAAGTTTTCTAGCCATAATTTGAGCAGTTTGAACTAATAATGACGCATATATTTAATGCAATGCTTTTATATTCCAAAACTGAGGCTGAATTACATATATAATACATACAATTAAAATTTGTGACTTGCAAACTAAGAAACAAGAAGTCCTAAATGTCAATGCAAGCCTTAATTGTAGATATAAATTGAAAAGATAATTAACTCTCTAGTACGTCTTAGAACGTCTTGTTACTGTTAATTTCAATAAAGTCTGTAGAAAACCAAACATTCATCATAATTGACTAAATATGAAAGACTATAAGGCATAGTTTAATCTTTACTAACATAACAAGTTAGATTTCCTATGGGTACAGTTTGAAAAAGTAATCCAAGAGAAATGAAAGTTAATTTACAACACAGTCAAGTTTGAAATTATGAACATAGAAAAGAATAATAGTTGATAAATAGCTTATTAACAAAGATGTATTTTCTCATACTTCCTCCTTCGATTCCTACCTATAGACTTATTTGAGCTTTGTGATAGAACATAATACTCATCAGGTAAGGCAGATTAGTATCTCACTTTTTTATTTCATTATACTTCACATTTTCCAAAAAATATTTAAGATTGCTTAAACAGATAAAAAATAAGACAAAAGAAAAAAAGTTTAGAAAAATAAGCTAGATGCAGGTGGAAGGCAATCTACTGAATTTGGCTGTGTTCACAATTTGGTTGCAATGTTTTCTAGTTATATGACTGTGGATGATTATTTATTCTTTCTGTTCTTAGTTTCTTCATTTGTAAAATAGGATTAATAACAATATGCATATCATAGGATTCTGAGAATTAAATGGAATAATCCATATAAAATATTTTATAGGATACTAGTGAGACAGCTAAGTAAAAAGGAGTCCCCAGAGGTTCTCCCAATAGCCTATGCACTGGGAGGATGGGGTGGAGCCTCAGGAAGTTTGCTCCCTTTGCATGGGGGAGAAGCCTGGCCTCTCCTGTTCCTGTGTGGTAACCTGGGATTCAATCTGTGAGATGGGGGCCTGTTAACAGGAACCGCTTTTGCTTTGCTGAGTTTTTTCCTTTTAGCTGAATAAATTCCATTCCTCCTCACCCTTCAAAGTGTCTGTGAGTCTGTCACGTAACAAGAACCCGTTTTTTTCTACAACACTACCTTGTGGTAAGCACTTCATAAATATTAATCATGTTTAAAAAACAAACCTCCATGAATAAATCTTCTATGCTCCAAAGCTCATAGAGCAAAACAAATCCATTGATAACAAGTATTCCTCTATTTGAGAGTGAAGAAAGTTGTATAGTGGAGATCCTAACAGAGAGGACAGTACGTAATGGAATGGGTCTCATCCTCAACAACATCATTTCATAAATACAACAATGACCTGCTTAAGACTCTTTATTTTAAGGCCCATTGACATAGGGCAGCAATGATAAACCAAAATGTAACTCAGTTAAAAATAAATTCTGCATCAAACCAATTTGGTATGATCCCAGTGAATGTCTTGATAATGACCTGACTAAATCAAAGTATAAAATATGGAATAACTAGATTAACAATGGGCTGAATATTTTTCAAGAAAATTTCCAGAAATATATTTCTCAGTATTGCTAAGCTCCTGAAAGATATTTAAGAGCACTGAGCTTCAGATTATATTCTATTATAATTGATATAACATAAATCTTATCTTTAAAGCCTCCTGGAGATTATTTACACCAGAAAAAAAGCATTGCTAGGAAGAGATAATGTATCTTTGCGATATTCTAAGAGAGAACAATAAGCAAGTCTTAACGAAGACAGTGGCCCCTGGTATGCTGCAATTTTTGGTTTAATATATGTGTATATATATATGAACACACATATATATGAAGTATCTATTTGTAAATTGTTGTATTTATATATATATGCACATAAACACACACACATAAACAAATATCTCCAATCCTGAATTTAAGAACTGCTACATTGCAGAGTAACATATTAAAATTGTAATAAATAATTGTCTATGCAATCAGTAAACATTTATCGAGTGCCAGTTATGTGAAAGGCCCTGTATTAGGCTCTGAAAACACAGTGGTGTACAATAAAGGTGAGACCACTATCCTCCTGGAGCTTACATGGTTGTGTTGGTGAGAGATGAGGAGGCATTAGGTATTAAAAATACCCTTTTCTTCCCCATCTTATAACTGATCCTAAATAAGACAGAAGGGATAGGCAGGAGAAGATCAAAATGACCAGACCATGTGGTTACAAATAAGTGGTGGGACAGGTCAATGAGAAGAGCAGAAGCCTTGAAGGTCATGGAAAGTAATTTAAATTTTATTCTGTGTGCAATGAAAAGGAATTAAAGGCTTTTAAGTAGGGATCAGTGTTACATAATTTAAATTGTGCAAATGTCATGATGTAGCCTATGGGAATTTGATAGATATCAAGAGTGGAAGCACTGAAGCTTTTAATGGACACAAAGAGTTGATTCTCAGACTAGAATAACAGTGGGGAAGTAGAGAAGAGGATGGATTAGAAAAATATTTTGGAGAGAAAACGAAGCTCTTTAATTTTGTTTAATGCAAACACACATTTGATTTTTTAAGAAAATATTTTACAGAACATCTTTTAATAGCCTGATAGAGTTCCAGAAGACTTGGGAAATGTTAACAGAAGCAGTTCATCCAAACTTTTTCCACCTCATACCACTGAGCAGCAAAAACAAGTAGGAAGGACTGTCGTTGTCAAACACATTCTACATACTGAAAATAACCCTCATCAATAATAAAATAGTCTGTTACTAAAATTAGAAGATAGGCAGCTCTGATCTACCTTCAGACCCCACTGGGTTAAGAATATGAGAATGATGGGTAAGGTAAGGATGCCCAGACATGTGATATCTATGGTGAACAGAAGCAGAGACAGCAAGAGCCGAAGTAAGAAATGGAGAACAGATATTGTTAAGAGTGTGCTGAAGCTCAGTTTCAAGCAATAAATAAGATTCGCTGAATGCTTACAAGGAAACACAATCAAGCAAGCCAGGTGTGCAGTAATCAGAGACCAACTGGCTCTTTTTGTGTCTAGAATGAATTTTAAAGAAAGACAGTCTCTGGAATAGAGGATGAAATCAAAAGGAAAATGACTCTTTTGTGTCTACAATGTGTTCCAGGGAGAAATGACTATTGAGAATTTACTGCTTCTTTTTCTTATCAGTCAAACACACAAATAGCAATTGCTAAATATTAGTAACACTTTGTATTTTATGCCCAGGAAAGAAAACAAAAATAAATAAGTAAAAATGAAAATAAATCTTACATCTCAAAATATTTCACAAATTACCTCACTTAATCCTCCGATATGCTGATTCCCATAAACACAACAAACTTTCACCACAAAAAAGTTTGGATGTCTTAATTTATAGACCTTATTGCTCTCTGCCTTTTCCTCCTTACCTATCTTTAGGAAAAACACTCCTATTTCATTTGTTTCATAGATTGATACTTAGTTGAACATTCTACAAATGCTGTTGCTTAGCAACCTATTCACAGCACCCCATCTAAGTCTTCATCTATTAACCTTTTCATCTGTCCATTAAGCTTGGTCCTTGTACTCCAGTGAATAAACAAAACTTTGCTAGATTATCATTCCTTTTTTTTTGTCAGTTTTTAAAAACTTCTGTGACTTTTCTGATTCAACTATCTAATCTGTCTCTCATTGCAGATTACTGAACAAGTGTCAGGGAGCAAAATGTATGAACGAGTTTCCAGTTCTGCATTGCTCATGAAAAATTTGAACTGTATGTTATAATTTCAGAGTATGCTAAAAAAAAACAATCATTTTACAGAGTTACCAGTGTCTTTGAATCCAAAATGTCAAACAAAATTTACTAAATTCATATTAAGGGTAACAGATCATGAACAGTAAAATAGTAACCAAAATTGTGAATACTGAAAACAAAAGAAAAACTACACTACAGAATCAAAACAAACTTCAACGGTAACGCAACTTCTGGCAGAGGCTATCTTTATTTTCAATTTGACATTTTACAAAAAAGCTAAAAAAGAGATCAATCAAATACAAAAATTCTAAAAGATGACATGAGCTTCTCTTATGATACTGGTGTCAATAAAATAGCTAATTCACCTCAAGCATGCTGTGAGGCAGAAGACATTTAGAGTATACACAGTGTACTGGAAATTGTTATAGTTTTTGTAACTTGTGTGATAACTCACACATCATTGCCTTTTTCTGAAATTAAAACATCTCCAAAGCTTTCACAGATTCTGAATCACTCCATATTAATTCACAACTCAAGAAATATTCATTATGCAACTTCTTTAATTTTCTCTACCAAGAAAAAGTCAAATTAAATGTGTTGCTCTCAGCAGACATGAAATATGCCCAGTACTAAATGTATTTTTAAGAAAAAAAATAGTAAAATTAAATGCAAACTATAGGATAGTTATGGGGGGATCTACCTTGGCAAATTTTTCACATTCCAGTGAAAAATATGCAATTTGAATTCTTTCAATATTATACATTTTCTAAAGAATCAATATCATATAAGTTATAGAGAATTCTGATTCCAAAACACAAAGCTTATCAATAGTTCTAGGAATTTTGTATATGACTATTATGCATATGATATACATTTTATTAAACAGAGTAAGATTTGGAATATTCTGAATGAACTATATCAAAAAATAACTAAGGGACATTTTATTAATTATTTGCACTCCATTTAGTTATTTTTACATGCAAACTTCTCACATGCAAGGTGGTCAGAAACTAAATCAATAAAAGAAGAACCAGATGAATAAAGTATAGAGAAGTGGATATGAAAGCACTGCAAAGCCATTCTGAAAACAATGAATCTTGTTTGCCCTTTTGGACATAAAGCTGGCAACTAGCAAGGAGATGGTTCAAGATATTCTGTCTCTGAGAAGGCTCACCAAAGATATTTTAAGAGTTATTTAAGCTTTTTATGAAGTCTTCCCAGAATCTTTAGATAAAAGTTCAGCTGCGGAGTATGTATGACATATTATCTCTATAATGTGTGCCACAGTCCATCCATTAGCATGTCTACTTCAGTGAAACCAGGTCTGTACCTTCTCAACAGTTATCACAATAAAACAGTGTTATTTTACTGTAGATTTTAAATATATGCATATTTATATATATATTATTTCTTGTGCTTAATGTGTCATCTCTATGCAACGATACTAGAAAAAAGATTACAAATTCAAAAGTCTAATGTATGTACATACTTTATAAAATGACCATAATACCTTCCGTTTTTCTGATCCATGACTTTTTTTTCTTGCAGTCAGTCTAAGGCTTTCATCTGGAGGGTTGTGGGAAGGTTTGACTAATTCGTGTTGCCTTGGTTATAGAGACCATGGCTAAGCTGTGAGGCTTTCTTCCCTGGAGTCTGAGGAATTTGTATCCTAGAGCAGTGTTTTTCATGAGAGTGCTATTAGCATTTGGGAAATGTCAATTCTTTATTGCCCATAAAGTAAAAGATGTTTAGCATCTATAGATCCAGGGTAGTACTTGTCAATAATATTCTCCAATCACTGTGACAGGTAAAGATACCACCCACCATCAACACCATGACCACATTTCCAAATATGTCTTTAAGATGGCAGTACTAACCCTGATTGAGGACCCCTAATTTAGAAGCAGAGGGAAAAAACACGTGACTAATTATTTAAAAAGATAGGTGATGGGAAGAGGTAGAGAATACACTTATTTTGACAATTTAAGTATAGGATTTATAATGTTTACATTGTTCAGGAATGAAAGAAAGACGTATAAGACTTGTCTTTCTATGGCTCAGCTACAGGACTTATGTATCCTCTATAAATACAAATACACATTGATGGGAAACCCCAGCAAGTCAGGGAGGGGCTTTTAGAAACTTCCAGAAGGTACTGGCCAGCCCAGGAACATGTGAGTTAACACTTTGCAATTGGTGTTAGTGAAAAGCTATAAGCTTTAGGAGATGCTCCATACCCTGCCACAATGAAGCAGTTGTCATTTTGTGGAAGCAATAGTAGATTACAGATAGATAAACCTAAGATAGATAGAAGTGGCCCTTTACACTGCTAAGGAGATACAGAGTTGAGGTGCTGGAGAGGCCTGATAAACCATTTATAACCTGAAGCCGATGGCAACAGGCCTAAGTGAGGAAGAATGTAGAGAACAAAAGCTAATGGCCTCTAGACTTCATACCCATAAATACCCCAGTAGCTATTAGTCCAGAAAGGCTGGACTAATAGTCCTGTTAACCGGTGATCCAACTGACCCCACTTAGACTAGACTAGAAAACATTATCTCTTTGGGCCACTCACTGCCCATTTGGAGAAGGGTAGAAAGGATACCAAAAATCTGAGAGACTGAACATTTTTTTCCCACAAGACTATGCATTACCGAAAGGAAATATTTAAATTGTTGGATTAGATTATATTTATTTAATTATACTAAAAATGTAGGATTTACCTGATATCTAGGGTGAAGAAGTTTATAAGAAATAGCTGATCAATTGGAGGTAAAATTAATCATATTTTTTCTGCCTGCCTAACAATATGTAAATATTCATATGCTCACCTCTCTCTCTCTCTGTGTGTGTGTGTGTGTGTGTGTGTGTATATATCTCTAAATAAGATATATTAGATACAAGAAACATTTTATTGAAACCACGCAAAGAAAAACATACAAGTCCTATACATCTTTCTTTCATTCCTGAATGATGTAAACATTATAAATCCTATACTTAAATTGTCAAAATAAGTATATTCTCTATAACAATAGTTTTCAACGTGTGCTCTATAGACTGTGGGGTTTGATTAGACCCTTTGAGGGGTCTTTGATGTTAAGAAAATGGTTGATTTCTTTTTATTTTAAGACAATATTTGTGTTTTTCACTGAGTCTGTTTTCACTGATGATGAAAATCAATGATTGGTACAACTGCTTGTGTTTTAGCACACCTCAAAGCAGTGGCACCAAACTATACTAGCTGCCACTCTGTTCTTCACATACTTTCGGGAAATAAAATTCCAGTTTCACTTAATAATGTTACCAATGAACAATAAGAAAAATAAATTTTATTACATTTCGTAATGGAGTACATGTCTTTTTAATGTTTTATTTGACTAAATTGGAAGTACACTGGAGGCCTTCTGCAGCATATCTCGGTAACATGCTTATCTCCCGACAAAGCATTAGTGTGGCTGTTTTGGGTTGCACAATGAGTTAGCCACTGTTTCCATGGATCACCATTTTCACTTGAAAAAAAAAAGGCTGGTAGATGAACTACGGTTATTCAGAGGTTTATAATAATTTCATAAAAATGAATGCATGGAACCTGTCACCGTCAAGGAAATCTAACAATATTTTTCTGCTGATGATAAAATTTGAGCTTCCAAGTGAAAAGTCGAGTTTTGGAAAACACATTTGTACTACCATATGCTTGATAACTTCCCAATCATTAAAAAATTGTCTGATTAAATTGGTAACATTAACAAAAGTAATTGTTTTGTTGTTGTTTAGTAAAATATGTCACCTTTGGGAAGGTCTGCATATCTAAGAAACAACCATTTTCTAAGTGACCAGTGCATGACATAACAAAATCATGTATGGATTCAAAAGAAATCATTCCAAGGACAGGATAGATCATGGATTTTAATGTAAATGGGTATGAGAAATTCATTGATACAGTTTCAGACTTCATATTGTAACTAATCTGTCAGGTTCTGGAGTAGTATCAAAGACAAATTTATGTAAAATATATGCCAAAGTTATCAAAATACCCTCTCTTTTTTAACTGCATATCTGTGTGACACTGGTTTTCTGCATAAGATTCAACCAAAATACCAGGTTGCAACAGTTTGAATACAGAAGCAGACATTAAGTCAAATATGAAAGTGATATGAAAAATTGTAAAACAACGTCACTCTTCTCACTAATTAAGGGGGGACAAATATATTTATTTTCAAAAATGTGTTTTTCTTTACAGGTATTGGGTTTGTTACTATTATTTTTAAATAATTTAATAAATGAATATTTTAATTTTTTTCTGTTTTAATTTGAATATAGTTAATATTAAGATATAACCCACATGAATAAAACCTTTTTGGGGCCCTCAATAATTTTTAAGAGGGCAAAGCGGTCTCAACGCTGCTGCTTTCTATAACAGCCATAATTTCAAAACCTAAAGCCATGAGAACAACTTTTTTAGTAGAGTACAAGTTCTATACTTCTTTCTTTCATTCCTGAGCAATGTAAACATTTTAATTCTTATACTTAAATTGTCAAAATAAGTACATTCTCTATAATAATAGTTTTCAAAGTGTGCTCTATAGACCCTGGGGTTTGATTAGACCCTTTAAGGGGTCTTTGATGTTAAGAAAATGGTTGTTTTCATCCAGTTTTTCTTCTATAAGAAAGTGATCTCTATCACTTTATTGGAGAGAGGCGCACTTACTTTAGGAGTCTTCTTGCTCCAGGGACAAGTGCTGATTCAAATACGATTTAAAAATGATGAACATGGATCATAATTTCACAAGCAAACATGGCTTCCATGTCAGGCAATGTTTGCCCATGCTGACATTGTCAGAGGCCACACACTGCTTTCTACAGTCTTATCCAAGCACCTGTATGTTCAAATACACCCAAACTTGCTTTTTGTTTTACATCTAGTCATCAATAAATATTTTACAAACAGCTACATTGCCAGCTATTAACACGTTATTATGAAAAAAAAGTGAAGCAGGCCAAAAGTTAACCATTTTCAAATAGGAAGTGTTTTTTTCTTACTTATGCTTAAAATTGTTTTGATACTTTCCTATTTATTGAACAATATTAAGTAATAAAATACAATTTTAGTATACCTATATTTATTTATTTATTTATTTTTTGAGACAGGGTCTCGCTCTTCGCCCAGGCAGTAGTGCAGTGGTGCGATCATGGCTCACTGCCGCCTTGACCGCCCTGGGCTCAAGTGATCCTCCAGCCTCAGGTTCCTGAGTAGCTGGGACTAGAGGCACATGCCACAATGCCTGGCTAGGTAATTTTTTAAATTTTTTTTAGAGACAGGGTTTTGCCATGTTGTCCAGGCTGGTCTTGAACTCCTAAGCTCAAGCGATCCACTCACCTCAGCCTCTCAAATTGCTAGGATTACAGGTGTGAGTCACTCCACCTGGCAATGTCTTAATTTTTAAAAATCAAATTAAAATACTTGCTCTCCACACACATATAAACACATACTCAAATTTTCCACTTGTTTAGTCAGTAATTATCTGTTCTTAATTTTTCATAAGCTTCTGCTATTAAAAGTAAGGGGCCCAGAGTCATCATAAATATTGAACCTATGACTACGTTGATGATTTCTTAAATTTATTTAAAAAGTCTTATTTATTTTTTTCTATTCTTTTACAAATTATTTGAGATTTATTTCCATTTTTTAAAAAATTATAAGTATAACGTGATATTTCTTGCTGTCACCTTAATAATAAAACATTCGCTTGTACTAAAATGGATAAATTTGACCTTATAGCAATCAAAAAAAAAGCAGGCCTGTGACAAATTTACTATGTTTTGACTTCCCTCTGGATTCTCATTTGGTTTAGATTTCCGGGAAATCTGTTTGTGGGAGAACTGTGAGGCTGAGTCTATAACTGAGATGTCAATCAGATGCAGTGGTGTAAAGGAGAAGCCATATGGCTCATTGCTACTCTTCATGTTGCAAGAATGACAAATTTGTATATTCAGTTGCCATCAATATAATTATACGGTGTAGAGAAAATATATTCTGGAATACATGCACTGATTCTGGGCTCTTTTTTAAAACAACAAAACAAGATTCGTGTGTACATTCCTTTTTTTTTTTTTTTTTCTTGGTACCAAAGAGAAAACTGTAAGAAAGTAGAACATGCTGCTAAGTTTAAAAAGCATTGCCTTGGGAGTTAAAACAGAATTGAGGTTATCCCATTTGTGTGCAATGATTTAATATGTATAATATTTACATTAGTGTTCTATGTGCTTAAACTGAGATTAGAATAATAGGTATTCTATATAGTTTCACAATTCGTTTAACAAAAATATTTCGGCACAGATTTTAGCATATGTGTCCTAAAAAGTTACTTCATATTTTTTTCTTTTATTAGATTATATGTTTAAAATGCCATGGAGATGCTATTTAAAAGGACTATACCATATATCTAAGAACCATTCTGCAGAGAAAAATTGCCTTTCCTCTTGCTTGTCTTTACTATTTTCCTTGCATTGTCAATGATTGCTCATTACTTTTCTTGCATAGAGTAAGAAAATGTAATCAACCAAACTAGTATTCATTATAAACTGTAATGTTAGTTTTCATATGTGTGTGTTGAATGTGTATATTCATATGTATTGTATATATGATATATGATACTTTATACACATATTTTATCTGTGTATTCTCATAACTACCCCCTGAATATTGTAAAAGTACATGTCCATAAATATTTACTGAGTGATACACTTCTCATAGGGAAAACCAAGGAAAATTAACATTAAAAACCTCGCGGGCCGGGCGCGGTGGCTCACGCCTGTAATCCCAGCGCTTTGGGAGGCTGAGGCGAGCAGATCATGAGGTCAGGAGTTCAAAACCAGTCTGGCCAACATAGTGAAACCCTGTCTCTACTAAAAAATACAAAAAATTAGCCGGGCATGGTGGCGGGCACCTGTAATCCCAGCTACTCGCGAGTAGAATCGTTTAAACCTGGGAGGCGGAGGTTGCGGTGAGCTGAGATCGCGCCATTGCACTCCAGCCTGGGCGACAAGAATGAAACTCTGTCTCAAAACAACAACTACAAAAACCTCATAACAGTATGGAGTGCAAAGGTTGCCTTTCTTCCAATTACAAGATAAAGTTCAAGTTTAATGAGTTCCTTAATAATGAAGGAAAGTACTAAATAGAATAAGTCTAAAGGCAATTTTACTTCTAGTATTAATGAATCATATACACTCAAATGACAGCCACAGTTTTTAATGGTTCCGTATGACTCCACCTTTCTTTATCAACATAAGGGAACTCTATAGAGCTGAGTAAAAAGTGTTTAATTGGAATTTTCAACTTCAATATTGGGTTCACATAACAGGTCCCAGAACATGATGAGCAGAGAACTTGAGATGCTTTTGCTCCACTGCTTCTAAATCTTGTTTATAAAAGTTTAATTTCAACGTAATTATAATAATTAATCTGGTGAACAATAAGTGTCCTGAGTCTATGCATTTCTCGATAATTCAAGAACAATTCAAAATGTCTTTGGTATATAGTAGTGACAAAGTGAAAAATCATTTAATGATCAATCCAATCGCCTATCTCCTTTGGAGAATGATGATTTAAAAAATTGAATTATTTAAATGTGAAATCACAGTCATATGTTGGTTATTGCTGATAAGTATAGTCATTTCTTAATTATTTGGAGCATATAATAGAAATGTTCATTTCTCAAAATTATTTGTAAAGAAGAGAAGAAAATGTCCAACAGTGATTTCTCATCATCACATTATTTTTATATCAATGCCCTTCAATGAATAAAGGCTTTGAGTCAAACAAATGTGTTCAAATCTACATCTACTATCTGTTTGACACTTGGAAAATTATTTTAACACTCTGATCCTGGTTTCTCATCTGGAAAACCAAAATCATAATATTACCTTCATTGTTGGGTTATGTAAAATATAAAGGAAATGAGATAATGTTTGTAAAGTTCTTAACATAATGTCTATCATCTCGCAGGTTTTTAGTTAGGACCTTGGGGGTAGGGGGAAGTACAAAAAAATTCCTGAAATGTAACAATAATAAAAGTGATAAGAATGACATTGCACTATACATTCTACATGGATTATCTCATTTAAGTTTAAAACAATAACATAAAGTACTATTGTTATCCCCATTTTACAGATGAGGAAAATGAGATTTACAGGGTTTAAGAAACTTGTTAAGGTCATGCAGCCTATAGAAGGCAGAACAGGGACTAAATACATAAAGGCAACAGCTATTATTATCATATTATTATCCTCACCATCACCGTCATCAACCCATCATGCTATCTCTGTAGCAGACTAGGCTATAAAAATGATTTCTTGGGTACTTCCAAAGATAATTGCCTTCCCTTGGAAGAAATCCAGAACAAGCCCACATTAAGCTAAATTCTGCATTAGAGTGGGCTGTCATACAGTTGGAAGGATTTATTCCAAGCGCCTAGAAGGCACATGAAAGATGAATAGATAGAATTTGTCATATTTTCTTTTACCTTTAAACATATCCCAATGCAATGAAGGAAAAAAAGATAAAGCCACTTTGTTCACACACAAAGACATTTTTAAACATCATCACAATTGGTACATCTATCTGGTTGTCAGTTCCTGAGAAATCAAAGACAGAGCCAAAGATACGCATACCTCACACAAAACATTGTCTGCATTGTTGATGAATGATAAAAATTAAAGGAATTTAGTGTAAATCTATGAAACTACAGTGAAGGAATTAAAAATAAAAATCTAGATTTTACTTAAGTTGAATTTTATAAAGCTGTTTATTCAAAATTATCCATTAATTATATTTCCCATGTCTACCTAATTATAAAAAAAGTTTGCAGTATTTTGGATATAAATTAATAATGAATGTACATTTTCCTAAAAATGTTTAATGACATAGCTGTGTAATTGTTTTAAACATTCATATTAGAGATAATCATTAATGATTTCACAGAAATATTATAATATATTGTTCAAAAGTATCACAGTTAAACAGAATATGATATTAACATAAATATCATCATGATTTCTTCAAAACCTAAATGAAGTGTTACATATTTTTAACAGTAGGATTTTCTAATAAGCTTAAAATGACTTTTAACTTTTATTTTCATAACTGTTATTTAGACGTTTAAAGTATGCCATGATTTTTCTTTTGATCTTATTTGTAACTTTTAAGAATATACACTATTCATTAATAAACTTAAAATACTCATAAAAATGGAAAGAATTAAAAATACTAGTTGTCGCTGGAGATTCCATATTCAAGTCAATACATGTAGAATTGATAGATGAAGCCAAAAGCAAGTAGAGTATTTCATAACAAGAGTCTTAATGGAAAATCACTCGAATATAACATCTGATGACTAGGGAATATACCCAAAGCCTTTAGACTGTCGAGTTTTCACATTGCAGTACTGAGCAACCTCCCACATGACAATCACATTCCTCCTATGCTATGTAGAAATGAAATGGAAAGCAAGACCTCACCACCCCCAACTACTTATCAGCAGTTCTCCTTTGACATGCCTCAGGTTATACCTCAGGTCAGGATTAGGGCTAAAAGAAGTATCTTTCAAGTGGACATGTTTCCCTTCTTATTCTATGTTATGCTCTTCCTTGGAGTCTCTTACTAAAATCTGGGCCATCAAGGAAGGAAAATCAACAGACTTAAGGGAAGGGCACAGAGCACAGGTGGGGATTTGTATTACTCAAGACTCTATATTTTAAAAAGGGGTCATTTATATTTATATACTCCATGTTGACTAATCATCCCTCTAGTTATGATTGCCTTGATGAGTGTAAATTGCTATAACTACAATCAGTGCCCAATTGAAACATTTACGCTGTTAGCAGTTGAGATAGAGTCAGAAGTCAGAAAGGGCCTGTTTCAAGCCTTTCACATACCCCTTTACATATTCACTATGTAAGGTAGAAAGTTACTTTCTTAGTGCCTATAAGCATCCAAGTTGAAATCTATAACTAAGGATTACAATGCTTACTTCATAGGATCATTGTGAGAAGTCAGATGTGTAGCAAACAGCCTGACTCTTAAGGAGAGGTTATTATAACTACTTCTACAGGACAACATTCATCATAACTGAGGTTCAGTGGCTTACTGGCAGGGGAGGAGACCTGGAAGCCTCAGTCATCTTTCACTAACCTCTGGTTACCTGTCCAAGATCTCTCTCCTCACCTAAAGCTGGCATTCTCCTTTGAATGCTTTCCTCTTTCCTCACCATAATCTGTAAAGCTAGTATAGACTTTCATTGCTAATCATGGTATGAATAAGCCTTAACAGAACTATGGCCTTTTGCTTTTTTTCAATACCTATATAATCTACAATTGAGATGCTGGAGGAGTTTTCTTGCTGTGCAGGGGAAAGCTCTGCTACATTAAAAAATAATAACGATACAGTACCTATACAGAATGAAGAACTGTTGACTGGGATAATTCTAGCATTTCTGTATTTACTGTATGGAAGAGTTCTTTAAGGAGAAAAGTTAACCAAATGGATGGCTGTCAAAAGAACCATGCTTATAAATATTATAGTTTAAAAAAGTTTATTGAAGTCCCCCATTTATTCTCAGAGGATTACTATAAGCTCCACAACAACAGAGATCTTGTCTATTCTTCATTGATACATCGCAAGTACCTTGAATAGTGCCAGTATATAGTGAATGCTCAGTAAACTTTTGTTGAAAGAGTGATGAAAATACCTCATTAAACTCCTGTCCTTCATTAGAAACTTGTAAACAAAGAAAATAAAAACAATCACACTGATTTATCAACAAAAAATAATGTTTCTAGAATTTTGTTTATGAAGGCAGCCTCTGACATGTAGTCCTGGGTTTGATTTGAACTGTGTGGCCCTTTGCAAATCACTTAATTTCCCTGTGCCTCACTTTTCCTTTCTGTAAAATGGATATATGCTACCTCATAGTGTTGTCATTATGATTAAATAAGGTACTGCATGAATAAAGAGCCTACAAATTTCCTGGCATAAAGTAAGCACCCATTAAATGTTGGGTGTTTTCATTAAAGCTTGAAATTTCACTGAGGAAGGCACTGAGACCCTCAAAGTAAATGATAGCTAGACGTCCCACAGCCAGTTGGCAAAGCTAGAACTAAACAGTCACGTTTCTGTCCAATCTATGAAAAAGCTTATTCTACTACATCAGGCTGCCTGCTTATGTCTTTATATATACTACCTAATACGTGTGTGTGTGTATGCTTTCTAATATATACTTATATATGTAAGTGTATCCATAATATATGCTTTCCAATATGTATTCTATATATACATACTAGAAAACAACGAAGATGAGTGTGGTTCACTCTCTCTGGCAAAGACTTGAAAAATGCATGATTCTGAGATGCCTGCTGAAAATGTGAAAACCTTGAACCATGCCAAATGAAGCAGTTAATATAACTGCCCTAACCTCAAGTTTAGCACACTGATCCAGTTGGAAATTTTGCTCTGGAGCATTTACAAAAGCACAGATCCGGGGAAACGGGAATCAAATGCAGTAATTCTGCAAGTGTATTCAGGATGAATGTAATATTGAGTGTCACCGGGCACCTCACTACCCCCCGCCTCCACCCCCGCCGTCTCACCTCCCTCCCTTAGATCCTGCCACTCCCCTCTGCTGGTGCTGGAAGCACTGGGCGAGTGGCTCTCAGAGCTAGAGCGGGCGGGGCGGACACGCTTAGCGTAAGCGCAGGGGCCAGGAGCCCGGAGGGAGGTGGAGGCGGGGCAAGGCAAGGCAGCAGGCGCTGGGTAGAGCTCAGCTGGAACACAGTTTCCCTCCTGGACCGGTCGAGTCAGACCTCACGTGTAGACTAAGAGGATCAAAAGAAGAGTACGTTACCTGCGGCGCCGGTTGTGCGCAGACCAGATGTGCCGGGAGCTGCAGGTGAGTCACTTGCTCTTCCCTCCCACCCCCACCTCCTCACCCCGAGTCCAACAGGTTGGCTGGAGCGCAGCTTCCAGGGGCCCCGTGGGTACACTTCTAGTCTCACCTGGGCGCTGGCCTCGGCTTCTCCCTTTACCGAGGGAGGCCGTCGTTACTATTTAAATTCCTGCCCCAGCCCACGCTTGTTCTATTCCTTGTCTTTTTGCCTTTCCTTCTAAAATGAGAGCTCCGCTGTGCTCAGAACACCTGCTCTCCGGGAAACTTGTAGGGACAGAAATGGTTAAAAGGAAGGGTGCCTCAAAAAAGTGCCTCAACACGAGGTGGACCCTCGACAGGGTGGGAGCTGACAGTGACACTCCTAGTTCTTAGTGACCCACTGGGTCTTCAATAAAAAGTCATCATTAATTATTCTTGTTTCTCAACCAGGAGGTCAGAACCTAAGGGAGACGGCGGAAGAAAATGGAGCGTCAGTGATCATCAGACTAGAATGAGAGTGAATTGGGAGAAAATGGTGCGGCCCCCTCACCCAGAGAACCCTCCCCCACCTGCTCACACCCCCAGCGAACACCCCGGGGGAGGCCTATGAAGCAGCAGTAAAAGAAAAGGGAGGAATATAAATTCTCAAGTTGGAAGGGACCCGGTTACCACTTCCTTTGCTTTCTGAACTTTTTGTTTTGGTCTCCTGCGGGCAGGAGTGAGTCTCGCCATCCCCCTTGCTTGCTTGCTTGCTTGCGTTCAGCTAAGAGTCATCTTCTCTCCTCTTCCTCCTCCTCCGCCCCACATCTCCCTCCTTCCTCCCTTCCCCAACCCCTCCACCCACCAAGTAGCGAGTCATTCAATCTGTACACCTCCTGGGCTGGGAATCGCAATTGCGAAGTTGGGAGGCGGGGTGACAACGTTTGGGAAGGGCCAGGGCGACCGGCAGTGTGCACAGGGACTGTGTCGGGCTTGGACCTCACCTGATCCTCTCTCTTAGCGCGACCCTTCCTCTGCTCCCTGTCTCCTCTTTCTGCCACTTGTGCGCTGCTTCCGCGCACTCCCGGCTCCCTAGCGGCAGGAGGAGGAAGGCGCACAGCGGGTGGAGAGGGTGCGCCAAGGAGAGGTAACCCCTTCGGGAGCCCGGGGAATCCCGGCCGCCACCAGGGGCCGTGCCACCGCCCTCGCGGGACCAAAGCTTCCGGCGTGTCCCCAACTTTGTGGCGCCCTCAGGCCGCGGCGACTGGGTTAGAGATGCCTTCCAGCGGCAGAGCGCTGCTGGACTCGCCGCTGGACAGCGGCTCCCTGACCTCCCTGGACTCTAGTGTCTTCTGCAGCGAGGGTGAAGGGGAGCCCTTGGCGCTCGGGGACTGCTTCACGGTCAACGTGGGCGGCAGCCGCTTCGTGCTCTCGCAGCAGGCGCTGTCCTGCTTCCCGCACACGCGCCTTGGCAAGCTGGCCGTGGTGGTGGCTTCCTACCGCCGCCCCGGGGCCCTGGCCGCCGTGCCCAGCCCTCTGGAGCTTTGCGACGATGCCAACCCCGTGGACAACGAGTACTTCTTCGACCGCAGCTCGCAGGCGTTCCGATATGTCCTGCACTACTACCGCACCGGCCGCCTGCATGTCATGGAGCAGCTGTGCGCGCTCTCCTTCCTGCAGGAGATCCAGTACTGGGGCATCGATGAGCTCAGCATCGATTCCTGCTGCAGGGACAGGTACCCCGGAGGCACGCGGCGGCTGGGCGGGGAGGCGGGCGCGGCAGAGAAAGAGAGGAAGGCACAGGTAGATTTGAGGCTTTACACAAGCTTCGCTGGAGCCAGGCCTAGCAATAAGGTGTGGCCACTTCTGGGCTGACAGGTGGGGTGGGGGTGGGGGACTGGAAAGCATCAACGCCAACTTTTGAATAGAACTTTTTGAATCTCTTTGTTCCCTTTTTTGAGTATGCTAATTTAACGTATAAGGCAAGGGACTTCAGGCCCACAATAAATATTTGGTGACTGAATAAATGAATCAGAAACGCCATGCTCCAAAAATGCATGCATAGGGATAAAAGATTTGGCACGCAGCATTATCATTTATCAAACCTAGAACACTGACTTTGAAAAACTTGAATGGAGAATTGTTTTAAATATAGAAGATAAAAGGTTGGTCCCTTGATTGAATGATTGTGGAACTCTGAGGTTACCTTGCTATTACTACCATTTCTTCATGAATACATTTCCTTTACACACACACAAAAAAGTTCCACCTGCCAAACATCTGTTCTTACCAGAAAATGGGTAATAAAATGTATTAATCCAAAGTAGCTTTACTATGTATACACTTCTACTAAGAAAGTGTCATTTTAAAAATTATAATCCAGGCCGGTCGTGGTGGCTCACGCCTGTAATCCCAGCACTTTGGGAGGCCGAGGCGGGTGGATCACTTGAGGCCAAGAGTTCGAGACCCCCCCTGGACAACATGGTGAAACCCTGTCTCTACTAAAAATACAAAAATTACCCGGGGGTGCTGGTGGTGCGTACCTGTAATCCCAGCTACTCAGGAGGCTGGGGCAGAAGAATCGCTTGAACCTGGGAAGCGGAGGCTACAGTAAGCCGAGATCACTCCGCTGCACTCCAGCCTGGGCGACAGAGCAAGACTCCGTCTCAAAAAAAAAAAAAAAAGGAAAAATAATCATAATTCTAAGGGAGAAATTCTGAATACTGTGGGTAAGACACAACCTAAGTAAAATATGAATAGACATTTTTCTGCATTTTGTTGAATGAAAAAGTCTGACCTCCCTGCCATGTTTAATTATCTTATACTTCTGTATTTTAATAAAGTTAGACTAATCACCAAATTGTTTTCTCTAAAAGATACTTCAGAAGGAAAGAGCTGAGTGAAACTTTAGACTTCAAGAAGGACACAGAAGACCAGGAAAGTCAACATGAGAGTGAACAGGACTTCTCCCAAGGACCTTGTCCCACTGTTCGCCAGAAGCTCTGGAATATCCTGGAGAAACCTGGATCTTCCACAGCTGCCCGTATCTTTGGCGTCATCTCCATTATCTTCGTGGTGGTGTCCATCATTAACATGGCCCTGATGTCAGCTGAGTTAAGCTGGCTGGACCTGCAGCTGCTGGAAATCCTGGAGTATGTGTGCATTAGCTGGTTCACCGGGGAGTTTGTCCTCCGCTTCCTGTGTGTGCGGGACAGGTGTCGCTTCCTAAGAAAGGTGCCAAACATCATAGACCTCCTTGCCATCTTGCCCTTCTACATCACTCTTCTGGTAGAGAGCCTAAGTGGGAGCCAGACCACGCAGGAGCTGGAGAACGTGGGGCGCATTGTCCAGGTGTTGAGGCTGCTCAGGGCTCTGCGCATGCTAAAGCTGGGCAGACATTCCACAGGTATTCACATTTCACTGATGCCTTTTAATTTGCCATTGCATGTAAGCATTCGTTTTTTGACCACAGTACAAGGAAAGTAACGCTGAACTGATATTCAAAATTACCAACTCCCATACTTTACCTGATCATGACCTCTAAGGAGATATTGGGAGGCAAAACATTGAAGTTGCTATCACAGGTATAGAGAAATGAGCTCTCACATACCTCCTCTCCATAAGAGAAATGTTGAGAGACAATTTGACCATTTGCTAACCTCAGTTTATTTGAAACCATTACCCAGAAGATATACAAAAATTAAACGCACTCTGCCTATTCAAGGTTCTGGACAAAACAGGCATAAATGACACATAAAAAGATACACATAAATTATATATGATATATAGGGACATAAGCCAATTTCTCTTCAGTATCCGAGAAGTGCTTGCCACATATGCTCCTTGGCAGAAGAGAAAGTCAGCCCTTCAGAGCCTTCTCTGGCCATGCAGAAAGAGAAATGACTAGGTGCAGGTGGCCTTTCCAAAATTTTCAAAGAAGCAATGAAAATATTTTGCTTTGGGAGAAAGCAAAATAAACTAATTAAATGCTTTATCTAGTATCTGAAGGTTTTCTTGTCCCTAACCTGGGATGTATGAGAGAGGGGAATACAGAAATCCCTTAGTTTTTTGTGTATCACAGAGCCTTTGAAAATCTAATTAATATTTTCCTAGAAAAGTCTCCATATAACACACACACAAACACATAAGATACGTGAAAATTATAATCAATATCAGTGAAAATCACAGGAACTGATTAAAAATGATTCTTGCATCCCCAACAGTAGTAGTTATCAGTGGCTGGCCTTGCAGCTGTCAGATATTGTGGAGTATATGAGTTTCCTTATGACATACCTTAATGAAAATAAGGATCCCCAGGCAAGCTTGTTGAAATACAGCTTCTGGCTCCAACCCCCAGAAAGCTTGAGATCGGGTCTAGGAGCACACATTTTATAAATAATAAGTTCACCAATGACTTTGATGTAGGTGGTTCTTGGACCAAACCTAGAGAAACACTGGAGTATGATGCCATATTAATTTTATATATGTTGATACAAATACATATTAGCACAAACAAATTGGCTAGATATCACTATCCTTATTTTATTTCCCTAGATATGTGCCCTGACTGACCACCTAAAAAAGGTTGATGGTAGTTGTCCTTCCTATAAATGTCAGGTGAAATTACTTCTGATATGTTTTTCTTCAACATTTCTCTGACAATTAGAACTTATTATAATATAATTTTGGTAGTGTATTTTCCTAGCTAGTCTCACATACCAGGAATTTGATAATGGGGTTTCCAATAACTTTTACAAGTACCACTCTTTGTTTTCTGACACAGATAATGGGATGCTTTCTTCAAGTATTTATAAACTCTTCACAAGACTCAATTTAAAAACACCCAGTAAAAACTACATTTTTTTCCAAAAGAAAGGAAAAGGAAAATAACAGTGATTTCCACAATGTCTCCTCTTCAAAGATTTTCACCATTCTAAAACAAGTATAAAGTTTTAGTAAACCCTTAATTATTAAAAAATATGTGACTTGCATATTTGACAATTTTGCCTCAACACTACATTTATTAAAATGTACACATAGATGACCTATTTCCCCATGTATTAATTATAAATTCAAATTGAGAGATGTTATAGGATAATGGGTTTTTGGCCAGAAACTAGGTTTAAATCCTGGCTCTGTAGCTTTCTACTAGATAAGCTATCTCTTTATGCCTCAGCCTCCTCGTCTGTATAATGGCATAACAATTACCATGTCCCTCTTATATCCTTTCTTTTGAAGATTCTCTGAGTTAATAGAGATAACATGCTAGAAATTCCACCCACTTTGTTTTCCTTTACAAAATTGTTTTGAACATTTTGCCTTTAAACTAAAACAGTGTTCCCAGACAAATGCTATGCATCTCCTCATATGCTGTGAATTTATTTAAGGAACATAATTCCATGTAGACACATCAAGGCCAGTTTTTTATAAAAGTAAAGGTATTATAAAGGTATTCTGAAAGATACTCTTTTGAAGTTAAACTTCAAAATACTCAATGATCTTTAAAAATAGCTGGTTAATAATTCAAGAATATCTCAAAATTTGAAGAGCAAAATTCAAAATCCTAAGAGTATGATTAGTATGCTAATGCCTTTGAAATAGTCTCTAGTGAGTGAATAAAAACAAAAAATGATTCTAAGAGGTATTGTTTTGGACTTCTGGGGCAATATCATTTTGACATCATGTTGATATAATTTCAAAATGTGGACAAACTTTAATAACCACCTCTCTAGTATTAGGGAATAAATCTTATGGTTCATTCAAAGCCTGGTTCCATAATGGGCTTTTCTTTCTTTCTTTTTTTTTTTTTTTCTTTTTTTGAGAGGGAGTCTCATTCTATTGCCCAGGCTGGATTGCAATGGCGTGATCTTGGCTCACTGCAACCTTCGCCTCCCAGGTTCAAGTTATTCTCCTGCCTCAGCCTCCCGAGTAACTAGGATTACAGGCACGCACCACCACGCTGGGCTGATTTTGCTATTTTTAGTAGGGATAGGGTTTCACCATGTTGGCCAGGTTGGTCTCAAACTTCTGACCTCATGATCTGCCTGCCTCAGCCTCCCAAAGTGCTGAGATTATAGGCGTGAGCCACCGTGCCCGGCCCATAATGGGCTCTTACTCCCCTTAGGCCTAGTGTCTTCAGAGACGGAATTGGACTATCGTGGTTCTGTCTCCCTGGGGTTTAATAAATCCTCAGATCTAGGAATGGAAAAGCAGCCAATGCTTCATAAAGAGTAAATTCTCTAGTGGTTCCATTTCCCATACCTTTTTGCAATGGAGGAATATTCTGTATTCAGGTCTATGTTATTATAGGAAAGCAGAAATTTTATGTACTCAAGGGAGATAATTTCTTACAGCTTTGGTATTAAGGAGTAGGGTTTCAGTGGGTGTCTTGGGAGTTCAGACCTCCTCCTGACATACTGCTGAGAATGTCCCCTGAATATACATGTGATGTTCTCATGTCAATTTTATCACCAATGCCTAACTTGCTTCTGCTGCTTCACTTTGTTGCTATGGTGCCCATTGTTTACTTTTTCTGGCTTTCCTGTAATCAGGTTCCTGATTGTCTTAAACTTTACAAGGAAGGTGAGAAAAACAGACACATAAAATACAAGACAACATAAAACTGGCATTTGAAACAAGTGCTAAAATGATGCATTGAAATGCAGGTGTGACCAAATATGCCCTCCACATGCAACACCGCAAAGGCCTCTTATTGTACAGACTAAAGTACAAAACTCCTATCATACCACCCCTGCCTGCCTTCAGTCTTACCTCTCGCCTTCTTTTTAATAGTAGAAGTTCAATAATTCTATAGGTGAATTAATGAATCTAATTATATTTCTCTCTAGCCTTCTCAACCTGGCCCCATCAACTAGACTGTGAACTTCCTGGCACAAGGATTATGATTTAATCAACTTTGTATCCCCAGAACATTGCCCAGTGCTGGGGACATTTAAGTGTGCAGTGCAGTTTGTGGGTGGCAGAGCAAGGAGGGAGAGGGGAGGGGAGGGAAGGAAGAGAGAGAAGAGGGATGCCAATGACTGACAGCATTTGTTCTGTTGCAGGATTACGCTCCCTTGGGATGACAATCACCCAGTGTTACGAAGAAGTCGGCCTACTGCTCCTATTTCTATCCGTGGGAATCTCTATATTTTCAACTGTAGAATACTTTGCTGAGCAAAGCATTCCTGACACAACCTTCACAAGTGTCCCTTGTGCATGGTGGTGGGCCACCACCTCTATGACTACTGTGGGATATGGGGACATTAGACCAGACACCACCACAGGCAAAATCGTGGCCTTCATGTGTATATTATCGGGAATTCTTGTCTTGGCCTTGCCTATTGCTATTATTAACGATCGCTTCTCTGCTTGCTACTTCACCTTGAAACTCAAGGAAGCAGCTGTTAGACAGCGTGAAGCCCTAAAGAAGCTTACCAAGAATATAGCCACTGACTCATATATCAGTGTTAACTTGAGAGATGTCTATGCCCGGAGTATCATGGAGATGCTGCGACTGAAAGGCAGAGAAAGAGCAAGTACTAGGAGCAGCGGGGGAGATGATTTCTGGTTTTGAATTAATTTTCAATTTATTTACAAAAGCTATGTACAATTAACTAAAATGATAAAGCAGTGATGTGGATTTCTGTATTCTGATGATGAGTCTCTTCAGAGTACTGCTCATCTTAATTAATTTTTGCTGATATATTGCTTCATCTACTAGAATATTTCACATCACCTATAACAACTGCACAGTGTTCTGACACATTTGAGTGTCCAAAATAGCCAATTAACACAACCAAATACAACTGGGCCAATATAAACATGTTTGAATTGTCAAATATAAAATAATGTTATTGCAATACATACAAAAAAGTTAAAGATTTTATGTATCACTAACATTAGAAGTTTTTTGCACCACTAATTTTTTAAAAATGGAAGGTAAACTGCATAGCCCAGAGAAAGATAAGTAAATATTTAAGAACATATTGAACAACTTTGCTATTTAAAGATATTATCCAAGTACATAAATTACTCCGTTCTCTATCAGTTAAAGCTATTGAATATAATACTTAGCTTTACAAGAGAAAACCCATATTTGATGGGCAGAGATTATATCCCTATCTTCTTTTTCATGTAAACCACTGGTCACAAATGAACTGATCTCTGTATCCCATTATTACTATAAGAGGTGGGAATCCCAAAACTGCTTAGATTGCAGTACATGAGTCTACACAAAGACTTCAACAATTGCACATCTTCATTCTCCCAACTGAGTGTAGTATGTGGAGCATAAAACAGCATATTTCTTAGTATTTCATGAATATCAGATGGTCTTTAAATGTCTCTTTATGGATGTATTGTTCACATTATGGCTTTAAAATAATGAATATGTAAAAGTGAGGTAGTGAACATCCTAAATTTCTACACTGGAATTACTAAATAATCTTATTTCATAAAATGGGAAATATATGTTAAATGACATCACTGGATGAACTTGAAGATCTTTTACTTGTTAACAAAAAAATACTATGGACAGCTTTCTGATTGTTGGGGTAAATAGCAAATGTTCAAACTTTGCAGGCATTTTGACATTCATCATAACAACACAATTCCTAGACATTGTATTATATAATTAAAGCCAAAACCTCTAAAGCTAAGAACTAGCTCATGATTCCCATTATTTTAGTAAATGAGATTCTACAACCTAAGAATAACAAGGAATGCATCACTTTAATACCTACATTTCCAATATAATAGAGCCCCCAAGGGGAAGAAAATTGGTTCTTGAGGAAAAAAAAATCTTATCACTTCATTTACAAAACACAGATAAGCATATTGAGTATATCTGTGGTATTAACATTTCATGGGGGTGAGATGTTAGGGAAAAAAGCCTAGAAGGCTCTTTGCCAGGGGTGAATGGTGATAAGAAATAAACATTGAGGACTGCTTTAATATATAGCTATAAGGTATTTCATAAACTCTATTTAAGACATCATATTATGCTATGCACTACCAAGAAAGAAAGATGCCAGTCAATTGTAAGATGCCATTAACTGTAAAATGCATCCGGATTTCAGATATGTAAAAATTTAAAATAAGCACCTTAAAATCAATGAAATATCGCATGTACTACCTCCTGTTTTCTGGTATGCATGGTTAAGCTCTGAAAACATTTTCACTGATGGCATGAGTTTTAGATTGTGTGCTAAAGTACTTTAATTCATTTAACTTGTTTCCACTTCTCCTAAATATTATAAAAGGTTCAGGAGATATGAATATTAGTAAGATAAATATTTTACTTCTTACACACATACATGGGTGCTAGATTGTGGCACAGGGCCACTAGTCATAGTATAAATCCCTTCCACAATCTGAAGGGAAAGTAGAAGTTAGACACAGAAGGTAAACTTACTCCAGCTTTTCTAGAACTTTCCCTAATAAGAATAGTTACTCTGATCCAGGACTATGCTCTGTATTCATCATGTATTATGCCATTTTATCCTCAAAATATCCCTATTATATAATTACTATTCTTATACTCTTCAAAATACATATTTTATATATTTATTAACTCAACAAATATTTATTAAGGATCTTTGGTGTTCTGGGGACTAGGGAGTCTTTCTTAAACAAGACTAGGTCCTGTTTTCTTGTAGTTAATATTCTGTTCAAAGGTGTGTGAGGAAAAGACAGCGAAACTGAAACATTAAAAGGTATAAACTTGCCTAAATTCACACAGGCTATAGATGGCAGAGCCAGCGCTGAATACCAATCTGCCTGACCCGGAAAACGACACTCCTAAAAGTCAAATTGCAGATTTCATTCTTCCTACACAAGCTCTGCATAGAAATTTATTTTTTAGGCAGGCAAGCCAACTTCTTGTGCATGGAGAAGTTCAATATGCCTTAAGTAAAATATCAGCTTATTCTCAGAGGTGGAATGGTGCTTTTAAGAAAAGGCTGTGGTGACACCTTATAGTCATTATTAGATTAAAAATATATTATCTTTAGAGTAAATAGTAGTTGGAAATAAAAAAAATTAAAAACTATGTGTATACATATGTATATATGTTTTTATCATGGAGGATCCTAAACATCTTCTCTACAAATGTGCTGTTAGCTATATAAATGTTGTCAAGATGTAGGTCTTCAGAAAGAAGTTTTAAAATATCATTGCTTACTCAATTTTGCTGTTAAATAAAATATCATTTTATTTATTCAATGAATGTATATATAAGCAAACCAAATTTCATTTAGGTAAAAAAATCAAGGCAGGAACTCTGCCAATTTTATAACCCATTATTTTAAAACAGTAAACACTTTTTAAACATCTAAGAATTATTGTTATAAAACAATATTTAATTTTTTAAAATATAAAATAATTGAATTATTGTCTTTCTCTAAGCTATTTAGAGAACACTACTTTCTTTGTTTTGTTTTGGTTTGGTTTTTTGAGACGGAGTGTCCGTCTGTCGCCCAGGCTGGAGTGCCAGTGGCGCGATCTCGGCTCACTGCAAGCTCCACCTCTTGGGTTCACACCATTCTCCTGCGTCAACCTCGCGAGTAGCTGGGACTAGAGGCGCCCGCCACCACGCCTGGCTAATTTTTTGTATTTTTAGCAGAGACGGGGTTTCACCGTGTTAGCCACTTTCTTTGTTAATTTAACTGTTATTTTAAGTTCAGGGATACATGTGCGGGTTTGTTATACAGGTAATCTTGTGTCATGAGAGTTTTTTTGCACGGATTATTTCATCACCCAGGTATTAAACCTAGCACCAGTTATTTTTCCTGATTCTCTCCCTCCTCCTACCCAGCACCCTCTGATAGGCCCCAATGTGTGTTGTTTCCCTCTATGTGTTCATGTGCTCTCATCATTTAGCTCCCACTTATAAGTGAGAACATGTGGTATTTGGTTTTCTCTTCCTGCATTAGTTTGCTAAGGATAATAGCCTCCAGCTCCATCCATGTCCCTGCAAATGACATGATCTCATTCTTTCATATGGCTGGATAGTACTTCATGGTGTATACATACATTTTCTTTATCCAGTCTACAGTTGATGGGCATTTAGGTTTATTCCATGTCTTTGCTACTGTGAATAATGCTGCATTGAACATACGTGTGCATGTATCTTTATAATAAAACAATTTATATTTCTTGGGTATATACCCATTAATGGGATTGCTGGATCCAGTGGTATTTCTGTTTTTAGGTCTTTGAGGAATTGCCACACTCTCACATGGCTGAACTAATTTACACTCCCAGTATCAGTGTATATGCGTTCCAATTGCTCCATAACTTCGCCAGCATCTGCTTTTTTTTTTTTGCTTTTTAATAATAGCCATTCTGACTAGTGTGAGATGGTATCTCATTATGGTTTTGATTTGCGTTTCTCTAATGATCAGTGATATTGAGGCTTTTTTTCATATCATTGTTGGCTGCATGTATGTTTTCTTTTGAAAAGTGTCTGTTCATATCCTTTGCCCACTTTTTAATGGGATTTTTTTTTCTTGTAAATTTGTTTAAGTTTCTTATAGATGCTGGAATATTAGACTTTTGTAGATGTATAGTTTGCAAATATTTTCCCCCAATCTGTAGGTTGTCTGTTCACTCTGTTGATAGGTTCCTTTGCTCTGACAAAGCTCTAGAGTTTAATTAGATCCCATTTGCCAATTTTTGCTTTCGTTGCAACCACCTTTTGTGTCTTCATCATGAAATCTTTGCCTGTTAGAAAACACTACTTTCAGACATTTAAATGCATATAGGCAATGCTTAAGTACCTAAAAAAGCAATTTTAAGAAATTACTGAGGTATCTCTATTAAGAGTGACATATTCATATTTTATTTTATGTATATATTATTTCTATAACATACAAGAAATTGTTGCATTTATCATTTTAATGCAAAGTAGTATCAAGTATAATGGATTAGATGCAAAAATAACTGAGGTAGGAATCTCAGTTCTGTGTTTTAATGTGGAATTCTTATGCTTATTAAAATATTTTGATTAGCTGTTGCAGAAAATATATATGCTGACCCAATTTATCTAAGCAAAACATTGTCATTGGATAAGCTTAATACTTTGAGAAATATTTTTATTGATACATTATGTTAACAAGAAAAGTCTCTTCTTTTGAAATATTAGCCATTAATAACTGTCTTATGAATCCTTCAGTTCAGATCCAACAAGATATTGGATAGCAGGCAAATGATGTGTTCTGATGATCTCCTTCATGATTTTTCTTTGCAAAGCATCACCACCCCAGAACTCTCTCCAAGCCATACTAATATAAGGAAGACAAATGTCACACAGGGAGAGCTTTACTCATCAACGGCAGTTGCCTACCTGGTACGTTTTTAGGGACGACAGGGAAACCTGGATACTCACCATCCTTATGTTCTCACTGTGCTTATATTACATTATATTATATTATATTATATTATATTATATTATATTATATTATAATCACTCCCTTGCTTGCCTTTTCAACTCTAGTGCCCCTCTCTTCCTTCCTGGTATTAAATTGGCAATACCCTGACCCTAATTAAATTCAATCCACTGCCTTCTTGTGCCTGCCCTTGTAGAGCAGATCATGCCCTACAAAGAAAAACACAATGCCTGCAGACTGCTCTCACTTTACATTCATGCCTACAACCCCAAATGGGTTCTTAAAGCTTCCAGGCAATCTCATACGGCAATTCCTGAGTCCATTCACTATCCGGAGACAAGTAAAAACCTCTAACACCTCCCTTGGATTCCGCTTTTACTCAGAAAATAGAATCAGAAGAGATTTTTTAAAAAAGAGTCATCACCCACATTTATCCACCTACCTCCATCTGTGCCTATTAACTCTGCCTTTCCTCACTTTACGAGGGTTGGATCGTCCATCCACACTTTATCTCCGACTCCAGGACGCTGCTACAGAGAGCTTTTCCCCTCTTCTTACTGTATTATCAAATTTTCCGCTTCCTACTTCCTGTCAGCACGCAAACATGATTTTTTTCCCATCTTAAAATTAAAAAAAAAAAAAAAACAAGCCGTCAAAATTCCTTGAATCTATTTCATCCTCTAGAATAGAAAACATCGAATTCTCTTCTCTTTTTTATGGCAAAACTCTTTGACAGCAGTATCCATACTCACTCTCTCCCTTTGTATATTCACTGTTTATCTTCTCATTCTTTCTGGAAAATTCACATAAGTCTACCACCCCTACAACTCCTGTAAAACTTTTCCTTAAGGTCAGCAGTGAGTCCATCATTGCCAAATCCAATCATTTCTTAGAACTCATATTGCCAGATTCATCAACAGCATTTTGCAAGATTAATTACAGATTCTTCCTTAAAACAATTCCTTTACTTGACTTCCAGCCCTTCATGCCTTCCTAATTTAATCCCCACTTCACTGTTCAGTCATCTTTTCTAATTGAGGTCATAAATCAGAGCTTAATCATCAGTCCTCTTCTATGCTTCATTTATTCTGCTCCCTTGACAAAAATCATCTGATTTCATGGCTTATGTATCATTGATTCTCGGTCAATTCCCAAATTCCTACATCCAGATTAGAACTTTCCTCTCACTTACTGTATTTCTAGATTTGTGAACTAACTGCCTATTCAAAAGATGTCTAATAAACATCTCGCAATTTGCACATCCAATATCAAATTATTTATCTTTTCCCCAAACTCTAAGTTCAAGTCCTCTGAGAGGCAGATGCCAATACAGGTGATTTTTACAATATTGATTATGTGCAAGATATTTACTTGTGGAAAAATGGTTATGAATAATAAAGAGAAGGAAACTATTGAAGGTGGGAAGAATCTTCAGACCATGATGCAGGTCTGACAGCTATGAAGAAGAGGGAGAAGGAGGACAATTGGCGGGGGGGGGGGGGGGGTGGGAAAAGCACTGATTACATCCCATTCCTAAGAAACTTCAGCCAGTTTGATGGAGAACACTTGAGAAAAAGTAGCCCACTAAGGAGTCCTACTTTTTTTTAGAAATGGGACTATTGGCACATCTTGGAGATATTACAGGTTAATTTCCAGACCACCCACAATAAGGAGATTATCACAACAAAGTGAGTCACACAAATTGTTTTGATTTTCCACTGCATATATAATTGTGTTTACACTATATTATAGCATATTAAGTGTGCAATAGCATTAGGTCTAAAAAACAATGTATTAACAATTTAAAAATATTTTATTGCTAAGAAATGCTAATAATCATCTGAACCTCAGCAAGTTGAAATCTTTTTACTGATAGAAGGTCTTGCTTTAATATTGATGGCTGCTGACTGATTAGGGTGGTGGTTACTGAAGCTTGGGGTGGCTGTGGCTATTTCTTTAAATAAGACAACAATGAAGTATGTACATCGATAATTGACATTTTCTTTCACAAAGAATTCTCCATAGCATGAAATACTGTGCAATAGCATTTTACCCACAGTAGATCTTCTTTCAAAATTGGAGTCAATCCTCTCAAACCCTGCTGCTGCTTTATCCTATATCTTTGTAATATTCTGAATCATTTGTTGTCATCTCAACAATATTCACAGCATCTTTGCCAAGAGTAAACTACATCTCAAGAAACAACTTTCTTGCTGCTCATCCATTAGAAGCAAATCCTCATCCATTCAAGCTGTGTCATGAGATTGCAGCAACTCAGTCACATCTTCAGATATCACTTCTAATTTGAATTCTCTAGCTATTTCCACCCCATCTGCAGTTAGTTCCTCCGCTAAAGTCTTGAACCCCTTAAAGTCATCTATTAGGTTTTGAATCAACTTCTTCCAGTCTCCCATCAAAATTGATAGTTTGACCTCCTCCTATTAATCACAAATGTTCTTAGTGGCATCTAAAGTTGTGAATTTTTTCTAGAAGGTTTTCAAATTACTTTGCTCAGACCCATTAGAGGAATCACTATAACAGCTATACTCTTATAAAATGTATTTCTAAAGTAATAAGACTTGAAAGTTAAAATTACTCCTTGATCCATGGGATATAGAATCAGTGTTGTGTTAGCAGGAATAAAAACAACATTAAACTCCTTGTACATATCCGGCAGAGTTCTTGAGTGACTAGATGCATTGTTAATGAGAAATAATATTTTGAAAGGATTTTTTTTTTCCTGAGCAGTGGGTCTCAACAGTGGGCTTAAAATATTCAGTAAGCCATGCTACAAGCCGACATGTTGTCATCCAGGCTTTTTTGTTTCACTTATAAAGCATGGCAAGAATAAATACAGCATAATTCTTAAGGGCCCTACAATTTTTCATATGGTAAATATGTACTGGCTTCAACTGAAGATCATCAGCTACATACATAAAAAGATAGCCTGTTTTTTGAAGCTTTGAAGGCAGGCATTAATTTATCCTCTTTAGCTATGAAAGTCCTAGATAGCATCTTTTTCCAATGCATGCCTATTTCATATATATTGAAAACCTATTGTTTAGTGTAGCTACTTCCATCAATTTTCTTTGCTAGACCTTCTAGATAATTACTGCAGCTTCTATATCAGCACTTGATGCTTCACCTTGAACTTTTATATTAAAGGTTTTAAAGTTTCTGGAGACAGTTTTTTTCCTTAAACCTCATCAGCCAAACTCTGTTAGCTTCAAATTCTTCTTCTGCAGATTCCTCACCTTTCTCAGCCTTCATAGAATTGAAAAGAGGGAGAGCCTTGCACTGGATTAGGCTCTGGCTTAAGGGAATGTTGTGGCTGGTTTGATCTACCTAGACCACTAAAACTTTCTCCATATCATCAATAGGCTGTTTAACTTTCTTATCATGTGTGTGTTCACAGGGATATAATTTTTAATTTCCTTCAATAGTTTTTTTCTTCATGTTCACAACCGGCTAACTTTTTGGCACACAAGGCCTAGCTATTGGCCCATCACAGCTTTTAACATGCCTTCTTCATTAAGCTTAATCATCTCTAGCTTTTGACTTAAAGTGAGAGATGAACAGTTAGAGAGGTCCTTTTAGGGTTATTAATTGGCTAATTTTAATATTGTCATTTCCTCAGGCCTAAGGAGAGGAAGAACGGCTGGTCGGTGGAGCAGTCAGAATGCGCACATTTATTAAGTTTGCCATCTTATATGGATGAGGTCTGTGGAGCCTCAAAACAATTACAATAATAACATCAAAGGTCACTTACCAGAGATCACTGTATTAGATATAATAATAATTTAAAAAATTGAAATATCGTGAGAGTTACCAAAATTGGACACAGAGACCTGATGTGATCACATGCTGTTGACATACATGCGAAGCTCAATAAAGCAAAGTGCGATAAAATAAGGTATGCCTCTACATTAATACTCCAAAAGGTCTACAGCTCAGGCTGTCAGTCAATTATACTTCATTCAGCAGGAGATATGAAAAGTACCTTTTTATTGCCACCACAGGTAATCCATAGAGCTAATGCAGGTTCAGAAGTAGCCCCACCATGAATCCCATGGCCTCTTCTGAGAGGAAGCTTAGTAAAAGAGCTTGCGAAATAAACTAGAGCCCTCATTGTTGCAGTTAGTCTCTGGACAGCAGCTTGTGGTCATTTGCTCCTTCTTCCACTGTCCACAGTACTCCATCAAAGCACATAATTGCTTCCACTATACCCCAGCATCGTAAAAAAGTTATAAAGAAAATTTTAGCCTGCCTATATTAACCTCAGAGAATAATTTTACATGCTAGAACACACTTTTTGTTGTGTACTAAAGCACAGCATAGTTTTCCTGCACAAGATTGTCATTGTCATGCTATTTACCTTTATTATTGAACAAAGAAATGGCATGAGTAAAAGTATTTCAGGGGGAGATTTTACAACCATCTAAATCTCATTTTTTTTCTTTTCTAAACTGGTAACATCTCACCCAGAGAAATATTGTTTCAATGGACACTAGTAATAATCCAATGACTGAAAAATAATTTCATGTTTACAAATTAACTTCTGGAAGGCCATTGAGATAAATAAATATATTCACTTTCAATAGCATGATGCAACTTAATTAATTAACGTATGGATTTCCTTCTCAAGTTAATTGGCAGTTCTTTCAATTATATGAAACCTTGCTTTACCTTCTTTAGAAAACTATGGTCTAAGAGGTTTGGTAAATAAAAAAGTTAATTTTAATGCACATACTTTCTACATTATTCTGTTGCCCAATACCCAAATTGTTTCCAAAGAAGTAGTAATTGAACTAAAGAAGATTTGAGAAGTCAGGAATGTGCATGTAAACATACGCAGCACAAGAGAAATGAAAAGTTTTGGTAACAAATGGAATTTTAAAATTATAGTAGGGAAAATGTCCCTTGACATATCTCAATAGTCATCTCAAACTTCACACTGGATATTTAGATAGAATTTCAGTCATCTACTTAAGTAAGAAAATCAAGTCTTTCTTAACAAGTAATTTAAGTTTCTCTAAACCAGAACTATTTTTCTGAAACCCTGTCTTTATACATGTCTCTGCTGTACAGAAAATGTTTTAGCTTAAGTGGTCTATAATTATTGTCAACTAATTCTAAATGGTACATGTGAAAATAAAAGACAGTTACAGTTGCCATGGAAACTATACTTCATAGGAAATTTATTTCAATGAGTCTTGCTTCTAAAATTAAAAAAAAAATTTACAAACAATAATACAACTCTGACCACAAGCTGTCAGGAAAAGAAAAAAAATGAATGAAAAATGTAAAAATAAAATAATTCTTCCACTGTCAGCTGAACTTATAGTTTCTTTCCTCATACAAGCTTTATTATTTATTTAGTTAGTTTTCTTTAAGATTTTAACCAAAGAAAGTAACTACTCCCTGAAAAAAAACCTCTAAGTATAACAGTACAATTTGTTATATAATTTTAATGATAGAATATCTAATTTTGTGATAATAATTTTAATAAATATATTATCAGAATATATTTAACAAATCCTTCTAATTTAGTATGCCTCAACTCTCCCTTTTCAATAAAATATCCTATATTATTTTTTACACAGGCTAATAAAATATGCTAAAGAAATAACCTAAATAAACCAATTTGTTTGATTTCAAAATCTGCAATCCATGGACAAATAGGTCCTATCTCTTCACTAAGCATCTATCTTATTATATTATAAATAAATCTTCAGAGAACTTTCAGCAAGTGTATCTTATAATTCAGTTAGAAAAATCATTTCTCACATATTGCTGACATTTATTTTCCAGAACTGTTCTTCAGAGCACAGAGCAAGACTTTTTCTTTTAATTTTATATGACACCCTTTTAAGAACATTGTACATGTTCAAAGAGAGGGGCTAGTTAATTGGTACAGATATGAATAATACATGATCTAGAAAAAAAAGAATTGTGGCAAAATGTGCCCAATTCATATTAGAACTGGCCAAGACAGTATAACAGTCTTTTTCTATCTTCTTTTAAATTTTGAAGAAAAATTTTGTAGATCAAACAATGAATAATGAAATGAAGCAATCATACATATTGGAGTCACATAAAAGTAATTTTTATAAAACAAACACTGGAGCTGTTTTGATACCTGTACAGTAAAGGTATAATTCTGTGTTATTTTAATAATAAGGAAAAGTTTCTATTAGAAGTAATTACATGGCTCTTACTCCAAGATTTGGAAACAGCTTGAATTATTTTAGCATACACACCATGCTATTTTTAAAACTGCAAATCAAAGGGAATTAATGGGCTATAAAATATATTTGAGTTGTGACTACTGCTTTTAAAAAATGGAGCTGAAATAAAATGGAATGGGTAGAATAGAACAGAATAGCATAGAATGGGATAGGATGGGATGGAATAGGCTGTATAGCATAGCATACAATAGAAGATATTAATTTGCACCTCACAACTTCTAAGCAAAAACTGAAGACATTGCAAAAAGCATTGTAGTAAGTTTGTGAAGGGATTTGGAAAGGGACATGCAGGGGATGTGCTCAAAGCACATATTGGCTAGGAGAGGATAACTTTATCTTATTTATTGATTATATGGTATATGATTTTGACTGTCATTATAACTGGGGTGTTCATATTTCACAGTTCAATTTTATATCAACATATTGCAGTGGGTTCTGAGGTAGGATAAGTAAATTTAACCTGCTATTGGCCAAAAAAAAAAAAAAAAGGATATCTGATACAACAGTCTTTATATTTATGGTAATAGAAATATGTTAATTTAATTGAAACAAATTACCCATAAAATAGATTGCTTTATTATCCTAAACAATTATAATGAGACTTATAATTTCTGATTCAGCATGTAAGGAGCTTGGAAGTCACCACTGTGTCCCAACAACAAATAAAAAGCTGAATATACAGAAAAATCAACTCTCCTTGCATTTGTAAGACAGGCAAGGACATAGGGCTAACTGCTGCTCCCAAAACTGGAGAGACAGGCAAAGACAGGCAGTCACATCCTACTGGAGCAAAGACTCATCACTGGAAACTACTGCAAGAAACAGTCCTGGGGTAGGAAAATCTGAACTGTAATTGATGAATTGCTGAAGACTTAATGTGGACACATCTGAGTGGGGGGAGGGGGGAGGGATAGCATTAGAAGATATACTTAATGTAAATGATGAGTTAATGGGTGCAGCACAACAACATGGCACATGTATACATATGTAACAAACCTGCAAGTTGTGCACATGTACCCTAGAACTTAAAATATAATTAAAGAGAAAAAACAAAACAAATAAACAAACAAAAACTCCAGGGGGACCCTGTCATGGTGGGAAGGGGAACACAGTGCTGTAAGATTTAACTCCAGGAGAGAAATCAAATTCTCACAGTAAATATCAGAGAACAATCCCCTCATGCTTTGGGCAGGGAGAGGAAAAATGAAACCATGTTTAAATACTAATACATCAGAGCGCTCTGTTCTTAACAAGGCCTGCCCTCAAGAGAATTAGTTTACCAGAGCCTGATTTGCTGGGCTATTCTTAGAGCCTAACTTACCGGTGAGAAGGGAAATACCCAACTCTAGTCCACTCTAGTAATCCTGTTCCACCTAAGGGTTGGGATAGGATGGGTGGCAAGCTGAGAAACACTTGTGAAGATAACAGTCAGAGGCATAAGTTTACTAAAAGACTAATACATAATCATAGCACAGTACAATGATTCCCCTCCCCCACATCATAACACCACATTATTAAAGGCCTATTTACTGTAGTTCCTTTTACCCAGTACACGATGTCTGCCTATCAACATAAAACTACAAGGCATACCAAAATACAAAAAAAGAAACAGACAAAAAAAGCAATTTGAAGAGACATAGCAAGCATCAAAACCAAACATGAAAAGGATGTTGGAACTATCAGGCCAGTAATTTAAAACAACTATGATTAACATACTAAGGACTCTAACAGATAAAGTAGATAGCACACAAGAACAGATGGGTGATGTTAGCAGAGAGATGGAAATCTACGGATGAACCAAAAGGAAATGCTAGGGATCAAAAACAACCATAACAGAAAATTTTAAAATGCCATTGATGGACTGATTAGTAGACTGGATATAGCTCAGAAAAGAATCTTTGTACTTCAGGATATATCGATAGAATGTTCAAAAACTGAAAAGCAAAGAGAACAAGGACTGGAAAATGTACTAGTTAATGTAATAAGACAAGAAAATAAGGCACACACAGTAAAGTTCGAACACACAGGGGAAGTTCAAAATGGCTGACTAGAAGCAGCTAGTGTGTGCCACTCTCATGGAGAGGAAACAAACTGGAAAGTAAATACTAACTCTTAAAGTAGATCACTTAAGAAATCATGTTAGGATTGATCAAGGGAGCCAGGGGACATAGACAACAGAGACGAGCGATGTTGGGCAGTCACCCACCTGGGACCAGCATGGAGCCAAGAGAAGCTCCCTAACACAGGAAAGGGGTGAGGGAGTAAGAATCCCCAGATGATTCACATGCCCTACAGGGACCTGTGCAATCCTGGGAATGAGAGAACCAGTTTTAGCCCCCTGGACCTCTAGACAGATACAGAGATCCACATGGAGTTTTTTGCAGAGGCACCACTCAAAATCACAGGAAGCCTCACAGGTCTTGTATCCCTGGGCAGCCCAAAACCAGCTGCCATAGCCCTGATGGAGGCCATAGTCATGGTGCCAGGAAGCAGTCAGACTGCTCCACTTCTTGCCAGACAAGGCTCAGCTCCTGCTTCCAGCAAAGTAGCCCCACCCCTTCATGAACTCCGCCAACAGGCACAGCTCTCTGTTCCCCCAGGAAAGACCTGGAGGTCAGTCTGTGCCACTCCACCCACTCCTGCTGCTGCTAACTAGCTGGGACAGACTCACAGGCTTGGGCTTCCAGCAGAGTGGCCCTACCCCTGCTTGAACGCTGCAGGTGGGCACAGCTCTGTGTTCCCCTGGGAAACACCTAGGCAGCAGATTGTGTGACTGCCCCCCACCTCACCCTGCCACTGCTCCTAGCAGGCAAGACTTGCCCATTTGGGTGGTGCCCATGCAGGGGAGGAGCCTCCATTCTCAGAACACAGAGAGGTGAGATGACCTGGTTTGTGGGCTGGCCAGGGAACAGGGCATGCCTCCTTTCTCTGGAAGGGAATAGCCTGTCTGCCAGCTGTGACCTCTGCCTGAGAAAGTCCCCAGGCCTGGAACACCTAACAAAGGAAACACGGGTATGGCACCAGTGATTGGGGAGGGGCTCCTCTGATGCCCAGTAGTGGATCTGGTGAGGGCATCGTCTCTCTCTTCCCACTATCACAAAGCACTACTATGGATGTGCTGAAATACAAAATTGCTGCCTAAGAACTGCCAGCCATTACTCTTAAGCACCATCTACTGGATTTCAGCCCAAATTACAACACCAAAAATATTTCGCTATTAAGTAAAATAAGTGTTACTTCAATTAAAAAAAATAACATATTTTGGCAGTGTACAAAGCCTGTGAAACCTATCGCAAAAATCCAGCCATATATAAAGGATCCGGTACAGAGATTTAGCAAACTGAAAACACCCACAAACAAAGCTAACTGTTTCTAATTCATCTTACATCATAAAGGAACACCAGCCCTCTCAGATGAGAAAGAATCAGTACAAGAATTCTTACAATTTAAAAAGCCAGAATGTCACTTTATCTCCCAATGAACACAATATCCCCAAGCAATGGTTCTTAACCAGATTGAAATGACTGAAAGGATATACATAGAATTCAGAATCTGGATGGTAAGGAAGCTCATTGAGATGCAGGAGAAAGTTGAAACCCAATCCAAGGAATCCAAGGAGTCAAGTAAAACTATCCAGAAGCTGAAAAACAAAATATCCATTTTAAGAAAGAACTAAAATGAAATTCTGTAATTAAAGAATTCTCTACAAGAATTTTAAAATACAGTCAGAAGCATTAACATCGGAAGGGACCAAGCTGACAAAAGAAACTCAGTGTTCAAAGATGGGTTCATTGAATCAATTCAGTTAGACAAAAACAAAGAAAAAAGAATTTTTAGAAAATAAAATCTTTGAGAAATATGAGATTATGTAAAGAGACCAAATCTACAACTCATTGGCATTCCAGAGAGAGAAGGAGAGAGAGTAGGCACTTTGAAAAACATTTGAGTATACAGTCCATGAAAATTTCACCAATCTCACTAGAGACTGAGAGGTTGACATGCACATTAAAGAAATACAGAGAAGCCCTGCAAGATATGATACAAGATGACCATCTGTGTTGAGATGAAAGTTTATAGTGCTAAACACCTTCATAAAGAAGTTAGAATAATATCAACTTACATGACACCTAGAGGAACTAGAAAACACAAACGAGCAAACCAACCTCAAAGCTAAAAGATGAAAATAAATAACTAAAATTAGAGAAGAACTTAACGAAATTGAGGCCATGAAATAGATCAATGAAACCAAGAGTTGGTTATTTAAAGGAATAAACCAGATTGATAGGCAGTAGCTAGATTAACAAAGAAAAAAGAAGATCCAAATAAATGCAATCAGAAATAACAAAAATGGCATTAAAACTGATCCTACAGAAATATAAAGTTCCTCAGAGACTACTATGAACACCTACATGTGCAAAAATTCAAAAATCTAGATGAAATGGATAAATTTCTTGAAACAAACTCCCAAAACTGAACCAGGAAGAAAGTGAAAATTGGAAAAGACCAATAACAAGCACTGATACTGAATCACTAATAATAATAAAAAAAAAACCTACCAACCAAAAGAAGCCCTGAACCAGATGGACTCACAGCTGAATTCTAGTAGACATACAAAGAAGAACTTGTGCCAATGCTGGTAAAACTGTTCCAGAATATTGAGCAAGAGTGACTCCTATTTAACTAATTAAATAGCTTCTTCATAGCAAAAGAAACTATCAACAGAGCAAACAGACAACCAACAGAATGGGAGAAAGTATTTGCAAACTATGCATCCGACAAAGGTCTAACATCCAGAAACTATAAGGAACTTAAACAAATCAAAAAACAAAAAACAATCCTATTTCAAAATAGACAAAAGGCATGAGTAGACACTTCTCAAAAGAAGATACGCACACGGCCAACAAACATATGAAAAAGTTCTCCGTGTCACTAATCATCAGAGAAATGCAAATCAAAACCACAATGGAATAATATCTCACACCAGTCAGAATAGCTATGATAAAAAAGTCAAACAATAACAGATACTGGTGAGGCTGTGGAGAAAGGAAACATTTATACATTGTTGGTGGGGATGTAAATTATTTCTGTCATTGTGGAAAGAAGTTTAAAGAATTCTCAAAGAACTTAAAACAGAACTACCATTACCTCCAGCAATCCCACTATTTGGTACATATCCAAAGAAAAACTAATTTATTCTACCAAAAAATACATGCACTTGTATGTTCATTTCAGTGCAATTCACAATAATAAAGATGTGGAATCAACCTACATGTCCATCAGTGGTGGACTGGATAAAGAAAATGTGGTTCCATATACATCATGGGATACCATACAGTCATAAACAAGAACAAAATCATGTTCCTTGAAAAAACACGGATTCAACTAAAGCCCATTATCCTAAACAAATTAATGCAGGCACAGAAAACCAAATACCACATGTTCTCACTTATAAGTAGGAGCTAAACATTGAATACACAGGAACATTAAGATGGAAACAATGGACACTGGAGACTACTAGAGAGCAGAAGGAAGGAGGAGACTGGCTGAACAATTACATACTGGGTACTATCCTCATTACCTGGGTGATGGGACCATCCATACCCCAAACCTCAGAATCACACAATATACCTACATAACAAACTTGCACATGTAATCCCTGAATCCAAATTTTCTTTTTCTAAAAAAGGTAAACAGATTGGGAAAGAAGAATAAAACTGTCTTTGTTCACAGAAGACACGATCATTTCCATAGGAAATCTAAATGAATCTTTTAAAACTCCTGGAACAAATAAGTGTTTATAACAAAGTTGCAGGACACAAGATTAAGATACAAATGTCAATCACTTTCCTATATATAATCCTTTTCTCATTTGCCCAAAGAATATTCACCAGTGGGGTTTGCAGCTGCAGCGTTTACTCCAAGCTAACTTTGCCACAAAGTATCTTGCTTTTATTATTTTCACATCATTCGAGTATATCAGCTTTGGAAACAAAAGACATCATTCTATTTATTGCATTCTCTTTTTAGTAGTGGTATTTCCACTTAGAAAATATAGTATATCTCAATCACTGAAAATGTCAAATCCTAGAAAATATAGCATTCCTACACACGATATTAACATCGTTCTTGAGTTGTAATTTGCCAAAGAATAATTTGATGAATCTGATTTTTCTGAAATAGACAATTCTGATGTTAGCTCTGTTTAGAAATAAATCCAAGAACAGGTTTTACATTTTATTTTCATATTGAAGATCAGTCAGATTTGTTTCAGCCTCAAAGAGTGTGTTTATGCAGAATTAAATGAGCACTGGCAGTGAGCTGCATTTTTTTTTCTAAACAGGAAAACAGATAAGCAAGGAACAAATGAAATTTGAAATTAAAACACAATGTCATTTACATTAGTACCCACAAAAATGAAATGCTTAGGTACAAATCTAACAAAATATATATATGATCTAATACATATTTATACAAAATACATGTAAGGTCATAAACTGATGAAAAAAATCAAAGAAGAACTAAATAAGTGGAGAGATATACTATGTTCATAGATACGAAGATAATATTGACAAATGGTCCGTTTTTCCCAACTTGATCTATAGACTTGAGGCAACCTTAATAAAAATCCCAGCAAGTTATTATGTAGATATCAAAAATCTGATTCCAAGGTTTATATAGGGGACAAAAGATGAATAGCCAACACAATATTGAATGAGAAGAACTAAGTTAAAGGATTGACACTATGTGACTTCAAGATTTACAGTAATCAAGACAATGTGGTATTGGCAAAAGAATAAAGAAAGCTGTCCGTGGGACAGAATTTGAGCCCAGAAATGGACTTACATAAATATAATCAACTAATCTTTGACAAAGAAGCAAAGGCAACATAATAAAGAAAATAGAGTATTTTTCAACAAATGGTGCTGCAACAACTATGTATCCACAAGCAAATAAATAAATTTAGGAACAGACCTCATACAGACAAACCCAGAATAATGTTTAGGCAAATATATGGGCACCCATTGTCCCTGTAAAGTTGATGCATAAAAATAACCATTATAGCATGTAAACAAGTGAAGAAGCTGGAGTACCCATAGACACAGAAATTTACCGAAGGCCACACAATAAAATAGGGATCCGAAAGACATTCTCTGGTTTACCTCTCAGTTCCTAATTCTTCTTTTTCATCATTCTGCCTTAAAGTCAAATAGAATTAGGTATTTTACAGTATTACATTAACGGACAGCATTAGGTAATGTCACGAAACATTTTTCCTAATAAAAAATTGCTCTTGAACTTTATAGTAATTACTTCTGGTATCTCTAAAGAAAATTACAAGTCCCATAAATTAAGAACCACCAAGGATATTCTTTCTCTAAAACTGTGATAGGAGTCTGTGAATATCTGAGTTTAAACCAGGATGAACATGAGTGTCAGATACTAAACAAACAAAGATAAAACAAGAGCTATTAACACTGATAAGGAAAAAATGTGCTATAATGAACGTCTAAGTGTCATTGTCACTCAAACTGACCCAGGTTTACCAATAAATTATTACATTATTTTTCATGTTTATCACTGGGACAGATAGCTAATTATTGTATTAGTCAGTGTTCTCCAGAGAAACAGAACCAACAGGATATGTGTGTGTGTGTGTGTGTACATGTGTAATTGCCTCACACTATTGTAGAGGCTGGCAAGTACAAAATCTGCAAGGCAGCCTAGGAGGCTGGAGACCCAGAGAACAGTTGCAGTTCAAGTCTGAAGGTAGTCTGCTGGCAGAATTTCCTCTTCCTTGGGGAGCTCAGTCTTTTTCTTAAGGTCTTCAGCTGATTGCATGAGGTGCATCCACATTATGGAGGACAATCTGTTTTACTCAAAGTGTTCTGATTTAAATGTTGATTTTATAAAAAAAAAAAAAAAAACCTTCAGAGAAACATCTAGAATAGTGTTTGACCAAATATCTCAGTACTGTGGCTTAGCCAAGCTGACATATAAAATTGATCATCACATTTTTCTATGAAAAATATATACAATATAATTTGTTATTAAGGGATTTCAAATTAAAACAACAAGATATCACTACATACTTAAAATCTGACAATGCCCAATGCTATAAAGGATTCAGAGAAACAGGAATTCTTATTCTTTGTTTGTGGGACTGCAAAATGAAACAGCCACTTTGGAAGACAATTTGGCAGTTTCTTGGCTTAAAAAGCTAAACGCAGACTGACATATGATCTAAAAATCACGCTGTTAGGTACTTACCAAATTGATTTGAAAACTTATGTCTACCTAAAAATTTGTATGCAAATATGCATAGCAGCTTTATTGATAATGACCAAAACCTAGAAGCATCCAAGATATCCTTTAATAGGTTAAGGTATAAACAAACTGTGACACATACATTCAATGAGCTATCAAAATACAAAAAGATTTGGGGGAACCTGAAATGCAGATTTCTAAGTGAAGCAATCAAATCTGAAAAGGATACATATGGCATGATTCCAATTATATGACATCCTGGAAAAAGCAAAAACTATAGAGTCAATAAAAAGCCAATAAAAAGACACCAGGGCTTGGTGGCAGGGGAGGGGATAAATATGTGAAGCACAGGGGTTTTCTACAGCAGTGAAATATTTCTGTATATTACACTGGTGTATATATGACATTATGCACTTGTCGATACTCATAAAGATTTACAAAACAAAAAGAACTATAATTTTTGCAAATTTAAAAAATAAAAATTTAGAAGGTTATTAGGAAGGAATGCAAACTCTGACAAATGAATCTAAGTATATTACAAATGTATGAAACTCTGAAGATAGAGGTAAAAGTGCTGACTTAAGTAACTTTAGAAATAAGTGGATTTCATAAGACTAAAAGCAAAAAGAACTGGACATAAGGACAGGGCTCTAGTAGATAAAGCTGTTCCCCATGAAGGTAGGTGTTAACAATTTTAATACTGCTACATATCTACATTGACTTTGAACAATTAAGTAAAAGCCTGGTGGATGGCTGCAGGTTTCTCAGTGTTGGAGGAAAGCAAGGGGAGGAGGCTAGAATAATCCATGTGGTAATTGATTAGAGTTAAACATATTAGTTTAATCTGAGTATACTAAAAGATGGTTACATAGTGTAATATTTATGGATATATATAAATAAATGACTTAGCACATACTCATATATCTATGCTTTGTCAGCTGAGAGGGTATATTAGTTCATTTTCATGCTGCTGATAAAGACATACACAAGACTGGGAAGAAAAAAAGGTTTAATTGGACTTACAGCTCCACATGGCTGGGGAGGCTTCAGAATCATGGCAGGAGGTAAAAGGCACTTCTTACATGGCAGCGGCAAGAGAAAATCAGGAAGAAGCAAAAGCGGAAATGCCTGATAAACCCATCACATCTCATGAGACTTACTCACTATCACAAGAATAGCATAAGAAAGACCGGCCTCCATGATTAAATGACCTCACCCTGGGTCTCTCCCGCAACATTTGGTAATTCTGAGAGATACAATTCAAGTTGAGATTTACATGGGGACACAGCCAAACCATATTATTCCACCCCTGACCCCTCCAAATCTCATGTCCTTATGTTTCAAAACCAATCATGCCTTCCCAACAGTCCCCCAAAGTCTTAACTCATTTCGGCATTAACCCAAAAGTTCACAGTACAAACTCTCATCTGAGAGAAGGCAAGCCCCTTCCACCTATGAGCCTGTAAAATCAAAAGCAAGCTAGCTACTTCCTAGATACAATGCGGATATAGGTATTGGGTAAATACAGCCATTCCAAATGGGAAAATTGACTAAAACAAAGGGGTTACAGGCCCCATGCAAGTCTGAAATCCAGTGGGGCAGTCAAATTTTAAAGCTCCAAAATGATCTCCTTTGACTCCAGGTCTCACGTTCAGGTCACACTGATGCAAGACATAGTTTCCCATGATCTTGGGCAGCTCCACCCCTGTGGCTTTGCAGGGTACAGCCTCCCTCCCAGCTGCTTTCATGGTATGGCATTGAGTGTTTGTAGCTTTTCCAGGCACATGGTGCAAGCTGTCGGTGGATCCACCATTCTGGAGTCTGGAGGATGCTGACCTTCTTCTCACAGCTCCACTAGGCAGTGCTCCAGTACGGACTCTGTGTGGGGTCTCCAACCCCACATTTCCCTTCTGTACTGCCCTAGCCGAGGTTCTCCATGAGGGCCCCACCCCTGCAGCTAACTTTTCCTTGGGCATCCATGCACTTCCATACATCTTCTGAAATCTAGGTGGAGGTTCCCAAACCTCAATTCTTGACTTCCGTGGACCCACAGGCTCAAGACCACATGAAAGCTGCTGAGGCTTGGGGCTTTCATTCTCTGAAGCCATAGCCTGAGCTCTACATTGGCTCCTTTCAGCCATGACTGGAGTGGCTGGGACACAGCACACCAAGTCCCTAGGCTGCACACAGCATGGGAACCCTGGGCCTGGCCCACAAAACCACCTTTTCCTCCTGGGTCTTCAGGCCAGTGATGGGAGGGGCTGCCATGAAGGTCTCTAACATGGCCTGGACACATTTTCCCCATGGTCTTGGGGATTAACATTAGGCTCCTTGCTACTTATCCAAATGTCTGCAGCTGGCTTGAATTTCCCCTCAAAATAATGGGTTTTTCTTTTCTACTGCATTGTCAGGCTGCAAATTTTCTGAACTTTTATTCTCTGTTTCCCTTTTAAAATGGAATGCTTTTAACAGCACCCAAGTCACCTTTCAAATGCTTTGCTGCTTAGAAATTTCTTCTGCCAGATACCCTAAATCATCTCTCTCAAGTTAAAAGTTCCACAAATCTCTAGGGCAGAGGCAAAATGCCACCAGTCTCTTTGCTAAAACATAACAAGAATCACCTTTGCTCCAGTTCCCAACAAGTTCCTCATCTCCATCTGAGACCACATCAGGCTGGACCTTATTGTTCATATCACTATCAGCATTTTTGTCAAAGCCATTCAACAAATCCCACATTTTCCTTTCTTTTCCTGAGCCCTCCAAACTGTTCCAACCTCTGCCTGTTACCCAGTTCCAAAGTCACTTCCACATTTTTGGGTATCTTTTCAGCAACGCCCCACTCTACTGGTACCAATTTACTATATTAGTCTATTTTTATGCTGCTGATAAAGACATATCCGAGACTGGAAAGAAAAAGAGGTTTAATTTGACTTACAATTCCCCATGGTTGGGGAGGCCTCAGAATCATGGTGGGAGGTTAAAGGAACTTCTTACATGGTGGCAGCAAGAGAAAATGAGGAAGAAGAAAAAGCAGAAACCCCTGATAAACCCATCAGATCTCATGAGACTTATTCACTGACCTTCACCTGGGTCCCTCCCACAACAAATGGAAATTCTGAGATATAAAATTCAAGTTGAGATTTGGGTGGGGATACAAATAAACCATATCAGAGGGCCCAGAAGAAACAGCAGTCCAGTAATTGAGCACAGGTAGTGTCCAGATCTTGGTTTCTAAAACCATTCTCAAAAAATAAAAATAAATAAAATTAAACAGAGATACTTGGATAAATGGCTAATTCTAGGCCAGGAAAGGAACTATACAAGATAAGCCTGGAGCATTTTGTAATGCCAGAGAGTAAAAAAGTGCACGCAAAAAAATTTATTAAAAACCCAAACCAGAAACACCATATACATTGTAGATCTATGTCAAAGGGAGCCAACTGCTATAAAAGTTCCCAATAGCTGAAGCTGAAACAATCTGAGCAACAATATATCAAAGAGTGTTGTATCGTAACTCACAGTATAAAATAAATATCAGTCCATATTGGCATAAATGTTTGAATAAATTAATAAATGTCAGAGAAAAGACAAATCTTTCCTGCAGAAAATAATCCAAATAATTTATTAAGATAATCCATCCCATAAAATGGGAAGCCTAGCTTCCCACTCCATAAATGTTGGCTTTTCATAGGGCTTTTCACAGAAAGTTTACAGCATAGACAATGGAAAAGAAAACAGATTACAGTAAAGAAACATAACAAACACTGTTTTAGCTATGTGTCCAGGGTCAATACCAATAATCATAAATCACATTGATAGTATATACCTGTGATGGTTAATACTGAATGTCAACTTGATTGAATTGAAGGATGCAAAGTATTGATCCTGGGTGTGTCTGTGAGGGTGTTGCCAAAGGAGATTAACATTTCAGTCAGTGGGCTGGGGAAGGCAGATCCACCCTTAATCTGGTGGGCACAATCTAATCAGCTGCCAGGGAATATAAAGCAGGGAGAAAAACATGAAAGAGAGAGAGACTGGCCTAGCCTACCAGCCTACATATTTCTGCATGGAATACCTCCTGCCCTCAAACATTGGACTCCAAGTTCTTCAGTTTTGAGACTCAGGCTGGCTATCCTTGTTCCTCAAGCTTGCAGACAGCTACTGTGGGATCTTGTGATTGTGTAAGTAAATACTTAATAAACTCATATATATATATATATATATATATATATATATATATATATATGAGGAACAGAGGAACAGAATATTAAGGATAAAGTTCTTTCATTGGTTTTGGGGTTTCTGGAGTTGGCTGCTTATGAATAGACCCAAAAATACTAAGGACTCTACTTCTAATAGTATAGAGAACGCTGATAGTACTTGGCATAAACTGTTTAGAGAGTTATGCAAAATAAATGCATTTGACACTTCTGATTCACTGCTCATGAGAGGCAAGAAATTTAGTGTTTAGTGACTCTATACATAATACTTTTGACCATATGTGGAGAACCAAGGAATATAATGTAGCTGGTTGGTTGCTCCTAAGTTCAGTGAACAAAGTGATGAAAGAAAATGATGAACTTGAGGATTCTGTCCTCCAGCTTCAAAAGCAGATACTGAGCCTCAAATCTGCTAAGACTGCCCTGAGAGTCTTATCGCCTGTAGAGAAAGAGCTGAAATTGTGGAAAGACAGACTCAAGCTCTTATTATGCGAGTGGCTGACCAGCAACGAAAGATGCACGCATGGCCTTGCCAGGTGTCTATTGTTAAAGTGAGGGCATTGATTGGAAAAGAATGGGACCCTGCAACTTGGAATGGGGATGTGTGGGAGGACCCTGATGGACCTGGGGACACTGAGTTTGCAAACTCTGATGAACCTTTTTTGCCAGAGAGAACACCTTCCCCATCCTCAGTAGAGGCAGCATCTCCTCCCCGATTCATCCCGCCATCAGTCTTTCCACCTTTGCCTGAGGAGATAAACTCTGTGCTGCCTGAAGCAACAGTGATGGCCTCCCCTGAGGCAATTGCCAGGCAAAATAATGTTGATTTTCCTCAGGAGCCACCCCAATACCCCGTTTGCTTCTAGACCTATAACCAGACTCAAGTCCTAGTAGGCTTCGAGAGATGAGGTTGACCCATGAGAAGGTGTGCTACATTCGAAAAGAACTGCTTGAGTTCTATAATTTATATAAACAGAAATCTGGAGAACAGGCATGGGAATGAATATTAAGGATATGGCATAAGCTCCTCTCTGTATGTCAGATCTAACAGTGGGAACCACAGTCACTCAACTATAAAATCTAAATACAATGGGAAAAATTGGATCATGAGGTAGCAGAAGCCTAGTGGTGGCACTCGACTATCAGAAACAAGGTTGGTGTGGCTACTGTAATGGACAGCAGAGACAAAAGAGCAATCAGAATAGTCTGACTCATGTAGAGCTCTGGCATTGGCTAATTAATCACAGTGCTCCTAGAAGTGAAATTGATAGGGAGCCTACTGCATTCCTGCTTAATTTATACAAGGAGAAAACTTCTAGGTCAAATGGACAAAAGACTAATTTGAATTATAAAAACAGAGAATCAGGGCCCCTCAATCAATTTCCAGACTTGAGCCAGTTTACAGACCCAGAACCCCTTGAATGAAGAGGAGGCCAGGTCCCCTTGAGGAAAGACCCCACTACATTATTGACAATTTATGCAGTGAATCTCTCTCCCATCCTTCTCAAAGGAGACCTCCAGCCTTTTACCAGGGTAATTGTGCATTGGGGAAAGGAAAATGATCAGACATTTCAGTGACTACTGGATACTGGTTCTGAGCTGACATTGATTCCAGGTGACCCAAAACGTCATTGTGGTCCTCCAGTTAAAGTAGGGGCTTATGGAGGTCAGGTAATTAATGGAGTTTTAGCTATATCTGACATACAGTGGGTTCAGCGGGTCCCCAGACTCATCCTGTGGTCATCTCTCCAGTGCCAGAATGTATAATTGGCATGGACATACTTAGCAGCTGGTAGAACCCCCATATTGGTTCCCTGATTGGTAGAGTGAGGGCTATTTTGGTGAGAAAGGCCAAATGGAAGCCATTAGAGCTACCTATACCTAAAAAAATAGTAAATCAAAAACAATATCACATCCCTAGAGGGATTACAGAGATTAGCACCACCATCAAGAACTTGAAAGACACAGGGGAGGTGATTCCCACCACATCCCCATTCAGGTCTCCCATTTGGCCTGTGCAGAAGACAGATGGATCTTGCAGAATGACAGTGGATTATTGTAAGCTTAACCAATTGGTGACTCCAATTGCAGTTGCTGTACCAGATGTGGTTTCACTGCTTGAACCAATTAACACATCTCCTGGTACCTGGTTTGCAGTCATTGACTTGGCAAATGCCTTTTTCTCCATTCCTGTTCATGAGGCCCACAAGAAGCAATTTGCCTTCAGCTAGCAAGGCCAGCAATATGTCTTTAATGTCCTACCTTGGGAATATAACAACTCTCCAGCTTTGTGTCATGATCTTATTCGGAAAGACCTTGATCGCTTTTCACTTCTGCAAGATATCACACTGGTCCATTACATTGATGACATTAAGCTGATTGGATCCAGTGAGCAAGAAGTAGCAAACACACTGGACTTATTGGTGAGATATTTGCATACCAGAGGACAGGCAATAAATCTGACTGAAATTCAGGGACCTTCTACCTCATTACAATTTCCAGGAGTCCGGTGGTGTGGGACCTGTCAAGATATTCCTTCTAAGGTAAAGAATAAATTGCTGAATTTGGCCCCTCCTATAACCAAGAAAGAGGCACAATGCCTAGTGAGCCTATTTGGATTTTGGGGGTAACATCTTCCTCATTTGAGTATGTTACTCTGGCCCATTTATCAAGAGACCTGAAAGGCTGACAGTTTTGAGTGGGATCCGGAATAGGAGAAGGCTCTGCAACAGGTCCAGGCTTCTGTGCAAGCTGCTCTGTCACTTGGGCCATATGACCTGGCAGATCCAATGGTGCATGAGGTGGCAGATAGGGATGCTTTTTGGAGCCTTTGGCAGGTCCCTATAGGTGAATCATAGCGGAGGCCTCTAGGATTTTGGAGCAAGGCCCCACAATCTTCTTCAGATAACTATTTTCCTTTTGAGAGACAGCTCTTGGCCTGTTACTGGGCTTTGGTGGAAACTGAACGTTTGACTATGGATTATCAAGTCACCATGACAGCTGAACTGCCTATCATGAACTGGGTGCTTTCTGACCCATCTAACCATAAAGTTGGTCGTGCACAGCTGCATTTCATCATCAAATGGAAGTGGTATATACATGATTGGGCTCAAGCAGGTCCTGAAGGCACAAGTAAGTTACATGAGGAAGTGGTTCAAATGCCCATGGTATCCACTCCTGCCACCCTGCCTTCTCTTCCCCAGACTGCACCAATGGGCTCATGGGGAGTTTCCTATGATCAGTTGACAGAGGAAGAGAAGACTAGGGCCTGGTTCACAAATGGTTCTGCATGATAAGGAGGCACCACCCGAAAGTGGACAGCTGCAGCACTACAGCCCCTTTCTAGAACATCACTAAAGGACAGCGGTGAAGGGAAATCTTCCCAGTGGGCAGAACTTCGAGCCATGCACCTGGCTGTGCACTTTGCATGGAAGGAGAAATGGCCAGGTGTGTAATTATATAGTGATTCATGGGCTGTACCCAGTGGTTTGGCTGGATGGTCAGGGATTTGGAGAAAGCATGATTGGAAAATAGGTGACAAAGAAATTTGATGAAGAGGTATGTATGTGAATGGACCTCTCTGAGTGGTCAAAAACCGTGAAGATACTTGTATCCCATGTGAGTGCTCATCAACAAGTGGCCTCAGCAGAGGAGGATTTTAATAACCAAGTGGATAGGATGACCTGTTCTGTGGACACCACTCAGCCTATTTATCAAGCCACCCCTGTCATTGCCCAATGGGCCCATGAACAAAGTGTCCATGGTGGCAGGGATGGAGGTTACCCATGGGCTCAGCAACATGGATTTCCACTCACCAAGGCTGACCTGACTGCAGCTACTGCTGAGTGCCCAATTTTCCATTAGCAGAGACCAACACTGAGCCCTCGATGTGGCACCATTTCTCGGGGTGATCAGCCAGCTACCTGGTGGCAGGTTGATTATGTTGGACCTCTTCCATCACGGAAAGAGCAGAGGTTTGTCCTCACTGGAATAGACACTCCAGATATGGGCTTGCCTATTCTGCACGCAATGCTTCTGCCAAGACCATGGACTCATGGAATGTATTATCTGCCATTAGAGTATTCCACACAGCACTGCCTCTGACCAAGACATTCACTTTTCAGCTAAAGAAGTGCGGCAGTGGGCTCACGCTCATGAAATTCACTGGTCATACCATGTTCTCCATCATCCTGAAGCAGCTGGATTGATAGAACGGTGGAATGGCCTTTTGAAGTAACAATTACAATGCCAACTAGGTGACAACAGCCTGCAGGGCAAACTAGGTGACAACAGTCTGCAGGGCAAACTAGGTGACAACAGCCTGCAGGGCAAACTAGGTGACAACAGCCTGCAGGGCAAACTAGGTGACAACAGTCTGCAGGGCAAACTAGGTGACAACAGTCTGCAGGGCAAACTAGGTGACAACAGTCTACAGGGCAAACTAGGTGACAACAATTTGCAGGGCAAACTAGGTGACAACAGTTTGCAGGGCAAACTAGGTGACAATAGTTTGCAGTTCTCCAGAAGGCCGTGTGTGTTCTGAATAACCAGCATCCAACATATGGTACTGTTTTTCCCATAGCCAGGATTAATAGGTCTAGGAATCAAGGGGTGGAAGTGAAAGTGGCACCACTCACCATCACCCCTACTGACCCACTAGCAAAATTTTTGCTTCCTGTTCCTGCAACATTATTTTCTACTGACCTAGAAGTCTTAGTTCCAGAGGAAGGAATGCTGCCACCAGGGGACACAACAATGATTCCATTAAACTGGAAGTTAGCATTGCCACCTGGACACTTTGGGCTCCTCCTACCTTTAAGTCAACAGGCTAAGAAGGGAGTTACAGTGTTGGCTGGGGTGATTGACCCAGACTGTTAAGATGAAATCAGTCTACTACTCCGTAACAAAGGTAAGAAAGAGTATGCATTCAATACAGGAGATCTATTAGGGCATCTCTTAGTATTACCCTGCCCTGATTAAGGTGAGTGGAAAACTACAACAGCCCAATCCAGGCCGGACTACAAATGGTCCAGACCCCTCAGGAATGAAGGCTTGAGTCACTCCACCAGGAAAAAAACCACAACCTGCTGAGGTGCTTGCTGAAGGCAAAGGGAATACAGAATGGGTAGTAGAAGAAGGTAGTCATCAATACCAGCTACGACCACGTGACCAGCTGCAGAAATGAGGATTGTAACTGTCATGAGTATTTCCTCTTTCTGTTGTTAAAAGCATGTTTGTGCATGGATACACTTGTACTAAGAAAATCTCTTCATTTTATTTCCTTTTCCTTTATCATGTGACATAAAATTTATTGACTTCATATCAGCATTTAAGTATTATTAACTTTATGTAATAGTATTTGGGTTGGGGATTGGTGTGTTTCCAGTTGTATGAAGGATACTTGTATTATGTTAGGTGTAATTATGACCTTATTATTGTCTTTATTTGAAAATTATGTATTATCTTAGGAGATGAGTATGGGTTCAAGTTGAAAACGGGTAGACTTGTGATGGTTAATACTGTGTGTCAGCTTGATTGGATTGAAGCATGCAAAATATTGATCCTGGGGTGTGTCTGTGAGGGTGTTGCCAAAGGAGGTTAACATTTGAGTCAGTGGGCTGGAAAAAGCAGACCCACCCTGAACCTGGTGGGCGCAATCTAATCAGCTGCCAGTGAATATAAAGCAGGCAGAAAAACGTGAAAAAGAGAGAGACTGGCCTAGCCTCCCAGCCTATATCTTTCTCCCTGCTGGATTCTTCCTGCCCTCTAACATTGGACTCCAAGTTCTTCAGTTTTGAGACTTGGACTGGCTCTCCTTGCTCCTCAAGCTTGCAAACAGCCTATTGTGGGACCTTGTCCTCCCTATAATTAAAAATTGTATTAAGGCTTAATTATTTTTTCAAATTTATGTCTAAGTCTGTTTCACAAGGAGCTACCTATTGACCTTTGCTGATTATACTAGTTATTGACTGTTATTTGAGACAGCAAATCTTCAACTGAACTTCAATATCATACACTGAAAAGCAACAGTTTTTGGACTCAAGACAAATTTGGAGTGTAATCACAATCTTGCCATGTTGGCATTTTTCCTTCTTTTCAAATGGGCATAAAAAGAGAATAATTTATGTTTGTCATAAAGAGTAGAGATGAAGTATATAAAAAGTAGGGTACTTATTATATGCTCAATACACAATACATTTTATTATATTCATGGAAAAATATGTAGGCAGTATTTAAAAATTGCATGAAACATTTTATTGTCATTTTTCTGTTACATTATATTCACATATAATTTATAAGTTTTAGACCAAAATTTTATTTTTGCAATTTTCATTTTAAACCTAAACACTATATTATATATAGTGTTTTATATATAATAAGATATATATCTATATCTATCTATATATATTCTATTAGTCTTGTTCCTCTAGAGAACCCTGACTAATACCTTTGATATGATTTTTTGAAAATGAAATTTTACCTCTGTGATCTTCCTTCCAAAACCCATAACCCCAGTCTAATCATGAGAAAAACAATGGGCAAATTTTAAGAGAGTAGAATCCTACAATAGTCTGCCATATTCCCAGAAAGAAGAATCCTACTGTATGGCTGACCAGTATTCCTCACAATTTTCAAGGCATCAAAAACAAAGAAAGTATGAGAAACTCTCACATCCAGGCAGATCATAAAGAGACACGATAACTAAATGTAATTAGTGGTATCTTGGATAGAAAACTGGGGCAGAAAAGGGTATTAGGTAAATACTAAGGACCTCTGAATAAATTATAAACTGTATTTAATATTATATTAGTTATTAATTGTGTCAAGTAATTGTAACAATGCAATGCTAACATGAAAGATGTTAACAATGGAAAGAACTTTGTAGAGTAGTATATGGGAACTCTCTACTATCTTCTTAATGTTTTTGTACTCAAAAACTACTTCAAATAAAATTTATTCAAAAGTTGAAGAAACTTAAAACAATTTTTTTCTGATTTTAACAATGTGTTGTATCAAAATATATGTTATTTTGTTCCAGAGAGAAGGGACTAAGTCACAAAAAAAGGAGTCTTTAATGATTCACTGAAAGTCTCAGATCACTTCTCTAAGTAATTTATTTGACACTTAAGGTGACTAAGATATTATTATAATGTTTAATAATTCAGCCTTTAAAATGTGAAGACAGGAGGATTAACAATTCCAGTGAAATATGAGGTTGTTTAAAATTCCCTTCAAAATTACATTTTAGTTATTTTCTTAAATGCTCATTTAAATGTTTAATCAAATTCTATATCCACACTGTCCACACTGCACGTAATAATTTGATTCCAGATAGGTTATTTTCTCTCTCAGGCTTATTTTACTTCAGCATAATTATAAGGGCACTAGCTATTTATTTGTTTCCATTAGAAGACACTTACCTCTAGGCTGGGCACAGTGGCTCACATGTGTAATCACAGCACTTTGGGAGGCTAAGGCAGGTGGTTTGCTTGAGCCCAGGAATTCAAGACTAGCCTGGGCAACATAGTGAGGCCTATTCTCTATAAAAAAAAAAAAAAAAGTAAATAATTAGCCTAGCATGGTGGCACATGCCTGTAGTCTCAGTTACTCGGGAGGCTGAGGTGGGAGGATCACTTGAGCCTGGGAAGTCATGGCTGCATCTTGACACCGCACTCCACCCTGGACAACAGAGCAAGACCTAGTCTAAAAAAAAGAGAGAGAGAGACTTACCTCCTGCAAAGATGCTAACAAATAGTTGCATGGATAAAAACAGATCAGTTTAGTTTGGCCTTTATATTTAAGAGGATATTCATATTATGTTGCCTATTCAACACCATTGCAATCTCTGATTATGACCAAGAAATCTCCTCATCTATTTTCCTTGAGAGGAAGATTTGGGTATTGCAATCCCATTGACTGTATATAATAGATGGATTTCCATGTCATTACTGTAGGAAGCACTGGCTTATCTGAAAGAGATAAGCCATTCTTATTCAGAATGTCTCTTTTAAGCTGCTCCTTTCTGCGCCATTCTAGAAGATAGCTTTCGTTTTCTTAGGCAAAATGGTAACCTGAATATATCATATAAATATTATTATATCAGCATTATTATGTCATTACTATTTTTTCACTTCTATTTAAATAAACATTTCTATCAATGGTAAACATTGCCAGCCTGGGCGACAGAGTGAAACTCTGTCTCAAAAAAAAAAAAAAAAAAGAAAAAGTCAACTGCATCTATAGCTTAAGGAGAAGATGAGATTTCAGGGTGATGTTTCCCTTCCTTCCTTCCTTCCTTCCTTCCTTCCTTCCTTCCTTCCTTCCTTCCTTCCTCCCTCCCTCCCTCCCTCTCTTTCTTTCTCTTTCTTTGACGGAGTTTTGCTCTTGTTCAGGTTGGAGTGCAATGGCGTGACCTCAGCTCACTGCAACCTCCGCCTTACGGGTTCAAGCGATTCTCCTGCCTCAGCCTCCTGAGTAGCTGGGATTACAGGCGCCCACCAATACTCCCAGCTAATTTTTTGTATTTTTAGTAGAGACAGGGTTTCACCGTTGTTGGCCAAGCTGGTCTAGAACTCCTGACCTCAGGTGATCCACCTGCCTTGGCCTCCCAAAGTGCTTGGATTACAGGCATGAGCCACCATGCTCGGGCCAGGGTGATGTTTCTTAAGAATCTCACATTCAGACTTCTCTGTTAGAGAGTGAAAACTAGGCTTATAACTAATTCTAAATTATTTCAACGTTTAAAGGACAGAGTGATGAGTCCAGCATAGGGGTCACAGAAAATAAAGATTCTTCAGGTTAACCAACTATAATCAGACAAGATCTTTGACTGTGGTTACTTTTTCATATAACTGACAAGAACCACATAGACTAGATATGCAAAGTGGTATTTGTTTGTTTGTTTGCATTTGTTGGTCTTTTTTTGTTTGTTGGTTGGTTGATTGGTTGGTTTTTGTCAGACAGGGTCTCACTCTGTCACCCAGGCTGGAGTGCAGTGGTGCCATCATGGGTCATTGTAGCCTTGACTTTTCAGGCTCAGGTGATCCTCCCACCTCAGCCTCCAAAGTAGCAGGAACTACAGGTGCACACCTTCAAATTCAGCTAATTTTTTGTATTTTTTGTAGAGACAAGGTTTCACCATGTTCTTCAGGCTTGTCTCAAACTCCCAGGCTCAAGTGATCCTCCCACCTTGGCCTGTCAAAGTGTTGGGATTACAGGCCTGAGCCACCACACCGACCAATGTGCCAAGTTTTTAAGAAAAATGCATTGTAAATGAACCCACAAGCCTGGCTCAACATTAAAGCCAACCTAGGTTCTAAATCAGTCTAGCATAAAGGAATTTCTAATACATTTCCAATTATTTTCCAATTAATATGTGATAATTTTATTATCAAGAAATGAATTTAATACATAAAACATCAAAAATAACTGATGGCTGGGCACAGCGATGAGCTGTAGTTCCAGCACTTGGGAAGCTGAGGGGAGAGGATCACTTGAGGCCAGGAGTCCAAGGCTGCAGTGCCCTATGATCTGGCCCATGAATAGCCACTGCAGTCCAGCCTGGACAACATAGCAAGACTCTGTCTCTAAAAAGAAAAACATAATCACTGATGTTTGGAAACATGATTTATAGTAGCCAGTAATTTTTGAGGTTTGATTCATTAAAGCCAGAGACAGATAGTCTATAAGAAGCGTGTCTATGAGAAGTAATACATTGTCAGCAAATAAGTCTATAAAATATAATGTAATAATTGCTCCAAGAGAAGTATACAGAAAATCATGTGAGTTTTCTAAGTGGAGAAGTTGAAGGGAAGGGGTTCTTTTTAGAAGAAATAACAGAAAGAAGGGGTTCATTTTATAAAGAAAGCTAGAAAAAAATGTGTATATAATAGGGGGAAACTAAAGATAGAATTAGAAACAAGCTGAGATGAGATTATAAAGAATATAACATGTTTTGAAATCAGGGAATCTGGGCTTTACTTTTTAAGCCAGTGTACCGCAAGATGTAATAAACATACTACTGATGGTATGCTGAACATTTTGTGTGAAATATTACAATCTTATAATCCTAATGATTATTTCAGTGTATATTAGGAAAATATAATCAGCACATTAATGCTGTAATTTCATCAATATCATTACCTAGGATTACATTAAATTGACTTCCACTAGTAATCCACCTTATGCAGAAATTAAAGCTGCGTTCATACAGAATTAGAAATGTCTTACTCCCTCAGTAATTAAACCATCCATCATAAGTCTTTAGAACTAATTCCTAGATAATTATCAGACAGTGAATGTTAATCTACATGCAAGTTGATCATTTCAAAATGTCCAGGTACTGACAGCAATTGGGACAAAAAATTTAATCTCTGACAAGGGTAAATTAAATACTGATATTGAAAAAAGAAAACAAAGAAAAATTATTAACCTGTCAAAATAAATAAATACTCTATATAGATTACTCCAAACATCCAGAAACATACAAAAAATAGTCAATTAGTCATTCAGTTGGCTATGAATGGCAAAATTAAATGATCTAGCTCTCAAGCCAATGTAAGGAAATTGGAAGAGGGTAGCAAAGGAAGAAAAGCTGGCCAGATGATGATCATGCCTGTAATCCCAAGGAATTATAGAAATCATGCCTGTAATCCCAAGTACTTTGGGAGGCCAAGGCAGGTAGATCACTTGAGGTCAGGAGTTCGAGACCAGCCTAGCCAACATGGTGAAACCACATCTCTACTAAAAATATAATAAATTAGCCAGGTGTGGTGGCACACACCTGTGGTCCCAGCTACTTAGGAGGCTGAGACAGGACGATCACTTGAACCTGGGAGGTGGAGGTTGCAATGAGCTGAGATTGTGCCACTACACTCCAGCTTGGGTGACAGAGTGAGTCTCCATTTCAGAAAAGAAAAGAAAGAAAAGAAAAGAAAATCTAATTAACATGACCGTGGATTTTAAATATCATAAATGTTCAATACTCTATAGGAAAGTTCTACATCAAATATCTATATGGGATGAAAACAGGAACTGTGTACCCATAAGAATGAAAGTTTGAGATCATGCAGGAAAATATTTTTCCTCCAAATGGCTGAACATTTCATATAGCCTGTATATATATATATATATATATATATATATATATATATATATATGGACATTTCATATAGCCAAATATATATATATATATATATATATATTTGGACTTTGTATTAAAAAACCAAACAGAAAAGTTACTGGTTACAGTTGCACTATTAGCTCTGTAAAAGCTTACAAATTTCCCAGGCTTAACAATGACAACAAGAAGTCACATCATTTTCGGAATATGTAAACAAAGTGTGTATCAGGAGGGAATGAATCCTGTTTTCCAAATCTAATCTTAGAAGTCTACAGATTTTAATACATCTTTAAATTTATTACTCTAATAATGTGATATAATATAATTATATAATTTAATGTTTTCTGTATTTATGAAAATTAGGTGATATCTTAAAATAAAATTTTTAATTTGGAATTTATTTACGCTATTAGAAAAATCTCTGCTAGGTTTCTGGACGAAGATGAGCATATGAGTCCATCACCACAGCAACCAAGTCTGTAAATAATATTGTATTAGTCACAGGGAAAACAATGTATGCTGTTTTTAATATTTCTGCCTTTACCCTTGTTATTCCTAATTTATATGCAATCTAACTCTAAATTTAGTATGTAAAAATTGTCCTCCCTACAATTAAAAATTGTATTAAGGCTTAATTATTTTTTCAAATTTATATCTAAGTCTGTTTCACAAGGAGCTATCTATTGACCTTTGCTGATTATACTAGCTATTGACTGTTATTTGAGACAGCAAATCTTCAACTGAACTGCAATATTATACACTGTAAAGCAATAGTTTTTGGACTCAAGACAAATTTGGAGTCTAATCACAATCTTGCCATGTTGACATTTTTCCTCCTCTTCAAATGGGAATAAAAATAGAATAATTTATGTTTTTTGTAAAGAGTAGAGATGATGTATATAAAAAGCAGGGCACTTATTATATGCTCAGTACACAATACACTTTATTATATTCATGGAAAAATATATATGCAGTATTTAAAAATTGCAAGAAACATTTTATTGTCATTTTTCTGTTACATTATACTCACATATAATTTATAAGTTTAAGGCCAAAATTTTATTTTTGCAATTTTCATTTTAAACCTAAATTGTCAGCATCATCTCATAAATAAATAAATAAATAAATAATGTAATTTAATTAAGAACCACTCTACCACTTTATGCCACTGTAGGGGAGCAGTCCCATCCTGTCTCACTGTTGGAGCAGTCAAGGCTGTGGCAATCAACTAGGAGATGGCCACTACACTCAGCGATCATTGTGCTCTGTTTGCCATGTGTATGTGAACCAAGGCTAGGAAAAGTCAGTAAGTGAGAAGATCATCTCTTTAGTGGAGATGCCAATGTCAGAGGATGTGAGTCTGACACTGCAGGTGGCTACTGTTCACCTGAAAGAGGGCCAATACATAAAACAAAACCAAGCAGGAGTTAGGAGAGCCAAGTGATGGAAAGAAATACGGTGTTTCGGATACTGAGGCTCACAATCCAGATTTTTTAATTACATACATTAGCAACTAAAGGACTTTTCTGCTTATTATCATTTGAGTTGCATTACCATCTCACACAATAGGATTTTTTTTTTTTTTTTGAGACTGAGTTTTCACTCTTGTTGCCTAGGCTGGAGTGCAGTGCCACGATCCTGGCTCACGGCAACCTCCGCCTCCTGGGTTCAAGCAATTCTCCTGCCTCAGCCTCCTGAGCAGCTGGGATTAAAGGCACCCGCCACCATACCAGGATAATTTTTTGTATTTTTAGTAGAGACAGGGTTTCATCGTGTTGGCCAGGCTGGTCTCGAACTCCTGACTTCAGGTGATCCACGCACCTAGGCCTCCCAAAGTGCTGGGATTACAGGCATAAGCCACTGTACCCGGCCTGATTTTTTTCTAAAAGTTTTATTAGAAAAAATGTTCTTTTGACATAGATTTACACTCTACCTGGAATTATTTTTTATATGGTGTGAAGTAAGGTGGATGCAGATGGTTTCCTTATTTTTAATTAAAAAAAAAAATTCAAAATCATTATTAGAAAAACTTCCCTGCTCTGTAGTACCACATTAGTTGAACTTTCAGTGTTCATATAAGCGTGATTCTTCTTCTCAGATCCCTCATTCAACCTGTGAGTCTAATTTGGCCATCTTGTACCATCTTTTGTTAATTACAGGTTTATAATAATTCTTGGTAACAGCTAGAGCAAGTCCTCCCATCTCATTCTTACTCAAGCTTCTCCAGGATATTGTTGGCATTTTGAAATTGGATTATCAATTTCATTTTAAAAACTTCTAATATTTATTACTTCATTGATTTGATTTATTAATTTGGGGAGAAACATATTTAAAATATTGAGTTTTCTAACTCTTGCACAAGCCCACCAAATATTTGAATCTTTTTAATTCTCTCAATTTGTTTTACTGTTTTCTATGTAGAGGTGTTTTATTAGACACATTCTTAGGTATTTTATGTACCTGATGTATTTTTTAAATGCTTGTTGACCTTCTGTCCAGAAATCTTCCTAAGCTTACTTAGTAATTTATTTATTTTTTATTTTCTATATACATAATCATATTATCTGTAAATTCTACATATGCAATTAATATTATCACCATAAACTACATTTTCCCTTCTTCCTTTTCAATCTGTATATCTTTCTTTCTTTACTGCACTGCCCTGGCTAGGAACTCTTGTTCAATATTAAATGGCGATGGTAATAGTGAGTGACCCTTGACATTCTTTTCTCAAAATGAAAGTCTACTTTTTTCCCAGGGTTGGCTCTAGGGAGAGTATACCAATGACATTCAAAATATTTTTAAAAAATAATTCAAAGAAAAAGAGTCAAAATATGGTGGAGAGAATGTGAAGGGAAAGGAGTGGAAAACATTTTCTTTATAAACAAGAAAGAAGAAAGAACGTATAACCAATTTAGGTTTGGTGTACTTGGAAGTCAACAAGTAAAAAATGTAATTCATTGCCAGCTCTCTTGAACATTTTAATACTGATAACTTTAAACTTTCCAGGCACTGAGGTTTAGAAAACATAACAGTGGCATTAGATACAGCTATGCAACTTACAATCAGTTATTTCCAAGCAAAGATCTTTAGGCATTTCAGTTATGACATTGCAGAATCTGTCATCCATATAATCAATCCAATTGATTATTAAAATAACTAGAGCCACAAAATCAGTTATTTTTCCCAACATTTTAAATCTTCTATGATCTAAATTTCATTTCCATGACTAGATGTTTAAACCACTCTCTCTCCCTGCCAAAACTAGGTTGGGTTTCTGTGGTAGCCAGTTTCCCATATGGCCACCAATGATTCTCACCTCTTGAGTATTCACACTGTTGTATATTTCCTCCATCCACTCATAATGCATAGGGCTGACCTAGGAAACCAACAGAATATTTCAAGAGTTGGTGGTGTGGGGCTTTCAAGGAAAGGTGATAAAATATATTAAAAACTTCCTCTTTGTCCTCTCTTAAATCACTCACTCTGGGAAAAGCCAGAATGAGCCACCATATTGTAAGGAAGTTTAAGCAGACCTACAGAGAGGTCAGTACCTCTGATGCCTCTTGCCAACAGTCAGAACCAACTTTCCAGTTGTGTGAGTGAACCATCTTGAATGTGGATTCTCCAGACCCACTTCAGCCTTCAGATGACTTCAGCCCTGTTCTACATTTTGACTGCAATCTTGTGAGAGACTCTGAGCCAGAACCATGCACCTAAGCGCTTCCTTATTTCCGACAGATAGAAACTGAAGATAATGAATGCTTGTTATTGTTTTAAGTCACTAAATTTGTTACAAAGAAATAGATAATATAATACCCTTACTATGTCCACCTGTAGTACTAGTACTTCCCTTGTCATGATACTTTATTATAATTCCATTTTATAATAAATAGATGTATTTGTTCCCACCTACTTAAAGCTGTTTGAGAACATATTTTCTCTTTCATTTACAATTATAAACCTGGGCTTAGCACTTGACTGTCACTCAGTAGATGCTAAATGAATACATGTGGTAAAAAGGAAGAGAAAAAAAGTTAGGGATCTTGAGGAAGGAGGCAGAGCAAGTATGGCTATGGAGAACCCTCCATGGATTACACCCTGGCAGGAACACAAAATTAAACAACTATCCATACAAAAATGCACCTTCATAAGAACCAGAAGGAAGATTAGAAGGTGAAAGGGTAGGAAGGAAAGAGAAAGACATTTCTGTTTGACCAAAGCCCTCAAGTTTTGCATCAGTGAACATGGATAGCCCTCATATATTTCCTGCAAAAATGCATCTAACACTCCTTAAAGCAAACCTAACATATGACTAATGACTAAGCAAACCTAATATGACTAATTAATATGAAGTTTTTCTAAAACTAAAACCATAATAATTTTTATTTTGATGTAAAGAAAGAATGATCTTTGTAGTTCAGTAAAAAAGCAAGCATGGTTTCCAAGAGGAACAATTGCCTAGGCTAGACTAACTAACTGGTGAGTCTGAGTAGGCAGACAGCCAGAAATTAGCAGGAAAGGGAGCCCCTGGAATTTTTTGTTTGTTTGTTTTTGTTTTTTGTTTTGTTTTTGTTTGTTTTTGACACAGAGTTTTATTCTTGTTGCCCAGGCTGGAGTGCAATGTTGCTATCTCGGCTCACCGCAAACTCTGCCTCCCAGTTCATGCAATTCTCCTGCCTCAGCCTCCCAAGTAGCTGGGATTACAGGCATGTGCCACCACACCTGGCTAATTTTGTATTTTTAGTAGAAATGGGGTTTTACCATGTTGGTCAGGCAGTTCTCGAACTCCTGACCTCAGGTGATCCACCCACCTCTGCCTCCCAAAGTGCTGTGATTACAGGTGTGAGCCACCATGCCCGGCCACCCTGGAATTTTTTTAAAAGTTCTAGAGATGCTGCCCACTGATAGTCAGCACTGCCAACTGACAGTCAGCAAAAAGGACAATGGCTACATTGGCTACATATGGCCTTGTGGCTGAGCTCCTCTGACCCTGAAGAAGACTTATCAGGCCGTAACCAGATATAACAATGCTAGGGATTTTTCCTGTTGACGCTCATGCACGCTCCTCCAAAAACTTGCCCCAGAGTAGCCTTTTGCTCATTATAATAGTACCAAACACACCCCTGGATGGAGATTTTAGATGCTAATGAGAATAGGCAACATGTCTACTAGCATGTATAACCACAGAGCATGAGCGCCCAAAGGGACATCTCAAAACATGCTTGCAAGTGACACCCCCTCACGCCCCTTCATGAATAATCATGTAAGATTCTCATAGAGTCCCCCAGCACAAGCTGCTGCTGGCTCACTCTTTTGAGCAGCCCACTCTGTCTCATCTTTCAGAGTGTACTGTCTCTTTAAATAAACACTGTTGCTACTATTTTTCCAACTGGGTCAGTCTGGAGCTGTTTTCCACTCCTCCTCTCTAGAAATGTACTTTATCTTCCTTCAATAAACTCTGTTACTTAACCCTTGCTATGCATCGCTTGGCTAAATCCTTTCTTCCAAGTTAGACAAGAACAAAGGATTCCTACATTTCCAGTAACAAGTCCTCCTTCCAGGAGTCCTGTTGTTAAGATCCTCATTAGCATTTTACATAGAGATATGTTGTCAACTTATAGGAAAGTTTTGAAATTCATTTTTTGGGAGCCAGGGTTATAACAGCAGGCAGAGCAAATATCTAAGGCACAGAGAGAGATAACATTTAGTAATTTTGGCCAAGGATTACCTGAAAGGTTTTCAGATATCTATGGAGGTTTTTAATACATATGAAATGAATGGAAGAAAATTATTTTTAACACCCAACTGCTTTCAAATTAAATGAAAGACCCTTTTGTTCCATGAAGTACATTAATGCATTCAAATAACAAATGTAGACCTGGAACAGAGATTAGAAATTATTAGAGGCAGGCACAGTGGCTCATGCCTGTAATCCTAGCACTTTGGGACACTGAGGCAGGCGGATTACTTGAGGTTAGGAGTTTGAGACCAGCCTAGCCAACATGGTGAAGCCCTGTCTCTACAAAAATACAAAAATTAGCTGGACGTGCTGGCGTGTGCCTGTAATCACAGCTGCTGAGGAGGCTGAGGCAGGAGAATCACTTGAACATGGGAGGTGGAGGTTGCAGTGAGCCAAGATCGTTCCACTGCTCTCCAGCCTGGGCAACAGAGAGACACTCCGTCTAAAAAAATAAAGAAAGAAATTAAGTTAGGGAGAGATGATATTAGAGTTCCAGAAACCACCCCAGAGGAACAAGAAAGCAAGATAAAGAAGCAAATAGGCCCAGAAATTGTTTAAAGATTCCCCTAGGAATTCTTTTCATATGAGTCTTCTCCTTTGATTGTCTATTAACAAGGCCATTTTGCAACTCTGCAGTTATAAGTTAAATTGCAGAAAACTAATAGTAATGCAAATAGTTTACATTCATAGTAAGGCAAATGAGTGATTTTTTTCTGATAGAGATACAATTTATTCCTATTCTATAGAAAAGGTGACCCAAACAGTGTATGGTATTACTTTATGAGGTAGTAACCATTTTTGTATGAATTAGCAAATTTATTTATGTATTCCTGAAGATTAGACACACACACTCACATACACACCCATATATATGAAATATATCTATAAATATATATGAAATGCATATATATGTACCCGAAATATACATATATATATGTATATTTCAAACTTCAAATTCTCCTTTGATTAAGCTAAATAAAATCTTTGACATGTGTTCATTTTTTATTTTTATGGAAGTCATGCTTTTAGCATTTGGAAATTATACTTTAACAAAGTATTTAAAAAATAGACCTGTTGAAAGTACATTTTTTAACAGAGGTAACTAAGAACCTTCACATATTTCTGTGATATTTTCAACACATGTTTAACTTGAACACAATGTTGAGTGAAAGTGAAAGAACTCTCAAAGGAGAGCAAAGGCTTCCCTTAAAACTATTAAAATGAAATAAACTTTCTAAATGCTAATAAATAGTGGATAATACTTTTACATTCCTTTTTAAGATAAAGTAACTCTTATCACATGGTCATTTGCTTTAAAAAAAATTTGTACTATTGCAAAATTTTATTTTGAACAGTTTATGTATCTGGTACTTATTGTGTTTTAGTTAAGTTCTATTTATCTATATAATATTTAGTATCAAATATCTAAGTTTTAAAAGAAAGTTGCTTTCTAGACAAAAAAGGGAAATTTCTATCAAAAAGCTAAACCCAGCTAATCAGAAATGTATTTGATCAATAGCTTTGGGGTCAGGTTCTTCTGTGCTCTTGATTCACTGTAAGCCACAGTCTGTAATTGCACCAAATTCCAGTTAATAGACCTATGGAGTTCAAAGTAGTCCTTGAATATAAATAATCTGAGAACCAAGAAATTTGATTGCTATAGTGCCCTGATTAAATGAAATCCCTTCTTAAAAAAATAAACTTTTCCCTGTAAGGTGTGCTGAATTTCAGTCATTCCCTTTGCTTTGTTTCTTTTATCCTCCTGACTTTCATTTCATACTACTATTCATGCTCATCTGATGTTCTGAAAAAAATGCTTTCTGTAGAAACAAAAGAAAAAATATTTTAATCCAATGATTAAATTTGAGACTAATGCATTGGTCTATGGGAATTGCCAATACAAAAAAATTTGTCATTATAAAAAATACAGGGCTAAATAGCTGAATCATCTTTCCCACAGCAATGTTGACATTCTGGTCTGATTTGGCACAAATTCCTGTTATTATTAATTTGCTTTGGGTGACTGATATCCTTGCTCTAATTCAGCTGTTAAAAGGTATGCACAAAGGTGATTTTGAACATATCTTTCAAAATGCTCTGGTCAGTACTCTGGTTTCTCTTCACATCACATATATCTTTTGCCTTTTAAAATGCTCTGGTCAGGTGAAGAAAATGCAAATAATCATACTTTTGGGAAAAGTGAATGTGATCTTAACTAACATATTTCCATGATATCTATTTTTGTTTTTGTTTTTATAACAAAGCATTCCCTCATTATTTATCTTTATTTGTGAGAGCTTCAGGGGAGAAATTGAAAAGGGAAATGAAACCCCATGGAAGAACAGAAATAAAAAAGATGGAAAAATAAACATAATACTTTTTTATTTTCTGCCAGTCTGCAAATTACTATTGTTGTCTTAAACACTTTGTTCTACTTGCTTTGGAGGAATTTGTAACCTTATCTCTCTTTATCATGACAAATTAAGACTCATGTTTTGGTGAAATATGTACATGCAAACAATAGTTTTAAAATATCAATCTCATTTCCTACTTTTTCCTAGTAAAGAGGGGATTTCTCTCTCTTCCATACTCTACAGAATATTTTTTTAAAAAAAAACTCTGGTATTTTCATTGTCTCTCAAACTAAAAAGTCTTTGATCATTATAATGGCCAGGACCACCTGGGGATAAGTCCTTTATTGTTTGTTTGTTTTGAGATGGAGTCTTGCTCTGTCGCCCAGGCTGGAGTGCAGTGGTGCAATCTTGGCTCACAGCAATCTCCACCTCCCAGGTTCAAAAGATTCTCCTGCCTCAGCCTCCTGAGTAGCCGGGATTACAGGCGTGTCCCACCATGCACCCCGTTAATTTTTGTATTTTTAGTAGAGATGGGGATTCACCATGTTGTCTAGACTGGTCTCGAATTCCTGACCTCAGATGATCCACCCACCTCGGCCTCCCAAAGTGCTGGGATTACAGGCATGAGCCACTGCTCCTGGCCCGAGAATAAGTCTTTATTTAGTTTGTTTACCACTAGTGTCCTGAAAATTATTTTTTAACTTATAAAATGGTAATATCAGCCTCTAGATTTAATTTTTGCATATTTTGCCTTTTTCTCAAGAAAACAAACATATATATTGGAAATCAAAATTTAAGAAAAAATTAAAGAGCTAATAGAAAATCAATTATTTTTCCATTCATTTTTTCATTCATAAATGTTATTTTGTTATTAATGCAGGAAAATATGCAAAATTTATTTCATTGTTGATAACCACCTACAGCTATCAGAACTATGGACATCACAATCAGTCGCCACTGGAAATGGTTTCATTTGAATAAATTAGAAATAAATAAGAAATATACAGATCTTAGGAAGACAGCTTTGAATCATGACAATCAAAGAACACACATGTAATAATGGTGGCATTCAAAAGCTAAAATATCAAAATTATGTAAATAGGCAAATAATATTTATGTCTTCACCAATAGAAGTTAATAACTCCATATTTGTCATAAGGGAAGAAAAGAGAACCAAGTGGGTAGCAGTAGTCTGATCGTAAGATTTCAGGCCTCCAACTATTCCTTCAACGTATAACTATTCTAAGTGTATTAATACCTAAATAAGAATAGTAAAGAGTAAATTCCTTGACATTAATCCATTCTTACAAGAGCATTTGAGGATGGCAGGAGGGGCAGGGTTGCTTCTAATATATGCAACCCTGAGAAAAGATCAGGGTTTCAAATAGCACTGCAGCAGAAACGACTTCAAGAGGAAAGCAACAGAAACTTATTTTAGAATATTTTTAGAAAATTTAGTTTAGAATGACACCAGAAGAATCTAATGAAAAATTTTAATGAGGTTAGTGCCCACCGATTACTTAATTCTAAAGCTAGAAACAGCTTTAATTCTAAAGCTGCAGAATCCAAATATAAAATTATAATATCAGCAGGAAGTCTAGCCTTCTACTTGGCAAATGTCTTGGGACCACGCTTAACTTCTGAATACTGTTGTATAATGTGAATGTTCAGACAAGTTTATAAGATCCTAAGTCTCCTCTATGATGACAAAATCATCTTTATCTATCAGATTTCATCTCTGGGATTAGAGAAGGCCCAGAGAGGGCCATCCCACCAGGCTTCCAGCATGCAAGTTGTAATCTCAAAACCAATATGAGCACCAAAAATTAATATTTATTGAACATTTTATGTTCTTGGCACTATGCAGGTAATATACACACTTTAATTTTTGTAATGCCAACAATCTCATTATAAAAATTACAGATCAGGAAACCCAAAGTATTTACCCAAAGTTGGTAATACTGAAGCCAAGATGTAAACCCAGAATTCTGACTCCACAACTGATCTTAACCATTTCTGTAAAATTGGAAGGGGTATGTACCCAACATAGTTTAAGACAGAGTGGTGAAGAATTTTGATAATGAAAGATCCTAGGTTAGTGGTTCCCAAGCGCCAGGCTAAAGATTAGTACCAGAGTGGCTACAATAGAATCACCAGGGGCTCTTGTTAAATATGCACATTTCTGGGCCTGATCATCACATAATCTGATCTTGCGGGTAATGGGTGCAACCAGGTTTGGGCACCACTCATCTAATATGTGGTAAGGAGAAATGAGAGACAGAAATATGATCCAAAATCTAGAAGATTGAGAAAGGATGGAATTTGGAACGAAGGATTAATGGAATCGAGTTCCTACTTTCATGGCCATGAACACTGACAAAGGTGTTTGAATTTCTCTTTCAGATGGCTCCTAATGCTTAACATAGAGGCAGATATAGTTGTTTTGGGGAACTAGACTAGGCACTACCAAGTAGAAGATTATCTTCACTAAAACAGACCAAACACTGATAGTTTTGGTTTGTATTTTTTTAATCAGTCATATTTCAGGATGCAAAAAGAACATGAATGCAAGTGTAACACAATATTTCTGACCCTAATTTAAGTCTTTTGACTCTAGTCAGGTAGCCAGGAACTTATACAGATTAAAACAATCTGGTTGTGGAAACAGTATTATTAAAAGACTAGCAGGGTAGATTAAAATCAACATCTTTTATTTGAATATCAAGAAAGTTCTTGTCTCTAAGGGATATTCAACAGTGGGAAGATAAAACTAAGAAAATTACAACATTTATGCTTGACAAGCAACTAGTTTTCTCAATGAAATATAACTTGCACTAAATGCAAAATAGATGAGATAAGAGAATTTCATGATGTGTTAAGTCTTTGACTTCTTTCATTAATGAGTGAAATCGCTTGTGTCCCATTACTGCTATGAAGGCTATAAAAATCTTAGTTATAATCTTTGTACAGCTGTGATGTAAACCTCCAGTTGGAATGGCAGGATGAAAGGGCTGGGCGCAGTAGCTTAAGCCTGTAATCCCAGCACTTTGGGAGGCTGAGGTGGGTGGATCACCTGAGGTCAGGAGTTCAAGACCAGCCTAGCCAACATAGTGAAACTCCATCTCTACTAAAAATACAAAAATTAGCCTGGGGTGGTGGTGCATGCCTGTAGTCCCAGCTACTTGGGAGGCTGAGGCAGGAGAATTGCTTGAAGCCAGGAGGTGGAGGTTGCAGTGAGCCAAGATCCCACCACTGCACTCCAGTTGGGGCAACAGAGCAAGACCCTGTCTCAAAAAAAAAAAAAAAAAAAGAAAGAAAGAAAGAAAGAAAAAGAAAAAAAGAATGGCAAATGGCAGAATGAAAGGTTTCTGAAGATGTCACCAAGGTAGGGTTGGACAAATCCTGTGAGTCAATTCCTTGAAGAAGCAAGGTAGAAGTGTGGAAATCTGGGTTCCTAATCCCACTTTTGTTACTGAATACACATGAGATATGATCAAGTTCTCCTCTCAATCTCAGTTTTTCTCTTATAGAATACAGATAATAATCATTGTTCTGCTCCTATCACAGGAAAGTCCTGAGTACCAAACAAGAAAATTTTTAGCCTGGTCTCTTGAGAAATTAACATTTCCCAGTATTTATTCTACTGGACCTGTATTCAACCCAGGATCCTATCTCTACTGAATTGTCTATCCCAACGTCTCCCAAGCTAAAAATTTATTCATTTTTTTCTCTTTACCATCTATATTTACCCTCTTAATCCAGTATCATGATTTTAAATATGCTCTCAAATGTATATATTCATCCCAGATCTTTCCCATGAATTCCAGTTTTGTATGTCTAATTACCTTTCCAACAGATCTGTTTAAATTTCTAACAGTCATCTCAAAATTTTCAACATAGCCAAACATCTACTCCATATTTTCTACCTACACTCTTCCCATCTCAACTCCAAGACTCAGCATTCTTAACTCTTCTCTCTCTCTCATACCCCACATACAATCCATTGGCTTACCTTCAACATGTATCTGGTATGCAAACACTTCTCCTGTTATCAGGCTGGTCTAAGGCACCACCATTCCTCATCCATTTGCTGATCTGCCTGCTGTAGAACTTGCTCACCTCAACACTGCAGCAAGAGAGCATGTTTAAACATTAGTCAGATCAGGTTATTTTGCTGCTAAAACCCCTAATGATTTCTCCCGTCACTCTTAGAAAAATCCAAAGTACTTAAAATAACTAATAATGCCCCAGGAGCAGTGGCTCTCAACCAGTGGTGAATTTTGTCCCCCCAGGGGACATTTTGAAATTGTGGAGGCATTTTTGATTGCCACAACTGGAACAAATAGGAACAACTCTCACCATCATCTAGTGGGTAAATATCAGAGATGCTGAACATCCCACAATGCGCAGGACAGCCCTGCAAGGCAAATAATTACCCACCCTAACATTTAAATATTGTAAAGGTTAAGAAACCCTGCCCTAGGCCATCTGATCTTTTGTGTAATTCCCTCTCTCTCCCTCTCTTTTTTCTTTTTTTTTTTTTTTTTGAGGTGGAGTTTCGCTCTGTCACCCAGGCTGGAGTGCAGTGGTGCAATCTTGGCTCACCACAACCTCTGCCTCCCAGGTTCCAACGATTCTCCTACCTCAGCCTGCCAAGTAGCTGGGATTACAGGTGCCTGCTATCACATTCAACTTATTTTTGTATTTTTAGTAGAGACAAGGTTTCACCATGTTTTGGCCTGGCTTGTCTTGAACTTCTGATATCAGGTGATCTACCCCTCTCGGCCTCCCAAAGTGCTGGGATTACAGGCGTGAGCCATTATGCCCAGCTTCTGTACAGTTCTTAAGCACGCTAGGATTGCTCACACCCCAGGGCCATCGCAAATGATGTATCCTGAGTCTGAAATATTCTATTAATCCTAATTCAAGTTTTTACTTAAGAGTCTCCTTCTCTATGAAGGCTTCTCTGGCATTGTTACCTATAATTGTACCCTTCTTTCTATCCCCGCCACACACTCCCAGCACTCATTATCTCCATTCCTTGATTTATTATTCTTTTTGCCACTAATTATAATTTTTCATATTTTATCCATTTATCTTCTACCACCAGAGTGTAAGCTCCTTAAAGGCAGGGACTGTTTTTTTAGTTTTTGTCACATGTGTATACCTGGTTCTTAGACTAGTGACTGGCACCTAGTAGGTCTAATATATATTTGTTCTATGAATAAGGACTATAGAAGCACTAAAATGGTAATACAAATTGTCCTGAAATCTATGTGTCATCTTGAATTTTCTGTCACTTAAACTAAAAATATAGCCATTATCACATAGGAGATTCTAAAATTATTTAACACTAAAATGTTATAATAAAAGGTTTAGACATTAAAGTTCTAGGATAGAAATTACAAACTTAAATGTTTACATAAGCCAGGCATATAAATAAGTGATGTGGGCCAAGTGGAGACTGTGGGTAACTGGAGACAGCATGTCTAAATTAAATGAAGCTGCAGCTATTTATTGCTATCAGTTACTTCTAATGGGAGTTTACTGCCCAGAGTGGCCAGATTGGTTCATTTTCATCAAGGGAAGTGGAAGTGTGGACTTTTACTTGAAATCCGATTCTTAAAAGTTAGTAACTAATTCAGTTATGAGATATGCCCAGTGGCTTGCACAATGCCACACAGTGCAGCACAATGCCCCTCCCAGCTGGTGTGGCTGTTTCATATTCCATAATGTCTCCTGCCTCGGTGGAGTGAATTGGATGACATAAAAATTGTAGAAGCAAGTTCACGGCCTTTACCATTCTCCACTGAAATCTAGAGCAAAACCAATCCCAAATAATCATTTCATGCTTCCTGTCTCCTCTGTCCTGTTCTAACACTGCTTTGATCTTCTAAGAATACAGGCATTTTCCAAGTAGAAAACACTTACCACATCAGCCACGTGACAGGAAAAATAGGAAAATCAAAAGAGAAAGAGATTCTTATCATCTTCCCCCCATCCATGGCTGTGTTCTACAGATATGGATAAGTTTTTTTCTAGTCCTATCATGGTATTTTAGTCATTGACCTGTTTTGAAGAATTATCTCTTGATTTAAAATTGAGTAAAGAGGGTACTTCACTGAATTTTTAATAAATTCTATTTAACAATTTTATAGTTTTACAATACTCTATTCATAACAGTTTCTCATGTAAACTGTATAGCCCTGTACAAAAACTAATTATCAAAATTGGTGTCATTGATTGTCTTCACTTAAATGAACGATTTATAAATATAAGCATTCAGTTAAAAATAGAATTAGGAAATGATATTTTATATCAAAAAGCTAAGTTTTAGTACCCTAAAATTTGTATATGAAATCATAGCTAGCCTATTAATTTTATTATAAAGATAATTTACATTTTCAACAATTTTTGGTTGTCATTTTGACATCTATTTTCTTAGGTCCAAAATAACTTCTTATTATATAAATAAAACAATTGGCAGGATCATAGCCTGTTGTATACTAGGTAGTTCTCTACAGAAGTATTTTATTATACCAATCATGAATCATTTGAAACACCACAAGTAAAGCAAGAGAAGTTCTACAGTGTGACATATTGCCATTGGCTAAGGTAGCATTGAAGACTTATTATATCAGCCCTGTCATGGAATTCTTAGAGCATGGTTGGAGTAATGATTTAGATCCCTTATAAATAAATGATACTGGTTTACTTGTGTCTTTAGACACAAATATCAAGGCCCACAGAGAAAGTTTTTCCAAAGCAACCTCTTGGTTTTATTGAGTCACACAGAGGATGTAGTTGTTGGCTCATTGCCAACCATCTCACAACAAGGTGCTACCTTAGTGAATTCACCACCACCCACGTTGATCCTATGGAGTGTTCACAAATGAACAGCCTATAGTCCAAAACTGCTTCCAGAGGTATTTTATTTGGCTTGTTTTTTTTAATAATACAAATTTAAAAATTAATAAAATAAAAAAATTAATAAAATAAAAAAGAAGTATTTTTATTTCTCATGTTTTTAATCAAATTAGTTGCCAATATTGAAAAAGTGGGATGTTTCACATAAGATTCTCTGTTTTCCACTTCTTTAGACAAAGCAAAAGCTCTTGTAATGAGTCTGCATTTCCTTAGGGTAAAAATCATCAGGAGCTAAGAGGCGAGTTGCTCCCTCTATACTAACTCTGTGCTCTGTAGTTTGTTTCAGTTTCTACTCTTCCTATGGCCTAACTTCTCCCTGCATACTTTTACATTCCCTGCTTGGCCTTGGAAAGGCCCCAGTGTGTGTTGTTCCCCTCTATGTGTCCATCTGTTCTCATCATACAATCTTAAGAAGTATTGAGGATCCCAAAAAGGTTGTGTTTCTGTAGGTTAAATCTATTGACAATTTACCACATTAGAAATTAAAAACTTAGAAATTTTTCATTATACCCATTACCTATTAACATAGATAACATATTTTTATAAAAATTAGCTATATTGCAAAACAAAAAATAATGAGTTGGGTGGCATTATATTATTTTGCAAAAATCTCTTTAATGTCTGGCTTAAGAGAAGACATCATATCTGCTTCTTCATACAATCTGTTTTGATAGATTGTTTCTACTGAAGAACATGCAGAAAATCTGGCCTCACATAGATATGCAGCTGGAGAAAGAAGTAGCATTTCAGTACCCTTTCCAGACAATTTTGAATGTTCTTCTTTGATACTAAGTGGTATTTTTAAAAGATCAACTACAATACAAAATCTGAAATCACATCAATAACTTTTCACACAGTACTACATTAAAATCTATTGATATATCTTGCATTTTGAATGAATCTTTTACCCATGCATGATTTAGTAACAACTTGTATTGATTATTTGGAAAATATTGTTTCACTGAGCTTTACAGATCTTCCAAAAATTGACATGTTTTATTGTGAACAAAATTTAATATAACATATTAAATAACATATGTTAATATATTTACTGATCTCATTAGAAAAGTCTGGCTGATATGTTATCCAAAAATCTAATTTTTATTCTCAAGCTTACATTTTACTATTGGCATTAATCAAATACTGCCAGCTGTTTTCCTTAAAATAATGGACTCATTTTGTTCATTTATGAAAAATGTCTGCAAAATACCCAAGTGTAAATAACCACAGTTTATCTCTCGGTCTTTCTTTCAAGTAAAAACGGTGTTCTACGAAAAAAGAAGCTAGTTCAGCTCACAACTCAAATGATTGTACAAGTGTTTTTCCTCAGGGCAACCATTGTAGTTCCATATGCTACGGATTTGCTTTACATTTACTTCCCATTTTGTCATTCAAAGATTTAATAAAGTTAATAAACTTTACTGCCTCATTACGAACATTTTTAAGCAAAATTAATTTTTACACATGTATAAAAGTGCAGAATACAGTGCAGCACTGTTGGATGTCATTGTCTTTATTCTTACTAAGGTGCCACAATTGCTTTCATTCTTGATGCAAAATCAATACAGTAAAAAGGGAAAATAACATCTTAATGTTATTATGAAAGCTGTTTGACTTTGTGGATTTCCTCAAAAAGTTGGAGATCCCAGGGGTCAGCTGACTATGCTTTGGGAACAGCTAGCTTAGATCACTGGTTCTCATTCCCACAGAACCAGAAACTAGACTTCGAGTAGTGACTCAAGTTAACTGACTCCAAAGTAACTGACAATCAAATCATAATGTTAGGAGCTAGAAATGCAATTAATTAATTTCTAATGGAAGACATTCTTTTTGAGTTATCAGTTTGCTCAAGTATTATATGTAGAGCACATTTTCTTGATGATTTTGGAATAAGACCAAAAGTTTCACAAATAATCTCAATTTTATCTCTTTAACCATGGTAAAGCTGGATAAACTGTTCTATCCAAAATAAAGTACACCTCTCCTGGGACATATTTGTGTCTGCTAAAATCAGTGCTGGATAAGCAGAGCTTCTTTGGTTCTGGCGCTTCCCTTTTCTTACCATGACTGGCAATCTTGACAGCGGTCCACAAGGCATAGCCAAATGATTGCTGCTGCTAATTAAGCCATAACCACACTCCAGTTACGCTTCTGTAAGACTAAACCTAGATCTTTGGGATTTGATTTTTAAGTGTTGTTAGACTTTTCAGGTAAAAATACAATTTTAGTGTTGATTCCCATGAACAGCTAATCATATCTGTTATGTGTGGATTTGATCAGATTAATACTTAAAGAATAATGTATTTGTTTCTTTTTTCGTTCTGTTACAGCAATGTCACTGTTACCTTTGTGTATCATCTCAATCATCCCATTAGATATATCATTTTCCTTAGAGTTTTTCTATTACAATTATCAGAACTGTGCCAGGCTCTTTTTTGTGGAAGCTGTCTGCAAAGTCTCTTTTTTTATGCAGCATTCCTCCTTTGAATAAACTGAAAATTATCACTCCAATCAAATGAAGCCATCACTATCCTCTTTCAATTTACAGCTCACCTACTCAGTCTGGCTACTATTTTCATTTGGAAATTAGAAATTCTAACTCATTTTTTCATGGAAGTGTGAAAAGGGGAAAAAAGCACATACTAAAGGGATATTTAAATAACAAAAATAGCTTTAAAATTCAACATTCATCTGAGAATTTTATGGACACCATGCAAAAAGAAGTTGAACAAGCATAGTTACTTCTTGCTTAAAGATTATGTCTTAAAACTAATGACAGCAACAAGATGTCACATATAAATAGAGAAGAATTAAGAAAATTGTACAAATGACAAGCAATTCTGTGAATAAAGGGATGTGGTGAAATGCTAACTATAGGAAAATATGATCTAAGATACTAGACATAGAAATGCCAGGCATCCTTCATCACTGGATCAACCTGTTTAAGAACTAAAGTATCCATAAGTTCACTAGGCAATTACAGAAAGGATATCAATAAATTAGAACCAGGACTTTCAGAGAAAGACAGAAAAAAAGAGAGAGAGAAAGAGAGAAAGTGCTATGAGGAATAAGTAAGTTGTGAAACAATTTTCTGCAAATTCAGATTTTCAAAAAGATGACAAACAGCAACGGACAAGACGTAATTGAAGTCATCCACCAAATGAGTCCTTACCTGCTATCAAAGAGGAAAAATAGTACCTTGTAATAAAATCCACCTTAAAATTTATAAAGTACTTTACTTATTTTTGTTTGTTTTTGTCTCATAAGAAATCTAGTAGGTAAATATTCTCATGTTATGTGTGAGGAAAAATGCTAACTGGCTAGATGATTTTCCCAAGGTCTGCCAGGAATTTCAAGTGTCAGAGCTCAAGCCCAAGACTTCTATGTATTATTCCATCAGCTTTTCACACTCAATGTTACTTGCTAAGGTAAGTGTTGAAAATACTCTTTCTAACCAAACTCAGCCATTCATTTCCTTTCCTTCTGCTTCTGGGAACTACATGTCTGAGAAACTTACATTACCATGGTGACTGGCTGCAAGACAAGCATGATTTCCAACCTTAACTGGGCCTTCAGTTCAGCTTAACAGTAATTCTAATCATCACTTGTTGGCTCTGTATCTCATTCCTTAGCACATAAACTGTAATAGTTACCACTTTCCTTTCCCTTCAGTCCCTGTCCTACTTTGAGCAAATTAACTCACCTTTTGCTCAACAGGGACTACGGATGCCATTTGATATAAATTTCTCCTCCACTAAAAACTTAGTTGTCTTCCCGTTATCTTTACATCTTATTCTCTGCCTACCTCAGAGGGAGAAATGCTGCTTTCTTTCCATCTATGCCTCTTCTCTGTCTATGCCTCTGATCTTCAGTTTCCAAACATATTCCTGTAACTAACTCCCTTTATATAATTTGGTTTCTTACAATTCTGTTTCGTTTTCCTCCGCTTTGTATCCACCTCAGCAGCTGTCTCATTTTCTTTTCTTCCTTTTACCATCATTCTCACTGAAATGTAAATGGCACTCCCTGGCCCAGTTTCCTCAACGATGGGTTACATATGGCCCAGAACATTAGACTTAGTAGAAGTTTACCAAAAGTTTCTTAAATAAATAAATGAATTAGTGAACATCTTCCTCTAGACTCCATCTATGATTTCTGAGCACACTCTCCTGCCTTTGAAAGATTCAATTAGAAAACTACTTTGCAGTTCAAAACATGAAAGAAGCATCATTTACTGCTTTACGACTTGGTTTTTCAAACCATCCATATTCCTCATGTTTTCCTTCCTTCTAGTCTTTCTGCCACACCACTGCCCTCCACACCTTGAATGGAGACTTCCATTCTTTACTCATCACACCATATGCTACTGTTGCATTATGTATTGCTGCATAGCAACCTATCCCAAAGCTTGGTGGCTCAGCTGGGCCATTCTTACTTGGGCTCCCTTACATGGTGATTTAAGCTGGAGACATCTTTTGGCTTCTACAGTCACATATCTGGCCAGGTTGACTAGAATAGCTGGGGTCTGGTTGGGCCTTTCTCTCTTCACCCAGCTTCACTAGGCAGCTACCTTGGGCTTCCTCATAAAATGGCATCTCAGGAGGCTGGATTCCTACTTGACAACTGCTTTCTAGTGGTATGGGAGCATTTCAAAGGACCTAAGCAGGACTGTAAGGCTTCTTCTGACCTAGCCTTGTAGGTTATATAGCATCACTTTTGCCATATATTGGTTGCAAGGTCAGTCCTAATTCAACGGGAGAAAACTATATAAGAACATGAATTCTGGGAGGCATAGTTCATTGGGAAACTATGGTGTATGCAAAACTATCTTTTGATGCTAGCTGTTACATATACTTGTTTATGTATATATCTGCTAAACTTCACTATCAAAGAACAGAAATTATGTCTTTGAGTGTCTACCAAATAGTAAATGTTTGTTGATGAAGTCAATATAAGTCAGTCAGAAACAAAAATTACAAATGAATCAATTTCCATAAAAATATTTTTAAAGATTCAGACCATTTCAATTAAAGACAGAAATTTATGATCTATATAAAGCAACAATGTTAAATGAGCCTATAAAATAAATGATGCAGATTGAGTACAGTTTGACAAAAATTTACTGATACCAATCATGTATCTAGCATTGTTCTTGCCACTGGACCTCAAGTTGCCTTAAAAATAAATTAAGGCTGGATGCAGTGGCTCACGTTTGTAATCCCAGCACTTTGTGATGCCAAGGTGGAAGGATCACTTAAGCCCAGGAGTTCAAGGCCACCCTGGGCAATATAGCGAGACCATGTTTCAACAAAAAAAATTAAAAGTCAGCTGGACATGGTGGCACACACCTGTTGTCTCAGCTACTTGGCAGGCTGAGGTGGGAAGACTGCCTGAGCCCAGGAGGTCAAAACTTGAGTAAGCCATGATCGTGCCACTGTACTCCAGCTTGGGCAACAAAATGAGACCCTATCTCAAAAATAAATAAATAAAGAGAAATAAAATATAAATTATTCTTTCTTTGTATATATGTCCTTTGATGGATGAATAAAATGATATCTGTAATTGAAACACATCCAAAACTTTAATTTAACTGTGAAAATTTATTGCCAAGATTATAGTAGACTCCAAAAGCAAAACCACAGAGAACTAAAGAGAGAGAGAGGGCAGGAGGGAGTGGTGGAAAACTAAATATTCCTTCAGAAAAGAGACGATATAGGTACAAAATATTCAATAGAGATGCTTAAAGAAACTTTATAAAACCTGACAAATTTTTTAATCCATTTATTTAAAAATTATAGGTTTTAAGACAACTAAAATGATAATATAATATTAAGCAAAAAAGCTAATCTGAAGAACCTGATAAATTGCATGGTGAACTATTAAATACCAATAAGGTTTTAAATTTCTATGAATATGCCATCTGCATATTTCCAATATATATAATAGTATAAACTTAAACTATACTATGTTTTATAAATGTGATACTTACATGAAATGATATCCTCAGAAAGGATTTCCATTTGCTTTGAAATATTATTTCAAAGCTGAAAAGCCTGAGTAATGTTATATAAGAAACACCAGATGGTAACCATATCATGCTATAATGAAATTTGCAAATGAAAACTGTAGAGGGAAAAGAATATTCCCAATGGTTGATATGCTGAAATAATTGTTTTGCTAAAGAGGCAAAAATTAAATCCAATTTGTATATTAAAGCTAGAATGCACCATAAAAATGTTTCACGAAATAATAATCATCTACATTTATCCTAAAACGTTAAGCATTTAAAATGCCATTTACCAGAAGTCTTAAAATTATTCTAAAATTGAAATGTCACTTCCAGAAAAAATAAAATGTCAAAAACTGTTTTCTTCTCTTATCCCCATTCCTCACAAAAATGAAATGTTTAGAGCTACATTTGCCAATTTTTCACCACCAAAGTATTTCCACATTGCATTTACTCCCTTTTTAATTTGTTTCTCAGTCTCTTTCATTTCCAAATCATCTACCTAGTTACTCTAGCCTCCCAAATCCCCAACTCATTCCTACCACAAGTTTAAAAAGTGCAATAGGTTAATTGATTTCCCCTTAGCCAAATCAAATGCTTTTTGCATTAAACCTTAAAATAATTGAATAGAGAGAACTCAGGTATCTATTTTACTCAACCTCATTTCAATGCCTTATAACCTGGTACCTTTGACAACTTGTCACATGGCACAAGCTTAAAAAATGATAATTAAAATTATGGACATAAAATTAAGAATTGAAATTTTTATTTTCAAAAATCACATGATTCTTTTACATAAAATTTCATTCAGGCATCTTAAATAAATGTCAGTGTTATCGCCAGACATACATATGACAATTTATTAACACTGATTTCAATAAATATTTCCTGATGACGATTGGCATATTTTGTCCATATGTATGTTCAGTCTGTTAGTTACTTTTCTCTTTTTTTTTAAATCAGCCATACACTATTTACTATTTGCAATAGTTAATACTGAGTGTCAACTTGATTGGACTGAAGGACGCAAAGTATTGATCCTGGTTGTGTCTGTGAGAGTGTTGCCAAAGGAGATTAACATTTGAGTCAGTGGGCTGGGAAAGGCAGACCCATCCTTAATCTGGGTGGGCACAAGCTAATCAGCTGCCAGTGCAACTAGAATAAAAAGCAGCAGAAGAACATGGAGAGATCAGACTGGCTTAGCCTCCAAGCCTACATCTTTCTCCCATGCTGGATGCTTCCTGCCCTCAAACATCGGACTCCTTCTTTTGGGACTCAGACTGGCTTCCTTGCTCCTCAGCTTGCAGACAGCCTATTGTGAGACCTTCTGATCGTGATTGTGTGAGTTAATATTCCTTAATAAATTCCCCTTTTTATACATCTATCCTGTTAGTTCTGTCCCTCTAGACAACCCTGACTAATACACTATTCCTCACAGTACTCTTAATAATTTTCTGTGGAAACTACAATAAATGCATATACCAAAATTATTTATGTACCTAAGTCCCTTTATCATGTCATTTACAACAAATAGAATATGCTGGAAATATTATGTTTTTTAGTAGAGTAGCAGGTAGCCTGATAATAAATTTGACATCTTTAATAAATACTCATTAACTAGATAGTGGATATATAAATTTATGAATATTATAGCATTCATTTTATTTTAAACAAAAATCACTTACAAATTAGTGGAGCCTCATTGGTGATAAGTTAAACTCTGCAAAATTCACAGTATCTCAATTCTAGTGCTCTGAGCATCCTCATGTTTGATTAGAAGGGAGTCTAATATTTTCCAGTAATCTTTACATTCTGAGGGGGATAGAGTGTTGGAAGTTGATCTATGTCCTACACTGCAGCTCATTTCCTCTGGACAGCTGGCCTGTAGTGCTCTTCTCTGACCAATGAAGAGGCTCTTTCCTCTGCTCACTGACAGCTCTTTTATAGAGGTTTCCAAAAGCAGGGCTTCATGACTCTTAATAATACAGTTCTTTCCTTTCACAAGGATCACAGATTTAAGGAGTTAGCCAGACAAACCCTGTAAAGATGTTTAGGGTGTCCAGTGTTCATAAAAAAGAAAAGAAGAAGGAGAGGAGAGGAGAGGAGGGGAGGGGGAAAAGGAAAAGGAAAGGGAAAGGGAAAGGGAAAGGGGAAGGGAGAGGGGAAGGGGAAGGAAAGGAAAGAAGAAGGGAAGGGAAGGAAAGAAGAAGGGAGGGGAGGGAGGGGGGAGGAGAGGGGACAATTAAGGCTTTTACCTGTGGCATCTACCCTGCACTTAGCCAACCTGCCTTACCACTCGGTGTTATCTTACACTTCCCTATCTTCTCCCTCAGCCCTGCAATATTCCTCTAGCAGCCCAATTGGAAGTACCTAGCAGAGCGCCAACCAGCAAAGTGAAAATATAACATGCACAATCATCAATGCCACTCAAATATCTTTTTGTAAGTTGAAATATTCGACACCAAGATTATCACCCAACCCTCTAAAACTTTAAAGCCTAAATTCAACTATAAAAAATGAAAAACATTTTGATCTTAGCCCTTTGTGGTTCTTAAGAGTCGCTATCATTTTCATATGCAGCATTTCACTGCATATATAAACTACTTAGTAAACATTGGTTCTTTTCCAGCTGGTTATATAATTTTCTTTTTTTTCCTATTAGAAATCTTTTGACAGTCACAAGCATTACACAGTCTTACCCTGTAATTTAGTTAAATGAATTCAAAGCTCAATCCTGCACTTCAAGGTTAGGGAAATGAAATAATACTCATAAAAATGACGGTTAAGCATGGTAATGAGGAAACGTGGCACCACTAAGGAACTATTCAGAAATCTAAGATTGAGAGTGATAATAATGTAAGATAGCAACTTAGATAGACAATGTAGGTAATAGGTTCATTGTGAAGGAAGGTGGCTTATTTCAGGGTGTTCAGAGTTTCTCGTTAAAACAAATATTCCTAATCTCCTTCAGTAGTTCCCAGTGAAAAGATGAAAATCACAATGATGAAAGTATCACTGATTATTCTGTGTTCATAAACCCTAAAATTATATATTCAATGAAAGAAGTTTCAGCTGGAGCAGCTATAAATGTAGCCTTTATATAATCATAAAATGAAGCTGATCAAAAATAAAAATTACTTAAGAATTGCACGAGATAACCATTTTTTCATATAAGTATATTAACATGAATACTACTAAATAACTTCTATTATTGATACCTACAGCATTAACAGTTTGTACACTTAGACTTAATCAATATAGGAAATGACAATGTGTTCAAATGAATAAAAGGCCATCACTAAATATGTAAAAGTTATTATGGGAACACAAAGAAATGGTTAATTGAACTAGCATTTATTTAGCACCTATTGCTAAGGGTTTGGTGATTTACATAATTGGTCATATTTAATTTTTACAACATTTTAATATTTTTGGTTCTTATAAATAAAAATCCATTTTACGGGTTAAAAAATAGGCAAGGCTCTTGGAGTTAAGTGACTTCCCAAGGAGTTAAGCTACTTCCCAAGGCCATGCATCTTATACATGGTAAAATCTGTCCAATCCTAGACCTACACTCTTCCTTTTCCATATTCTGTCTCATAATCCCGACTGTAGTGAAAAGAATTTCTTCTCACAATGGTTCTCATGTTCAGATAGCCTGGCCACCTGCGGAAGTTCCCTTGGTTTTAATACTCACCTGGCATAGTGATTATCATTCTAACGTAACACTTTCTCCCATTGACAGTAGTCTTTTCCTATTCTCTTTCCCCTTTGTGTCTCCTTCTTCTTTATCTACTAGATTTGCACAACTTATGAATTTGTACAGCGGTAATCACACGCACAATTACATACCTTAAATAAATTATCTGAACATCAGAAGACAATCTTCTGAAGATTGACTGTCATAAAAGCCATATAAAAATCTTATTCTCTGTAGATGAATCAGATTAGTTTGTTCAGAGATCCTTTATCAGCAAAAATAAATGTCTCATTATTAACTTGATAATCACATAAAAATTTTTATAATTATCACTAATCATAATTGCACCCCAGTTGCACAACCATCTTTGAATTTTGTTACATTGTCTAGTATTCTTTGTGTATTAGTAAAAACCATAATCACTCCATACATACAAGATTCTTGTCTAGCTATTTTCACTAAATTGATCGTGTAAGTTAAGGTTATCTTGACATTTTTTTCAGCCAGACCACTTTCTAAAATTATAAAGCTATCCTTTGCTGGCATTAACTCCTCCAGCTTTAGATCCTTCACTTTCCTTCTGCTTTAAGTTGTCATATAATGACTTTACTATTTCTTGAATTATTCAAGTCTGTAACTATGTCTTTCTTATAATAATCCTGCACCCACATAAAAGCTACATTTTCAATACAAGATAAACAGCCTTTCCCAAAAAGTGCAAAGTTTATAAATTTTATTTTCTTTTTTCCCAAGTGGTCTTTATGCTGAATTTACTTTTCTTGAAGTGGTGGGCAACCTTAGCTGCAGACCTTAATCTATGGTGCATATCAAGCAATTTAACTTTTTCATATAATGTCAGGACTTTTCTCTGTTTCTTGGGAGCATTTCCAGCATCACTAGTTGCATTTAGTATGAGTCCCATGGTGTTATTCAAGGTTTATGGTATCACACTAACATGATGAAAACTATGTGAGAACCTCCAGAGATCACTTTTTATCGCAATACACAATTTACTGGAGAGATAAACTGCTCAAGAGGAGATGACTAGCATCACAAAGCATTTCAAGTACATATTCCTCACAACACTTGAGCTCACTGCAATAGCAACAGGAGATGGCTACAAAATTATTATCGTAGTACAGTATGTAGTATAGTTAATTTTATAGTTATGATTTAATACTGTATCTTTCCATGTACAGTCTGTGTGCATGTTTTAATAAAAATTTTAACTTTTTATAATACATGTGTATATATTATATTGTAGTAAATGATAAAATAGTATATATATATATATTTATGCATTCAGGACATGCCTAATTTTTTATTAATTTTTTTGATATTTCTATGTGGTTTATCTCCCGGTGTTTTCAAATTGTCACACATCTCCAAAACGATTTCCAATATATTTTCTGAAAAATTCCACGTATAAATGAACCCACAGAGTTTAAACCAGTATTGTTCAAAGATCGACTGTAATCCTCTCAGTAAGATTACAGATTTGCTTATTTCACCTTGTAACTATATCAGATTTTTATTTTTTATTTTTTGTCATGTTTCAGGTACACACAAGTTTAGGATTGTTGTATCTTGTTGAAAAGTTGTTCCTTTTGTAATTGTAATTTTCTTTATCTTAAATAATGTTTATTGTTTATTGTCCTAATGTCTATGTCTTCTTATAGTTATATCAACTTTATTCAGCTTATTGTTTACCTGGCATGTATGTTTTATTACTTTACTTAAAAACTTTACCTGCTCTTATATATTAAGCATGTCTTTTGCAAGTAGCATAAAGCTTATTACTCCTTTACTTTAAAACTTTATCTGCTCTTATATACTAAGCATGTCTTTTGCAAGTAGCATTAAGCTTTATCTGCTCTTATATATTAAGGTTGTCTTTTGCAAGTAGCAAAAAGCTTTTTTTTACTTCAATTAAATCTGAAAATACTTCTATATAAATTGATAAAACATTTTATATTTATTCTAATCACTAATACATTTGGACACATTGCTAACAATTTTACTTACTACCTTCTATTTATCAACTTTTTTCTTTGCTTATTTGTATTGTTTTCATTTTTTTACCTTCTCTTATACTGGGTATTGAATTGCTATATTCTCCATTTTTCCCTTTAGCTTTTGTGAAAGTTACATTGTTATTGCTATTTTTCTAACAAATGGTATTTAGTTTTTAGCATGCATACTTAACAAAGTCTAGAACAAATTACTATATATTTTCTCAGCTAACATAATAAAAGGATTTAGATATAATTATTTAACTCAAAGGACTGCATTCTTATCTTTGTCATGTATTTTAATTCTGTCTTGTTATTAAAAACTCAAGTATCATTAGAACTACTGTTAGTTTTTATAAATAATTATTATTTTAAATTACCAGAATGTTAGCCAATTCCTTTCTTATTACTTTTTTTGAGGTCCAGTTTTCTTTCTCTTCTTTTTTTTTTTTTTAAATGGAGTCTCACTCTGTTGCCCAGGCTGCAGTGCAGTGGTGAGATCTCAGCTCACTGCAACCTCCGCCTCTCAGGTTCAAGCAATTTTCCTGCCTCAGCCTCCTGAGTAGATGGGATTACAGGCACCCACCACCAAGCCCAGCTAATTTTTGAATTCTTATTAGAGATGGGGTTTCACCAGGTTGGCCAGGCTGGTCTCGAACTCCTGACTTCAAGTGATTTACCCACCTCCACCTCCCAAAGTTCTGGGATTACAGGAGTGAGCCACAGTGCCCGGCCATTGAGGTCGTTTTCTTATTCATGAAAGAAGTATTTATTTAGTAGATAAAAAACTATTTCACCATCAATCTTAAATTTTTGTTTAGCTAGTAAAGAACTATAATTTTGTAGCTACATTCTCTCCACTTCTTCAAGATATTATTTTACTATTATCTTATTTCTATTGTTTAAAATTTGCTTTTCACCTAATGACTCTTACTTTGGAGGTGGGATTCATCTCTTAAGGATTTTAAGATTTTTCTGTTTTCTTTCAAGTTTTAGTGTGCCAATTGTCTTCTCTGAAACTTTCTAATTCTATTCTTTGTATTAAAATTTTTAATTGACTAAAAATATTGCACATATTTGTTGTGTACAACATATTTTAAAATATGTATACATTGTGGAATGCCTACTCTAGCTAATTAACATATTCCTTACCTCACATACTTACATTTTTTGTGATGAGAACACTTAAAATCTACTCCTTTAGCATTTTCAAGAATACAATACAATGTTATTAACTATAGTCATCACATTGTACAATAGATCTCTTGAATTTATTCCACCTAACTACAATTTTGTATTCTTTGACCAAAACCTCCCCAACTTCACGCTCATCTCTGGTTCCTGGTAACCACCATTCTACTCTTTACTTCTGTGAGTTCAATTTTTTTAGATCCTACATATAAGTGAGATCATGCAATATTTTTCTGTACCTGGCTTATTTCACCAAACATAATGTCATGTTGTCACAAATAACAAGATTTCTTTCTTTTTTTGTGGCTGAATCACATTCCATTGTATATATATACTATATTTTATTTATACATTTATCTGTTGATGAACACTTAGGTTGATTTCATATCTTGGCTACTGTGTCTAGTGCTGGAATAAACATGGGAGTGCAGATGTCTCTTTTATATACTGATTTCATTTACTTACAATATATACTGGATAATGTGGTGGTTCTATTTTTAATTTTTTAAAGAACCTCCATACTATTTTCTATAACGGCTGTACTAATTTACATTCCTACCAACAATGTGCAAGTGTTCTCTTTTCTCCACATCCTCGCCAGCATTTATCTTTTATTTTCACAGAAACCATTCAAGCAGGAGTGAGGTGGCATCCCATTGTGATTTTAATTAGCATTTCTCTGATGATTAGTAATGTTGAGCATTTTTTCATATACTTGTTTAGCCATCTGCATGTCTTCTTTTGAGAACTGTATATTCAAGTTCGTTGCTCATTTTTGAATCAGGTTATCTTGCTGTTGAGTTGTTTGATTACCTTATGTATTTTGGATATTAATTCCTTATCCAATATATGATTTCCAAATATTTTCTACCATTCCATAAGTTGTCTCTTAATTTCATTGATTGTTTCTTTGGCTGTGCAGAAGCTTACTAAATTTGACCTAATTCAATTTGTCTATTTTTGCTCTTCTTGGCCGTGCTTTGGGGGTCATATCCAAGAAACCATTGCTCAGACCAGTGTCATGGAGCTTTTTTTGACATAATTTTATAGTTTCAGATCCTATGTTTAAGTCTTTAATTCATTTCCACTTGATTTATGTAATGATGTGAGATGGGGTCTAATTTTATTCTTTTGTATGTGATATCCAGTTGTCTCAGCATAATTTATTGAAGAGATTTTCATTTCCTCCACTGAGTTTTCCTGGCACTTCAGTTAAATATCTATCTCTTTAAAAAATAATTTTCATCTAATTTACTCTTTGCGATCATTCTAAGTAATTTCATTAGATATAGCTTTCAGTTTTCTAATTATCTCTTCTGCTATTCCCAATATCCACTTTAACTCATCCATTAAAGTTTTTGTTTGTTTGTTTGTTTTCTGAGACGGAGTCTCACTCTGTCACCCAGGCTGGAGTGCAATGACGTGGTCTTGGCTCACTGCAACATCTGCCTCCTGGCTTCAAGTGATTCTCCCGCCTCAGCCTTCTGAGTAGCTGGGGCACATGTCACCACACCCGGCTAATTTTTGTATTTTTAGTAGAAACAGCGTTTTCACTATGTTGTCCAGGCTGGTCTCGAACTCCTGACCTTGTGATCCACCCACCTCAGCCCCCCCACGTGCTGGGATTACAGGCATGAGCCACCATGGCCGGCCATCCATTGAGGTTTTTATTTCAATGCTTCTGTACTCTATTTTTAAAAGTTTTATTTTGGTCTTTTGCTCATAGTCTTTCTTTTCTTATTTTATTATTTCCTTATGGATTATATTCTTCTCATCTATTTAATAATATTAAACAGACATACCTCACAGCACATTTTTCTGTTAGTATGCATCATGATTTTTATTTTCAAACTTCATAGAATATACCTGTCTCAGTGCTCAAGGCAATATGTTTTGGCTGATGTCTACAGGGGATTTTTTTGTTGTTTTTTTTTTTCGGTAGTGACAGGGTCTCACTATGTTGCCCAGACTGCTCTTGAACTCCTGGCCTCAAGTGACCCTCCTGCCACAGCCTCCTAAAGCACTTAAATTACAGACATGAGCCACTATACCTAGCTTATATAGAAAAATTTTATATTTATGCTTTTAAACCTCAATACAACAATTCTTTTTTTTTTTACAAAGTAACATTTGGAGAAAAGTCTCAAGCTATAGTAATTGTTAAAATGTTAAAAGTTAGCATCAGCTGTTTTGAAAAATCTTGCTGAGCATCCTACAAAAAGAATGCATGTCTTGGATGTTGCTGGTACTAGGAGATAGAAGACATATTTACCAACACAAACAATGGGCATGTAAGCAGAGCTCTAAATTATAAGAGTCATTATCCTGAATCATGAACCCTGTCATCTTTCTTGAAGATTTTTCAGAGCTTCCTCGTTTAGAACCTGGACCAAATGGTTAACTTATATTTCTCTGAACCTGATATTCTACCTGAAATCACTCCTTTATCATTCACTTTGTGTGCACCATCAACTTTTGCGATTGGTTGCGGTGATCACTTCAATGGCCTTTCCCAATTCCCTTCTCTACTCTCTTCAAGCTTCAGGTTTTAACTCCTCTTGTTGAGTAACAATAGCTAATTACAGAAAAATGTTGTGGCTTTTATTGTAAACTGTCTGCATTTTTCTGACATATTTACTTATCATTCTGTTATTGTTGTGTCATAATGCAAACACAGTGTTTACAGTACAGCATGCAAACCATCCATGTCACTGTATATAAAACAGGATTAAAGATGACATTGTTTTATAATCAATAAGCAATGTAATGCTTTAAACATTTTACATACTAACATACATAGTAGGTTTTTTTTAACTCATATGTAAAAGTTTTACAGTATTTTAGCTACATTTTAGGAAATTGGGTGTTTGGGAATAACATGTAATACATTATACGTTATTATTTTTTCCATTTTAAATAATGGGAAAATCAGTTTCTAGTTTTCTTTCTCTCTTTTTGGAGGAATACCTGCTTTTCAGTATTTTCAGACTATTCTTGTTAGGTAGGGGATAACTATGGTTTTAGTTTTTTAAAATCTTCTCTTTCAGTTTATCCATTATCTCAAGTTCTTAAGAGAATTACCCTCCTTGTTATGTCTGCAGGCTACATTCAAGGTGAGTTATATCATTGTACGGTCTTTCTTTTTTTTTTGTGTGTGTGTGTGTGTGTGTGTGTGTGTGTGTGTGTGTGACAGAGGGAGGCAGGGGAGAGAGAGAGACAGATCTTATGCAAGGGATTGTTACTCCTAATAAGAATTCTACATAGCTTTATTTCTAGAAATGTCTTTCTTGAGAGGTTCACTGTTTGTTTCTTACTGCTTTGGGCCCCAGGGATGTCACCAAGCTTGGATCAGTTTTATGTTAAAGTTTCAGTTTAGAGATTTATTTGCAACTTGTGTATTGTAAATTCAGATATAATCCCTTGCTCATTGCTAGCTTGGAGTTTGTATCGCTTACAGAAGACTTTTTTTTCTCATCTAAGGTATCAGAAGAAATAAGGTTCATGCTTTCCATGGTGGTGGATGGAAGTTTTCACAGTCCTCTTCTCCAGAGAGCACTGAGCCAGCTTCTTAGGGTACATATATTAAGTGTCCTAATTCTAACTGTCTCTCATGATGGGCTGAGGTCTTTTTTTCTGCCTTTTTGTGAATGTTAAACTCCCAAGCCCCTTAACACAAAGGGCCTATTTCTCGATTCTCTAAATGTACAGGACTGCCACAGTATCACCTTCTCAAGTCTACCACATTGGCTTTCAACTCCCAATTCTTGTCTAATGCCAAGGAGCTACATTTCTTCCCTACTAAATAATGTACATATAAAGTATTTTTGTATTTCTAAATCTTTGCAATGAGAAGCATGTTCACAGTAATTTGTTTCACCTTAGTCTATTCCTAGAATTGAATACTGTGTGAAGACATTAAAATTCCTTATCTCAAATGGCTCAGTTTTTTTAATTTTCTGCACCTTATCCTTTTGAATTAATTAAAGGTGCTTTTCTCTTACTCTCTTCCCTTTCCATGTGGTTACTGCAATAATAGGTGCTCAACCCTCTTTCGGGGGAGCATAGGACCAAGAATTTAACAGAATACATATAAGAACTGTAGTAGTTTGTATTATTGCTCACAAATATGAATATTTCCTTGCCCCATGATAAGGAAAAGTGTCCTCCTCTGCGTCTGTGAAGTTGGGTTTCACCATACAATATGCTAGTTAATGGAATAGGAGCAGGTGTAATTTAAATATAATTGCATAGTTTGGATTGGCATCTCTTTTTCCTGACTTTGGCCACAAGAGAAAGGCATGTCTCAGACAGAGTAACTAGGATAGCAAAATAAAAGCATCAGATACAACATCTACAAGAGAACTAGATGACAAGGTTTCACCAGCATCCAACAACTATAAAATCATGATAGCATGACAACAGCAATGTTGTGGTGGGGTGAAGGGCAGAGTATACATATAAAGGGAAAGGAGACGGACAGTAAAAATTTTTAATGATCCTGTAATAGAAGAATAAGAAGAATTTAATGATCCTGTAATAGAAGAATCCTGTAATAGAAGAATTTTTAAAGATCCTGTAATAGAAGAATACTCAAGAAGCAGTGCATCCTCACTGGAATGGCAACCAAAGCTAGGAGGAGGTTTTGGAAGATCCGATACAAGAGTGAAAGAAAGAAAGGAAGGAAGGAAGAAACCCACAAAGAACACCAGCTCTGCCAAAAACAAACAAACAAATTGTGATGCTATCTGATGGTGCCAGAACAGTCTGGGCTAAAGGAACTCTTTAAAATAGCAAACTAGTTCTAGATCCTTGAGGAATCACCACACATTTGACCCAGCCATCCCATTACTGGGTATATACCCAAAGGATTATAAATCATGCTTCTATAAAGACACATGCACACGTATGTTTATTGTGGCACTATTCACAATAGCGAAGACTTGGAACCAACCCAAATGTCCAACAATGATAGACTGGATTAAGAAAATGTGGCACATATACACCATGGAATACTATGCAGCCATAAAAAATGATGAGTTCATGTCCTTTGTAGGGACATGGATGAAGCTGGAAACCATCATTCTCAGCAAACTATTGCAAGGACAGAAAACCAAACACCACATGGTTTCCACTCATAGGTGGGAATTGAACAGTGAGAACACTTGGACACAGGGTGGGGAACATCACATACCGGGGCCTGTTGTGGGGTGGGGGGAGGAGGGAGGGATAGCATTAGGAGATATACCTAATGTAAATGACGAGTTAACAAGTGCACCACACCAACATGGCACATGTATACATATGTAACAAATCTGCACATTGTGCACATGTACCCTAGAACTTAAAGTATAATAATAAAAACAAAAGAAAATAGCAAACTAAAACACTTTTCAAAAACAAAGCCCTAGGGAAGAAATTCCTGGAAGCAGAATTCAAATTAGAGAGACAAAGGAAAGAAGATTTAGATAAAATTGGAGAAGGGGAGCAGAAAGGGAAGCATTTTTAATCACTTGGCGAAAATGACAGAAGGGGGAGTTCTAGTGCATGGGGGCTAAAAATGGTTTGCTGGTGACCCTGCTCTTCTAAAAGAACAGAAAGATGCATCTCATTTTTTAAAATATGTAAAAAAAAAAAAAGAGTGTAATCAGATCCCACTTGAAACCATTATTTTTTTGAAAAAGATAAGGTTTTCTAGACATGGCTGAGCATGAGGTGCCATTGTGGGAGTTGACATCCCCCACAACAAGCACAGAAAGGTTCAGTGCAAGGAACCCAAGAGCCAGGACATCCACCTAAGGCTGTTAGTTCAGCTTCACAGGTTCTGCACAGAGGAACCAACTCCACCTTCAACCAGGTTGTGCGGCAGAGGTCGTTTATGACTCATACCAACTGGCCACCCTTGTTTCTTTCCCAGATGATCCAAAAGATAAAACTTCCTCACCAGGAAAACAAAACAAATGTGGTTGTGGGAACCATAACAGGTGACCTGCAGGTCCAGGAGGTGCCCAAACTGAGGGTGAGTACATTGCTGCATGTCAGCAGCCAGGCCACAACCACATCCTCAAGGCTACAGACAAGATCTTCACCTTGGAACAGCTGGCCCTAGACTCCCCGACTGGCTGTAGCACCATCTTGTTCTCTGATCCTTACAAGGGCCTAGAGGTGTGAGGACATTTCTGCAAGGCCCCAGCAGCCCTGAACCACCACAGCAAACCCTTTGTCTGCTCCAAGGGCCGGAAAACTAACCTTGGTCCTAACATCTTATTTAAAAGATTTTTGGATGCTGAAAAAGAGAGAGAGAGAGAAGGAATAGAATAACATCTCTACACTAAAAGCATTTCCAAAGCACATGTCCACAAAACGAGACAGAAAAAACAATCTAATATTTCAAAACAAGCTAGAAACAATTTTTAAATGTTATGAGCTACAAAGAACAACATAAATCAGAATTATAAAAACAGAAATGCAGTAATTGTAGAAAAGGAAGATCTGAAAAGAGGAGTGACAGAATTAGAATAATGAGAAAAAATCTTGTTTTATAAATGGAATCAAAAGAAAAACAAGAGTGAATAAACACAATAGACAATGATTAAGGAAAATTAAGCAACTGAAAACAGGAAATGTTTTTAAAAAGAAATGAAGAAGGATAGAAAGGTTTAAGAGAAAAGGACAGATATAGAAGGTAAGCAAAGATGATAAAAAATATATATAAATGACAGAAGAGGACAGATATCTATTCTTTCAACAAATTTTTAACTACATAATATAGTATTGTTACCTATAGGCATCATGTTGTATAGCAACTCTCTAGAATGTATTCATCTTGCATAACTGAAACTTCATGCCAATCTCTTAAGAGAAATAAAAGAGATTTTAAAATTGGCTAACAGAACAAAATCCAAGACTCCACCGACATTCCAGACCACTAAGCCTTCCCCAGACATGCCCAGCACATTGACACCTTCATGCCTGGGTTCATGGCCTTTCCAATTCCTTTGTCTCTGAAACTTTGATGGACTTTTCAAGTCTTAGCATTAATATTAGTTCCTCCACAAAGTCCTCTGTGATTGCTTTACTCAGAAATTAGTCTCAAAGCAACTTAGTATCTTTATTAAAGTAGTTAATTAAATCCGACATATTGGAGGCAGTTGTTCACGTATTTCCTTCCTCACTGAAATATGAACTCCTAAAGAACAGAAACAGTGGGTAGTATGTTGTAGCAGCTCAATTATTGAACAAATGAACCACAGACCAAAGGACACAGCATTTATTTAATTATATCACTATAGAAATAATCTGATTCTCTATAATTACATTTGTAATTGTAACTGATTATTTCTTTTTTAAATTTAGATTCACTTACATAATTTTAGATTGCCTCTAGGCATTCAATTAAAATTCAACCTCCCTAGATAGTTATTGCTTCTAGATTGTTAAATGTTTATATGCAGGTCTGCCCACTTTGGAATCTCTCTTCTCATGGTTGTGAAAGTTTCTGAATTAATGAACACATCTTTATGGCATCTTTTTTCATGCATGTTAGCAGGCTTAAATCATTAACACTTTCGTGTTTCTCATGCTCCCCAATTCACAATTCCCATTATTTTTCACTCTTTTTGTTTTTTGTTTGGCAGCAGTTTCCAATATTGTGTGCTTATTTTTCCATGTTTCTTTACACTACAACATTTGATGCAGCATTTGAAAAGATTCTTTAAAACTCAAAAGTCAGCAATGATTACAACACAATTACTTCTGCAACTAACCATGTCTCCCCGTGTCTAAAAGAGTATCTTACTGCTGTTTCATTATTCACTTGACTGCCCTGGAATACAGTGCTAACAGAACTATTGACTGTCTATTTTATATGTATAACCATGTCTCCAACTATTTATAAAAGCACTTTACTTTCATTGCATTACTCACTTGCCATTCTTCAACCCAATGTTGCTTTTTCAATAGAACTCTTTATTAACTTTTATGTATGTATGAGTGAAATTTCCTGAAAGCTCCAGTAAGCATTCAATCTTTCTCTGGTATCAGCTGCCTTTTACCCATTATATCTAGCAATAGTATCTGAAATCCAGTGCTTTAAAATAACCTACCCAGCCCAAAAGTCTACTTAACATAAATATAAAAATATGTTCATTAAGTGTGAAAAAAATAAATTTACAAACTGATCAGAACATGAGAGCCACTTTAACTCAAGATGTTCCAATATTTTCCATGTTAGCTTTTATTTTTCTAGAATAGAAAATATTCTATAAATATTTTCAATATTTATGTTCAGATGATCCCTTGTATACCACTCAATCTGATATAAAATTTCATTTATCCAATAAGCATGGATTTTATGAAAGAAACATCCATTTTCAAAAACTGGGAAGGGTCAGAAATTTTACTCGATTGGCAGTCTAACAATTTAGCTTGCCAGAGTTTCATGGATCCAGAGAGAAGGCAATAGATTCTGGGGTCAAGGAAAAGGGCTTTATTACTCACAGCACAACAAGCACCATGAACATCAGCATCTTTACCCAAGTTCCCAAAAGGTAATGTGAAAGTCTACATGACAGCAGCACACAGTGGGTTGCATCACAGGAAAGAAGCCAAGGGCCCTAACACATTGTGAGTGACTGACAAACACTGTAGCAATCAGCATACAAGACAATACTCTACTCCCAGGGAGCAATCAGTTATGCTGAAGCTGTGCTATAGTTACCTCAGTGTACTTTGCTGTCTATGTGACCAGCTGCAAGGATGGTTTGGTATTAGGAGATGGATAAGCCTTGAGATCTGGGATACTCAGCAAGAACATTTAGAAATGATCAGGGCCCATGGTGGACTGCCTTACCCAACACCAGAAATCTCATATTTCTGTCACATAAAGAGTTATATAATCTTAGATTTGTCTCCTAATTCCAACAACGGTGACTTCATACTAAAAAATGTTGCAACAAAGCAGAACTTTTTAAAGCATATCAAAACTTAACCACATTCACAACCATCACGCTCTTCCTTTTATTCATGCTCGTGCACCAGCCTTCAGCTGTCTTTTATATAGATCTCATTGCTTTCACACAACGATGATGAAATGTCATTGAAATCACAGAGGAACTTTGTCTGGATGTCCATTATAGCCACAGACATCTGCTACCGCCCACTTCTCCATTTCTTCCTCTTTGAATTATTTTATGTATCTCCACACATTCAAATATTTCTTCAAAATTTAACTTTAACTTACTATATTTTCTTTCCAGTGAGTGCCTTACCTATATTCCCCAACAATTAAGTCATAAGTTTCATTTGGAAAGTTTAAAGCATATGTTTTCAGATAAATCTATAGTTATAAAATGTACAGTTGATATTAAATAATTTTGAATCAGAAAAATACATTTCATTCATTGAATATTTTCAATTGCCATCAAGTCCTTGGGATATAAAGATAAATATAAGATTATTTTCTTTAAAAAGCTCATAAATTAGTAAGAAAAATAAACATAAGAGATTGTAATTAATGCAATAAGCTGTGTACAAGGTAAACAGGTGTTATAATACCAAGGAAGATATTATGAAATCTTTACAATGTGGATGATCTGAGCCATATTTTAAAATAAGAATAAGAGTTTATCAGACCAAGTGAGAAAGAATACCCATGGTAAAACCAGAAATTTGTTTCCAAAGAATAACATAACTAAGCATCAGATCAATAACTATATTATAAGTAATAATTTTCTTCCTTCAAAACGTATTGTTCAAAGCAAAAGTCACCTGCAAAGGACATTAAACAATTCAAAATATTCTTTATTCAATGAACACTTTGGAGCATTTGCTGAGTGCTGTATAAACATAGCATTAAAGCTATGTTTATATACTAAAAATTATTAGCTTTGGAAATAGTAATTTCATTAATCCAGTAATTACAGAATTTCCATATTCACCACCTGAATTAATTAAATCTGAATTTTATGGATTGACCAAGAAACATAAAGATGCAATATTAGAATTCTTGTGTGTGTGTGTGTGTGTGTGTGTATACTCACAACATATGTTATTATTATATTACTCAACCAATTAGGATGAATCATATGAAACTGCCATTGATATTTCTAAATGGTTCCACCTAATAGGAAAAAATTTTAATTGCATAATGTAAATATTAGCTTTGGTTCTGATAGGGTGAATTTGAATCCTGCAAAACATGCTTACAGCCTATGCAACTTTGAGCAAGTTGCAAAACCTCTCTGATCCTCCATTCATCATCTATAAAACAGAGATAGCAGAATCAACCTGAATTAGTTTTGTGTTTAGTTGCCTAAGAAAGTCCCAGCCACAGCAGTCTAACTAAATACGGGCTTTATTTTTCTCCCATAACTAAAAATACTGAGGTAGAGAAACAAAAAGTGAAGTTATTGTTGATAATTAGGTCATCAAGAAGGGGAAGAAATTGGGGCTTCAAGAAGACAAATTGAAAGGCTTATAAATGGCCAGATGGCAAAGATGGAGGGGAGGGCAAAGGTTTGAGAATTTTTCAAGGGATCAAATCTGCAGAATTCTGTTTAAATTAACATAGTTGCTTAGTATTTTTATTGTTTACCATGAAAGAGGTTGCTTTTGGATGAAGCTATTTTCTAATAGCTATTTAATGTCCCAAGTGATTCTTCTTGCATCTCTATTCTTAGCATCCATTGTTCTTCATGTTTTCAAAGTGTCTGCTGAATGTTCAGGCATCAGATCAGGTTTTAGGCAAACATTGGGAAGGACAAAGGGCAAAAATTCTCTCGTGAAAGACTTTGGGAAAAGATTCTCTCCCCGAGATGTCCACCTATTCCTCATTGGTCAGAATTGTGTCACATTCACAAACCTAGCTACAGGACAGATTATAAGTTTGAATATTTCACTTTCTAACCACCATAATATATAAAGATCAAAAAGAAGGAAATTGGAAAGATATTGAGTTCCCTTCAGTATCTGCCACACTATCTTTATAGACATCTAAATATTAAATGAGGAAAAATATGTAAAAAAATATGCTTAGTAAAGCAGCTGGAAAATAGTAACTAATTGAGAGTGTTGTTAACAATGACTATGATGATGATGGTGATAATGATGTTCTAATGATAATCATTAAATAAAAATTTAAATCTTGAACATATGTAAATAATTGTTACTACTCAAGTATATTTTTATATATATATATATATATATATATATATATATATATATATATATATATATATATATATAAATTCAATATCTTTCTCCAGGAAATGACAATATTGGTAACAATGAAAGTGCTAATTAATCAAAGTGAAATTATATCTAGTTACCTCATATCTATAACTTTGCTGGAGTTAAGGGGTGTATTTTTAGGTTGAAAAACCTCGTGTTTGATTTCTTTCCAAAGTTTATTTTCTTGGAAAGTTTGAAGACCATCTGTGAAGTTATTTTGAGATATGAATGTAAAAAACTGCTATTTTATTCATTTTGAATGCAGTAATTTTTTAAGCAGTCTGAATATTCTCAGTAAGAAATAAAAAGTGAAGAAAAAAAGTTGGCAATGTAAGAAAGTTTTTTAGAAACGCCAAAAAATTTATCATAGATCAATTTGTTTGGTTCCACCTAACCTAAATGGTTCTAATGATGCTTATCAATTAACTTTAAACTCTTCCTATCCTTTGGTTTGGTTAGCTCCTACAGGTTTCATCTTGATCCCCTGAGTATCATTTCTGAAGCACAACATTTGAATGTTGGATACATTCAAATCTCTCTTTTAAGTTTGGAGCTGCTGGATCTTTATCATCTGACAGCGGAGGGGTAGCCATTGCAGAGGTGGAGGAAGGGCTAAGATATTCCTCTGCATTTGAGTCATCATCTTGTAGGTCAAAGAGACACATAAATAAATAATTGCAATATAATATAATTAAGGAGCAGCAGGGGCATTAACAGAATGTCATAACAACATTGAAGAGAAGGTTACTGGCTCTGCTTAGAGAATATGGAGAATAGTGAGCAAGGTCTCAAAGGATTGGTAAAACTTCCAAAGGCAGCAAAAGAAGAGGAAAGCACTTTAAGTATGTGACCAGTAAATTAAAAGGTCATGTCAATTGGTGTGGTGTGCCTGCAACAGAGGAGACATAATGGGAAGTTTAAAGATAAAACAGAAAAGAATTCAGGGGTTCAGTGGTAAATGTCTCAATTTCTGTTATAGGACCACAGGGAACCATAGAAGGCTCTGAAGTAGCAGGTGAAATGAGTCAGGTTTGTATTTTAGATTGCCAGCTCTGGTATGAGTGTGGAAATTGGATCAGCAAGGGAAAAATCTGGCTTCAAGAAGAGAAATGGAAAGGTTTATAAAAGACCAGGCTAGTGGAGTGAGGATAAGGCAGAAGGCAAAAGCTCGAGAAACATTCAAGAGGTCAAATCTATAAAATTCTGATTTAATTAACATGATTGTTTAGTTGGTATTGTTGCTGTTGTTGTTTACCACAATTTTGGCTTGCTTTTGAATAAAGCTTTTTCCTACTAGCCTATATAAATATTTAAATAATACGCCCTCCTCTTAAATACATTCTCACCTCTCCCTTTTTTATTTTTCCACTTAACTATTTCTTAACTGCACATGGAGATCCTGAGCATTCCTCATGCACCCATTTAGCCACTAATTCATTCTTAATGTCCTCTTCATTTTTCTCTCCCTCATCTTTATACACAGATTACGGCTATGTTTAGGAGTATCACACTCTGAGGACTGTTGTGGGGTGGGGGGAGTGGGGAGGGATAGCACTGGGAGATATATCTAATGCTAGATGACGAGTTAGTGGGTGCAGCGCACCAGCATGGCACATGTATACATATGTAACTAACCTGCACAATGTGCACATGTACCCTAAAACTTAAAGTATAATAAAAAAAAGAAAAGAAAAAAAAGGAAGTACAGGGATAAAAGCGTATTTGAACTATGAGGGTGATTGTTTTTTCATTTTTAATTATAGCCCCTTATAGATATTCAACCACACAATGCCAAAGTAAATCTCAATTCCATGAATTAATGACCTTTCAGAGGTGTCATATTTCCAAAACATAGCCTATTTGATCTATTGAAAGGATTTTGTTTTAATATTAGTTCTGTGGTGAAGAATATCTGTCTTGTTAATTGCCACTGTATAGTTATAACACCAGTACTTGGCTTTTTATAGTTCAACTAGCTGCTCAGATTTTATGTAAATATCATCAAATTCCCTTGGTGTGTCCACATTAAGAAAAAAAAAATCTACTTGTCCTGCAGACAAAAGGGAAAAGAAAATTGTATACCCATCTCGTCCATAGTGTGGAGGGATGATATTATTTCTATTCTGATTGTGAATTTCAAATTTTGCTTATCCTAACTTTATCACCACTTAATTAATTTGAAATTTTACTTCAAACATCAGTAACTCAAGTGGACCTCATCCAAACATTACTGAATCAACTAGTTGATACACTCTTAGTGCACCCTTCTAGAAAGGAAACATATCTTCAGCAAATTGGCAAAATGTTAGTTTCTTATCTACAGAGAATTTTAAATAAGAAATCTTATTTTGTTTTTGTACAGAATAATATAATGCAAAACCATGTTGAAATTTTCAGTTCTATTATTATTGACATGGCTATCAGTCACTGTCCATAGTCTTACAGATAAATTTGATTAGAATTTTTCTACAATGAGTAAAAATAAAGCCTTTATAGAAAATATTATGGCCAATATACAGATGCCAAGTTAATTTTAACACTTCACATTTGAAATAAGAATACTGCTAAAAAATTTTTAGCCTCAAATTACTTATCTAATAACACATCTGGAAGTAATAATAGATTTCATGTATAATGAGAGGTGCAAAAGGAGAAATGTCACTTATAATTTCTTTAGTTCCAAAGGCAGCTGCTCTACATTGTGAAACATTTAGTATGATTAAATTATTTTATATTTAATTAAAATGTCCAGATGCATATTTCCCTTTAAGATAATGATACTGATATTGTATGTCAGTCAAATAATAACCAGTATCATATTTTAAGTGCTAACAGTTATATTAACATTTATACAGAGAATGAATGTGACAAAAGAATAAAACTATTTAATAAAGGAGTTGAAAAAAATCACTACTTGTTAAACTAAAACAAGAATCAAAATGTTATAATTTGAGCTCTTTGTCTCGCTTCTATGCCTCAGTTTACATCAATTAATCATTCTGAGGCTCTCCCTCCATCATCTGAGATACAGATTAAGCGCTTTAACTGGTCCATAATAGCTCATAGAATGCTTAGCATAATATACATAAAAGTAGCTGTATTTTGGATCTGATTTTTGCACAAACTGTAATAGCTATTATCCTGATTTAATCTGCTATATAACAATTTTCTATAATTCACAAATGTATTCGAATTGATAAAGACTTAATAGGTAACTCATAATGAAACTTCCATGAAACAGCAAATTCTCAATAAGTGATGTTTGTATTTTACAATTATATTCTTTGTAATATCTTCCTTACTTCACTTATCTCATTCCATAAATTCCTAAAAACAAAATAGAAGAAAAATAAGAAACTTTGTTTTAGTAGTCTATGTTGGGTAGGAATTTCATATTTGGCAAAACGCTGATATTGTTTACTTTGCAACTCGGGCCTTTGTGGTCATTTGTTCTGTATGTACCCATATCCACGTCTATTTTAGACCATGGGGCTCCATATGTATATTAAAAGTCATCTTATCATGCTCATACATGCTTTTCTTTTTTTTTCTTCTTTCTTTCTTTTTTTGAGACAGAGTCTGGTTCTGTCTCCCAGGCTGGAGTGCAGTGGCATGATTTCGGCTCACTGCAACCCTCCGCCTCCCGGGTTCAAGCGATTCTCCTGCCTCAGCCTCCTGAGTAGTTGGGATTACAGGTGTGTGCCACCATGCCTGGCTAATTTTTGTATTTTTAGTAGAGACAGGGTTTCACCAAGTTGGTCAGGCTGGTCTCGAACTCCTGACCTCATGATCTGCCCTCCTCGGCCTCCCAAAGTGCTAGGATTACAGGTGTGAGCCACAGCTCCCAGCCTCATACATGATTTTCAAACACGCTCATATAAAAGTCAAAAATGAGCATGTGTCCAATGTTTTGCTGGTTACTTCTCTCTTTTTTGACTTGATAGAGCTTCTCAAAGGCTTTACCCAGGCCCTTTCAGCAACACGCAGCCCCATATACGAGACTTCTTTTAGTAACTTAGCTCAGAAAAATAATCTATCAAATAAAACTTGATCAAGATCTAAACTATTTGACTTTATTGGCCTTGTGTTATTCTTTAAGATCGATTTTTAATATCTAATAATTTTGTGGATGAGAACAGAATATTTAAGAGGTAAATTTTCTTTGAGCAGCATAAAATAAACATTCTATCCTAAGTGCAAATTAGTCATGCAGTAATTTTTTTTCTTCTGACTCTAGTGTCTTTGAAAAATTAGACTAGAAAACACATGTTCATGTTAGCTTGAAAGTAGGTGATGAAGCATGTCAGAAACCTATCATTTGCATCACCTGAGGAATATGCCTTAGAGCAAATGTGGTTAGAACAAGGGAGTATAGAGTAAGTTTTTTACGGGGAATTTATTCCAGTTTCTTGAAAAAGAAAGACAATTTTGGGTACATAGTAAAGGATGATTGTTTGACATCTGTTTTGTTTTGAGATTGTCTATCATTTTTCTTTAGTAAATAATGTTTTTCCATAGATCATAAGGTGTTGGGCTCAAGATCTTTCTTAAGCTTCCGTAAATACGAACTAATAATGCAACCAGTAAGAGGACGTTATGGGAGCAAAGACACAATTTATAATGACAACTCAAAATATTAAATTCCTACAATAAAGTTGGCCAAAAATTTCCAAAATTTATACAAAAAAAAATCCAAGTCACTGAAAAATATAAAAGAAGCTTTGAACAGATAGAAAAGCATGCCATTTTATAGGTTAAAAATATTTAATATTATAAAGATGCTAATTTTCCTTAAAATAAGCTACACATTAAACTAAATTCCAATAAAAATAACAGAAGAATGTTACTGGAGCCATATAAGAAGATTATGATTTCTTATATACAAATTAATCAAGCAAAAGCAGCTATTTTAAAAACTGAAAAAGAAAGATACTGAATAATGTTAGCATTACCAGATATAAAGACATATAAGGAAAAACCAAATGATTTTCAAGACAAACATCCCAATAAAACAGATAAAAAATAAAGTGCTGAAATTAACACAAACACATCTAAAAATATGATTAGTAATGCTGCATTATTTTATCAGAGAAGCAGGAATATGAATTATAAAACTAATGATTCTTTCTTTGACTCTATTTTCTTGCCAAAGAGATTTCTTAAAAAGGCAAATGGCTGGGTGCAGTGGCTCACACCTGTAATCTCAGCACTTTGGGAGGCCAAAGCGGGTGGATCACTTGAGGTCAGGAGTTCGAGACCAGCCTGGCCAACATGGTGAAACCCCATCTCCACTAAAAATACAAAAATTAGCAGAGCATGCTGGCATGTGCCTGTAATCTCAGCTACTTGGGAGGCTGAGGCAGGAGAATTGCTTGAACCTGGGAGGTGGAGGTTGCAGTGAGCCGAGATTGCACCATTTCACTCCAGCCAAAGTGCAGAAGCCAGACTCAGTTTTTTTTTTTTAAAAAAGGCAACTATCTGTCAAAAGTTATAAAACTATAAAACTAAGCAAAGTTCAATTAAATTACTTTATTGAAATAAACTTCACTGCCAAGATGTGGACAAAAAAGTTACTCTAACCCTAACCTAACTCATATTATACTCAGTAAACTAAGAGTCATCAAATTATTTATCCTTTAAAAAAAAAGGACGTTGAGAGATGAAAAGAGAATTAACACTTACCAATAGTCTAATAATCTTTTGGTCTTCAAATTTTATGAGATAGATATGTTAGTCCCATTTTAGAGAATAAAGTAGCTTTCCAAAGATCGTATCGTTGACACATAGTGGAGTTAGTATTGGGAATTAGTTATCTAATTCAAGCCTGTTCTTAAGTAATAATACAAACTCTAATAATATGAAAGTTAATTAAAATTTTAGTTTAAAGGTTTACATACTAAGAGTCACACTCATGATGTAGAATAACAGATGTCTACAAGCTTAATTTTTCTAATGAAAAAACAAAGACACAAAGGCTTATAGAATAAGGTACATAGCAAATATGTGAGACATTTTTCTGAGCTGAGCAGAAGCCAGTCACAATTATTCTTGCTAATCAGTTAGTATAGCTTACAGTTTTCAAATTCTTAGAAGTTTGTAAGTGAAAACGTGTTAAACAGAAAAGAAAAATCCAGAGTTTTGATCCTTGAATAAGAAGGCAAATTGATAGACAAGGAAAGGAATGTCCAGGAAAAAACCCACAGGTTGCATAGACTACTGCTGCCATTATCAGAGGAGAACATCCAGGAATGCCTCAGTTGGAAGGAAGAGACTCAGGTTAAATGAGGCATATGTGTTAATTTAATAAAATTAAAACGTTTAGAATCACATTAACTACTAATTGATAAAAGTCCAGGCTTTGTGAAAAAAAAAAGAAGAAGAAAGGAAAAGAGTACTGATTTGGCTAGTTTGAAGAAATCATTTAATCCCCACAGTCTGTAATTTACTCATCTGTAAAATTAATGGATTAGACATTAATCTAATGACCTAAGTATCCTTCCAAAGCTGAAATTATACTCATTTTTTCTTTACATATTTTACTTTTTATATCCCATTTTTTAATTTTTAAGTAATCTGACAAATGTTTATTCTTTCTGATTTTTCTTATGTAATATGTATCTTAAAAAGTATATTTATAAAAAGTATATTTTAAAATTTTAAAAGCCTGATGTGATAACCACAAACCAGCTGCTCAGGTTTTGAGCCATCACCACTGCCTGGAACATTGAACAATGCTAGTCACGAGAGGGAAGGAAAAGGGAGCAGAGTAATAAAAATTATTTTTAATGAATATAAGGATTAAATGACAGAATCATTAACTTGTTTGCCCAGTACTTGGAGGGCATTGAATAAATATGGTTTCCTTCTCCACACACAGCTCCACCTTTCTATAATATCACCTTCATTAGTGCTAATTATTGCACCATTGCACTCCAGCCTGGGCAACAAGAGTGAAACTCTCTCTCAAAAAAAAAAAAAAAAAAAGAACATAACCAAAAGAATAGAGCAGAAAATAAAGTTATTCAAAACCCAAAGATTTCTTAGAGGAACAAGGGTAAGCTGTAGGGATAACTAGAAAGAAAGAAGGGAAGTGACATCTGCCATTACTATTTACTACCCTGGAAGGGCAGTGAAAGAGGAAACTATGAATCAATTATAAGTTGAAATGTTTTTGGAGCCTACTTTTGAATAACTTATGAGTTGAGATGTTATCGGGACTGACTTCTGAATAACTAAAAAGACTGAAAAGTTGAGGAATGGGATCAGAGATATTAACAATACCAGCTACTCAGCAGGAAGGATATTTGACAGAGCAGAGTTGGGAATATTTATTGGAAAAACAAAATCCGTCCATGTTTACACTTCAGTGAGTTCATACACATACATACTTGCAAACAAATTATATACAAAAGTGTGTACTTTCTTGCCTTTATGTCTTTGTATATTCATTTCCTGTTACCTAGCAGACTCCTTCCATCTACTCCTGAATTTTCCAGTCATCTTTAAAACTCAACACAAATTCCATGTTATCCTGTGAAGTCTTTCCCATTTTAGGCACAGGTCTCTTATTTTTCTCTCACGGATTTTTCAGACATATTAATTACTTGTTTACATTTCTCTCCCTAAAATAGTCAGCTTTCTGACAGAGATGCTTCATTCATTATTGCAGCCCTTCTACAGAACCTGGCATATAGAAGGCATGTATGTAATAAAAGGCTGTTGAATCAATTCGTTAATTTAATACAGTTTAAGAAGGTAGTTTTTAAAAAAACTTTAAAACAATATTTAACAATAGCAGTATTGGTCATTTGAGTTCTAAATGCCTACTTTTGGCTGGGCTTGGTGGCTCACGCCTGTAATCTCAGCACTTTGGGAGGCCAAGGCAGCAGATCATTTGATGCCAGGAGTTCGAGACCAGCCTGGCCAACATGGTGAAACCCTGTCTTTACTGAAAATACAAAAATTAGTCAGGTGTGGTGGTGCACGCCTGTAATCCCAGCTATTCAGGAGGCTGAGACAGGAGAATTGCTTGAACCCAGGAGGCAGAGGTTGCAGTGAGCTGAGATTGTGCCACTGCACTCCAGCCTGGGTGACGGAGTGAGACTCCATCTCAAAAAAAAAGAAAAAAAAAGAAGAAAAACAAAACAAAACAAAACAAAAGCCTACTTTTAAGGGAACTTTTATTTGTTTTGGTTCTGAAATTGAGTTTGTGATTTGACAGATTCAGTCAAATTTCCTTATTAGTTTATTGCTGCACCCTTGATCAAGTGGCTTCCTCTCTCAGTATCTCATCTGTTTTTTCCATCTCTAAAATTGAAGTAGTAAAAATTAATTTTTATGAATATTAGGAGGATTAAGTGATAGAATCATTCATTTGTTTGCACAGTACTTGGAGGGCACTGAATAAATATTTCCTTCTTCACACACCACTCCAGCTTCTTAAAACATTATCACATTCATTATTTTATAGACATCCTCAAATGTGATGCACATAAATGAGAAAACAATGAAAAATATCTAGTACTATACTTGGCATACAGTAAGTTCTTAATACCCAGAATTTTTTTTTCCTTCTTGCTGATCAGTATAGCACTTTCTTTTATTTTGCAGTAATGGCCAATAGTGAGAAAATAAGGGCTAAGGAGGGCTGGAGAGTAGATAATGAGAATAAAATAAATGAAAATTGTAAAAAAAAATAGCCCACCAGTTGCCACTCAACTGTTATAAAATATATGTAACCATTCTTCTGGGTGCTCTGCATACACCTGTTTTTTAAATCCACAAGACAAGCAGATTAAGTCAATCAAATCTGGACTCAAATTGTTGCTCTACAACTTGAAAACTGTAATTGTGGGAAAGTTACTTAGTGACTTTATATCTCTATTTCTCACCAATAAAATGATAATCCACAAAATGTCAGGGTTGTTTTAAGGATTAGGTCCTCACTGTATAAAGTGCCTACAATCTAGCATGACCTCAGTGCACAGGGGTTACTGCAGTTATTTAACTCACACACTATCACACATGGGGTCAGTGGTGACATTAACATCTACTGTCCATGCACATTGGGCTCTACTTGCCACCCCTGTTCCTCCAAGATTCCTAACACTTAGCTAATTAAACATTAACCAATTACTATGGCATACTTTGCAGGTATAATTAAGGTTATAGACCTTAAGATAAGGAAATTTTCCTGGATTACCCCGGTGTGCCCTATATCATCAATTGAGCCCTTTAAAGCTGAGGAAAATTTCCAGCAAGAATCAGGAGAGAGATGCCACAGAAGAGGAAAGCAGAATAAAGATAATGAAGAAGGGGAGGTAGAAGCATAAAAAGACTCAAATTTCCATTGCTGGTGTTAAAGATGGAGGAAGGAGGCCACAAACCAGGGAATGCAGGCAGCCTCTGGAAGCTGAGAATCCCCAGCCAACAGCCAATAAGTACATTGAGACCTCAGTCCTGTAACTCCATGGAATTACACTACCAATAATCCAAGAGAACTTGAAAGGAGATTCATCCGTAGGGCCTCCAGAAAAGAATGCACCTTGCCAACACCTTGAATTTGTCCTTGAAACCCAGATCAGAGAAACAGCTGAGCTACACTGCACCTGGACTTCTGAGCTACAGAGCTGTGAAATGACAAATGGGAATTGTATGAAACTGTCAATTGTAGCAGCAATGTTTAATAGCAGTTATAGCAAATGAATATACTCAATATGGAGAAGATTCAAATGATTTTTGAGAACAGGAAGCATTTGAATCCACTAAAAATGCAGGAGTAATGTTTGTCTAATTCTTAATGTACCTGTTTTCCATGTATAGTTAATGTTTTCAAAATGATGTGCAAATCACCCTCTTGATAATAATAACAATAAGGTCAAAAAATGTAATCATATGGTATCCTTTCTTCATTTTCACCAGAGCATACTAATACAGCAAAAGAAATATCTCTAAATAGTTCCACTGTTACATTTAATTTTTAATATGATTTGATATCCAAGCAGAAAAATCTTATAACATCCCAGGGTTTTCAAGAAACAGAAGGGAATTTTTACAGCTATATTTGATGGACATATTCAGTCACATTATTAGGAAGCAGACTTTGGTATCTGCAAACAACAGGCACAGAAATTCTTATGTGTACTGAACAGGAAAAATTAACACAAATGTTCCTGACAGCTGAGACTGAGCTATTAAAAACTGTGGGAATGCTCTCAGCAGAGATGCTACCAAAATAGAAAGCAATCTTTAATTGAAGAATGACAATTTGTAAGAAGTCTCTCTGTTTCCCAGCCCCCCTCCAGTGGCCTGATTTTTATTTTGTATTGTAGATAGCAATTATTTTATCTCTGATCTTCCTAAGTATTTATTTTAAATAAATATTCTGCAGGATTTGTTGATAGTTTGCTGCCTTTTTGTTTGGAAAAAAATTTCATTGATGCTCTTATTCATCAAGCTACAAAAAAGACCTTTTAAATTATAACCGCTAAATTCTCAAAAAGCTCAAGTCAGGAAACTAAAGGTACCAAGTCTCTGACTTAAACTGACATTCCTGGAGGCAGTTCAGATATGAAAGTGGAAATATGCCTAGCTCTCATTCATTCATCAATCCAACAAATGATTATTGAGCAACTACTGTTTTTTTGGAACTGTGTTAGGTACTGGGAACACAAGTGGGAACATAGGTGACACAGTTCTTTCACCCTACAGGGGAAGATATGTGATGAGACAAGCGTAATGAGAGCTACAGAGATGTACATGGAGTCAAGACAGAAGCCATGGGGAATTCAGGTTGAGTCTACAACTAAAGAAGGAATCAAAAGAAAGGTTAATTCCAGAGGGCTGGATAAAGAGGTAAAAACCTGGGGGAAAGCAAAGACCCTAACAGTAGGTGGTGCAAGAAGCTTAGCAAGGAGTTTCCTGGTGAGAGTCCCAGAGGTTCTAGAATTTCTGCTCAAGAACATGGTATAAAGTGCTTCAGACCTCTCATCTGGGTGAAGAGGGAGATATTACTGGCACAAGAATGTGTAAATAAATACCAATAAGCCTGAAAGAGATCATTGCAAATGGCTAAGTGAAGTGAAGTTATTCCCAAATCAATTCAACTTCTCTTTTCAGGAGTAATACTGGGTCACATCAGAAAAGACACTTTTCTGATCTCCCCATGCCCAATGTGGCCATTGAAAATAGGCAGTGAAAAATTTTTTGTCCCCCAAATACTTCCTCTCCTTCAGAAAGCCAGTGTTCAGTATTACTAATCATAAATAAAATGCTCCAAAAAGGAGTGTTCTAAGCCATGTTTAGCTTACACTAGCAGGGTTTAGTTGACAGTAATTTGAGAATATAGCCTAAGTTCAGGAAAACAGAAGCTGAGGCAATGAGATGTTAGGTTAGGAGGAAGAAAGAAACTGGATGTCTGGATGAAAACATTCTTTTTTTTTTTTTTTTTTTTTTTTTTTGAGAGAGAGTTTCACTCTTGTCACCCAGGCTGGACTGCAATGGCACAATCTCGGCTCACTGCAACCTCAGCCTCTCAGGTTCAAGACATGCTGCTGCCTCAGCCTTCCAAGTAGCTGGAACTACAGGTGCATGCCACCACGCCTGGCTAATTTTTTTGTATTTTTAGTAGAGATGGGGTTTCACCATGTTGGCCAAGCTGCTCTCGAACTCCTGACCTCACATGATCCACCTGCCTCGGCCTTCCAAAGTGTTGGGATTACAGGCCTGAGCTACCGCGCCCAGCCAGATGAAAATGTTCTTAGTCTCCTTCCCAATGCTTCCTAGGCTGACCACAGCATCAGTGAAGGACAGAATTTGTGAGAGTCATGTTCACTAGTAATAAAGCAAAGAACTACCTGCATCAGAAACCATCCATCACCTCCCCTCATGGGAGTGCAGTGAAGCAGGTGTAACTACCATCCAACACATCTAATTGCAGCATTTCTGAGTCCACCAAAGAAGGAGACTTTGTGGTGGACTGAGCCTGCGGAAGAAAGTGGTGGGGATTCTTTGCAACTATTTTTAGACTTAAAGCAAATTTCCAGTAGCCAAAGGATGACAATCTAAATGTAATTCAGAAGGTCTCCAAGATTACCCTGGATTTGACTAGGAGGAATTGACTAGGAGGAATTACAGAACTCAGAAAGCCATTATATTCACCAACAGTTTATTACAGTGAAGATACAGGTTAAAATCAACAAAGGGAAGAGTTGCCAAGAGCAGGGTCCATGAGAGACCAAGTGTGGTGCTTGATGGTGCTTCCACTTGTCCTTTCCTGGTAAAGTCATGCTGAACTTGTCCTCACAACGCTAACAAGAATTCTGGACAGAAGTATAGGTAAAATTAAGCATTAATCGGGCTGCACTTTGACCCACTTCCTTGTAACCAAAAGTCACTAGATAACATTCGCATCCCTACTGTTCCAATCGATAGGATTTCTGATGTTAGAATCATAAGGCTTTTGTTTAAGAATTGCTTAAGATGTTTTTCAGATCCTGAATTCCAACAAAACAGCTGAGGCCAACCAGTTTGAGGACCCCCACAGAGGAACAGAATCAACATAGGAATACAGTTAATTCTGTTCTCTGACCTATCACTTCACCCTGTACTCTTCACATGTCAGCCCACTCCAAAACCCTTAAAATGTCTAGTCCCAAACTCTACAGGGAGATGGATTTGAGATTTCCTCCCATCCTCTCATTCAGCAGTCCTACAATTAAACCACTTTATCTGATGCAACCCTGTGTCTCAGTGTACTGACTTGCTGAGTATTGATAAATGGACTTATTATGGTTACAATGCGGATAGCAATGGTTTTTCTTAACAGTACTGTGTGACAGCACGCATGGAGTATTGCCAAACAGGGAAACTCACCCAAATCTTGGTGTTCAGAGGTTTATTATGGCTTGGCCACATAAACATCGCTAACCACCTGCCTGGCTGACCTATCCCCAGCTCCTCAAGTATCAAGTTAATACTGCATGGCCCAAGTTCTCCACCATAAGTCATCGAGTATCTGGAATGGCCCAAGACCCCCTGGTAAACAGACACTTTTATCAAGCAGGACATTCCAAGGGCTTAAAGGTTATCTCCCAGAAGCTAGTTAAAGGCCAAATGATTCTCTGGGCAAGGTTAATTTTTTACTGCACACTGAGCAAGTGAACTCCCTGCATTCACAAACTCTGTAATCCTTATCTTTAATTTTAATAAACTTAAGCTTGTTTATAGCATTAAGCAACTTAATGAGTCTTAAAGCTTTAAGTATTTTTAAAGGATATTCTGTTACTTTTAATCTCAATTAAAATGTAATTAACACATTTTATTCCAAATGTAAAATTATCACATGGCTTTCCAAAGAATTTCACAAATTCATAGGACTGAGATCTGTTCATAAACCACATAAGCTTTTTTCTGGAAAGATCTTGGTAGGTCTAGTCTTTGGTCACATTTTCTAAGTGACCAATGCCTTCAAATTATTTATGATAAACCAGTAGACCAAAGGAAAAGCTGGAAAGGGAAACTGAAGGCTCTGTTGAATGCCTTGTTAAAGGGAAGCTACTACAGAGTGAACCATACACGTCTTCCAAAATCATAATGTTGACGGTCAAGCAGAACATGGAAACAGCAGTTTCAGCCCAACTTTACATGTATCAAAATCAAGAGAGAGTGTTTGCCTTATAAGTTAGTCTCAGAGGAAAAAACAGAGCTATAAACATTAGCAGGCTTAGTACATATCTATATTATTAAGCTCTTCAAGAAACTGAAAAAATGACTAGTGACTGTATTTTTAAACCAAATCAAAGGGAGCCCTCAAGTTTAGGACAAACTGTTGCTTAAATGCCTGTCTTCTCAGCCACCGCCCCCATACATATGCTGAACACATTATACCATCAACAGAGAATTTTAAAATATAAAAAGCTACATTGATTTTGTATAATGAGCATCAAGAAGTCCAAATTAAAAATGGAACTTCCCTAAAAAAAGGGCATGTCATTTTAAAGACATTTCGTTTTTTTTAAAAAAGACAAGAGCAGTACATATAATTTCCCAAAAATGGAAAATATGAAAAAAGTGAAAGTATTATAGCCTGGATATTAAAAATCAGCAATTCTAATATATACTAGGACTTCTGAACAAACTACGAGTCAATTTTAAGTTTCCAAAAGATGATTATGATTTGGGTAATAACTGAAATCATAATTGCTTATGTTTTCAAAAAATAAGTCCCTTTAACATTTTTTATGAAAGACTATTATGACCAGATCAAACTAACTCTCTTGCTTACCAAAATGTGGTGATTTGTAGATAGGAAGAAGTAACAGAAGTGATATATCTTGCCTCAGTCAAATTTTTTTTTTTTTTACTATTGCCCATATAATTGTTCAATAACAATTTGGGAAATAGGGTTTAGCTCATAAAACTGATGCATTGGGATACAGTGGTGGGGAGAATTAATCCAAAAGTGGTTTTCTATAGTTGATTGCTGACTTGAAATGGGGATTTTGAGTTGATGCTACTGGAGTGTTTCCATCTTCATTTGGAAAAAGGAACACTTGCTATGGTAACTGTGCCCTTGCGGCATACACTGTCAGTGTCCTGATCAATATCACATCCCCACACCTTCTCAGTTTCTTTTGGGATGGAACTATGCCCACTTTACAACTTCCCTTGTAACTAGTGGCAACCATTTAACCCAGTTCTCCTGGCCAAGCAGATGTAAGGGGAGGTCTGAAAAGCTTCCCAGAATATCTTTTGCATTCTTGGTAAAATGAATAATGTGCCTGGTATCACCACTCTTTACCAACTCTTCCTGCTTTGAACACTAAAATGATTCCTGGAGTTGCCGCAGCCATCTTGAGAATATGATATGATAGGAATGAAAATAAAAACAGAGATGATAAAACAGGATATGATAAAGCTGATGTCTTGTATGGTTTGTGTTAGTAAGGCTATTTATCAGTTGAATATGCTGCTGTAACCAACAACCTCAAAACCCCAGTGGCCAATGAAGGCTGTGTTTCTTTAGACTGTCATGTGATATATCACCAGTCACCATGGCAGAGGGAAGGGAGCTTGGCAGAAACACTAACTCTTCAAGGCTTCTGCCCAGAAATGCCACACATGCTCACATTCCATTGGCCAAAGCAACTATAGCTACACCTAACTTTAAGGAAGAAAGAAGTATAAATCTATCATATAGAATTGTACTATTCTATCATTTTTCCAAGAAGGAAGGAAATCAAAACACTGATTAACAGCTTTGATGAACAGTTCAACTTTTTCTTATATGAGAGAAAAATAAACTACTATCTGTTTAGCCACTTAGAGCTGAATTTTCTACCACTTCTAACCAAAATTGTTCTTAGCCAACAAAGTAGAATTATTCTAAAATTGCATATGTAAAATTACATAGAGAAATAGGATTATAGTTCTACTCAGCAATATTCTGAATTCTTTTTAATTTTATAATTTGTCTTCCAAATGCTCCCTCCTTAAGGATAATGGATTCATTGCAAGATTCACAAATTGACTTATTTTGACCCTAGGTTGGAAATCAAAACAGAAATCAAAGGAGCTTGGACTATAGCTCTGTGCCTCAACAAAAATACCCTGCAAATCAACTCTCCTGGAAATATCAGCAACCAATAATTAATTTAATCACTACAGTTGGAAAAGGCTATTACTGTGTCATTCTCTTTCAAGACATATTTTGGTTACTAAGAATAATACTACCAGTTTAGAGAGTATAAAATGTGTCCAAAATTGTCCTAAGCATTTCATATACAATTAGGTTACTTAAACCTCACAAGGATCCTATGGAGTATACACTGTTATTCACATAAAATACATGAAGAAATTGAGGTTTATTAAGATTAAGTGACTTACTCAAGGTCACTGAGCTAATGAATAGTACATTCATGATTGAATCGCAAATCTAACTATACAGCTCAAACACCTGCGAGGCTGTCCTATTTCTACATTCTGAAAAGATTTTCAAAGTCACCAATGCCTTTTTAGAACACTGGATCTTCCTTGCACTGTCTCAAGTTCATATTTTAATTCACCCTTTAAATTCTTGTTTCCTTACTCAAATTTCTGTACTCTTAAACCTATACTCTACTACTTCTCTTGTACTTACTGAAATAAAATTAACTTCACAGTGAAAAACATCTAAGCTATTCAGTGGAAGAGGAGGGAACGACCTGAAAGCAGAGTAAGTCACAAGTCGAACATAAGCGAACAACACAGTCATCTTAAGACTTAGATATAGAGGACTAGAAAATATTCGGGCAATGAATAATAGTTCAGAAAAACCACTACTCTGTATGCTGTGTAGTCTTCATATTCTACTATCACTTATTGAAACACCCTTGTAAATCTGCATTCATTCATCCATCTTATAACATTTATTATCAATCATGTATTTAGTAATTGTAATATGTGAGGTGCACTGTCTACAAAAATATGAAGACATGGTGCCCTCTCTCAAGAAGAGTTACATCCTGTAAGGAAAACACATTCAAACGGTGATATGTATTATAAAGGCAGCATCTTCAATGGCACAGGGTGGGAAAGGTTCAAGTCCCAGGGAAATCCTTATAGTAGCCAGAGGCATTTTTATGAAATGCAAATCATATCATATTTCTTCTCTTCTTAAATCCCTTCAGTGATATTTCAATGAAATTTTACTAAAATCCAAACTTTTTACCTTGACTTAAAGGAATCTACAAATTCTAGTCCTATCTATATTTCTTCTTCTCTTCACTCTCTCTTCTATTCACTAGACTTTAACCATATAGCCTTCTCCCTCCCTTTAGAACACACAAAACTGATTTGCAGCTCTAGATTTTTTGCACTTTTATTATCTTCACCTGCAGCATACTGTCCCCAGATTCTTGCATAGGTTTTTCACTTTCATCCTTTAAACTGCAGGTCAAATATAATTTCCAGGGACAGGATTTCACTCAGCCCTTCCTCTACTCTACTTATCTTATTGCCTTGCTTTATTATCTTTATCACCCTTACCACTAACTGAAATCGTCACATTCATATATTTCCATGTTTGTTATTTGCCTCCTCCAAGTCAAATACAACCTGCATGAGGCCTGGAAACTTCTCTGCATCCCCAATATCTAAAAGGTTACCTGATACACAATCTCGCTCAACAAACTTTTAATGAATAAATTAATTAATAAGCAAGTTAGTAGCCTCTATACATTTGGTCTGGGCATAGAAAAAGAATGATGAAATATCAGATTGGATAGCAATTCAAGTCACATAATGTAAGAAGCATTTTTATGCCACATGATTTTGACAATTCTTGGGTACTACTTCAAATCCTAATAGCCCCATCTCTAACTCCAGCCACTACTGTGGAAATCATTTCCACGCATACTTTGGGCAGGAGCATTCTTACAGGATGTTGCCTTCCCATGTCCCATACTTCTTACTTCCTGTCCAGGACATTCTCTGATAATATGCTAGAGACATCCGTAGGATCACATGTGGCAATTATGCGTGTACAAGCCAGATGGGTAGGGCCATTGAAACCCACAGAGCTCCCCTTCACCAGGAAGGAAAAGGAACTGAAGAACAAATACTTCCCTTTTTAGTCTCCAGCAGGGAGCTCTTCAATACATTTGAGAATCTGAGAACCTAAGATTCCTCAAAAGGTTCCTGCTCCCTGGATCACTTCCCAAATAAACCATGTGCATGAAGATCTTGGTCTTAAGCTCTGCTTTCCTAAGACAGCATGCCTAAAATAGCAGCCTAGTAGTCTAAATTTTCTTCCTGTAAACAATTAGAAATCTTTGAAGACTTTTGAGCAGGAAAGTAACAATCATTTTTGCAAGAAAAGTCATTTTGATGATAGTGTGAAGGATGAATTACAGAAGTCAAGGCTGATGTTTTGATGACTAATCAGAAGATAAATTCAGTAAACTAGGTAACAATAAGTGCTGAAACTCCAGTGATGAAAGTGGATATGGAAAAAAAGAGAAAATAAAGATTGTGAAATAAATGGGAAAAAAATTGTGTAAGGACTGTGAAGTAGAGGAGGTAAGCATTAGTAATCACATGACCTATAGGTTGTTTGCTTCTGTCAGTATGCTGTACCATATTGAGTATACTACTCCTCAAAGAGTAGTGACATGATGAAATCCAATCTGCTTTCCAAGAAATTTCATAAAATTAGCACACATTTTTCTGGCATGCTTTAAACATAGATCTTACGAAGATGAACCGAGACCTCTAGGAAATTCTTTCAGGCATGGGGCTCAATAATAAGATAGTGCTTTTAGCAATTTTTATTTTCCCTGTTAAGTAATTTTTTAATTAGTTTACTTTTTTAGTGTCATATATTATATAAAAATGTATTTTCTAAGTTTATTTCACTTGTGGAGAAACTGGAGAGTAATAGAGTGCCATGTTTTAAAAACACAACACTATACATGTGGCTGACATGTGAAAGTCAGGGTTACAAGCTCAAAGTGTCTGACTTTCAAATACAGCCCAATCAGTAAAGACATGATAAATGTACAGAGGAAGCCCATTATAATGGTGGTTTGAGTCACTGGGCAAGAGAAGAAGAAAGATGACAAAAGAACACGGGCTCACAAGTAACTATTGCTCATTAATTCTGACTGAGATCAATAAGTGATGTTCCTTGCATTCACCCACAGCAAGTATGGGTACATTTGAGATAAATGAAAGCCTCTTCTGCTTAATGTAACAGAAAAAGTATGTATTAAATGGAATTTTTAATGTGAATGAATGCTGACAATTTCTTGTTAATAATTTCACTTCATTTTGGCAGGAAGAGCCAAATCTCAAAATAATATTGAAAAGTCTGACAAGAAAACTCAATTATAAAATATGGAAAAATTGAGAGAAATATTTAGTGCTGGACATAGCACAATGTTAGCTGACCTTTACATTCCTTGATTATATTGAATTAATAGCCTCTGTGCTAATGATAATTACATAAAATGGCACAGTGAAAAGGCCATTGTGTTACATAAAATCTCCATGGAAATAGAAATCCACTAGTTTATCTTTCTTTAATGCTGTAAGGGCATTAATTTGTCACTGTAAACACATTTTCATTCAATTAACCCTGACTTTATTTGTGTGGATAAATCTCTATCCCAAGACATTTATTTTTCTGTTACCAACACAAGTCCCTCAGCTCATTGCCAGACTCTTGATCTTTATGGAAGGACAACCACTCCTGACACACATACCACAACCAAACATGAGCCAACATGCTTATATCTGGACCAGAGGTGTGGAAACTATGGCTTTGGGCCAAATCTACTGTCTGTTCTTATAAAGTTTTATTGGAACAAAGCCATGCCCATTGTTTGTGTATTGTCTATGGCTATTTTCACACTACAATGGCAGAGTTGAGTGGTTGTGACAGAGAGCATATGGCCCACAAAATTTAAATTATTTATCTTCTGGCCCTTTACAGAAAGTTTGAATACCCCTAATCTTCCCTAATCACTTGAAAATCAACATTGATCACCCTAACATGTAATCAGCAAAGTAGCTACCAAGATGGTAGCAGGATTATAACAATATACAAAATGCTGTTCTCTTTAATCCTAAAATTCTTTAAATTTTCCAATTTGAAAATGGGTAAGAGATACCTATTCTTAAGCAGTAGGCACTCAGAACCACCAAGGTCTAAAGCATCATTGTGGGAAAATGGCCATCTTTATTCCCCCAAATGTTTTTATTTTTCTTGTCATACTGTACCTACTTTTCTGCTCATCCTTCCACCAGCAATATCATTTAGGATAGGACATACTATGAGAAAAACAGCAATTTTGTCAGATTATGGATTTTTAAAACATATAGCTACTCATGTTCAACCTGTCCAAAGAAAACACAGTTCCATAAAATCAACTGTACCTCCTCTACAGAGAAAATACAATTAAACTACTATGGAAATAACTGCAAGTAGCTAAAGAATGGTAAAAATCTTTGGAGAACAAATTTTAGGATCAACCTTTGCAAGAAATTGTACATCCCTGTAGAGTCTCCTAGGAAGAAACTAATCTTACTACAGTCATAGCTAGAAGAAAGGACAGACCTCACTTCCTACAGCATGGGGGAAAACTATCTAGTATCACAGTGAATTTAAATAGGGCTGGTGTAGAACTGGGAATATGTTTTAACCAATTCTCCAGGTTCTAATGGGAATGGCTATTGAACCACTCTCTATAAAACACAATGTTAATCACATCTCAGCCTTTTGGCTAAGATCAAGTGTAGTATCTCTTCTTATCAGTTTAAAACACAATGTTTATTTTCTCCACTGGTATTATACATTCATACAACCTATCTTGCAATAATCATTTTTAAATGCTAAAAGAATATACATTTATGGTAAAAGAATAAAATTCCATTTTAAAAGCTTTCGTAAACTAAATAATTTTTTGTAAAGATAAGACATTTTAATGACTAAGAAATCTTAAAACCTTAGTAGGCGCTAAGATTGCAAATCTCTTCTGTCATTTTGCCATTTGTCTATTAACTTCTTCCCTTTTTGAAAGAAATGTTTTATTTGAATGGAATTAAATTCATAAATTTCTTTGCCTTATGAGTTATGCTTTGAAAATTTAAGATTTTTATTAGAGAGGAGACTTTTTCATGAATGGTTATTGTTTTACCTGTCATAGTGAGGTTTAATTTAAATAGAGATCACATCGTACTCAGTAGGAATTAAGTTTTATTATTTTTCCATAGAGTTGGACAGCCTTATTTTGTTTTTTACAATACATCTATTTCCCATTGACTTAGGAGTCATTCTTGGGTATGTTTGTATATCTCCACAAATTACCTTTATACAGAGGTCTGTCTCTGTTGTTCTCTAATCTTTTGCATTGATCTGTTCTGTTCTTGCACTAATCTACACTACTTTTATTACTGTCTTTGTAATATTTTTATTTATACATTTTTATTTATTTGTATGTAATATATAATTTGTTAAGAATGTATATTTATGTAATACTAAGTAATCCATCCAAGATCATGAAATGTCTTTCTATATGTTCACTTTCATCATAAAGATCCTATGTTTTTGGTTAAGTCCAAAATATTTTTTGGATTTCTATTGATTTTATAAATTACAAAAACAGATAAAGGAGATAGAAAAAGGAAAAATACAGACTCACTTATGAACCTAGGTGCATCATAAAATTATAGCTAACCATGAAAATATGGAAAAGGTGATGGGATATGAGTCGCCTGAATAGTCTATGTAATAGAGCAAATGTGATAGAATGTTACTCCTGTGAACAATTAGGACTGTTAAGAAGGTTTTGCAAGTTTATCAGTGCCAAGGTGAAATAATTGAAAGGATCAGAATCCAGATTAAAAGAGTTTATTCAAGTGTAAAGCTAAGAATAGCCATTCAGGTAACAGACTTCAGAGGAATGGGATCAGTACTCCAAAGCTAAAAGTTAAGGTCCGCTTATATAGGTAGAAAACAATGAAATTTTGTAGGATTGTAACATTTTCTATACAAGGCCAGTTTATGAGTTATAACAATTTAGCTGCAGTTTGTCTTCTTTTTCACACATCTTGCTTTATTTTTCTTTCTAATTCAAAAGAATGTTTTTAACATTCTCTCTTAAACAATGTGATACTCATGAAGTCTTTGTGGGAGAGAGGAAAGAGAGAAGATAATTTGTAATTAAGACCAATAGGTAGGAGGGAAGAAGTCTTCCCCAGCACCTGTCAGTCATTTACAATATTTTATAAAACAATGTAAGTAAAAATGCTAACATATAATCAGAAAAACAAATGTTACAGCTGCCTAGGTTATAGCTGCCTGTTTTTGTGACTCAGGTTTCATAATTACATTCCCTTAAGGCTCAAAATATTTTTAAGTTCCAACAGCTTAGATTGTGAATTACTTATTTTCACATATGGAATTCAAGCTGTAACAATCATTAGAGGAAATGTGCAGAAAAATTGAAAGAAGACCAAAGAGTATCCATAGAGGGAGCCACATTTCAGGGAAAAAAGAAAGAGGCATAATCTAAAATAATATAAAAATAGAAATATGAAAGCTATTATAATAAAAATTATGAGCCCTTCAGGCTTCCAAAATGAGAAGGTTATTAATGATGTCAAAGCTGTGGGAATTGGAAAGAGGATTTAGTGAAATCATTAGACTAGTGTGTCATTCCACTACTTAAACTTATTCTTCATTTTTTAAAGATGTTAAATAGTACCTCATTGTAAACTGTATTATTATTTGTGTTTATATGATTTAACAGAAAATGGTTCCTAAAATCGGTGAAATTTTAAAATCTGACTAAACAGGATCCACTTCTAAACTTTCCTAAACTTTTGTTTTATCTTATAAAACAAAAAAAAATGTTTAGAGGACATTTATCTCTTTGGATAGCTTTAGTGTATTCTAGAAGGATTTTTTGGTATATTTACTATTTACTGTGGTATTCACTTTTATTTTCCCTTTTAATTTTTTTCACTTTTGACTTGACCCTACTAATTGGAGTAAAAGAAAATCTGCACTTTTTGTTCCATAATTCTTCAATTAATTTCTTTTTCTTATTTTGAAGACACACCACAGGAAGTTAGGTATATACATATGGACTGATATATTGTGTTATCCTTCTAACCAAAAACCCCAGTATAATTGTTGTGAGAATGTGATTATTTTATAGATTTGGCTTCAAAGCCTAAAAACCGATTTGGGTAACACTTTTTCTTGAGAGATACAAACACAAATTTTTCTATTATCTACCAATTTTATCCATTCAAATGACTGTTGTATTTTCCTAAGAGACTTAGTTTTGTGCTAATAAAGATAGTATCAAACACTCACATTTATTGACATCTAAATGCCACCACGTTGAGTGAAATCTAGATGTAGCCTATTGTTATAAAAATGTCAATCCATTGTATCACCCAAGGACAGTCTTGAAAGAGAATGTTTTTTAAAGTATTTATTCTTTATTGATTTTGAATGAACAAACAAAAAATGAAGGCATACTTTTGAAAGTCATACTTAAATTTTTTAAATTGCAGCTAACATTTGGCCTTTCTGAACAGTCCCTGAATAATATTTAAGAACCTAGACTCAAGCCAGACTCTTGGGTTTGTTGGTTCCTTGACTTACTCTTTATGAAGCCCTGAGCAGGGTGCCACACTTCTGAGCACTTATTACGTGCAAGCACTGTTCTATTTTCCATTAATTAGCCCAATTTACAGATGAGACAGTGGTGGCACCGGAAGGTGAACCAATTTGTCCAAGGATATTCAGCTAAGTAAATGCAGAGCTGGAATTCCAACCAAGGCCGCCTGGCCTGCGAGCCCAAGCTCTGTTTAAACTCCATTCTATAACTTTCATTTTAGTATTTTGGCTACAATGATTATTTAGAAATGAGCAACTCTACTTTTTTGAATTTAGCAGCTAATTTTCCTTGATTAAACCGAGATAGGTCTTCTGGTGTGACATAGCCCTCTCTATAGCAGGTATTTATACTCTTGTACCCTAATAGCCTTACTAGGAGAAAGCCTTTCTGGAGAAAGTGCTGCACTTTGCTATCATATTAAACCATTAACTCTTATTTCAACAGACTCTCAAACCTGCACGGCAATATTCTGCTAATCTGTTTGATGATCTGCCACAATTGGCAAGAATTATTTCAAAATTTTTCTCCTCTCATGAAACCTCCAAGTGTAACCCACACTCATGGCGCAGAAGATGAGGTACTAACTTGAGGCTAACTGATAGAATCTTTTTATCTTCTTGATTTAAAACATTGAGACCTGTGTACATAAGAATCTACACACATGCTATCTTCCTTCCTTCCTAAAAGAAGAGAATACCATTTCTTCCTCCTAAGGCCTATCCCTCCATTAGCATTCTAGAGCTTACTCTATTGCATTTACTCAAAACCTGCACGCTGAGTATGTCTTTGCCATCGTGTGTTCTTTTTTCTTTTTTTTCTTTGAGACGGAGTCTCACTCTGTCACCCAGGCTGGAGGTTAGTGGCGCAATCTTGGCTCACTGCAACCTCCACCTCCTGGGTTCAAGTGATTCTCCTGCCTAAGCCTCCTGAGTAGCTGGATTACAAGTGCCCGCCACCACGCCCAGCTAATTTTTGTATTTTTAATAGATACTGAGATTCACCATGGTTGGCCTCGAACTCCTGACCTCAATTGGTCCACCCACCTTGGTCTCTGAAAGTGCCAGGATTACACGCGTGAGCCACCATGCCCGGGCTCTTGTGTGCTTAAGTATGCTCAGGTCTCAATAATCTTCACTCTAGCCTCAGAGCCTCCTACAACTACCACTTTTTTTCTCTCCACCCTTAATAGCAAAACTTATTAAAAGCATCAACTGTATTTTTTTATCTTCATTTCTACTCTACCACTCACTTCCTGGTCCAAGATTCTACAGTAACATCCCACATAAACAGTTTTTACTAATGTTATCTATACCCTACAAGTAGCTTAATCAAGCCCTGTCTTACTTGATACTTCAGCAGAATTTCACAAATCCTACTACAGAATTACAAACTTTGTTTCCCAGCAGAGAGCTATCCTTGACTTCCACATCAATATATCTAACTGCCTACTTGATATACCTGCTGATGTCTCAGAGAGAAATCAAACTGAACTCACATTTTATACAAATCCATCCCATTGCAATGTTTCCTATTTCAGTGAATGGCTCAATGCAAGTTATTAACCCTTGAGTCTCTTGGAGCGTCCCGCTCCCTCACTCCTTACCCAATTTTGCATCACTGTTGATTTTATCTCCTAAGTATCTGTCTAGTCCATCCATAGAGAGTTTATATGTCATACATCATAGAACATCCTCAGCATGGTATGGGACATCATTCTATAATTGAACACGTTAATATTTCTGCAGTGAATCATTAATTAATATATTGCTAAATGGGGTGAATAATAACTATAAATAGCTTCATGTCAATTGATTTCATGTTCTGCTGTCATATGAGTTCAGTTAAGTCAGAGTTTCTACCAAGTGAGTTATAAAAACAATTTTCAGTTATTGGAATTGAAATTCAGAATTGTGGCTAAGCAATTGTGAATCTGCCATGACTTACCAAGAAGTAATGTGCATAGTGGTTAAGAGCATGGGCAGCAGAGCTAGACTGGGCCCAATTCCATCTCCACCACTAACTAGATCCTGGACAAGTAACTTAACCTCTCTGTGCCTAACTATTCTCATCTGTAAAATGTGAGTAATAAGTTACCCACCTCATAAGATTTTTGAGGAGATCAAATCAGCCAATGCACGTAAAGTGCTTATAACAGTGTTTTATACAGAATAAACAATCAGTATTAGCCACCACGAAGCTTATGCTATTAAAAACAGTGGTGTAGTTCAATGTCCTTGCACTTATGAAACTCGGAAAACTTCTTAGACATAGGATTGTTTATTTATTTAATTTCATTTTATTTTTTGAGAGACAGAGTCTGTCTCTGTCACCCAAGCTGAAGTGCAGTGGCATGATCACAGCTAACTGCAGACTCAACTTTCTGGGTTCAAGTGATTCTCTCACCTTGGCCTCTCAAGGAGCTGGGGCTACCAGACGTCACCATCACACCTGGCAAACTTTTTAAATTTTTTTGTACAGAAAGGGTCTTGCTATATTGCCAGCTGATCTTGAACTCTTGGGCTCAAGCAATCCTCCCACCTCGGCCTCCCAGAGTACTGGGATTCCAGGAGTCAGCAACTGGCCAGAATTGTTGAATCAAAGGAAATATCACTTAAAATTTTGTTAAATAATAGAAATCATCCTTCTCAACATTTTCTACAATTAATACTCCCCAAAATATAATATGAGCTTACCCAACATCCCAACATCCTCTCCAATGCTGGATAAAGTCAACCATTTTGGTAAATCTGGAAGGTGAGAAAATTATATATATCTTGTGGTTTCTATTATTTCTTTAATCATGGGAGATTCTTTTTAAATTCCTTTAATTATGAGAGAATAAAATATTTCATTAATTTATTGGTTATTTATACCACTGCATGTTTACATCTTCTGCCTATTTTTAATTATGAAATATCTGGGGTTTTTGAATATTTAAAACTCGTTAAAGGAAGAACAGAAACTAAGTTTTTTTTCTTTCATATATATGTATATTTGTATGTGTGTATATATTTATACATCTATGAATTATTCTTAATATTTCACATGTCACCCATATGAGTTTTCCCACATATCAGCAGAACGGGGCTACCCTAGATTCCCTGCCATGCCCAGTCATTAACCAGGAGCAGCCAGTGAAAAGCACAGTGTTGGTACAAATGCACTGGTAGATTCAGGGAGCAGCGCAGGGGCCATCATGCCGCTATGCTCCCTGCAGCAGGAAATCTCTGCAGTAAATTTCCATAGCTACCAAAGCCCACCTTGGAGCAGTACAGATCTACCACTCCATGAAGGTCTCGAGGTCAGCCCCTCCACAGTTCTTGTGAGACTCTCTTCCCAAGGAGAAGCCTAAAAGAGGGAGGTTAGTGAGATGAACTAGAGTCTCATCATTATAGTTGGCTGCAGGGCCACAGCTGGTACTCATCCTTGCCTGTCTCCACTTTCCATTCTAAATTTCTTGTAACTTCACCTATTACCTCAAGAGGTCTGGGTAACTACTGTGACCCAAAACCCCCTTTTTGAGGGGGGTGAGGACTCAATAATCATACTTTTTTCAGATTTCATTGCTGTTCTTGTTCATTCATGATTTCAATAGGGCAAGGTAGTAATGGAAGGCAACCAAAGATCACATGAGTATCACAAATATTTCTTCCTGTCCCATTGTATAAAAGCGGCCTATATCCTCCTCCTGGTCAGAGTTGTTAACCTCTGCCATGATGGTGACTCCTTCCTTACAGATTCCTGGAAATAAAAAGTTTCCAGTGCCCTGACAGCAAATGACACTTATAGTTCAATGGGAAATTTTCTGTGCCCCCTGTCAAGAGTGAGTCTCCTTAGGGACCAAGACCTCCAACCCTGCAACTGTAGAGTAGTGGGACAGGAAACACAGAGTTATTGGGAAAGGTGGTATGTAGGGCTATTTTTGCTTAAATTCCTTTGTTTCTGAACCCATGTATTCTTACTGGGGACACAGCACTGTATGCACTGCATAGAGGTCTCTGGTTTAATACATACAGTGGATCCTGAACGATGACACCTCATTCTTTCAGAGCGTTACTTCTGAAACTTTGCCTTTGGCAGGATGTTCCAGCATTCAGTGATGACAGCTCTTCCCTGCATGGTATGGTATGTGATCTAATCAGTGGTTCCAATGAAACTAATCCTCCACATTTTCATGTGTGGAATGTGGGATTCGATGTCTGTGAACAGGCATCCCATAGTCCCACGATAGTAGTGCTGCCTGAGCTCTGTGGATGGCAAAGAAAAAATTACATACAGAATATTAATCCATCCCTGTGAAGGCAAGTTGCTGGCCTTTCCAGGACAGACGATTATACTATATGGATATTATAATATAGTTGATTGCCACATACTGACTTGTTGGTCTCCTTAAGGAAGCATGTCGTATTGGGGGCTCAGCACTGGCTCTCAATTTTATTAAGCTTCTAAGGAGCCATCTTAATAGTAAACTTATCTCCTCCCCTATGGTTCCTGCCAGGGTTTTAAATTCCTTTTCCAAAGAAAGTGCCACCAAGCTAATAAATTATTATTTGTCCTATTTTACATTCTAGTTCTTTTATAAAGCACCCTGAAAATCTAATCTCAGGTACACTCCCCTGGCTCCTACCAGTACACTATAACTAAGTTTCACAATGCCTTCAGATTATAAACTTTCCCTTCTCAGGCCCAGCAGATGGGATATGCTGGAATTTAAACTTAATTAGCCTGGGAGCCAGAAGAGGAACAAGGAGGAGTTCCTGAGTGAGACACCTGTTATCTTACACGGATAAGGCCTCTGCAGAGCATTATAGCAAAAGGTTAACTACTTTTCTAGAGGATCTGCAGAGCCAACCTATGCAGGAGTTTCACCCCAAATGTCCTTTCTCTGTTTCTGGATTGTGGGTTTCCAATCCAGAAGGCTGAATTTAACATAACAGGCCTGTCTGAAATGATGAACATTCAAACACCTCTGGAGCTCTGTGACTCGTCAAATCTTTGTTTTTCTGCGCAGTTGTGTCTGCTTTTCTGCTCAGAAGATAACGTACTCATTAGAAGCTACCAAAGAGGCTTTCTGGTTCCCACACTTAGCTTTTAACAGCTCTCAATTTCTTATTATTCCTCTGTAAGATGACAATACAACTTGGTACTAACAAGCCAATGCTGCTGTTTTTGTAAACATTCCCCTCACTTCCATATCTCTCAAATATCTGAGTCATCAAACCTGCAAGGCATTCCCCTTCTTGGTATGCTTTCCCAAGTTACCACTGCTGAAATATTTAGCAACTGAGCAACCAATTTGTGGCAGGGATGATCCGCTGAGGATGGCATCTTCTTTGTCCACTAGGTGCTTGGTAAGATAGTCTCATATCCTCATCCTATCACCTGCTTTCTTGGATCCCTCTCATAACCACTGTGTTTATTTAGGTCTGCTGAGAAGCACTTACCAATATGAGATAATGCATGTAAGAGATTTGAAAAGGGAACAGGAGAAGGTAGAGGGAACCTTTAGAGTGACTCCTGTGTAAGGAGGGAGGGAAATAAAGAGGACAGGGTAGGAGGAATCACAAATAGCAACACTAGCAGCACAGTTCTAAGAATGATTGAACTAACCAAAAGATGGGGCAGGTCTTTGATCCAAAGACACACACAGGAAGAGTCCAGCATCTAGCAATAATGGGCTCGTCTTATTACGTTCTCTGTGCTCAGTCATTAGCTCAGGGTAGCTTGCAAGAAGTATGGCCTTAGCACAGACAGTGTCAGACCCACTGGGGCAGTAGATGAAGCCATCAGTTAACTATGCTCTCTGCAGCTGGAGATCTGAGCAGTGACTTTTCATGACCACTACATCTGCAGTGCTACTTGATATGGTTTGGCTCTGTGTCCCCACTCAAATCTCATCTTGAATTATACTCCCATAAATCCCATGTGTTGTCGGAGGGACCCAGTGGGAGATAATTGGACCATGCGGGCGGTTTTTCCCATACTGTTCTCCTGGTAGTGAATAAGCCTCGTGAGATCTGGTGGTTTGTTAAGGGGAAACCTGTTTCACTTGGTTCTCATTCTCTCTCTTGCCTACTGCGATGTAAGACCCGCCTTTCACTTTCCACCATGACTGTGAGGCCTCCCCAGCCATGTGGAACTGTAAGTTCACTTAAACCCTTTTTCCTGTATAAATTACCCAGTCTCCGGTATGTCTTTATCAGCGGCATGAAAACAGACTAATATGCTACTCTGTTACAGTCTATAAAAATTTAAAATTCCTGGTGAAAAATAGATAACCAATTCTGTTTAACCAAACCCTTTTTTTAAATTTTATTATTATAATACTTTAAGTTTTAGGGTACATGTGCACAATGTGCAGGTTAGTTACATATGTATACATGTGCCATGCTGGTGTGCTGCACCCATTAACTCGTCATTTAGCATTAGGTATATCTCCTAATGCTATCCCTCCCCCCTCCCCCCACCCCACAACAGTCCCCAGAGTGTGATGTTCCCCTTCCTGGGTCCATGTGTTCTCATTGTTCAATTCCCACCTATGACTGAGAACATGTGGTGTTTGGTTTTTTGTCCTTGCGATAGTTTACTGAGAATGATGATTTCCAATTTCATCCATGTCCCTACAAAGGACATGAACTCATCCTTTTTTATGGCTGCATAGTATTCCGTGATATATATGTGCCACATTTTCTTAATCCAGTCTATCATTGTTGGACATTTGGGTTGGTTCCAAGTCTTTGCTATTGTGAATAGTGCCACAATAAACATATGTGTGCATGTGTCTTTAGAGCAGCATGATTTATAGTCCTTTGGGTATATACCAAGTAATGGGATGGCTGGGTCAAATGGTATTTCTAGTTCTAGATCCCTGAGGAATCGCCAAACTGACTTCCACAATGGTTGAACTAGTTTACAGTCCCACCAACAGTGTAAAAGTGTTCCTATTTCTCCACATCCTCTCCAGCACCTGTTGTTTCCTGACTTTTTAATGATTGCCATTCTAACTGGTGTGAGATGGTATCTCATTGTGGTTTTGATTTGCATTTCTCTGATGGCCAGCGATGATGAGCATTTTTTCATGTGTCTGTTGGCTGCATAAATGTCTTCTTTTGAGAAGTGTCTGTTCATATCCTATGCCCACTTTTTGATGGGATTGTTTGTTTTTTTCTCATAAATTTGTTGGAGTTCATTGTAGATTCTGGATATTAGCCCTTTGTCAGATGAGTAGGTTGCAAAAATTTTCTCCTATTTTGTAGGTTGCCGGTTCACTCTGATGGTAGTTTCCTTTGCTGTGCAGAAGCTCTTGAGTTTAATTAGATCCCATTTGTCAATTTTGGCTTTTGCTGCCATTGCTTTTGGTGTTTTAGACATGAAGTCCTTGCCCATGCCTATGTCCTGAATGGTAATGCCTAGGTTTCCTTCTAGGCTTTTTATGGTTTTAGGTCTAACGTTTAAGTCTTTAATCCATCTTGAATTAATTTTTGTATAAGGTGTAAGGAAGGGATCCAGTTTCAGCTTTCTACATATGGCTAGCCAGTGTTCCCAGCACCATTTACTAAATAGGGAATCCTTTCGCCATTGCTTGTTTTTCTCAGGTTTGTCAAAGATCAGATAGTTGTAGATATGTGGCGTTATTTCTGAGGGCTCTGTTCTGTTCCATTGATCTGTATCTCTGTTTTGGTACCAGTACCATGCTGTTTTGGTTACTGTAGCCTTGTAGTATAGTTTGAAGTCAGGTAGCGTGATGCCTCCAGCTTTGTTCTTTTGGCTTAGGATTGACTTGGCAATGCAGGCTCTTTTTTGGTTCCATATGAACTTTAAAGTAGTTATTTCCAATTCTGTGAAGAAAGTCATTGGTAGCTTGATGGGGATGGCATTGAATCTATAAATTACCTTGGGCAGTATGACCATTTTCACAATACTGATTCTTCCTACCCATGAGCATGGAATGTTCTTCCATTTCTTTGTATCCTCTTTTATTTCATTGAACAGTGGTTTGTAGTTCTCCTTGAAGAGGTCCTTCACATCCCTTGTAAGTTGGATTCCTAGGAATTTTATTCTCTTTGAAGCAATTGTGAATGGGAGTTCACTCACAATTTGGCTCTCTGTTTGTCTGTTACTGGTATATAAGAATGTTTGTGATTTTTGTACATTGATTTTGTATCCTGAGACTTTGCTGAAGTTGTTTATCAGCTTAAGGAGATTTTGGGCTGAGATGATGGGGTTTTCTAGATATACAATCATGTCATCTGCAAACAGGGACAATTTGACTTCCTCTTTTCCTAATTGAATACCCTTTATTTCCTTCTCCTGCCTAACTGCCCTGGCCAGAACTTCCAACACTATGTTGAATAGGAGTGGTGAGAGAGGGCATCCCTGTCTTGTGCCAGTTTTCAAAGGGAATGCTTCCAGTTTTTGCCCATTCAGTATGATATTGGCTGTGGGTTTGTCATAGATAGCTCTTATTATTTTGAGATACTTCCCATCAATACCTAATTTATTGAGAGTTTTTAGCACGAAGCGTTGTTGAATTTTGTCAAAGGCCTTTTCTGCATCTATTGAGATAATCATGTGGTTTTTGTCTTTGGTTCTGTTTATATGCTGGATTACATTTATTGATTTGCGTATATTGAACCAGCCTTGCATCCCAGGGATGAAGCCCACTTGATCATGGTGGATAAGCTTTTTGATGTGCTGCTGGATTCGGTTTGCCAGTATTTTATTGAGGGTTTTTGCATCAATGTTTATCAAGGATATTGGTCCAAAATTCTCTTTTTTGGTTGTGTCTCTGCCAGGCTTTGGTGTCAGGATGATGCTGGCCTCATAAAATGAGTTAGGGAGGATTCCCTCTTTTTCTATTGATTGGAATAGTTTCAGAAGGAATGGTACCAGTTCCTCTTTGTACCTCTGGTAGAATTCGGCTGTGATTCCATCTGGTCCTGGACTCTTTTTGGTTGATAAGCTATTGATTATTGCCACAATTTCAGAGCCTGTTATTGGTCTATTCAGAGATTCAACTTCTTCCTGGTTTAGTCTTGGGAGGGTGTATGTGTCGAGGAATTTATCCATTTCTTCTAGATTTTCTAGTTTATTTGCATAGAGGTGTTTAGAGTATTCTCTGACGGTAGTTTGTATTTCTGTGGGATCGGTGGTGATATCCCCTTTATCATTTTTTATTGCGTCAACTTGATTCTTCTCTCTTTTTTTCTTTATTAGTCTTGCTAGTGGTCAATCAATTTTGTTGATCCTTTCAAAAAACCAGCTCCTGGATTCATTAATTTTTTGAAGGGTTTTTTGTGTCTCTATTTCCTTCAGTTCTGCTCTGATTTTAGTTATTTCTTGGCTTCTGCTAGCTTTTGAATGTGTTTGCTCTTGCTTTTCTAGTTCTTTTAATTGTGATGTTAGGGTGTCAATTTTGGATCTTTCCTGCTTTCTCTTGTGGGCATTTAGTGCTATAAATTTCCCTGTAAACACTGCTTTGAATGTGTCCCAGAGATTCTGGTATGTTGTGTCTTTGTTCTCATTGGTTTCAAAGAACATCTTTATTTCTGCCTTCATTATGTTATGTACCCAGTAGTCATTCAGGAGCAGGTTGTTCAGTTTCCATGTAGTTGAGCAGTTTTGAGTGAGTTTCTTAATCCTGAGTTCTAGTTTGATTGCACTGTGGTCTGAGAGACAGTTTGTTATACTTTCTGTTCTTTTGCATTTGCTGAGGATTGCTTTACTTCCAACTATGTGGTCAATTTTTGAATAAGTGCGGTGTGGTGCTGAGAAGAATGTATATTCTGTTGATTTCGGGTGGAGAATTCTGTAGATGTCTATTAGGTCTTCTTGGTGCAGAGCTGATTTCAATTCCTGGATATCCTTGTTAACTTTCTGTCTCATTGATCTGTCTAATGTTGACAGTGGGGTGTTAAAGTCTCCCATTATTATTGTATGGGAGTCTAAGTCTCTTTGTAGGTCACTCAGGACTTGCTTTATGAATCTGGGTGCTCCTGTATTGGGTGCATATATATTTAGGATAGTTAGCTCTTCTTGTTGAATTGATCCCTTTACCATTACGTAATGGCCTTCTTTGTCTCTTTTGATCTTTGTTGGTTCAAAGTCTGTTTTATCAGAGACTAGGATTGCAATCCCTGCCTTTTTTCATTTTCCATTTGCTTGGTAGATCTTCCTCCATCCTTTTATTTTGAGCCTATGTGTGTCTCTGCACATGAGATGGGTTTCCTGAATATAGCACACTGATGGGTCTTGACTCTTTATCCAATTTGCCAGTCTGTGTCTTTTAATTGGAGCATTTAGTCCATTTACATTTAAAGTTAATATTGTTATGTGTGAATTTGATCCTGTCTCTATGATGTTAGCTGGTTATTTTGCTGATTAGTTGATGTAGTTTCTTCCTAGTCTCGATGGTCTTTACATTTTGGCATGATTTTGCAGTGGCTGGTCCCGGTTGTTCCTTTCCATGTTTAGTGCTTCCTTCAGGAGCTCTTGTAGGGCAGGCCTGGTGGTGACAGAATCCCTCAGCATTTGCTTGTCTGTAAAGTATTTTATTTCTCCTTCACTTATGAAGCTTAGTTTGGCTTGATATGAAATTCTGGGTTGAAAGTTCTTTTCTTTAAGAATGTTGAATATTGGCCCCCACTCTCTTCTGGCTTGTAGAGTTTCTGCCGAGAGATCCGCTGTTAGTCTGATGGGCTTCCTTTTGTGGGTAACCCGACCTTTCTCTCTGGCTGCCCTTAACATTTTTTCCTTCATTTCAACTTTGGTGAATCTGACAATTATGTGTCTTGGATTTGCTCTTCTCGAGGAGTATCTTTGTGGCGTTCTCTGTATTTCCTGAATCTGAATGTTGGCCTGCCTTGCTAGATTGGGGAAGTTCTCCTGGATCATATCCTGCAGAGTGTTTTCCATTCTCCCCGTCACTTTCAGGTACACCAATCAGACGTAGATTTGGTCTTTTCACATAGTCCCATATTTCTTGGAGGCTTTGTTCATTTCTTTTTATTCTTTTTTCTCTAAACTTCCCTTCTCGCTTCATTTCATTCATTTCATCTTCCATCATTGATACCCTTTCTTCCAGTTGATTGCGTCGGCTCCTGAGGCTTCTGCATTCTTCACGTAGTTCTCAAGCCTTGGCTTTCAGCTCCGTCAGCTCCTTTAAGCACTTCTCTGTATTGGTTATTCTAGTTATGCATTTGTCTAAATTTTTTTCAAAGTTTTTAACTTCTTTGCCCTTGGTTTGAATTTCCTACTGTAGCTCAGAGTAGTTTGATCGTCTGAAGGCTTCTTCTCTCAACTCGTCAAAGTCATTCTCCGTCCAGCTTTGTTCTGTTGCTGGTGAGGAACTGCATTCCTTTGGAGGAGGAGAGGCGCTCTGCTTTTTAGAGTTTCCAGTTTTTCTGCTCTGTTTTTTCCCCATCTTTGTGGTTTTATCTACTTTTTGTCTTTGATGATGGTGATGTACAGATGGGTTTTTGGTGTGGATGTCCTTTCTGTTTGTTAGTTTTCCTTCTAACAGACAGGGCCCTCAGCTGCAGGTCTGTTGGAGTTTGCTAGAGGTCCACTCCAGACCCTGTTTGCCTCGGTATCAGCAGCGGTGGCTGCAGAACAGCAGATTTTCATGAACTGCAAATGCTGCTGTCTGATCGTTCCTCTGGAAGTTTTGTCTCAAAGGAGTACCTGGCCGTGTGAGGTGTCAGTCCACCCCTACTGGGGGGTGCCTCCCAGTTAGGCTGCTCAGGGGTCAGGGGTCAGGGACCCACTTGAGGAGGCAGTCTGCCCATTCTCAGATCTCCAGCTGCGTGTGGGAGAACCACTGCTCTCTTCAAAGCTGTCAGACAGGGACATTTAAGTCTGCAGAGGTTACTGCTGTCTTTGTATTTGTCTGTGCCCTGCCCCCAGAAGTGGAGCCTACAGAGGCAGGCAGGCCTCCTTGAGCTGTGGTGGGCTCCACCCAGTTCGAGCTTCCCAGCTGCTTTGTTTACCTAAGCAAGCCTGGGCAATGGCGGGCGCCCCTCCCCCAGCCTTGCTGCCTCCTTGCAGTTTGATCTCAGACTGCTGTGCTAGCAGTCAGCGAGACTCCGTGGGTGTAGGATCCTCCGAGCCATGTGCGGGATATAATCTCCTGGTGTGCCGTTTTTTAAGCCCATTGGAAAAGCGCAATATTAGGGTGGGAGTGACCCGATTTTCCAGGTCCTGTCTGTCACCCCTTTCTTTGACTAGGAAAGGGAACTCCCTGACCCCTTGCACTTCCCGAGTGAGGCAATGCCTCGCCCTGCTTTGGCTCATGCATGGTGCGCTGCACCCACTGACCTGCGCCCACTGTCTGGCACTCCCTAGTGACATGAACCAGGTACCTCAGATGGAAATGCCGAAATCACCCGTCTTCTGCATCGCTAACCCTGGGAGCTGTAGACCGGAGCTGTTCCTATTCGGCCATCTTGGCTGCCACCACCAAACCCTTATTTTTAAGCAGAACTCTAGGTCATTAGACTCTTAAAACACAGGCCTACACCTCTCCTTTAAAAAGAAATTTCTGTATTTTATAGCTATAATTTTTCTTTTCTCTGAACATATTTTATCATGATTATGTTTTGAATTATAGAAGTTAACCATAGCTTAACTGTAAGGTAAGCGAATATTGCACATTATGACTCAGGATACTATTTTTTTAAAAAAAGCTCTCTGAAATAAAAGTGTAATTTATTGTATTAATTTTCTCATAATGGTAGAAGTCTGTAAGATCCACTGAGGGTTTTCTTTACATTGGTTCTCCACCAAACCCAGAACAGTGTTGGTCATTGAGCATTAATGTATTACTGCAAAACTGAATTACATTGAAATTTGTAGTTTAATTTTGAATGGATGTGTTACTAAACTTTCCTATAATCACAATACCTTTCAGTCTCAGGAGCAGCTTAAATCATACTTGAAAGACATATGATGCACTATTTATAACAGCTGTTGCTTTTCCTATTAATGAGTTTTGAATTGGTTTGCTTTTCTAGATTGACAACTTCCATTACAGCTCAGGATGTTGGGGATTTGAACACAAAAGCAACTCTGGTGGATAATTAGCATGCTATACTACCTCTGAGAAGAAGTTATATTTTTGATAAACACCTCTAAGTACAGATAGTATGTGCTTAGTACTTATTTTCTACTAAACATAAAATTAACACATGTCATGGGAAGCACCACTATTAAAGATTTTTGTTTTGTCAGATATCTTTTTTCAAGCATAACAGTTCTTTGTGACATTGAATGCTCATTTACTCACAATCAGAAAGGCTACTTTATTTTTAAAATCCAGTGACCAGAAATAGAGAAACTGCATCTTCTTTGTGGTTGACCCTTGGAGCAGTGGCACATGCAGAAACCACTGTCAGTGCCCTGGGAGACTACAATGTGCCTCCCCAGGGAATGAAGAATTTATTAGCTAAAGCCAATTAGAAAGCAGCCAATAGAGGAAGAATTCTCTCTATCCTCCCCCTTTTCTGCCTAAAGACAAGATATAAATTCTTTACTGAAGACAACTCTTATTAGTTCAGAGATGGCACCAGAGGAATCTACACACAAGTTTTACTCCATTCGTTTCTTCCCACAATTTCCCACCTTTGGAAGAGTAAAACTGTTTTCCTTTGGTCAGTCATTTTTCCACAAATGTATTGTTCTTTGTTAAATATGCTACATAAGCCAGAGCTGTAAGCCACTGCCGTGAGTTCCCATTCACTGAGGTTTTTCCTGTATGATGTGCGCTACATGCATTAATAAACTTGCTGTTTTTCTCTTGTTAATCTGTCTTTTGTTACTGGGATCTGTCTCAACTATGAACTTATGAGAGTTGAGGAGAAATTATATTCCCTCCCTGACAGTGACATTTCAGGTCCCTTTTGCTCATCTTGCAGTGGCTGCGTCGTCTACTAATGAATCACATCTGTTACTTTCTGTGGAGAATTTTCCTCAACCAGTGGGAGCCTTCTTACTTCCTGCCCTATAGGAAACCCAGAGAAAGTGACTTTTTGATGCAGGGGTGTAAAATTTCAGCCCTAATTCTTTAAAATGGGAGAAACTCTGTGATAAAATTGTTTCCCTGTCACTTCCTCAATAAATCACTTCCCTCTCAGACTCTGAATCTGGGAAACCTTACCTATCACAACCTATAATATTATAAATTTAACAATTCCATGGACTTTACATATGGACTATCCTTCCTTTTAAATAACATGGGAAATTTACCAGTAATAAGGTCCTAAAGAAAAAATATCAGATTATAGAAAAATTAGTGGAAAGATATGCAACTCCTGTAGGAAAATTCACCTACATGATGTAGCCAATAGGCCACTTGTGATCATGAGAATATAATGGTGATATTTCCTGGCACACAACTCCTCAAGCTCTTGGAATCTCCAAGTGATAAGTGTCTTTTTATATCCTGATGAGTTGTGAATAGGTTCCAAATGAAAGCTGGTTACCAGAAATACCAGGCATGATTACAGGATTAAATCTTTTAGCCCCATCCACAACCTCCAGGGAAGGGAGAGGGGCTGAAGGTTGAACTGATCACCAATGACCAATGATTTAATCAATCATGACTACATAATGAAGCTTCCATTAGAGGGCTTGCAGATAGCTAAATACCTGGAGGTTCCTAGAGGGAGGCATGTCCTGAGAGGACATGAAATTTCTGTGTCCCTTTCTACATACCTTGCCCTGTACATCTTTTCTATCTCATTTTTCCTCTGTATTCTTTGTAATATCCTTTACAATAAATGGTAAACACAGTTAAAATGTTTCCCAGAATTCTACTGGTCACATTAGCAAATTAATCAAAACCAAGGTAGGTGTCATGGGAACCCCCAGTTTATAGCTGGCTGGTCAATGTATAAGTGACTATTATTTGCAAACTGGTGACCTGAAGTGGGGGACAGTCCTGTGGAACTGAGCCCTCAACCTGTGGGATCTGACAGTATCTCAAGCATAAGCCAAAAAGTGTCTAAGATAGGTATCAGTTAATTTAGAAGTTTATTTTGCCAAGGTTAAGAATAATAACCCATGACACAGCCTGAGGAAGTCCCAAAAACATGTTCCCAAGGTGGCTGAGTTACAGTTTGATTTTATATATTTTAGGGAGACAGAAGACATCAATCGATACATGTGAGGTATACATTGGTTCAGTTTGGAAAGGCAGGACATCTCAAAGTGGGGGCTTCCAGGTTACAGGTGGAAGATCATGAGATTTTATGATTGGCAATTGGTTGAAAGAGTTACTATCTGAAGACCCAGAATCAATAGAAAGGAGTGTCTGAGTCAAGATAAGGCATTGTGAAGATCAAAGTTATTATTATACAGATGAAATCTCATAGGAAGGCGTCCATCCTTAGGGGCAATAGATGGCAAATTGTTTCCTTTTCAGAGCTTTAAAATGTGCGAGACTCCCAGCTAATCTTTTCAGGATCAGAAAAAGACCTGGAAAGGGAGGGGGATTCTCTATAGAATGTAATTTTTCCCCACAAGAGACAGCTTTGCAGAGCCATTTCAAAATATTTCAAAGAAATATATTGGGGTAAAATACTTTATTTTGATTACTTTCAGAGCCCCCATATGTCATGTGATGCTATACTAGATCCAGGTTGGAATGTGGTATCTTATTGCTACAAAGAGCCTATTTTGTCAGTCTTCAGATCTCTGTTTTAATGTTAATGGTGGTCAATTTTATGCCTGAACTCCAAAGAGAGGAGGGTATAATGAGGTATGTTTGACTCCCCCTTCCCATCATGACCTGAATTCCTTTTTCAGGTGTCTTTGGTATCCCCTTGGCCATGAGATGTGGTCTATTTAGTCAGTCAGGGGGCTTAGAATTTTATTTTTGGTTTACACCAGGTAGGAAGTGTCATAATTGAATTAAATTAGAAGACAGCCAGCTGGTGTCTGCTGCAGAATTGCTTAGTTGGTGCGTAAGGTAAAGCTCCCACACATTTGGTGTCAGAAGTGTTGGGTTGACAGTATGAGTGAGTGTAGGGGGAAAAGTCTCTTTATTTTTTTCCTATCTCTCAGACTACTGATCCTAAAATCTAGAAAGACAAAAATAAATAAAATATTAACATTTTCATTTTCTCTCCACCTGTGAAGTGAAGATTTTAATAAAGACCCACATACTCTGGGATAGAAGTCATCTCATCTCCAGTACTAAGCAAACAACTTTCTGTATGCATAAGCAAATGGGGGGGAAAGAAAAACACCAGAATTTGCACTCGATTGTTTAAATAAAGACAACACTGAAGAGTAAAAGTAATTTTCTCTTACAAAATAAGGTTGCAAGAATAAGAGACAACTTTTCAAACCTCCAACTCATCAAAGGAGATGAGACGCACTGAAATGAGTAAATCATGAACTAAGCATTCCAAGATCAGGAAAGACCTTTTCAAAATGAAAAACATGATTGCTAATTTCAAAACTAAATTGATATTTCCTCAGTCCAATAATAAGAAATGTATTAATTATGTCTTCCATATGTTTGATATTTCAGTACTTTGGAGACTTGCTGACACTAGAGAAACTGTGCCTCCTAGGGAAAGCCAACTCCTAGAGATAAGTAAATGATTAAAATGCTGGCATGCCTTTTGTATTAGTCCATTCTCTCATTGCTATTAAGAAATATTTGAGACTGAGTAATTTATAAAGAAAATAGGTTTAATTGGTTCTCAGTTCTGCAGAATGCACAGGAAACAGAGCAGCTTCTGCTTCTGGGGAGGCCTTATGAAGCTTAAAATCATGGCAGAAGGCAAAGGGGAGCAGGCATCTTACATGGCAGGAGCAGGAGCAAGAGAAAGAGGGGAGAGGTGTTACACACTTTTAAGCAACCAGATCTCACTAGAACTCACTCACTGTCATGAGGACAGTACCAAGAGGGATGGTGCTAAACTATTCATGAGAAACCCACCCCCATGATCCAATTACCTCCCACCAAGCTCTTTCTCCAACATAGGGAATTACAATTCAACATGAGATTTGGGTGAGGACACATATCCAAACTTTATTACCTTTCTTTTCCCAACTAACCAATCCAGAGGTCATTCCTCAACTACTTCATGTACCATATTCTCACACTCTAAGCCACTACTTACCTACTCAAATCACCCTAGGGTCAGGTACCAGACAACTAGGGAGACACTGTATACCCTGGAGCCAACTGAAATTATTCAAACTATTCGATTCTAAACCTGCTCACCCTGCCTCACTTGTTCCTTCCTATAGAAGATACAATACACGCTCTTCTCCACATGTTCCCCACTCGCCCTGCCTCCAGACCAACTCTGGTGCTCTCTGTGTGGCCCTGCATGGCATGCCATGCCTCCTGTTTCTAAGGATCTAGTAATAAACATCTTTCTTCATAACAGTCATTTCCAAGTCTGCATGTCTTACCATATGTGATTAAAACAAATCCCTGGTACCCTTAACACAATAAAACATCAGAGAAACAAATTAAGGGATGTTCTGTGAAATACCATTCTATAAAGTACTCATCAAAACTGTCAAAGTCATGACAGACAAGTAATAACCAAGAAACTGTCACAGATTGGAGGTGCCTAAGGAATCACAGCAGCTAAATGTAATGCCAAATCTTGATTTGGGCCTTGCCTTAGGACAGAAAAAGGACAGTGGAAGAACTGGAGAACCCAAATTAAAGGAATGGCTCAGTTAATAGTATTTTACCAATGCTAACTTCTTAGTGTTGTTAAATGTCCTATGGTTAAGTAAGCTGTTAACATTAGTGGAAACTGAGGGAAAACTATACAGGAACTCTCTGGTGCCATCTCTGCAAGCCTTTTGTAATCTAAAAACATTTCAAAATAAAACTACTAAGAAAAAATAAAATAAATAAAACTAAGTTAAGTCAATGAATAAGATCTTGGATGCAGTAGAAAATGAAATCACCGGCAGAAAGATAAGCCTGAATGATTCACTCAAAGGTCAAAAGAAAAGTATGCAATATTAAAATAAGAGAAAAGCAAAGAGTATAAAAGACAGGACAAGAAGAGATAAAGAATGTAAAATATTAATTACGAAAAGCTAGGTATGAGAGAGAAAATGGAAATTACATTAGAAATTCTTGAATTTCAAATAGTACATGTTATTATAAAACTAATAAAAATAATCTTTCTTTTATTAAGAAAGATTCATGATGAACATTTTAATTCCAAGATCAAGAAAAATCTTTGCATTAAGGCAGAAAAAATACAAGTAACTTATAAAGTAACAAAAGTCTTACTAACCTCAGATTTCCAAACTGCAGCACTAAATGCTAATGACCAGTAATTCCAAATACATAGGTTCATGTAACATGAATTCCACATTCAATTAAATGAGCTATGTAAAGGTAACAGAGAAATATTTACACATATTTAAAATGAGAAAGACTTCATAAAGCTTTCTGGGGGTGGGAAACTAAACGAAGTTACAACCTATTCAAGAAATAAATCAAAATAAGAATGTAAGAATGGGAAAGACAAGATGTAAAAAACAGTAATAAACAATAAAAGGGGTTAAACTTGGAATTTAAATCAAACTAAATGTTATATTTATGTATTTGAAGTTAGAGCAGATGCTAAATTATTTTTGTTTTGTTGATACTTCTATGACAGTCTTTATTTTGTTGCTTCAATATTGAATGCGTAAGTTATTACTGTTTTAAATTATAATTTTCATTGTTACAATACCTTAGCTTTATTTTGGGCAGTATCTAAAATTCAGTCTTTGATTTTTTTAATGAGGAAAATATGGATTATGCAATGATTGCTTTTAGAGTAACTATTCAATCATTTGGAAAATATAAAATAAAGTTAAATCCATTCTTTATAATCACACAAAAATAAATTTCAGAGAGATTTGTTTTAAAATTTTAACAAATGAAACAAATAGATTGAACTATAGTTGAATATTTATACTTTCTTAAAGGTAGAGGTTTTGTTCTGAATGTGGTAGAGTGGGAAGAACACTGGCTTTTACTCTAAAGAGCAATTGAAATTTTGCCTATTCTGAAATGTAAAGTTGAAAAACTAAATAGGGTTCTTGTAGAACTCACAAGTAGAAGGACCAATGGAAAACACCTTAGACTTCGAAGTTAAACCCCAAAGGATTCTATCCTAGGAGTAAGGAAACATCACAGACTTTACCAGACTGTAAGGGGCACAAGCCCAATATCATCATCTCAATCCATGACAAGACAAAGGTGATCTGAGATTGCTAGAACACCCGCCCCCGCCCCCCATAGCTGACTACCGAAAGCAAAAGCAAATCCTCTTCGGAAGAAAGAAAAATATCTAGAATCTCAAATGATTAACTACAATTTTTAACAAGCCATCTGTAGCACCCAATCAAAATAACTATGTCATACAAAGGTAAGAATTGACTAAAACCCAAGAAAAAATAGAAGATAGAATCACACCTAGAAAATATCCAAATAATGGAGCTACCAGATGTAAAACTTGTATTTCATGATTAATGGTATCAATGGATTGCAAGACAAATGGAAAGTTGTGGCAAAATTTGAAACTATAGAAAATCATATGGAAATTCTATAATTTAAAAATATAATCACTAAAATTTAAAAGTAATTAGATGATTTTAATACCAGGTTACATAATATTAAAGAAAGTTCAGAAAAAATATTCATAATTAAGAAAAAACTAATGTTTAGAAGATTTGAAGAGTGGGCCGGGTGCAGTGGCTCACACCTGTAATCCCAGCACATTGGGAGGTGGAGGCAGGTGGATCACTTGAGGTCAGGAGTTCAAGACCAGCCTGGCCAACATGGTGAAACCCTGTCTGTACTAAAAATACAAAAATTAGCCAGGCATGGTGGCACCCGCCAGTAATCTCACTACTCAAGAAGCTGAGGCAGGAGAATTGCTTGAACTTGGGAGGCAGAGGTTGCAGTGAGCCAATCTTGTGCCACTGCACTCCAGCCTGAGTGACAGAGCAAGACCCTGTCTCAAAAAATAAAAAAAAATTTGTAGAGTATAAGAGACCTGCAATATAATAAAAGGGCCCATGCTCCTATAATTGGACATCCAGATGTGTAGATAAAAGAGAGACTGGTCACAGATTCTGAAAACAATATGAACTCCTTAAAAAAAAAAAAAAGGAAAAGAAAGAAAAACCACCTCAAGGTACATCACAATAAGCTAACACATTTTTAAAATTAAGTCATTCTTAAAAGAAGTTCAAGAAAAAATACAAATGCCCTTCAAAGATTCACAATAAGACTCCCAATGGATTTCTCAAAAGGAAACAAAAAGAAAATGGAATGTCACCAAAGAGTTAAATAAAAATTACTTTCCAACATTACATCCAGTGAAAATATTCATAAACAAAAAAGACAAAATGGGACATCTTCACATAAACAAAAAATCTGAAAGAAATTTTTACCATCCATCAGTTTTACTCTACAGGAAATTTAAAAGATACCTTTGTAGAAGAGGGAAATTATCCCAGAGGAAAATCTCAGAGATGTAAGAAAAAAATGAAGAGCAATGTATAGAGCAAGTATAGTTTCCTACATAATATTGACTGTATAAAAATAATAATAATGTCTTGTAATTTAAAATTACATTAAAGAATGTACATATATCTCAGTACCTGGGCTGAAACTAAATGCTGTAAATATCCATATCAATAAATTATTTTAGAAAACCAGGAAGGTAAACCCAAAGATATTATGAGAAAAGAAATGATAAACATAACATAAAGAAATTAAATAGAAATGAACAAAGAATAAATAGGAGCAACAAATCCAAAACTGGATTCTTTGAAAATAGTAATAAAATTTAAAAATTCCTTGCAAGACTGAGCAATAAAAAAAGAGAAAGAGAAGTCATAAATAACCAATATTAGGAATGCAAACAGGTGCATCATTATACATCACATGTACATTACAAAGATAATAGAAAAATATTATAGAAATAGAAAATTATTCTAATAATTATTCATATGTTAAAAATAAAACACCTAACTCATATAAGATGATATAGATTACCCAAATAATCTTATGTTCATTATAAAAATCCATAATATAAAATTTACCAATAAATATAATTCCAAGCCCATATGCCTTCACCAATAAATCTTCCAAAACTTGTGGAAATATAATACTAGCATTACACAAATAACTCCATAGAGTTGAAAAAAGGAGATCTTGTACTAAATTATTTTATGAGACCAGGAAAAACTTAATAACAAAACCTGGCAAACATGGTAAGAAAGAAAAAAATTACAGACCAATCTGATATATAAACATAATATAAAGTTACAAGTAAAATGTTACAAATCTAAATCCAGTACTATTTATATTCCAATCAGGCTAGATTTTTGTCTAAAATGCAAGTTTACTTTTAATATTTTAAAACAATGCAAATTACCACATTATCAGAATAATGAAGATATATCATGTGATCATCTCAATTAATGCAGAAAATGCAATTGATAAACACTCATTCATGATGAAAACTATAAGCGAATTTGAAATAGAAACTTTATCTGATAAAAGATATTTACAAGATAAATTTAAAGTCTATGATAAAAGCTATCCATAACAATCAATCTCTGATAAAGGGTATTTACTCCCAAATTATGCTTAATGTGAAAATGTTGAGATCTTTTCCTCTGAGATCAAAAACAATGCAAGAATGCTCACTATTGAAGGGAGTTTCAAAATGGCTGACTAGAGGCTCCTGGCATTCCCCTTCTCCACAAAAACAAAACAAAACAAAAAAAGACCAACACAGAGAGGAGATAACGTGTTAAATAGACCTTCTAAGAGAGAATACTAAAATTCACCGGTAAGTGACAGAAGAGCTCTGAGGCATGAGAGGAGGAAAGTGAAGCATCCAGCCCAACAGTATTGGCTCTGAGCCTGAAGGAACTCCCCGTTGCAAGAAAAAGGTAAGTGAGAGATTCCCCAGCAGTCCACAACCCCTCCACATAGTGTACTCTTGCAATCCTAGGCATGAGAGAGCCCTCAGCCCTCACAGGCTCTGAGACTAGTACACAGAGCTACTGGAGTAGAGAAAGTGACATTGCTCCAAAGAAGGAGTTCACACAAAGTCCCACACACACACTCTGAACAAGCAGCTACAACACAGCAACATTTTAAGAACGCAGCCCCCACTAAACTACATCCTGTGTTGGGGCTCAAGAGCCACTGCATCTCCACATCACTGCTAATATACCCCCACATCCACCCAGAGGGCTGCAGCATCACTACACCAGCTGAACTCAACAGAGCGGCCAGGTTCCTAGTACTCTCGCCCATGAGGGTTTTACATCCCAGGGAGTGCACCAGGGAGGCTGCCTCTAGGAAAAAGGGAGCCAAAGTGTGAATTACCTAGAGCCAGAAAGGCACCTGCCCAGGGCTGCTGCTACTGACAACAACCCCACCCTCTCCAGTCAGGGCCACTATGTACCAGCACACACCTTCAAGGGACCTGGGCATGAGCCTACATGGGTGCCATATTCATAACTGAGGACAGGGCCGTCACCACCCGTCATCACCAACACTGACACCTGAACACACTATCTGAGGATCTGGGAACCAATCTCCCTCAGCCACTGCCACTGGTGGGAGTGTCCCCATTGAGGAACCTGAGGACAGGTCTGACCTTTCTGCCACTGCCACTGCCACCACCCACAAATGTTATCCAGGAGCCTGGGGACTGATCCACCCTGCCACTACTGGTGCACATGCACACTGTCCAGGGGCATGATGACAGGGTCACTCCACCTGCTGCCAGTGCCTGTGTACACCTGCCAAGGGCCTAGAGATCAGTCTGCCCAGCCTGCTGCCATTGCCACTGGTGCCCACACTCACTGCTCAAGGACCCAACAATTGACCTGTCAACACTACTCTTACCGGTGGTGCAACATGCACAAACACAAGATACAAGAGAACACAAATAAACAATACAAATAAATCAGAAAAACAATTCATGATCTGAGTGAGAAATTCAACAGAGATAAATAATCATTTAAAAAAGAGACAATTTGGAACTATTGAATTTAATGAATGAAATAAAATATATAATCAAGAGCTTCAACAATATACTAGATCAAGCAGAAGAATGGATTTCTGAACATGAAGACAGGTTTTTTGACATAACCCAGTAAGATAAAAAAAAAAAAAAGTAAAAGAATGAAGAAAGCCTATGTAACTAACTAGAACTAGGAAAGCAAGAACAAATCAAACCCAAAATTAGTAGAAGAAAATAAATAATAAAAAATTAGAGCAAAACTAAACAGAGAATAAAAAGTACAAAGGACCAAGATGAAAAGTATGTTTTTGAAAAGATAAACAAAATCAATAAGCCTCTAGCTCAACTAACCAAGGAAAAAAGAGAGAAGACTCAAATTAATAAAACCAGAAGTGAAAAAGAACACATTGCAACAGATACCACAGAAACACAAAGAATCATTTGAGACAATTATGAATAAATATATGCTAACAAATTAGAAAACCTAGATAAAATGGGTATATTAGTGGATGCATACAACCTACCAAGATAGAAAACCTGAACAGACCAATAATTAGTAAAAAAATTGAATCAGTAACAAAAAGCCTCCTAACAAAGAAAAGCCCAGGACCAGATGGCTTTACTGCTGAATTCTACCAAAATTGTGAAGAAAAACTAAAACCAATTTTCTCGTACTGTTCCAAAATAATGAAGATAAAGGAATTCTTCTTAACTCATTCTGTGAGGCCAACATTATCCTGGTACCAAAACCAGACAGGAACACAACTAAAAAAGGAAACTAGAGGCCAAAATCCCTGTAAATATGTGTAAAAATTCTCAAAAAAAAAATACCAGCAAACTGAAATCAACAACACGTCAAAAAGATAATACACCATGATCAAGTGGGGTTTATCCCAGGGATGCAAGGATGGTCCAACATATGCAAATCAATTAATGAGATACATCGTATCAACAGAATGAAGGACAAAAACCATGTGATTATCCCAACAGACACAGAAAAGGCATTTGATAAAATTCAACCTCCCTTCATAATAAAACTCTCAACAAATTAGGCATAGGAGGAACATATTTCAATGTAATAAATGCCATATATGACAAACCCACAGCTAGTATCATACTGAATGAGGAAAAGCTGAAAGATTTTTTTCCTCTAAGAACTGGAACAAGACAAGAATGCCCACTTTTATTACTCTCATTCAGCTTAGTATTGGAAGTCCCAGACAGAGTAATCAGGCAAGAGGAAAAAATAAGGCATTCAAACAGGAAAAAAGGAAGTCAAATTGTTTCTCTTTGCAGCTGACATGATGTTTTATATTGGAAACCTATAGACTCCAATATATGAATGTTATATATTGAAAAACCTAGATTCCACCAAAAAATTCTTAGAAGTAATAAATAAAATCAAAAAAGATGCATGATAGAAGATCCACATACAAAAATCAGTAACATTTTTATATAGAAACAACAAGCTTTGTAAGAAAGAGATCAAGAAAGCAGTCTCATTTACAATAGCCACAAAATAATAATACTACCTAGGAATAAGTTTAACCAAAGAAGTAAAAGACTTCTACAACAAAAACTACAAAACACTGATGAAAGAAATTGAAAGGAGACAAATGAATGGAAAGTCACTCATGCTCATGAACTGGAAGAATTAATATTGTTAAAATGACCATACTACCTAAAGCAATCTACATATTCAATGCAATCCCTATCAAAATTCCAACATTCTTCACAGAAATAGGAAAAGCAATTCTGAAATTCATATGAAATTACAAAAGACTATAAATAAAGCAATCCTAAGCATAAAGAAAAAAACTGGAGGTTTTGTACTGTTTGACTTCAAAATTTACTACAAAGCTTTCGTAGTCAAAACAGCATGATATTGCTATAAAATAGATACATAGATCAATGGAGCAGAGTAGAGAACCCAGAAATAAATCCACATATTTACAGCTAACTGATGTTTACCAAAGGTGCCAAGAACATACATTGGGGAAAGGAAAACCTCTTCAATAACTAGTGCTGAGAAAATTGAATATCCATATGCAGAAGAATAAGACCAGGCCCCTATATCTCACTATATACAAAAACCAATTAATTGGATTGAAGATTTAAACATAAGACCTATAATTATAAACTACCAGAAGAAAATCTAGAAGATATGTTTCAGGACAACGGTATAGGCAAAGAATTTGTGGCTAAGACTTCAAAAGCGCAGGCAACAAAAACAAAAATAGGCAAATAAAACTGTATTAAACTAAAAAGCTTCTGCACAGCAAAGGAAACAATATAGTAAAGAAACAATTTGTAGAATGGGAGAAAATATTTGCAAACTATTAATCTGACAAGAGACTAACATAAAGAATATATAAGCAACTCAAACATCTCAACAGAAAAAAAAAACTTATTAAAAAGTGAGCCAAGGATCTGAATAGACATTTCTCAAAAGAAGACATACAAATGGCCAACAGGTATATGAAAAAATGCTCAATATCACTAATCATCAGTAAAATGCAAATTAAAATCCCAATGAGATGTCATCTCAAATGTCTTAAGATGGCTATTAACAAAAAGACAAAAAAAAGTGTTGATGAGGATGTGCAGAAAAGGGAACCCTTGTACACTGTTGGTGGATGTATAAAGTAGTACAACCATTATGAAAAAAAGTATGGAGGTTTCTCAAAAACCTAAAAGTAGAACTACCTCTGATCCAGCAGTCCCACTACTGGGTATTTATCCAAAGAAAAGGAAATCAGTGTATCAGAGAAGTACCTGTACCTTCATGTTTATTGCAGCAGTATTCACAAAAGCCTAGATATGCAATCAACCTAAGTGTCCATCAAAAGATGAATCGGATACTATTCAGCCATAAAAAGAATGAAATTCTGTCATTTGCAGCGACATGGATGAAACTGGAGGTCATTATGTTTAGCGAAATAAGCCAGGCACAGAAAAGCAGATATTACGTGAACACACTCATATGTGGGAGCTAAAAAAGTGGGTATCATTGAGCTAAAGAGTAGAATGATCATTACTAGAGGCAAGGAAGGGGGAGTGGAGATGAAGAGAGGTTGGTTAATGGGTACAAACATACATTATATAGAAGGAATAAGTTCTAGTGTTTGGTGGCACAGTAGGGTGTCAATAGTTAAAAATGATAATATATTTTATATTTCAAAATAGCTAGAAAGGAAAATATGAAATATTTTCAACACAAAGAAATGATATATGTTTCAGGTGATGAATATCCTAAATACTCTGATTTGACCAAAACATGTTATATGCATATATCAAAATATCACACAGCCCCCATAAATATGCACAATTATTTTTTATCAATAAAAATGCTCACTGTCAACACTTCTATTTATTTGTTATACTTGAGGTCCTAGTGCACTAATGTCAGAAAAATAAACCTAAAAATCTCTACAAATAAGTTATTGCAATTAGTAAGTAAACAATTGAAACACATTTTTAAAAGACAGCGCTTGTAATTACATTAAGAAGTCAAGTATCTAAGAATAAACCTAATTTAATATCTGCAAGACCTCTAAACAAAAAATAACACATCACTGAAAAAAAACTAAAGAGACCTAAATAAATGGAAGACTATACCATATGTTAGAAGATTCAATAAAGATATCAATTTACCCCAAAACGTTCATATATTTAATGCAATTCCAATCAAAATCCAGCATCAATTTTTGTGAAAACTTTCAAATTTTCTGTAAAATAAATACAGATATACAATGAGTCAAAAATAGCTATGAACCTCTTACTGAAGACAAACCTGAAAGATTTCCTCTCTCAGATATCAAAACTTGTTTAAAAGCTACAGTAATTATAATAGTGTGGTTTTGATGCAAGGATGGACTAGTAGACAATGAAATATAATAGAGAGCCCAGAAATAGACATACTTGCTTTTAGCCATATGATTCACAACAAAGGTGCCACTACAATTCAGTAGGGAAAGGATGTATTCTAAATAAAGGTTACTGGGCCAATTAGATATCTATATAGGGGGGAAAAGCATAAACCTTGAACCCTACCTTATAACGTACACTAAAATCAGTTCCAGGTGGATTGTAGATATAAATGTGAAAAAGTAAAAATAAAGTTTCTAAGTCATCATTATCTAATAGAAATATGATGCAACCCACATAATGCAATTCTCAGATCTATGCATAAAAAGATAAAAAGAAACTGAATTAAATTTTAGTAATATATTTCATAGATTATATATTTAATATATTTATTTGTTAATAATTAAATTATTATATTAATTAATTATTACTTGATTATGTTATAATTATTGTTAATATAATAATTGTGATATTAATATATTTAATATATTAAATAATATATTTAACACATCAAATATGTTATTTCTATACGTAGTCAATGTTAAAATGTTAATAAAATATTTTATATTTGTTATTCATATTGTCTTTGAAATGTATATTTTATAATTATAGTGCATCTCAATTTGGATTAAACACATTTCAAGTATTCAACAACCCTTGTGACTAGTGACTACCATATTGGATAGCACAACACAATGCAACCTAGAAAAATATCATGGTGGCCTTAGAGTGGGGAGAAGATTCTCAAATAAGCTCCAGAATAATCAATCATGAAAGATAAATAAATTGCATTTAAATTATTTAAATTTTGGTAAATGAAATTAAGCACAAAAGTGTGAAAAGGCAAACTGTGGGATGGGTGAAGATATTTGCAACACTTATAACCAATTAAATGTTCCCCAGATTGTATAGGAAATCCTATAAATCAAAAGAAAAATAAAAAAATCAGATCACTTGATATAAAAGAAAAAAATAGGCCAGGCGCGGTGGTTTACGCCTGTAATCCCAGCACTTTGGGAGGCCGAGGCAGGCAGATCACCTGAGGTTGGGAGTTCAAGACCAGCCTGACCAACATGGAGAAACCCCGTCTCTACTAAAAATACAAAATTAGCCGGGCGTGGAGGCGCATGTCTGTAATCCCAGATATTGGGGAGGCTGAGGCAAGGGAATCGCTTGAACCCAGGAGGCAGAGGTTGCAGTGAGCCAAGATTACGCCCCTACACTCCAGCCCAGTAACAGCGCAAGACTCCCTCTCAAAAAAATAATAATAATCATAATCATAATCACAAAATAATTAAAAAAAGAAAAAAAGAAGAGATTTAAGAGAGATGTATTAGTCAGCTAGCTGACATGAGAAAATACCTCAGACTACATGGTTTATACAACAGAAATCAATTTCCTCACAATTCTGTGGCTGGGAAGCCCAAGATGAAGGCGTTGGCCAATTTGGTTTCTCGTAAGGGCTTTCTTCCTGGCTTTCAGATGGCCTCTTCCCTGTGTCCTTACATAACAGAGAAAGAGATCCCTCTACACTTCTTGTAAGGACACTAATCCTATTGTTTCAGGGCCCCTCCTTTAGGACCTCATTCACCCTTAACTGCCTTCATACCCAATCTCCAAATTCAGTCACACTAGGGGTTGGGGCTTCAAAAGATGAACTTTAGGGAGACGCAAACATTCAGTTCATAATAAAACACTTCACAAAAGAGAATATCCAAATGATAAATATGAATATAAAATATGAAAATGTGTTCAATATCATTTATCTTCAAAGTAATATAAATTAAAACACAGTAAATACCGGAGTATACCTAGAAGAATGACTAAAATGAAAAGACAACAAGAAACATTGACAAAGATATGCAACAACTAGAATTCTCATACACATTTCATGGCAGTTTAAATTGTTTCAGCCACTTTGAAAAATAGTTTATCACCTGCTAAAGTTGAATATATATGTATACTCTGACAAAGAAATTTCACAATCATGTTTACCAAAAGATTAACAATAGCCACATTCAAAAGCAACACAAATGTCCACTGACATAATAACATATAAATAATTTAAGGTATAGTCATGTAACAGCATATCACAGAACAATGAAAATGATCAAGCTATTTGTTATTCGATTGAATTCCCAGAAGCAGACCCAGAGACAAGAATTCAAGTTCAACTGATTTATATAGAAGATGACTCCAGGAAATATTATTAGAGGAGTGGAGAAATTAGACAGGAAAGGGAATCCGGCCAATAAAACATACATTAGCAAGACAGTTATCATTACAAGTAAGTGGAACTTAATCCCACTGGGGAACTCTGAGACTCAGTGTCAAATACTTGCCTCAGAGTTATGTTACCCACGGAGTCGGGGAGCTAGGGCATTTATACACAAACTTTTGTCAGTCATTGATTGAGATCTGCTAGACCGTCATTAATTTCTCTAAATTTCTGGCTTTCAGATGCAAGAGGTGAGGCAAAGACAGCCCCCAGGCAGGTACAATTTGGCCTCACTCACTACAATAGTGGCCTGAAAAAATGTAGGTAGAGAGTAATGCCAGTCTCTGCCATACTTCTGCCATGCATGCTAACATAGATGAATCTCACAAATATTATGTTGAAAAAAAAAACCAAAAAGAAAAGAGTACATAAGGTATGTTTCCATTTATATAAAATTCAAAACTAGGGCTGGGTGTGGTGGCTCACACTTGTAATCCCAGCACTTTGGGAGGTCGAGGCAGGAGGATGGCTTGAGCCCAGGTGTTTGAGACAAGCCTGGGCGACATGATGAGACCTCATCTCTACAAAGAAAGTAAAAAATTAGCAGGGCATAATGGTGTGCACCTGTGATCCCAGCTACTTGGGTGGCTGAAGTGGGAGGATTGCTTGAGCCTGGGTAGTGGAGGCTCAAGCAATCCTCCCAGTCTCAAAAAAAAAAAAAAAAAAAAAAAGTCAAACCCAGGCAAAACAAAAGTGGTAGAAGACAGGATAGTGGGAAGGAAGGAGAGGAGATTTGAAGAGGGCACAGAGAGACTTAGGGATGCTTATGATGATTTATTTTTTGACGGGTGGAGAGTACATAGAAGTATTCACAGTATGACAGATAACTCATTGAGCTATACACTTACAAACTGTACATATTTATATACATATATTATTTCCAAATTAAAAGTTGACCTTTTTTAATGGAAGAGAAAATAGGGAAATTGAGTCAGCATTTCAATGCAGGCTGCCTATGTAATGGCAGTCACAGCTAAGGCAGACATTTGTATCACGAAATAGTGTCTGGAAAATGGAAATCTCTATCAACACCTCTAGCTCAGCTCACATTTTCTTGTTCATCAGAGCTAGGATTTGGGGGCAGAGATATGGCATTATATTTACAATGGAACTAAAATCACATTTCCTACTCAGTGGCTGTGGTAACTCCTGAACTGTAAACAAAAACAAGAAAACAAGGCACTCCCTCTTTCTACCTATGGCAGGTGTCTCTTCTGTGCATGTTCAGCCAATATTTGTTTCACTGATGTTTTCTTCACATCTAAACCAATATTTTGCTCCACGGGTATTATGCTGGGCCTGAATTGAGCTGGGAAGGCTGGAGCTAATAGACTCCCCAGGCTTTTCCAATTCTGAGATTGATAAGTTGGGAAGAAATGTGAAAAGAGGGTTCTTAAAGCTCAGGTTGTTGAAATCAGCCAGGATGAGACAAGGACTCTAAAGAGCCTTAGTAAAGAAACACCCGCTTCCAGCGGAGTCTGGAAGCTAAGCAACAAATAAAACATTCTCTTTTTCCAAAGCCAAGATAATTAAGTCCACGTATGGTCCACAGTTTATTTATCTAGGTAAGTCTCATTTTCTTGCCAATACTGATATGCTTTGATTCTAGTCTCTCACTTGGCTTTTCTCTCTAGTTTGCCCAAAAGTCAAAAGCAGCTGTCAGGAAGTTTGAGTTTACAAGGACCATAGCACTAAGACTAGACTAGACATAGCGCTAAGACTAAACCTGAGTTAGTTCATACCTGGAGGTTCTAAGACATCATTATAACCCTGCCTCTCGGTCTCTTTTCCTTTCTGTCCAACAGAAAATATTCAGGCATGTCACCATCTCCACTGTGCTTCATGTAAGGAGAAAAGCATATAATGTCTACGCATAGAGTCAGTGTGACATGAGACTTTTAAACATTTGGTAAACTATGGTCTGGGATAGAACATAGAATAGAGGAAGAAGAGGGATCCAGGAGCTGGAATGTGAAGCAGCCACAGGAATTACTTATTTTTAATTTTTAATGGTTTAGCTCGTGGCCAACTGCCAAAATAAAATATCAGTGCCTACCACACCCTTCCTGAAGTTAATCCCTATGTCACTAATTTCCTGATTTTGCATTGCTTTCTCATCCAAAAAAAGAAAAATCGACTTGAAACCAACTTGCTGTGCCGTCCTCCTCACTCTCCAAGCACCAGTTAAGAGCATTTAGAATGCAGGGAGCACGGAGGAAGGAATGTTGTCTGTTCATTGCTGTGTCCCTAACACCTAGAACAGTGGCTGGGATGTAGTAGATATGCAATATTAGTTTAAATAAATAGTTAAACTATTAAAGTATATAGTATAATTTTCTGATTTTAAAATAATTTTTAAATAAAAATCTTCCATCATTCTCCATTCCTCCTGAGTCAAATATAAAATGACTCTCCAAAAAAAAAGAGGGGGGGTTGAAATATCAATACAGAAAGAAACTTGAACTATTTCATGATTCCATGAGCTTATTTCAAAGATGAGATGCTAGTACTTAAAGAAGGCATGCAGACTGTGCAAAGTTCCTTGGCTATTAAAATCCAGGCCTATAGGCAATTCCAGGCTCTCTAATTCCAGACAAATGGTTTTTACATGTTGCCTCACGGGCTTTTCCTCTGTAAGTTACCTGACCTACTCAGTACACAATGCCACTTACTGTTTCTAATCATTTCTGAATTTAAATAATACTTCAATCACGTTGACCTTTTCTAACTTGCAGTTGAAATGTTATATAAATCTTTTACTTGCTGCAAACACTGTGGAAGAGCAATTTTATAGATAAGACAGTCCTGATTTTTACCCGAAAATGCAAATCTCATCCCAGGTTATTAAATGTTGAAGATGAAAACTATAATTCAATACCATTTCCCGTGTATTCAATTTTCTAAGTTGACCTAGAAAAGTTAGAAATTATTAAACTCTGGAGGAACCTCCAGAAGAGGAACTCACACCAAGATAATTTGTCTTTCAAAAACAAACAGCACTCTATTACTTTCTTAAAAGATTTCCTCTTGAATACAGAATTTTGAGTGCAGTAAGAAAAGGCATCGGAAGCCCATTAGTAATTCTCTAACTTCTGGATGTGCAGTTTATTTCAAATGTGAAATATATCACTGTGAAAAAAACATTTGTTTTAATGAGAAAATTCCCCAAGAGAAGAAATGTTTCTTAGTAGCATACTAATCATTTAGAATTCCCAGACACTGTACTATACATAAGTTTTGACACTTTACGTACAATTCTGAAGTTTCTTAGAACCACAACATGAAAAACTATTAAGCAAATGTTATAGTCTCTGCATTTTATTTTCTGCAATCTCTATTCTAACCTAAATTGATTATTTTGTTGTCGTTGTTCATGCATTTTTGCTAGTTTTAGTCTTCTTTTTTTTTTTAATTATACTTTAAGTTCTGGGATACAAGTGCAGAACATGCATGTTTGTTACGTAGGTATACAGGTGCCATGGTAGTTTGCTGTACCCATCAACGCATCATTTACATTAGGTATTTCTCCTAATGCTATCCCTCCCCTAGCACCCCACCCACCGACAGGCCCCAGTGTGTGATGTTCCCCTCCCTGTGTCCATGTGTTCCCATTGTTCAGCTCCCACTTATGAGGGAGAACATGTGGTGTTTGGTTTTCTGTTCCTGTGTTAGTTTGCTGAGAATGATGGTTTCCAGCTTCATCCATATCCCCGCAAAGGACATGAACTCATCATTTTTTATGGCTGCATAGTATTCCATGGTGTATATGTGCCACATTTTCTTTATCCAGCCTATCATTGATGGGCATTTGGGTTGGTTCCAAGTCATTGCTATTGTGAACAGTGCTGCAATAAACATACGTGTGCATGTGTCTTTATAGTAGCATGATTTATAATCCTTTGGGTATATACCCAGTAATGGGATTGCTGGGTCAAATGGTATTTGTAGTTCTAGATCCTTGAGGAATCGCCACACTGTCTTCCACAATGATTGAACTAATTTACCCTCCCACCAACAGTGTAAAAGCATTCACGTTTCTCCACATCCTCTCCAGCAGCTGTTGTTTCCTGACTTTTTAATGATTGCCATTCTAACTGGCGTGAGATGGTATCTCATTGTGGTTTTGGTTTGCATTTCTCTGACGACCAGTGATGATGAGCTTTTTTTCATGTTTGTTGGCTGCATAAATGTCTTCTTCTGAGAAATGTCTGTTCATATCCTTCACCCATTTTTTGATGGGGTTATTTGTTTTTTTCTTGTAAATTTGTTTAAGTTTTTTGTAGATTCTGGAAATTAGCCCTTTGCCAGATGCAAAAATTTTCTCCCATTCCATAGGTTGCCTGTTCACTCTGATGATAGTTTCTTTTGGTGTGCAGAAGCTCTTTAGTTTAATTAGATCCAATTTGTCAATTTTGGCTTTTGTTTCCATTGCTTTTGGCGTTTTAGTCATGAAGTCTTTGCCTATGCCTATATCCTGAACGGTATTGCCTAGGTTTTCTCCTAGGGTTTTTATGGTTTTAGGTCTTATGTTTCAGTCTTTAATCCATCTTGAGTTGATTTTTGTATAAGGTGTAAGAAAGGGAAACTTGATCTTAATGCCATTTACTATAACTATAATGATGAAGCAAAAGATATTATTTTTATTATTAATAAACTACGTTCGAGATAAAGAGGATCAAATCCAAGATATATCTCCATCAGAAAAGAGAAAATGTGTCTCCCTATCTTAGAAAGTCTGATAGTGAGGGGTCTTGTAAGTGACCTGTACAATGTTCATTTCAGATATAATGAAGCTGAATCCGGTGTTCAGAGACTTGAACTGACTTTCTACCCAAAGATGACAAAATCTTTAAAGCAGCATTTAATGATTGAAACGACAACCAACTGTTCCCTCCCTGCTTCCTCTCTCCTATGTAGTTTTAAAACTTATGAAATTTTATTTCCTTACACCTTCTTTAACAAATTGGACCTATCTCCACTTAAAAAAGATCTCGGCAAAGATGACAGGAAATGCTCAGTTTTGTTTCATCAAATCGTCATAGCCAGACACATTTCCTAGCAGTCTATATTAAACACAGAGCTGTAGTGTTTGCATTTAAAATTAACTATGAACAGTTCTGACACATAAAGAGGTGCTGGTTGTGCTACTGCTGATTCCAAAACGGGTTGACAGGAGAAATCAATTCAAAAAATTGGATGCTTTTGGATTTTTCCTAATAGTCTAGAAAAATATAGTGGAAGAGATAGTACACAGCAAGTAGCTGATCCAACAAACAAGACCACTTTGATACTTCTCTCATGTGACATATAAGCAGAAAATGATTATTTAAAATAGGAAACAGCCAGTCTTAGTCCCTATTCCTTCTGCCTGAGTTGCCCCTAATGGTTTCTCTTTTTCTTGGAGCCCCGGAAAACTTGAACTCTAACAGCTTTTAGATACATGACTGTCATTTATTTCCTGGCCAAAGAGTTTATTGCACAGGAATTGAATAATACTGAAAAGCAATTAGTACTCTATCTAACATACCTTATTTTTCATATTTGTACCATATATGGTCAGTATTTATATTATGCCAATACAGTTGGGAAAATATAATCATAAATAAAACAATCTGCCCTCAAGAATCTCAGGCTACCAAGTAGATAGAAATGCAAATATGAGAGAAAAGCTTCCGTAGTAGAGGAGAAAATAATACTCATAGCAGCAAGATGAGAGGATTAAAAACAATTCTTGAGGGAGTTGGGGAAATCTGCACAGAAAAGATAATATCTGAGTTTTGAGTTTAACATTAAGAAGGACTTTGTCAGGTGAAGAAAGATAGCATAAGGCAGTGCAGGGGACATTAAAAAAATCAGCTGGGTGATGCTCAGAGAGGGTGAATGTACAAATAGGGGAGAAAATCAAAGTTAGGATGGGAACAATTTTACATGCCCTATTCATTCAGGGGCATAATGTTTGTTGCAAATCCTTCATGATACATTCAGCTGGGAAGAAATAAGCTCAAAATGGCTTAACTAAATAGTTATCTCATGTAATGAGAAAGATGGAGATAGGCCCTTTTCAACATAATTAATTTAAAGACTCATCAACACCATCAAATACCTAGGCTCTTTTCTTCTTTCAATTTAGCTGTCTTTAACATATTGGCTTTGGCCTTGAAACTAGTCCCCTCACAGTTTCAAGATGGCTGCCTTCAATAGCTATTCCTGCATGTCTCATGACCATGAATTGTGTCATATAATTATTCTTCCTAAGTCAATTAATAGCCAAGGGAAACGGAACTAACATGATTAGCTTGAACTAACCAAGATTTTCCCAGTTTATATTGAAGTATATTACCTTCAAATACCAATTAAAATTTAAGTTTTGGTAGGTAGCAAGGAAGAAATACAAGAAAAGTTAAGCGTGTTACCTTCAAATGCAAAATTAAAATCTAAGTTTTGGCAGGCAGCAAGGAGGAAACAGAGGAAAAGTTATCAGATAGTGAACAGATAGTATTTGCCAAAAGACCTTAGCCAGGGAGAAGAGAGGGACAAGCAATGACCAGCCAAACTCTCATTTAAAAACAAGGTAGGTTCTGGTGAGGGATGTTGATAATGGAGAAGGCTATCCATGTGTGGGGACTGAGGAGTAGAAGGGAAATCTCTGTACCTCCTCTCAATTTTGCTGCGAACCTAAAACTGCTAAAATAAATAAATAAATAAAGTATTTAAATTAAAAAAAAAACTAGTAGGAATCATATCTGGATGCAACCCATTTTGCTGAAAAGCCAAATTGTATAGAAATTTAATTATCTTAATGTAATATAGCCAATTAATAATGCAAATAAAGACACTTTGGACTAAAATATGATTTAGTAAACTTGCCAAGTTTCACAGGAAGATTCAGTCCTCTTTAAGTTTATTTATTTTACTTTCAAGAGTAGTTTTCTATTTTTTTTTCTTGTTTTAACTTGCAGAAATGTTACATGTAAGGTTTCACTTGGGCATTAATTTTCTACTTTACTAAGTATTTGTAAAATGTAATACATTTAGACACAATGCACCTTAAATTATTTTTGCATAGTATTGTTTATTTTGTTTAAAGTGGTTTTGTAATAGATTTATTGAGGTGTAATTGTCATGTAATAAATTGTACATATTGAATCTGTATAATTTTATAAGTTTTGATATATGTCTATCTGTGATGTTATCCTTTTTTCAGAAATGTTATGATTTGGAGTTTTATATTTAAGTCTATAATGAATTTTAAGTTACTTTTGTTATAATACAAAATATAAATCAAGGGTTTTGTTGTATATAGAGAACTAGTTGTTCCAATACCTTTTGTTGAAAAAGCATCTTTTACCCTATTGAATTACCTTGGCATGTTTGACAAAAATCCCTGGGTTTCGTTTTGGATAGTTTCTACTGCTCCATCTTCAAGTTTACTAATCTTTTCTTCATCAGTATCAAATCCTCTTTTAATCCAAGGAAATGTGTTTCTCATATCAGATATTATACTGTTCATTTCTAGAAGTTCTACTTGGGTCCTTTTTTATTTTCTATATTTTTATATAAGAAGCTCCATATTTCCTCTATATTCTTGAATATATGGAATATTGTTAGCGTAACTATTTTATGTCTTTGTTCACTATTTCTAACATCTGTGTCATATTTGGATCTCTTTTACTGATTATTTTCCTTTGTTCATCATAGGTTGTATTTGCAGGTTTGTTTCCACAATGGGTAATTTTTCATTTGATACCCAATTTTTTTTACACTTGCTAAATGTTGAGTAATTTTATGTCCCTATAAATATTATTGAACTTTGCTCTGATAAGCAGTAAGTTGCTTGGAAAGAATTTGATTATTCTGAGGCTTCTTTTTAAACTTTTTTAGCCAGGACCAGTGCAGCCTATAATCTAGAACAAATTTGGCCCCATTAGGGAGGAAATGCCATTCTGAGTGTTCTACGTGTCCCATAAATTATGTAGTGTCCCACTTTGGCTGGTAGATATACCAACTACTCCCAAACCTGTGTGAGACCTCAAGATTGTTTTCCTTGCTTATTTTAGGTATTTTAGAGGTTTTCACCCACTCCCGACCCGTTGAATAAAGTAGTTTCATTATATGCATGTGCTAATGCAGTACTCAGCTGAAGACTCGAGGGAGACCCTCTGCAGTTCACGTGTGAGTTCTGTCTATCTCTTGCCTCTCCAGCATTCTTCTTTTTTTTTTTTAAACTTTTATTGTAGGTTCAGGGGTACATGTGCAGGCTTGATATATAGGTAAACTCATGTCACAGGAGTTTGGCATTCAGATTATTTCATCATCCAGTTACTAAGCATAGTACTCAATAGTTATCTTTTCTGATCCTCTTGCTCCTCCTACCCTTCATCCTCGAGTAGGCTCCAGTGTCTGTTGTTCTGTTTATGTCCATGTGTTCTTAACATTTAGCTCCCACTTAAAAGTGAGAACATGCGGTATTTGGTTTTCTGTTCCTGAATTAGTTTTCCAAAGAAAATAGCCTTCAGCTCCATTCACGTTCCTGCAAAGAACACGATCTCATTCTTTTTTATGGCTGCATAGTATTCCATGGTATATATGTACCACATTTTCTTTATCCATCCCTTGATGGGCATTTAGGTTGATTCCATGTCTTTGCTATTGCAAATAGTGCTATAATGAATGTACGTATGCATGTGTCCTTATGGTAGAATGATTTATATTCTTTTGGGAATGTACCCTGCAATGGGATTTCTGGGTCAAATGGTAGTTCTGTTTTTACTTCTTTGAGGTACCACACTAATTTACACAATGGTTAAACTAATTTACACTTACACCAGTATTGCATAAGCATTCCCTTTTCTCTGTAACCTCACCAGAATCTGTTATTTTTTGACTTTCTAATAATAGTCATTCTGATTGGTGTGAGATGGTATCTCATTGTGGTTTTAATTTGCATTTCTCTAATGGTTAGGGATGTTGAGCTTTTTTTCATGTGCTTTTTGGCCACGTATATGTCTTCTTTTGAAAAGTGTCTGTCAATTTCCTTTGCCCAATTTTTAATGGGGATGCTTGGGTTTGCTTGTAAATGTGTTTAAGTTCCCTATACATTCTGAATATTAGACCTTTGTCAGAAGCATACTTTGCAAATATTTTCTCCCATTATGTAAGGTTGTCTGTCTACTTTGCTGATAGTTTCTTTTGCTGTGCGGAAGCTCTTTAGTTTAATTAGATCCATTTGTCAATGTTTTTGCTATTGCTGCAATTGCTTTTGGCATCTTTGTCATGAAATCTTTGCCAGTTCCTATGTCCAGAATGCTATTTCCTAGGTTGTCTTCCAGAGTTTTTATAGTTTTGAGTTTAACATTTAAGTCTTTAATCCATCTCGAGTTAATTTCTGTGTATGGTGTAAAGAAGGGGTTCAGTTTCAGTCTTCTGCATATGGCTAGCCAGTTATCCCAGCACCATTTATTAAATAGAGAGTCCTTTCCCCATTGCTTGTTTTTGTCATCTTTTTCACCTCCCTAGTATTCTGCCTTGTGAACTATAGCCACACTGGCCTCCCCAGACTCCCAGACTCCTTAACTCAGGATGACTGCCTGATTCCACTTGGTTTCCACCTTCCTGAGCAAAAGCCTGAAAACTCTTTCCAAGCAGTAAGCTGGGTCTGTTGTAGGAGGCACCTTATTTGTTTCCCCTTCCTCAGGGAATCACTCTTCTGGACTACCTAATGCCCAATGTCTAATAACTACTGCTTCATATATATTTTTACAGTTTTTTTACTTGTTTCAGCTGAGAGGGTAAATCTGGTCCATTTTGTCTGAAAGGGGAAGTCTACTCTAGACAGTTTCAATTAGTCTAACTGCTTAAAGCCATGTCTGTATTATTCTATTTGTAATGTATAGTTATCATTCACATTATTTCTTATGGATTCATTAAGTTGGTCTATTTCACTATTCTTGCTTTTTTGTGATTTTTATATTATTTTGATTTTATATTATTTTGTTTCATTTGTAGGCTTTGTGTACTATGTAAATTTAGTAGATAGCCAATATCTATGAACATTTAGTAAGGTCTTATGGTTTGATAATAATCAAGAAAGGTACTCGATTAGTCAGGGTTCTCCAGAAGGACAGAACTACTAGGATATATGTATATATGAAAGGGAGTTTATTAGGGATAATTGGCTCACATGATTACAAGCAAAGTTCCATGGTAGGCCATCTGCAAGCTGGGGAAGAAAGAAGCCAGCAGGGGCTCAGTCAGAGTACAAAAGCCTCAAAAGTAGGGAAGCTGATAGTGCGGCTTTCAGTCGAGACCCCAACAAATTCCTGGTATAAGTCTAAGAGTCAAAAGGCCAAAGAAGCTGGAGTTTGATGTCCAAGGGCAGGAGAAATGGAAGGAAGCATCCATCATGCGAGAAAGATGAAAACCAGAAGCAAGGTTATCCCACCTTTTTCTGCCTGCTTTGCCCTAGCTCTGCTTGCAGCCAATTGGATGGTGCCCACCCACATTCTGTCAGAGAAGGATCCCAGGAATAGGGAAAGAATAGCCAAGAATACTGTGCCTGAAGTCAAACCATCATACCTGTGTATGTAGTCAAAGGGGAATCTATTTGCTGATTGTTGACAAATACTGAGTCTGAGAAGCAAGTTTCATCAGAGAATGATAAATATAAACAACAAAAAAATGCTGATTAACCTTTTAGTAACACCCTGTTTTTTGTTGTGAAAGGTAATTCAAAGGATGAGATAGTCTCTAAAAGCTATTTCAAGATTGAGGACATTTCAGGAACACATTTGGTGTTCTCGGGAGAACATAGACATGGTACGTGTGAAAAACAGTCTAAGTTACAAAGATCAAATTGAGATGACAAGACAACTGAATCAGATAAACAGAAAGATAAGAAATAAAAGCAAAAAAATCTCTCAACCTGTGTGATGAGTTACAGTGGAAAATTTTTCTAATGTCAGCTCATCCTTTCATTCTTGAAATCAATCCTACTTGTCCATAATGTTTTATTCTTTTATTATGCACTATTTTTATAATAAAATTGCTGCTGTTTTAATTGAATTTCTGCAATTAAATTATTTTCATTTGATCATTGTTTTCCATTTTTGTGTAAATTTTCAGATTTTAATATTAGAATTATGTTAGATTTCTAAACGAATTGTGAATCTTTTATAGTTTTTTAATACTTTGAGACAATTTAAATATCAGAAATTGCTCCTCGAAGCTTTATAATCAGAGCTGGGTGATGTTTTTGTTTGTTTGCAGATTATGGAAGAGAAAATATTTGCCATTTTTATTTATTTGCCATTTTTCTCAATTCTGTTTATAGTTTTATTTTAGTCACATTTTGAACATTGCTTACTGTTAATTCTGGATAACTCATCTTCCCTGAAAATCACCCATATAATCAAATTAATTTAAATTTGGCATAGAGCTATGTAACCTATTTTCTTACAAGTTGAAAATTTAACACAATCTGTGGTTATTTTTTCTTTTCTATTCAAAATATTATGCATTATTGTTTTTTATTGGTAGTACTAAAAGTTTGTTCAATTGGCCTTGTCACAACTCTAGTTCTTAGATTTCTTAATTCTATTTATCAATTATTTTCTAATTTATTCAGTTCTGTTTTTATCTTTCTGCATTCTTCCATTATGTTCTTCTTAAAATCTTCTTATGTAAGTTAAACATCAAAATTTTTTATTTTCTTCTTTCTTTTAAGTAGCTAAGTTTTAAAAGCCATGAATATCTCTTTGCCAGCATCTTATAAGAAAGCTGGTCATTTTCATTAACTTCTTTGCATCCTGTTGTAACAACTTTTATTTCCCTTTTGGTCCAACAGTTATTAAAATTATTTAAGATAATTCTTAAATTTAACTTTAACTTTTAGTTTCTTATTGTCATTAAATTTTGGTAGTCAAAAAATACATCCAATATGGGTTCTAATTTTTGGATCATCAGGGTTTTCTTTTTCATTATTATTATTATTATTATACTTTAAGTTTTAGGGTACATGTGCACAATGTGCAGGTTAGTTACATATGTATACATGTGCCATGCTGGTGTGCTGCACCCATTAACTCGTCATTTAGCATTAGGTATATCTCCTAATGCTATCCCTCCCCCCTCCCCCCATCCCACAACAGTCCCCAGAGTGTGATGTTCCCCTTCCTGGGTCCATGTGTTCTCATTGTTCAATTCCCATCTAGGAGTGAGAACATGCGGTGTTTGGATTTTTGTCCTTGCGATAGTTTACTGAGAATGATGATTTCCAATTTCATCCATGTCCCTACAAAGGACATGAACTCATCCTTTTTTATGGCTGCATAGTATTCCATGGTGTATATGTGCCACATTTTCTTAATCCAATCTATCATTGTTGGACATTTGGGTTGGTTCCAAGTCTTTGCTATTGTGAATAGTGCCACAATAAACATACCTGTGCATGTGTCTTTATAGCAGCATGATTTATAGTCCTTTGGGTATATACCCAGTAACGGGATGGCTGGGTCAAATGGTATTTCTAGTTCTAGATCCCTGAGGAATCGCCACACTGACTTCCACAAGGGTTGAACTAGTTTACAGTCCCACCAACAGTGTAAAAGTGTTCCTATTTCTCCACATCCTCTCCAGCACCTGTTGTTTCCTGACTTTTTAATGATTGCCATTCTAACTGGTGTGAGATGGTACCTCATTGTGGTTTTGATTTGTATTTCTCTGATGGCCAGTGATGATGAGCATTTTTTCATGTGTCTTTTGGCTGCATAAATGTCTTCTTTTGAGAAGTGTCTGTTCATATCCTTTGCCCACTTTTTGATGGGGTTGTTTGTTTTTTTCTTGTAAATTTGTTTGAGTTCATTGTAGATTCTGGATATTAGCCCTTTGTCAGATGAGTAGGTTGCGAAAATTTTCTCCCATTCTGTAGGTTGCCTGTTCACTCTGATGGTAGTTTCTTTTGCTGTGCAGAAGCTCTTGAGTTTAGTTAGATCCCATTTGTTAATTTTGGCTTTTGTTGCCATTGCTTTTGGTGTTTTAGACATGAAGTCCTTGCCCATGCCTATGTCCTGAATGGTAATGCCTAGGTTTTCTTCTAGGCTTTTTATAGTTTTAGGTCTAACGTTTAAGTCTTTAATCCATCTTGAATTAATTTTTGTATAAGGTGTAAGGAAGGGTTCCAGTTTCAGCTTTCTACATATGGCTAGCCAGTGTTCCCAGAACCATTTATTAAATAGGGAATCCTTTCCCCATTCCTTGTTTTTCTCAGGTTTGTCAAAGATCAGATAGTTGTAGATATGCGGCGTTATTTCTGAGGGCTCTGTTCCATTCCATTGATCTATATCTCTGTTTTGGTACCAGTACCATGCTGTTTTGGTTACTGTAGCCTTGTAGTATAGTTTGAAGTCAGGTAGCGTGATGCCTCCAGCTTTGTTCTTTTGGCTTAGGATTGACTTGGCGATGCAGGCTCTTTTTTGGTTCCATATGAACTTTAAACTAGTTATTTCCAATTCTGTGAAGAAAGTCATTGGTAGCTTGATGGGGATGGCATTGAATCTATAAATTACCTTGGGCAGTATGGCCATTTTCACGATATTGATTCTTCCTACCCTTCAGCATGGAATGTTCTTCCATTTGTTTGTATCCTCTTTTATTTCATTGAGCAGTGGTTTGTAGTTCTCCCTGAAGAGGTCATTCACGTCCCTTGTAAGTTGGATTCCTAAGTATTTTACTCTCTTTGAGGCAATTGTGAATGGGAGTTCACTCATGATTTGGCTCTCTGTTTGTCTGTTATTGGTGTGTAAGAATGCTTGTGATTTTTGTACATTGATTTTGTATCCTGAGACTTTGCTGAAGTTGCTTATCAGCTTAAGGAGATTTTGGGCTGAGACAATGGGGTTTTCTAGATATACAATCATGTCATCTGCAAACAGGGACAATTTGACTTCCTCTTTTCCTAATTGAATACCCTTTATTTCCTTCTCCTGCCTAATTGCCCTGGCCAGAACTTCCAACACTATGTTGAATAGGAGTAGTGAGAGAGGGCATCCCTGTCTTGTGCCAGTTTTCTAAGGGAATGCTTCCAGTTTTTGCCCATTCAGTATGATATTGGCTGTGGGTTTGTCACAGATAGCTCTTATTATTTTAAGATACGTCCCGTCAATACCTAATTTATTGAGAGTTTTTAGCATGAAGGGTTGTTGAATTTTGTCAAAGGCCTTTTCTGCATCTATTGAGATAATCATGTGGTTTTTGTCTTTGGTTCTGTTTATATGCTGGATTACATTTATTGATTTGCGTATATTGAATCAGCCTTGCATCCCAGGGATAAGGCCCACTTGATCATGGTGGATAAGCTTTTTGATGTGCTGCTGGAATCGGTTTGCCAGTATTTTATTGAGGATTTTTGCATCAATGTTCATCAAGGATATTGGTCTAAAATTCTCTTTTTTGGTTGTGTCTCTGCCAGGCTTTGGTATCAGGATGATGCTGGCCTCATAAAATGAGTTAGGGAGGATTCCTTCTTTTTCTATTGATTGGAATAGTTTCAGAAGGAAGGGTACCAGTTCCTCCTTGTACCTCTGGTAGAATTCGGCTGTGAATCCATCTGGTCCTGGACTCTTTTTGGTTGGTAAGCTATTGATTATTGCCACAATTTCAGAGCCTGTTATTGGTCTATTCAGAGATTCAACTTCTTCCTGGTTTAGTCTTGGAAGAGTGTATGTGTCGAGGAATGTATCCATTTCTTCTAGATTTTCTAGTTTATTTGTGTAGAGGTGTTTGTAGTATTCTCTGATGGTAGTTTTGAATTTCGGTGGGATCGGTGGTGATATCCCCTTTATCATTTTTTATTGTGTCTATTTGATTCTTCTCTTTTTTTTTCTTTATTAGTCTTGCTAGTGGTCAATCAATTTTGTTGATCCTTTCAAAAAACCAGCTCCTGGATTCATTAATTTTTGAAGGGCTTTTTTTGTCTCTATTACCTTCAGTTCTGCTCTGATTTTAGTTATTTCTTGCCTTCTGCTAGCTTTTGAATGTGTTTGCTCTTGCTTTTCTAGTTCTTTTAATTGTGATGTTAGGGTGTCAATTTTGGATCTTTCCTGCTTTCTCTTGTGGGCATTTAGTGCTATAAATTTCCCTGTAAACACTGCTTTGAACGTGTCCCAGAGATTCTGGTATGTTGTGTCTTTGTTCTCGTTGGTTTCAAAGAACATCTTTATTTCTTTTAAAATAAATTTTATGTATATTTGAGGTTCACAAAACAAAGTTATGAGTTACATATAGTAGTTAAATTATTACTACAGTGAAGCAAATTAACATGTCTATAATCCCACATACATTTTTGGGTACAAGAGCAAGAAAATTTACTTATTTAACAAAAATACCTAATAAATTGTATAAACTGTCATCCTCATTTTGTGCATTAAATCTCTAGATTTGCTTATCCTACATATATGCTACTTTGTAACTTTAACCTACATCTCCCCATTTTATTGAGGTTTTCTTTGAAGGCAAGATTCATCCTATCTGTCGCTCTCTTGCCACACACTATCTTCTTCATCACATTATCCTATTTAACTTCTTTCATAACATTAACCAATTTTTGAAATTAACATTCTTCTACACTTGTTTATATGTATGTTTTCAATCACTTTTCATTATAAAAGGGACTTGTTCATACTACTATGTAACAATATAGAGACTATCCATAATAAATGTTTACTGGTGAAATGAATATGAACAATCTTGTTTTATTTCTATAGACAATTTAAAGTAATGCAAATTTTTTGTTCATTGTGTAATTATTGTCTTTAAATTATGTGTATAATTTGTGAGATATATGAAGTCATCAGAGGAAAGAAAGCAGAGAGGACAAAAAGAGAAGTGTGCAAAGACATGGAATAAACCTAAATGCCCATCAATGATAAACTGGATAAAGAAAATATGGTACATATACACCATGGGATATTATGCAGCCATAAAAAAGAATAAGATCATGTCTTTTGCAGGGACATGGATGGAACTGGAGGTCATTATCCTTAGCAAACTAACACAAGAATGGAAAACCAAATACCATATGTGCTCACTTATAAGTGAGAGCTAAATGATGAGAACACATGGACACATGGAGGGGAATAACACATACAGGGGTCTTTCAGAGGGTGTAGGGTGGGAGGAGGGAGAGGATCAGGAAAAATAACTAATGGATACTATGCTTAATACCTACTTGATGAAATAATCTGTACAACATACCCCCTTGACACACATTTACCTATGTAACAAAGCTGCACTTGTACCCCTGAACTTAAAAGTCAAAAAAAAATTTTTAAGTTAAATAAAATGAAGTACGGGAGGATTCTCTCCTAAGGTAAGATTTCAATCTAGCAATCAAAAGTGCAGCTTAGAATGGACTTGAACCCGGGAGGCAGAGGTTGCAATGAGCCGAGATGGTGCCACTGCACTCCAGCCTGGGCAATGAGAGCGAAACTCCATCTAAAAAAAAAAAAAAGAAGAAGAGAATGGACTAGTAAAGAAGATCTAATGATCTATTCCTTACGAGAAACACAGTTTACCTATAAAGACACACATAGATTGAAAATAAAGGGATAAGCAAACATATGCTCTGCAAATAGAAACCAAAAAACAGTGGTAGTATCTACACTTATATCAGAAAAAATGGATTTCAAGGCAACAAGTGTAAGAAGAGAAAAGGTAAGCATATGATTATGAAGAGATCAATCCAGTAAGAGGACATAACAATTTTAAATGTATATGTACCCAACACTGGCACACCCAGATATATAAAGCAAACTTTAGAACTAAAGAGAGAGATAGACGGGACTTAAATACCCTGCATTCATCATTGGACAGATCTTCCAGACAGAAAATCAGCAAAGAAACACTGGACTTAATCTGCACCATAGACCAAATGGACCTAATAGATATTTACAGAACATTTCATCCAATGGCTACAGAATACACATTCTTTTCCTCAGCATGTGGACCATACTCAAGGATGGACCACATGGTAGATTACAAAATAAGTCTTAAAACATTCCAAAAAATGAAATAATATTAAGGGACTTCTCTGACCACAAGGTGATAAAACTAGAAATCAATAACAAGAAGATTTTTTGAAACTACACAAACACACAGAAATTTAAAAATATGGTCTTGAATGACCATGGATCAATGAAGAAATTAAGAGGGAAATTGAAAAATGTCTTAAAAAATGATAATGGAAATAAAACATATCAAAACCTATGGGATACAGCAAAAGCAGTACTAAGAGGGAAGTTTGCAGCTATAGGTGTCCACATCCAAAAAGAAGAAAAACTTCAAGTAAACAACCTAATGACACATTTTAAAGAACTAGAAAAACACAAACAAGACCCAAAATTAGCAGAAGAAAAGAAACAAAAAAATAAGAGCAGAAAAAAATAAAATTGAAATTAAAAAATACAAAATATCAATGAATGAAAAAGTTGGTTTTTGAAAAGATAAAAAAAAAAAATCACGAACTTTTAGCCAGACTGAGAAAAAAATGAAAGAGGCCACAAATAAATAAAATCAGAAGTGAAAAAGGAGACATTAAAATTGATACTACAGAAACTAAAAAGATTAGTAATGGCTACTATGAGCAACTATATGCCAATAAACTGAATAATCTAGAAGAATGGACAAATGCCTAGACACACAGAACTGGCTAATTGAACCATGAAGAAGTCCAAAACCTGAACAGACCAATAACAAGTAACAAGGCTGAAGTCATAATGAAATGTCTCCCAGTAAAGAAAAGCCCAGGACCCAATGGCCTCAGTGCCTTATTATACCAAACATTTAAGGAAGAACTAATACCAATCCTACTCAAAGTATTCCAAAAAATAGAGGAGATGGGAATACTTCCAAATGCATTCTATAAGGCCAGTATTACTCTGGTACCAAATCCAGACAAAGACACATCAAAAAAAGAAAACTACAGGCAATATCTCTGAAGAACATTGATGCAAAAATCCTTAACACTAAAAATTCAAATTCAACACTATATTAAAAAATTATTCATCATGACGAACTGGGATTTATCCCTGGGATGCAAGAATCATTTAACATGTCCAAAATAATTAATGTGATACATCATATCAACAGAATGAAGGACAAAAACATTATGGTCATTTCAAATGATGCTGAAAAAGCACTTGATAAGATTCAACATCCCTTCATGATAAAAATCCTGAAAAAACTAGGCATTGAAGGAACATGCCTCAGCATAATAAAAGCCATATATGACAGACCCACAGCTAGTATAATGCTAAATTAGGAAAAAAATGAAAGCCTTTCCTGTAAGATCTGGATGGAGCACGACAAGTTTTCCCACTTTGACCACTTTTACTCAACAGAGTTCTGGAAGTCTTGGTTAGAGCAATCAGATAAGAGAAAGAAATAAAGGGAATGCAAATTAGAAAGAAAGAAGTCAAATTATCCTTGTTTGCTGATGATATAATTTTATATTTGGAAAAACCTAAAGAATCTCCTAGAAAACTATTAGAACAGTTAAGCAAATTCAGTAAATTTGCAGGATAGAAAATCAACATACAAAAATCAGTAGCATTTCTATATACCAATAGAGAACAATCTGAAAAGAAATTTTAAAAAGTAATCCCATTTACAGTAGCCACAAATAAAAGTAAATATCTAAGAATTAACCAAAAAAGTGAAAAGTGTCTATAATGAAAACTATAAAACACTGATGAAAGAAATTGAAGAGGATACCAAAAAAAAAATGGAAAGAAATTTCATGTTCATGGATTGGATGAATCAATAGTGTTAAATGTCCATGCTTCACATTCAAGGAAATCCCTATATACCAATCTACAGACTCAATGACATCTACGGCAATCTACAGATTTAATAAAATCACTATCAAAATATCAATGACATTATTTACAGAAATAGATAAACAATCCCAAAATTTATATGGAAACTCAAAAGGCCCAGAATAGCCAAAGCTATTTTTAACAAAAAACATAAAACTGGAGGAAACACATTACCTAACTTCAAATTACACTACAGAGCTATAGTAACCAAAATAGCATTGTAACAACATAAAAAAAGAAACATAGACCAATGGAAAAGAATAGACAACATAGCTTCCAACACTACGTTGAATAGGAGTGGTGAGACAGGGCATCCCTGTCTTGTGCCAGTTTTCAAAGGGAATGCTTCCAGTTTTTGCCCGTTCAGTATGATATTGGCTGTGGGTTTGTCATAGATAGCTCTTATTATTTTGAGATACTTCCCATCAATACCTAATTTATTGAGAGTTTCTAGCATGAAGTGTTGTTGAATTTTGTCAAAGGCCTTTTCTGCATCTATTGAGATAATCATGTTGTTTTTGTCTTTGGGTCTGTTTATATGCTGGATTACATTTATTGATTTGCGTATATCGAACCAGCCTTGCATCCCAGGGATGAAGCCCACTTGATCATGGTGGATAAGTTTTTTGATGTGCTGCTGGATTCGGTTTGCCAGTATTTTATTGAGGATTTTTGCATCAATGTTTATCAAGGATATTGGTCTAAAATTCTCTTTTTTGGTTGTGTCTCTGCCAGGCTTTGGTATCAGGATGATGCTGGCCTCATAAAATGAGTTGGGGAGGATTCCTTCTTTTTCTATTGATTGGAATAGTTTCAGAAGGAATGGTACCAGTTCCTCCTTGTACCTCTGGTAGAATTCGGCTGTGATTCCATCTGGTCCTGGACTCTTTTTGGTTGGTAAGCTATTGATTATTGCCACAATTTCAGAGCCTGTTATTGGTCTATTCAGAGATTCAACTTCTTCCTGGTTTAGTCTTAGGAGGGTGTACGCGTTGAGGAATTTATCCATTTTTTCTAGATTTTCTAGTTTATTTGCGTAGAGGTGTTTGTAGTATTCTCTGATGGTAGTTTGTATTTCTGTGGGATTGGTGGTGATATACCCTTTATCATTTTTTATTGCATCTATTTGATTCTTCTCTCTTTTCTTCTTTATTAGTCTTGCTAGCGTTCAATCAATTTTGTTGATCCTTTCAAAAAACCCAGGTCAATTAGGCAGGAGAAGGAAATAAAGGGTATTCAATTAGGAAAAGAGGAAGTCAAATTGTCCCTGTTTGCAGATGACATGATTGTATACCTAGAAAACCCCATTGTCTCAGCCCAAAATCTCCTTAAGCTGATAAGCAACTTCAGCAAAGTCTCAGGATACAAAATCAATGTACAAAAATCACAAGCATTCTTATACACCAATAACAGACAAACAGAGCCAAATCATGAGTGAACTCCCATTCACAATTGCTTCAAAGAAAATAAAATACTTAGGAATCCAACTTACAAGGGACGTGAATGACCTCTTCAAGGAGAACTACAAACCACTGCTCAATGAAATAAAAGAGGATACAAACAAATGGAAGAACATTCCATGCTGAAGGGTAGGAAGAATCAATATCGTGAAAATGGCCATACTGCCCAAGGTAATTTACAGATTCAATGCCATCCCCATCAAGCTACCAATGACTTTCTTCACAGAATTGCAAATAACTACTTTAAAGTTCATATGGAACCAAAAAAGAGCCTGCATTGCCAAGTCAATCTTAAGCCAAAAGAACAAAGCTGGAGGCATCATGCTACCTGACTTCAAACTATACTACAAGGCTACAGTAACCAAAACAGCATGGTACTGGTACCAAAACAGAGATATAGATCAATGGAATGGAACAGAGCCCTCAGAAATAACGCCGCATATCTACAACTATCTGATCTTTGACAAACCTGAGAAAAACAAGCAATGGGGAAAGGATTCCCTATTTAATAAATGGTTCTGGGAACACTGGCTAGCCATATGTAGAAAGCTGAAACTGGATCCCTTCCTTACACCTTATACAAAAATTAATTCAAGATGGATTAAAGACTTAAATGTTAGACCTAAAACCATAAAAAGCCTAGAAGAAAACCTAGGCATTACCATTCAGGACATAGGCATGGGCAAGGATTTCATGTCTAAAACACCGAAAGCAATGGCAACAAAAGCCAAAATTGACAAATGAGATCTAATTAAACTAAAGAGCTTCTGCACAGCAAAAGAAACTACCATCAGAGCGAACAGGCAACCTACCAAATAGGAGAAAATTTTCGCAACCTACTCATCTGACAAAGGGCTACAATGAACTCAAACAAATTTACAAGAAAAAAACTAACAACCCCATCAAAAAGTGGGCGAAGGACATGAACAGACACTTCTCAAAAGAAGACATTTATGCAGTCAAAAAACACATGAAAAAATGCTCACCATCACTGGCTATCAGAGAAATGCAAATCAAAACCACAATGAGGTACCATCTCACACCAGTTAGAATGGCAATCATTAAAAAGTCAGGAAACAACAGGTGCTGGAGAGGATGTGGAGAAATAGGAACACTTTTACACTGTTGGTGGGACTGTAAACTAGTTCAACCCTTGTGGAAGTCAGTGTGGCGATTCCTCAGGGATCTAGAACTAGAAATACCATTTGACCCAGCCATCCCGTTACTGGGTATATACCCAAAGGACTATAAATCATGCTGCTATAAAGACCCATGCACACGTATGTTTATTGTGGCACTATTCACAATAGCAAAGACTTGGAACCAACCCAAATGTCCAACAATGATAGACTGGATTAAGAAAATGTGGCACATATAAACCATGGAATACTATGCAGCCATAAAAAAGGATGAGTTCATGTCCTTTGTAGGGACATGGATGAAATTGGAAATCATTATTCTCAGTAAACTATCGCAAGAACAAAAAACCAAACACTGTATATTCTCACTCATTGGTGGGAATTGAACAATGAGAACACATGGACACAGGAAGGGGAACATCACACTCTGGGGACTGTTGTGGGGTGGGGGGAGGGGGGAGGGATAGCTTTAGGAGATATACCTAATGCTAAATGACGAGTTAATGGGTGCAGCACACCAGCATGGCACATGTATACATACGTATCTAACCTGCAGATTTTGCACATGTACCCTAAAACTTAAAGTATAATAATAAAAGAAAAAAAAAGAATAGACAACTTAGAAACAAATCCACCTATCTACACTGAACTCATTTCAACAAAGGTGTGAAGAATATACACTAGGGAAAAGACAGTCTCTTCAATTAATTGTCCTTGGAAAACAGAATATACATATGCAGAAGAATGAAACTAGACTCCTATCTCTCACCATATACAAAAATCAAATCAAAATGGATTAAAAATTTAAATCTCTCAAGCTATGAAACCATTACAAAAAAACATTGGGGAAACTCTCCAGGACTTTAGTCTGGGCCAACATTTTTTGAGTAATACTCCACAAGCACGGGCAACCAAAGCAAAAATGGACAAATGGGATCACAACCAATTAAAAAGCTTCTGCACAATGAAAAAGGTGAAGACACAACCAAAAGAATGGGAGAAAATGTTTGCAAATTAGCCATCTGGCAAGAGATTATTAACCAGAATATATAAGGTCCTCAAACAACTCTATAGGAAAAACTCGAATAATCCAATGAAAAAACATGCAAAAGATTTAAATAGACATTTCTCAAAAAAGAAAACATATACAAATGGCAAATAGGCATATGAAAAGGGGCTCAACATCATTGATTATCAGAGGAATGAAAATCAAAACTATAATGAGATATCATCTCACCCCAGTTAAAATAGCTTGTATCCAAAAGACAGACAATAACAAATGCTGGTGAGGATGCAGAGAAAAAGGAACGCTTGTATGCTGTTGGTGGGAATATAAGTTAGTACAACCACTATGGAGAACAGTTTGGAGGGTCCTCAAAAAACTAAAAGTAGAGCTAACATATGATCTAGCAATCCCACTGCTGGGTATATACCCAAAAGAAAGGAAATCACTATGTCAAAGAGATATCTGCACTTCCATGTTTGTTGCAGCTCTGTTAACCATAGCCCAGATTTGGAAGCAACCTAAGTGCCCATCGACAGATGAACAGATAAAGAAAATGTGGTATTTATACACATTGGAGTACTATTCAGCCATGAAAAAGAATGAAATTCTTCATTTGCAACAACATGGATGAAACTGGTGATCATTATGTTAAGTGAAATAATCCAGGCACAGAAACATACACATCTCATATTCTCACTTATTTTCTGGAGATAAAAATGAAAACAATTGAACTCATAAAGATATATAGAGAATAGAAGGATGGTTACCAGAGGTTGGGAAGGGTAGTTGGGGAGTGGGAAGGAGGTGAGGATAGTTATTGGGTACAAAAAACAATAGAAATAATGAATAAGGCCTAGTATTTGATAGCACAACAGGGTGACCATAGGCAGTAATAATTTAATTGTACACTTTTAAATAACTAAAACTATAAGTGGATTGTTTGTAACACAAAGGATAAATGCTTGAGGCGATGGATACTCATCACCATGTGATTATTATGCACTGTACTCCTGTATCAAAACATCTTGTGTACTCCATAAATATATACACCTATCATGTACATACAAAAATAAAAATAATAAACAAGTGCAGCTGATTTGTTTAGTTTTAAATCTTTGTCTTTTCTAGACACAATATCAATAAGGAACCTAAAGCTCTAACTTTTCCAGCCCAAAGGATACATGGTTAATGGCTTCAGTTACTAGCTACAGAGATGAATTTATATTTACTACACAACAAATTTAGGCACCAGGATGAGCAAGAGTATCATGAAGTCATATACTACTTAGTCATGATCAACATTCAATACCACATTAGCTATTGCAGTCTCCTGCTATGACAGGCTACTCTGAATAATTTGATTTCAGTTTGTCACATAGAACAAATTCTAACATAACCTTTGTCTTGTACCTCCCACCAAAGCTGAACTCATCTTCAAATATAATAATAGTGTGAAGAAAAGTCTTCATTTATTCTGAGTCAGAATACCGTAACTGTGAAGAGAAGGAATGGTATCCCAAATATTAAGCAATTAATTTCAAAATTTCTTTGACATTCTACCTACAATTTCAAAATCAGTTGATCAGCTTGGGGCTGTCATAAGTTTCTTAGAAAAATACATGGCTACCTTCATAGTAATAAGAATTATAATGAGAAAAATAACTGACAATTTATGAGAATTTAGGAAGTACCAGGTACTATTCTCGGAAATAATTTAGTTAATCCTCACAGCAACTCTATGCAATTAGTCCCATTTGATATAGAACAAAAACCAAACTGTGGAGCAGAGATGCCACATAATTTGTCAAAAGTTAGAGTAAGTGGCAGTGACAAGGCCCAAACCCAGAGCCTGGCTCTAGAATCCCTGCTCTTATCTATTACACAATTGTCTTTCAATTCATCAGTTGAATTATTGCCAGTGAAGTCATGATAAAAACAAAGCTCTAAAAAGAGAAAAGCATTTCATGTAAAGTTGTTTACTATTCTTCTGATTTTGAAAGTAAAGCAGAGAAGGGTAAACAAAGCCTAGTGGGAGTGGGAAAGAAGGCTTCTTTCAATCTTTTCTTCTTTGAACAATTTTCATAAGAGTTCTCACCAGTGACCTTAGGCTTGTATTGAACAATCAATTTTTTTCAAAACCTCTTCCACATACAAGACTCACTCAATAATGTAAGAAAATTTCAGTAGGCTTTATAAGCTTATTTTACAGATATATAGTGTATCTACATAAATATGTAGACAAATGTAGGAATCCCAAATCCACATTCTGTCTCTAACCAGACATCTCTCCATGAAACATCTCTCAGTGATAATATTTATGCACAAAATACAAGGAAAAGGAGATAAATGCTTTACTTTTCATCTGGGGCTTTGATTTCAAACTAATTTAGTCCCCTAATCTACTAACTGGATGCAGAGGAAACTACTTTTGCTATATCTAGAGGCAGATCCACTTCTGGAAACTAAATCAGGCTAAACAGCCTCCTTCATCGCTTCACACCTAAATTCACACCCAAATCCTCAATCTTACCATTTAATGGCAAGCCTTATTTAGGACCCCCCTTTCATTGTTACTATTGCTCTTATACTTCCACCTGAGCAAATAAAATGGAAAGTGTCATCTTCAAAGGCTTTATTTACAGTTCTCTGACATTATATCAGAAGCTTCCAAAATGTGCCAGGATAAAATAATTCAATTAACTTCATCCACAAAGTTGCTCTATTAAGTTGAAAATTAATTTCATAATCTGCTTCTCTACTAGAATGAGGCTCAACTAAGTTGCCCAACCAAGTTCAGCAGACAATGTGAACCAGATGATAGAATGTCCCAAATAACAGGATGACCATAGAATAAAATGCCCCAAACTTTATTGTTCATTGTAAAATTTAACCATATAAGCTCTTTTCTATTGTCAAGTTAATGTTTGTTTTTATGGAGAATAAGTTCTAACTGTGGATTTTCTTTTTCTGTAATTTCAAAGTATCCAAGAGAAACATCTTCAATTATCTCCAGTGAGTTCCAGGTATATGAAACTCAATAATAAAAAAATCAATACCACACTTTGCATGATGACTTTGGTAAGCACTCTACTCATCACAACAATCTGTCCAATTAGGAATTATTATCCTTATTTTACAAAAATAAAAAGAATCAGAGAGTATAAACTACTTTCAATACACAGCTAATTTAATCTTACCCCCGATTTTTATTTCCCTTTCATTTTACTGCTTCATTTAAGCAATGTAATAACTCCCTTCAAGTACTCAGAAGTATTTTTCCTCCTTTTCCCTATTGAATTGATGAATAGAAAAACATATTCTCAGTCACAGCAGTTGTAAATGGAGCCAGACTATCTCTTCACCTTTGTGGCATAGAATAGAAACACTCTAAGAAACAGTAGAAAACTGGACTTAACTATTTTCTTAGCAAACATAAAAATTATAACAAATTTCAAAATTTTAAATTTTGAAAATGCCCAATAAGAGGGTTTATCTAGTTTATTTCAATTAATTGTTTACTCTATGATGATTTGAGATATTTCCCCATTATTATTCTAAAGTGTCCCAAATTATCACATTACGAAGACTAATTTTATATTATAAAGTTAATTCATTTTTTTAAAAAAGTCAATTTACCTTGCTGAAGAAACTCATCATGAGTTAACATTTGCTCCTATGTTATTTTTATAACTCATTGTTGGTGCTATGTACTTTCCCATTAGATTTTTATTTTTTTTTACCTTATCTGTGTTCTAGAGCTACGGGTACTTTTCTTCAGTGACACCTAGCCATTGAAAGTTGACATCCAGTCTCGATAAATCATCAGTCTTCCAATTTAGAGGTGAACACTGTGACCCTGGATTCATCTTCCATGTCAAACTTCAATGACTTTATGTGGTGGTTTTTTATTCCTTTCAACAATAGGTAAAGCATTTTACATATTCCCTTATTCCATCCAAAACTTCTGAGTCAAGCTAAGCATCTGCATTTACTCTCTAGTTATGGATAAAATGTTTCAAAAGATGAACACAATTCAAATAAGAAAATATCCTTGTTCTCTACCAAATTCTGCTAGGCAGCATATAGATTCACTCTTTATGATCTCTAATGCTTCTTGAAAAAATAAAGTATTGGTATAAAGGAAGCACTTTCTGCTTTTAAAAAGAATTATCTGGCTTGCATATTGCTTAATTTTAATGTTCCCTTAAGAACTGAAACAGCCTTGGGGAGTTTCCAAAATCCCACTTAGTTTGAGAGTTAGTCTGCACAAATCTATGCTCTTAAATGGAGATTCCGGATATAGGCTTCCTTAATGGAAGTTCTGTATCAAGGACATGTTAGGAAGAGACTGAAGTTTGATGGCACAATATAATACTCTCTAAGAAGAAGCTTTTGATTAGAAATCTTCTTACAAGTAGAAGTGAGGCTTAATTCTGAATCCTGCTCTTTTTATGATATTCCAGGATATAACTTCTTTTCTCATATCAGGCCAGGTCTCCTTAAGTTTGAATATGATTATATCAGTTTATTAAAAAATATGAGTCTTTTGTTTATTTTATTTAAAAAGGTAAGTATATATGAATGAAGATAATTTTAATGCATTTTAAAGGTCTGCTTATTCACTTTGAATTTAGCTACAAAAATAGAGAAATCACAATATATTTGTGAAGATTCATTTAAAATATAGTCTAATTTATATAGTTTCTAAGATTATGCAGTGTTAATAGAAGGGTTAAAACAACTATCTTCAGACTTAAGTTGTTCCAATATAATGAATGTTTTTTAAATGAACCAATAAAATGTATTAGCTCTGAAGAGGATCTCTCACGAATTATCAGAAAAAGAGAAAAATTAAGCTCCCCAGCTTTCAAGTGGGAGGAAAATACTGTTTCTGGAAATTGTCCATCTCCTTCCTGCTGTTTAATTAATTATCTACCTACTTTCATTTTTCTTTTCTTCTTTTATACTATTTCCTTACACAAATTACCTTTTTCCCTTGTTAGTTCTTTATCTTTCCGTAATCTCTCTGTTTGGAAATGTGGACTTCAAGCTTGATTAGTAATTCCACGTGGAAATTTTCTTGTTATGTTACTTACAGACACATGCTGGAGTGTTGTATTTAAAGACAGATGGCAAAAATCATATGAGCACACCATGTGGCTAGTTCTGAATCCATCAATTTTCAGCTGAGGAGGCTAGCTTAAGCATCTGCAATCACTGGTCGACAAGAAAATAAAAATGGAGAAGACTGGAAATTTTCACTTGTTGAAGATGTGGTTTTATTTGTTCTGATACCAAAATATACTGAATTTGAAAGCTCTTCAGATGGTTGTGGTATAAAGCACTCCTACAGAGAAGCGACTGTTTTCTAAATATACATAGCTTCTTTCTTCAGAGTGGGAATTTAAACTAGGAGCCATGAACTTATACAGCCACGTTAATGTTTTATAGTGTCAGCCAGTAGAGGTACCCATCGTATAGGATTCTTCATGACTTGGCTCCCAGAGTGATAGATTTAAAACTAACAATATCATCCACAGGCTCTTCCTTCTAATTGTTCTCACCTGGATCTTTAAAATTTGCTACTGCTGTTACATATGTAGTCCTGCCCTAAAAACACTGCGCCAAGAGTCAGAGAATCTCACCAAATAAAACTAAAACAAACAAAAACCAAAAACCTGTCCTCTGTTTCGCAGACTTATTGAGATTCACTTCTTTCTTAGGAAGTCCATTCCATCTGTGAAATCTTAACTACAAGGAAGGCCTCTCCAATAAAGCCTCTTGCTCCACTGAGTTCCCAGGCTCTTTCTAGGGCATGCATATCGCAGGCATCACTTACTCCGGCCATGACTCGGGTGACCCTGACTCCTCCATCTCAGTGTGAAAGAAGGCCTATGTACCCCACCACATAAATGTAAAGCCATCTGATTGTAACACACCACGTTTATACACTGACATAAGCATACATGTACACAGACATGCACACACAGAGCCACACACACACTCCCTCTCAATATTGATGAAAGTAATAATCCTGAGAGATGGAATAATAGACTACGAGAGACAAATATTAGAAGAGTTAAAATGATAAAATGAAGGAAAAGCCAGACTGTGGAGAGAGGTTATGAGCAAGAAAGACAAAAAGCATGAGAGATGGAGAGCTGAGGAAACGAGAGAAACAGGGATAAAGAAGAACATCCTTAGGGGGAGATATATGTTGGTGATCAGCAAGGGTGTCAGAATGCACTTATAACCAGTAATACTTTCAGTCCTAACTGATGCCTTTTTCTTAGCCTTCTAGACTCTGCTAGTATAAAGACTTTAACCTGCTCTATGACCTCGGAAGCTCCGAATTAAGTTTACCAAGAATGTTCTTGGAATACTTGAAGCATGAGTGCTTGGGGAATGTAAGACACAATCAGATTGGAACAAATCTTTCTCCGAACTCTCTCTTTTATATATCTTCTCTAGTCAAAAGAATCTTTTCTGCAGTTCATTAATTCTGTACCTACTATGTGCCGAACTGGTTCTAAATATCTATAACATAGATGAAAGGGTTCTTTATCTCAGAACTTTATAAAGACAACTAAAGAAATATTTGACAATAACTGAGCCCATACTAGAGAACAAAACCTTAAAAAACATAACTTTAAACATTTTGGCAGACATATCCTAAAATAACCTCCAATACATTTCTTAAGGATGTGTGATCCCCTTCCCAATTTACATAATCCCCTGTTTTGGTCTAGGCAGAACCTGTGATTTCTTGTCTATAGAATATAGTAAGAGTGATGGAATGTCATTCCCTTGACTAGATTACATATATGACAAAGAGGATGAGATATCACTCCCATGATGTCTCCACCTTAGCCAACTCAGTCAAGTCTTTAGGTGAGACCACAGCCTCGGCTGACACCTCAATTTCATGCCAGTTAGACCCTGAATGAAAGACTCAGCTAACCTATGCCCTAAGTCCTAACACAGGGAAAGCATGAGGTAATAATGTGCTGTCTTAATCTGCTAAGCTTGTGGTAATTTGTTACGTACCAATAGAAAACTGAAACAAACATAGTTGTACATAAACCCATTATGAGTTGTTTAATGACCACCATCCTAGACAAGAGGCTCTCTTAATTTTAAAAGTCTCACTGCATATCATATCAAGCATATTTTGCAATGCTTACATCATGCATTAAGAATATTTTTATTGTAACATTTTTAGAGATAATTTTTATAATTTTGCTTATTTGAGAATAAATATTTTACATTTTCCTTGCTATTTATTATCTATCCTAAGATATAGCAGTTAAGTTGCAGTGAAACAAGTAAAATAACGTTATGCTTTGTGGATATTTCATTAAGTATTAATTCCTTTTGATTTTGCAGTTTTCATATTATAGAGTTATTAAGTCATTTTTCAGGTTGCACATATATTTGTAGACCTTCCAAAAGTTTACAGCCCTAGGAATTGTGCCTATATCACATAATGGATAAAATGGTTCCCTCACAAAAAAAAATTGTAAAAAATAAAAGACAAGGTTGAGAAATACACTTCTAATTATACTTCAATAAGGACTTGTTGAAACATTTCCAAAAGTTTGGCTAAGAAAAAAATTTTCACTATTCGTTCTCCTCTTATCCTTTTTCTCTTTCACAGCCTGACATAGTAGCCTTGGCAGATCATCCTTTGTGTGCAATCCTGATCCTTCTCCCATGTGAGTCTGCATTGGAATGATAGCACAATTGCTAAGGCATTCCATTCTTTCTGAATATAATGCTCAACATGATCACCCCACGTTGAGTTTTTATGAATTACTTATGGCTCCAGCTGTTCCTGCTCCCATTAGTTCCTTCACAGATATGTTCAAAAGCTGAAGTGATGGAGATCTTGTCTCTTTTAATTCTCTGAAAAATAACTGCCTTAGTTACGAATTTTCCTGGAAGTGACTTCTCTAACTGGGCCACATGTTTCAGGCTTTCTGAACATTGCTTCTCTTTTAGGAAAAGAACTTGCTGTATGGAAGATTTTTATAAGGCTTTGGTAGGAAGAAAAAAACCCTTCTATGGTTCTAAGCACCCCACCCTCAAGACACCCCCTCCTTTCAATATAAACCCAATTCAGAAGTTATTAACTCCATAATGCCTTCCTCATGTGATAGCAAATATCATCCTCCCACTACCCAAGCCAGGATCTTACTGTTTACTTTTTTTTGTCAATTCTGTGTGGCCTACACTTTCTCAATCTTTCTTTAAAATCACGGATATAAAATTAGAAACAAAAGGGGCCTCTTAGGGGCAGTTATCATGTACCAAAAGAGAGAAACTAAACAGAACCTTCCTATTTAAACAACTAAACAGAAAGATATGGCAATGGATAATAAACTTGAAGATCACGAAGAGAAAGAGAGTAACAAATGCACTTGAAGTACAATTTGAAGGAACAAAGCATGGCAGAAGATTGTTCGAAAGTGCCAGGAAGCTTTTGCTACATTCTAAAAAAGGATTGTTGGATGTGTTTCCCCATATGTCAGTAAGAGGCATACATTTCTCCTGGGTTGTACACCAAGTTACATATGGAGATAGGCCTTGAAATCATTCTTGGCAGTAAAGGCAAGATGTGGCAAAACACTCGCACTATCAAATTGTCAAGCAAAAATATGAATAATAGAGTTTTAGAACATGTATTTTTTTAATTATGTATGCTCTTGGTCAAAATTAAATATTCAACTACATCAAAAACCTTTGATAATAATTCTACAGCAACGATAATAATGATAGTCATTTGTTGCATTATTTTACTTAGTAATAAAAGGCAGTATAATGCAACGACTAATCAACATGAATTTTAGAATCAGATAAATCTACATTGGAAATCAATTTCCTCCATTTACTAGAGGAAAGCCACTAGATGAGTCAATTTACTTGTTTCTAAGCCTTAGTATCATCATTTGTAAAACACAGGAAATGATACCTTTTGGGCAAAAAATAAAAGAGATAATAGATAGTGCTTATCACAGGGCCTAACATGTAGTACGACTTCAAAATATGGTAGCAATTATTATCTACCTCAGATATCTTATAGAAAACAATTATTTTCTATTTAGATATAGTATCACCTCATTCCAAAAATTATGAGGTTTTTAAAACACATGTAGCACATGAAAAGGGAAAAGTGAAGAAATCATGAACAAAAGGAAAATATAGCCAAAAACAACAAGTTGAAGACATTGGTGAGGTAAAATAAATATTATAAAGTCATATATATTTAGCTAGATATAAACCATGGATTTAACTCAGAACTGCCTAGAAGCCAGTATAAAGAGGAAAACACAATAAGTTATATATGACTTTAAAAATAAACACAGAAAGCTGTTGTTTAAAAGTAATCCAGATATTCTGAGAAAAATGTGTCATGTCTCTAGGTATTCATTAGAAAGGATACTGTAGGAGGCATAAAAACTTTCCCCAATTACTTTTCTACACTAAGGTGAATAGAAAAGTGTTTTAATTTTCTTATCATGTCCCTCAAGTTTGGTTAATAGATACCAAAATGCAGTTTAGTAAAATTAAAACAGTGCAGTTTGGGTGTGTGGTTCTCTGATGAAAAACAACACACCAATAAGTCAGTCTTAGTAATAACCAACTTTGTGTAGCACTTTAAAATCCTTGATTACTTTTAATTTTAATAGCCAGGTCAAGCAAGCATATTATTCTCATTTTACATATAGGAAAACAGTCTCAAACAGGCTCAATGATTTCCCCAAATTTATGCAGAAGAGAAGTAGCAAAGCAGCGCCTTGAACTCCGTCATCTGTTTCTTAATTCCCTGCCATTTTCACAACCCTGCTATTGAATGAACTGAGCATCAGAAAAGCAGAGAAAGAACTTCAGCCCCTATCACTCACAGGGATAGAAACCATTTCCAACAGCCTTGTTTCCATACACAAAAATAAGATTTGAAAATCTTGTCCTGGCAGAGTTGCTTCCATGACACCTAACTTGGAGGGATTCCCAAAGGTAATTCTTAAAATGGGGGTCACCTATGAGCTATAAGAAAATAAGAACAATAATGTTTTTTTATTTTCATGGCACTTTATATTTCTCAAAAGATGTGTATATGATACTTTGTAGTTCCCTAGAGAAGTTTGTACCTGCAAAACAAAACAATTCATTTACACCAAATGAGATGTTAATCAAGTTTTTTTTTTGTTTTTTTTTTTTGGCGGAGAACTGCAGATTAGCAAGAGAAATTAAAATCTGATCATGGATGCTCTTAAATAAGATCCTTGTGCACAGAATAACCTTAATCAGTGGCCTTTTACAAATGCATCCACATGGCATAGAAATTACTCATATATTGAGGGAAAATAGTAGGTAGCAGCTCACCAATTTGCAAGCTGACATTTCACGCACATGAAAGAAGAAATGGCAAAAGTGGGCAAAGATTAAACATTTTAAAAAGAAAAAAAGAGCTAACAATCCATGCTCAGACCTCAGAAAGGATAAAGGTTCCCAACTGCAGTTTGAAAATTTCATACTGCTATTCTTAAATGCAACCCACAATAAAGTACAAAATCTGGTTTTAGGGAAAATATTTGCTAAGTTCTTAAATTATGGAATATTCTGGTTTCCACAAGATGCAAATATTTAGTCTGTCAATAATTAAGTTTCTGTGCTTCCTGTAGGCAGCTGGTATAGGGATAAGAGGTGGTGGTGTGAAACTCAACAGTTACTAAAACTGAGCCGCTCAGAATGAAAATGGGCTTTTTAAATGTTATTATCTAATACAGCTCTGAATATGGCAATGACCTAAGGATTATTAATATAGAAAACATGTCATTAGACTAACATTTTGATCCTAGCACCTCATCTTCTACCAAGAAAATAACATAATGAGGTTGAGAGAATACATACAGAGCAGAATTTAGCCAATTTTAACTAATGCTTTCTGGAACTAGTGCACAGTGTACAAAAGGGACTTTCATTATCTGGGTGATTTGCACCTGATGACAGGAACCTGACTTCGCTGATTACCACAGGCTTCCATCTGGTGGCAAAGCGCATTCCTTGTTCCTCTCATTCAGACTGAGCTCTTATGCCAGGGTCTGTTGGGAAACTATCTTGAAAATAATCAATCTGCCAAAACCAAACACATAGCCTCTCAGACAAGGTAAATAATTTTTTTGTGGTAAATCAAAACACCAAAGGATAACTTTAAAATTTTTTTAGTCATTGAATTTTCAAATAAGAAAACAGACCTCTTTTAGTAGGTATTTGGACCTACTAAAATTGCATTTTGGAAGTTTATTATTTTGCTATTCAGACTGTAAGCTCAATTTTTTAAAGGGATATGTTGAGTTTCTGCTTAAACAACACAGCAAAATATAATACTCAGTGTATAGCAATTATTGTGGTAATATATCCTGAAGTATCATACCTCCCCGTGATTCTATATTTAACATGAGACATATGGGAATATAATGTTTTCTTTGCTTGTTATCTTCTTCGGCTTTGTTCCTTATTCATCTATGAACAAAGTTATATAATTAACAAAGAGTAAATTTATGGAAAATGTCATATTTTTATCTAAATCTTCAAGAAGTTGGTTCCAATGGTGATGGAAAAGTTTATAGAAACACACTTGGTTCATTTTTTACTCACAAATTATTTTGGTTACCAAATATTGTTTTGACATATGGTACAACTTCTCGGTCTAAATGCAGACTATGCTCCTATGACAACCTAAGAACAAACATTTTTTCTTCTCTTGTCATTAAAATAGGTGCTGAGGACTCAGGGCCTGGCAGTGCCATTATTCTCATGGGCCCTGGATTGGAATTATAATATGTTGATGACAACTTAAGCCTGATGACATTCTTTAGATTTTGTTTCTTTTCAAATTTGACAAGCATGGCTTTTAAGTTGATTCCTTTTTGTTCATGTGTGTTTATGTGTGTGTCAGTTCATTTTACTTTGGTTCAACAAACACGTACAGACCATTCACCATACCCCAAGGACAGGGTTAGATCCTGGGGAAACCAAGATTGCGCTAGACCCTACGGAACACAGTTTTTGTCCTTGAAGTGCTAACATTCTAAGAAGCAACTGATACATAAACAGAAAGCTTTAATACAATGTGATAAGTGCTACAATAGGAGGCTTTGGGAAATGCTATTCTCCCTTCGCTGAAGACAAGCAGCTAAATATAGAAGAGAAGCATTTAATTCAAACATTTATCTGAGCAAATACACACTTGGCCTTCCATGTAACTTAAGGCCTGCCATTAATCTGCATTTTCTTCTTGATGGTGCCTTGCAATATTTTCACTTGATCAAGTGATATGCCTTGTATTACCTATGAAAGTAACTGCAGATGTAGATGCTTAGGGCATAATGGAAATTTAACATATCACATAATCCAACTTCTTCATTTTAGAATTGAGGTAACTTCAGGTTAGAGAAGTCCTGCCCAAATTCCTGTCCAACCCAGTTAAGTGTAACTTTGATCTATCTTGACAGCAGCCCACCATCCATGTGTCTACTCGCCAGTTCCAAGTCTCCTTCCTAAGCAGGTTGTTATCTTCAGACCTGGACCATGACCATCCCAACCAACCTTGACAAAGCCCCCATCCTTATGTTCAAACTGAATTAATGTATAAACCATCCCTTTTCATTTTATTCTCACTTTCAGTGCTGATGATAGTCACATATTGGCCTGATTAGATTCACAAATCTTTTGACTTGCAAGTAAATTTTTTCTGTATGTGAATGTGTATTTTTCTGAATTAAGAGGCCATAGATTTATTCAGATTCTCAAAGGTTTAATCACCCCCAAATATTAAGAACCAACTTATTTAGAATATTAAAAGTTGGAAGAATATGATTATTTGTGATCTCAGAAGTTAAACTGGCTCAAAGAACAAAATGCAATATTTTATAGCAAAAACCTGTGTGACCATGGAAAGAGTATTTGACTAGCCCATATTATATCACTTTCTCTCTCTCTCTCTCTCTCTCTCTCATAGTCCTTTCAGTCCTGAGTATTCTCATCTGAAAAATTTAAGTAACATCTGGAAATTTTGGAAAAGTCATTGTATTTCTATAAGCTTCCTGTATAATAGAAAAAATAATCATTATTCAATGGACCGATCTATCTAAAAAATATTTACTGAGTAAAGATGATTATGGACCATCTTTGCAGATATATCAGCGAACAAAAAAATCAAGATTATTTTTCTCATAAATCTTATGTTATAGGCTATGAATAAACGGAAGACTAAAAGTATAGGTAAAGATGTAGAAAGGCTGGTAAATTGGGCATTGGGAAGTTTACGGAATTTTTATCTAATTGATCTTACTTAAAGTATGAGGCAAGATCTTCAGCTGAAAATAAAGTGTGAGAAAGAGGCTATAAGAAGGAAAAAGAGAAAATGTAAAATATTCATTTTGTAGCATACGAGGGTAAAGTGTAGCAAAAATAGTCAAGCAATATCGAGGAATCATTGGAGTTTTGTGGAGAAATAGAAAAAAGAGAGAAAAAGAAATAAAAAAAGAAAAGGAAAAACAGAAGTTTTCACAACATACAGCTGTTCAGGTTCTGTTAGACAATAAGAGAATATTTGGATTTAGGAACAATTAGAATTTTGGTAGATGCATACAACAGAGGAGAAGGGGTGCTATAATTTGAACTTTCCTTCAAAACTCATATTGAAATTTAATTGCCATTATAACAGTGTTGAGAGGTGATTATGCCAGAAGGGCTCCGCCCTTGTGAATGGTTTAATGCCTTTATTGTAGGAGTGGGCTCTGATAAAAAGTTGAATTTGGCTCATTGTCTTTCTCTCCAACTCATGTGCTTGCTTGCCTTTCTGCCATGGGATAACGCACCAGGCAGGGCTTTGCCAGATGCTGGCACCATGCTCTTGAACTTTCCAGGCTCTAGAACTGTGAAAAATAATTTTAAAAAATTTATCCAGTCTCTGGCATTCTATTATAAAAACAGAAAATAAGCTAAAGTTGAGGCAAGAGAGTTGGATATTGCAAGAGATTGATTATAGTGATGCACTGTGGATAATTAGTAAGAAGAGAAGGGGGAAATTAGTGTAAGAAGAGTGAATGAGATATTTCTATGAGGTCGTAGAATTGAATGAGTCATTTTTATCATTTTTAGAGGTGTTACAGTTCTCACAATAACAAGGTCTAATGACAAAAATAAACATGGGACTTGGCAGCTAAGGAGGAGTAGAAGAAAAAATCACTGGAGGTAAAGAGGTCAAAGAACTGAGAGGAAAGCATAACAGCCATTAAAATATATCCCACAAATCTCCAGCCAAGGGGATCATAATTAACAGATGACCCCAGCTACTGTGTACCAAAATCCATCACCACGTCACAACAAAGTCATACTTCCCATAGGTTTCTCACAGCCAATGACTGAGTGCAGCAGGGATAAAAATGCAGGCCCATTCCTGGGAGACACAAGACCCCTCTTACAAGCAATTTTGCCTCAAGCCTTCCCCATTGTCCTTGAAAAGCTTTCCTTACAACTGAACTGCAATTTAAGTTACTTTTATCCAACCTCTCTTCTCTCCCTCTTTCCTCCCTTGGGGTAAAACCTGCAGTATAGTCTGATGACTCTCAAAATTTCTCTTGAGTTCCTCCACAAATTTTACTCTCAAAAGCATTCATTCCCCTAATAAATTTTACATATGTTTAATCCTATTTAAGCTTCTTTTTGGAGGACCCAGACTAACACAGCAATGTATTAGCTGAATCTTCCACCTGGATTTTGAAATAACAAAGAATGGTAAATAGTTAAGAAGATATAGAGGGAGACAGTTATCCACATAGTAAAGTCTGCAAAAAATAAAGAAATATAATAAAGATTAATAAGATGTCAAGGTAACACAGAAAGGGCTAATAGTAGCAAAGTCTGATGGCATAAACTTTCAAGGAGGTAGGGACTCAAAAGTGTTAGAACAGTGCGTGAGACGTCTCTTATGAAGTCAAATAATTGACTGAGATAAGAAGAAAGAAGGTGTTGAATAAACAGACAAATTGTAAAGGTAAAACATTTGCCCCAATTATAAGCCCTGAGATAAGAACGTTAGGAAGAAAACACATCATCCATTCAAAAGGACCTAAGGAATAAATGGCACCAAGGGAAAGCCTGGTTTCTGCTACAAAAATAAGATTAAGGGAACAGGAAAAGACAAATGTAGGATGAGGATAAAGAGTATTTTCCTAATGACAGAAAGCACATGGGAAGAGTTTGGGAAGCCTATGAGGAAAAGAAGACTGGGTCAGAAAATGGAGAAAGATGGCAAGGGGGTTGGAGCAGTGCAGTGGTGAGAGTACTAGTGATGCATGACATGAGGAGCTGAGTTTCTAATGGTGACCAGAGGAGGGAGAGAGATACAAATCATGATGGGATCTGACCTGAGAAAGTCTGGGATAAGGCAGATAAGTGGTTCATGTTGGATGTTTCAAGACCAAGGGATAAGTGAACATCTGCTCAAAGAACTTTGGCCAGAACCATCAGTGGCTAAAGGACCTCTTCTCTCTAACACCTAAGTGGTGCTGTAGTCTGGGAAGGGGTAGATCTTCATGAAGCAGAAAACCAGGATAAATCTCTTTCATTAGTGAGGGTAGTGTGGTGCCTGAAGAACTTATATCATAGGAGTGATGGGAAAAATAAATAAAATCCTTAACAGATGACTTACTATTGTGTTAATGTACCTTATACATTATTTTTACTGCTATTGGATGTTCAAAATAATGAGTGTTCTTGCTACCATCCCTTTTTCCCCAAAGTAACCAAGACTTAGTACTCTGCTTCTGGGCTCCACTGCCTCAGAGAATCTCAGATTAGAAAGTGAAATCTACTGTACACAAGCGCTAACTTCTCCACAGACTTAATTTGGGGAGAAGACCCTTAAAGGAAACAGGGGTGAAGGCTGGTGCTGAGAGAAGAAACCAATGAAGAAGAAATTTTCCCAGGCAGGGCAGGGTCTAGTGGTTTGTAGAGATACCATGAATGCAGATACCTTGATGAGTAATTCCTCCTGATATAACCGTGGAGACCAAGAACAGATCATCAAGCATGTGGTCCCTGGACAGGATCTCTGGAGAATTCACTTCTAAGTTTGCAGAGAGCATCAGTGCTTGGTAAGCGATGGAGGGGAAAATGGAAGGTAGATTTTCCAGCAAAAGGAGCTATAAGAACAAGGAGGCCCACTCCACCTCCCACATCTTTCTATATCGACATAAGTACCCAAATTTGGAATATAAGGAGTGAGAAGACACTAAAACCCTTGATTGAGATTTAATTCCTTACCTCCTTGGAGAGTAGGGGCACATAGACATTTTATTTGACTTAGAAAATTAAACCAAAATAACAACATTTCTTGTACTGATGTGTAAGGAGGAAATACTTATCTATTAGACATAGGAAAAGTCCTTGTAAATTATTGATGTTGGTCAGTACTCCAACTCCTTCTCAGTCTTCCAAGGTTATTATCAAACCAGAATGTATTGAAAACTTTTGATGTTCCAGTAGTACCTACATTATATAATTTAATCCCCTCAACTTCCCTAAATAAGTAGCATCACCTCTATTTTTGATTTGAGGAAATGAGCTCAGACAGGTTAAGAAACTTAACCAAGACCACACAGACAGCAGGATGCCAGTTAGGATTTAAGCCTAAGGTTGGCTAACTCAAAAATTCATGCTTTCATTTCACCAGGGTGCTATAAAAAGCACATGTGAAAGTATTTTTAATGCATAAAAGATCCTCAAATGTAGCATCATTATTATGTTCAAGGCTCTGAGGATGACAGAACATAGGCACAGCATTCTCAGAGCTTTTTTATTCACTTGCAGGAATAACAAGGGGGCCTGCACTTTTGAAGTACATAACTTCGGGAGTAGCATGTAAAGAAATTCTATTTTTGTCTTAAAATATTATCATGTAATGGTCAAATTTGATTTTATAAAGTTAGTTATTCAGATAGGCTGTCATTAAACAAGCCTTAATTTTTTCAAGTGATCAGAGCCAATAATAGAAGCGAGATTATGTAAAACTAAATTTATCAGTAAAAACTAGTTTTTAATCTAAGCTGAAGAAAAAATAATGAGATAAAAATTGCCCTTTGCTGATTGGAAGAAAGTTTAGGGGAAGATATGTTGATCAATGTGTGGGATACATGTAAGAGCTATCATTGTTCTAGATTCAATACTAAAAAGAAGTTTTTCACTTCAGAAAGGCTCATGAAATTGACAAGGCTTCAGTGAAATTAAACTTAAGGTTCAGACAGGGATTCAAAATTGTGTTTTAATTAAGTCTAGAAGTTAAAATTTTGTGTTAGTAAAAAGCAAATTTTATGATAATAAAAATGAAAATGAATACTAATATTTATCCAACAGATGATTGAAAACCTACAACATGCGAAGTACTGTGCTGATATCAATTTTGCTGATATTAGTTGTATGGGAGCTACAACTTGCCATTAGTGAGTCTTTAGACCTTAGGACATAGCCTGGAATACAGTAAGTACTTCATAAGTATGTATGTGTTGAAAGACAGGGAAATCTACCTCCTTCTGTCAAACCCAGTCTCTGCTCTTAGATAAGATATCTTTGACTGGGCCCAAATTATAACTTAGATCAGTGAAGTTCCTAGTGTCGTGAAGAACAAATACAACAAACCTTTGAATAAATTGTCCCATTCAAAATAGAATTTAAACAGCATGGCTTATTCACAGTAAGCATTATTGAATGTATGCTATATAGAAGAATCTGTTACATTATAAACATGATGCAACATGTCCAACAATATCATCTACCTGGGCAGTCTCAGACATAAGAGAACCTCAAGAACATAGGGCCAGAGGGAGATGGGGAGAAAGAGGAGAGGGCAAAATCAGTACCAAATTGAGGAAGGAGTGAGTCCATTTAATATTTAATAAATAGATTTCCATCAAAATTGTCACGAAGATGATGCCCATGTGGTTGAGACATGGTGTTTTGGGACCCAACTCACAACTGAGGTTCTGGAACTAGTAGCACCATAATCTCCAACCAGAAAGATACATAGAGCAACCAGAAGATTCCTGTATACTTGGTTGTCAAGGAAGAAACAGCTAATTTGCATGAGATCTATATAAAAAAAAGATAAGGCCCTCCGGAAGATGACCCCATCTCAAGGAAACTGATCCAGCCCAATGATATATGGTTAGGGTCAGGACTCCAAGTCTAGAGAGGAGGGACACCATACAGAGTCACTACTTACACTGAATGAGAAGAGAACCTGAGTCAAAATCCAAACCAGGAGCCTAAACAAAAAAGAGTGGAATGAGGATAACAGATGAAAATGTTTGGTGTTTTGAGCTACTCAGAAACCCAGAGTCCTGTCCTTGTATACTAGATCCCAAGTCTATGTGCAGAAAAGAACATAGTGGGATGGGGGAAAACTGTGGTAGGGTAGGACAGGAAGCATGAAACAGAAATAATGAAGGCAAAATCAAGGGCCCAGTGGTCATTTCTAGAAAACCAGATTTATTCCAGTCTCCTAAGAGCCATGCCGAAGACGAAAGAGGGTATAGAGAGGGGTCTTTTGATCAGGGCTACAAAGACATACACAGGCCCTGTGAAAACTAATTCAGACTCCATGGAGAAAATGGGTTCACAGCCAAAAGCTGACAAGAGTCTCAGTTTGGAACAGCTGGATAAGACAGAGGCTGACAACAAATTTATTAATACCAGTATAAATGAACCCACTTCTAAACATTTTCTTTCCCCTTCAGAAATTGCCCATACTAGACACTGTATTTGTTTAAACTGAACTTCCTTATTTTCTCCAATTCAAATATAAAAGTATACTGAAGAAATGTAAAGGCATCCACTCATAACTGCTGTGTTACAAAGAAGGTGTAACAGAATGAGTTCAGAGTTGGCTAGGAAAATGGAAGGTTCGGAGGCTGTCCATGAAAACCAAGGTCAGCAGCCATGCCTCTGACTCCAGCTTCTGACTTCAATCCAGCTGTCAAGATCTGTTCATTATTAGGACTTCTCCCTGCCCTGTATCTTGTCCAAAATGGATTATCATTTTCAGGGCATTATTATGCTTTTTTAAAACTTTTTTATAACAATAACTTTCCTCCATAAAAGAAAACTCTTGCTGACATAAATGTTTGATTAGAAGCTTTCACATATTCCAATATGAAATGTTCCCTCTCAACCAGGGCTCATGAAATATATATCAAACAAGTTCTTTATGCAGCATAAAACAAATTTCAATATTCCTCTTCAAATAAAATAGTAACAATTTTAGACTATCTCTAATTCTTATAATTGGCCTCAGGAGGTAGCTATTATAGCCCATGGATATATAAGCAAATTTGGATTTTCAGTAAACTGATTTTGCCAGCCCTGTGAATCCAAAGATAATGGGTAACATTTTTTGTTTGTCTTTTGGTCAAATTATCTTACCAGGGGACATTTACCTGGGTGATTTTTCAGTCATCTTACTTATAAGATTTTGCTAGACAATTATTGATAATCCAATTTATTAATAATAACCTTAGTTCCCAATTACACTAAAAGTTCTGGTGCAATAGGATTTACCCTTCAGATCTCATCAGCACTCATCCTTAAGTAATATCTTCCAGTGTCAGAATTTTAAACATCATTTGTGGGGATATAACTGGGCATTTACATTTTTAGTCCAGACCATCCTTTGAACTCCAGATTCACAGATCCAGACACCTATTCAACACCTCTGTTTGAGATACTAAGGCTTAATATGTCCCAAATTACACTCTAGATTTTTTTCACCAAAACTTTCTCCCCTCTCAATATTTTCTGATTCAGAATATGGGAACTCTATGTTTCCAATTCAGACAAAAGTCTTTGGGGACATTCTTGACGCTGGGTCTTTTCTCTTTCTTATCCAATCCATCATTATATCCTGCCAATACTTATTTGGAAATAGCCCTAGAACATGACCACTTCTCCCCAAACCCTACACATCTCTTTCTGAATTGCAATAACTTTTTTTTTTTTTTTTGAGACAGGGTATCACTCTGTAACGTAGGCTGGCTGGAGTACATTGGTGTGATCTCGGCTCACAGCAGCCTTGACCTCCCCAGGCTCAGGTGATTCTCACACCTCAGCTTCCCAAGTAGCTGGGACTACAGGCATGAGCTACCACACCTGGCTAATTTTTGTATTTTTCTGTAGAGATGGGATTTCATCATGTTGCCCAGGCTGGTCTCAAACTCCTGGACTCAAGCAATCCACCTGCCTTGGCCTCCTAAAGTGCTGGGATTATAGGCGTGAGCCACCTCACCAGGCCCTGAATTGCAATAACCTCTTAACTTGAGTTCTTGCTTTCCTCATACTTCCATTCCATCTACACTCACACAGCAAACAGAGTAAACATAAAATAAGTCAGATCATGCCATCTGTCAGCTCAACACACTCCAATGGCTCTTGATAGCTCTCAGAGTAAAAATTAATTAACCCAAATGCCCATCAATGATATAGTGGATAAAGAAATGTGGTACATATACGCCACGGAGTACTATGCAGCCATAAAAAGGAATGAGATTGTGTTCTTTGCTGGGACATGGTTGGAGCTGGAAGCCATTATCCTCTGCAAACTAACACAGAAACAAAAAAACCAAACACTACGTGTTCTCACTTATAAGTGGTAGCTGAACAATGAGAACACATGGACTTGGGGGTGGGGAACATCACACACTGGGGCCTGTCTGGTGACAGGAGGGAGCAGGGTGAGCATCAGGAAAAATAGCTAATGCATGCTGGGCTTAATACCTAGGTGATGGGTTGATAGGTGCAGCAAACCACCATGGTACAGGTTTACCTATGTAACAAACCTGCACAGCCTGTACATGTATCCTGGAACTTAAAGTAAAATAAAATAAATTAAAAATAATATAAATAAAATGAAATGAAATTTCATTTTATTTATACTATTTTATTTATACTATGGCCAATCTTCTCTGCATAAACTGGCATCTCGCTACTGCTCTTACTTCGTCTACTTCTACTCTCCCACTTTTTCACTCTGTTCCAGCCACTGGTCTCCCTGCTGTTTCTTGAGCAAACAAAGCATGTTCCAGCTTCATTGCATTTGTACTTCTGTTCTCAGCCTTAATTCATTTAATTCACAAAATAAACCTACTGAATAAGTACTACAATCAATTTCCTTACTTATAATGTTTAGGAAAGCAAATTCTCAGGTCCCACTTGGAGGTAGAACTCCATTATCTGTGCTTTAACAAAGGCTTCCAGTGATTCTGATGCATAATAGAGTTTGACAACCACTACAATACCTGGAGGCATTTTTGGTTCTTGATACAGTAGAGTGGGGTGGAGAAGCCTACTAGCATTTAGTGGCCACAGATGCTGCTAAACATTGTATAGGGCACAGAACATCCTCCACAACAAAGATGATCTGGCCCAAAATGTCAATAGTGCTAAGGCTGAGAAACCCTGCTGTAGTGTCTACACCAGGCTTCTCAATCTTTTTTATTATCATCTACCTAAGGCACCTTAGATATTTTTCCCCTAATTAACTACCTCCCTATAAAATGTTAATACCACAGATATACAGTGTATCTGTTTATGGTCTGTCATCCTTTGGAGGGACAAAAATCATTCTAATATCTAAGAAATTTTTTGTGCTCCTAAAACCAATTTTCACTCCCGTTTAGAACGCATGGACTACCAACAACTAGAATCAAGTTTTAGCATAGCTTGAACAGAGAGGTTCTATGTGAAGAAAGACTTATTCTCTAGTAGATCTGCAGCACTCAGCTAATATGTAATAGCAAGAAATTGGGAAATGAGTTTGAATTGACTGTCAGATTGAGGGCTGAGAGCTTATGGATATAGGGGTACTCTCCCTTGACATTATGGTGGCCTTAGAGTTTGAATATGATGATGATCTGTGGTAATCAAAGTTGAAATGCACAACTGCCTTGGCAGGGTAATGAGGAAAGGGTCAGAAAGGTGAGCAAGTCAAAATGAAATCAGAAGTCCACCAGCTAGCTATGTTCCATAAAAAAGCCTGAACGACACCTCCTTCACTAAAGCAATAAGGTGTGCATGAGTGAGGAAGATACCAGATTCACTGAAAAGCTTCATGGTCTCCTGTAAGCCAGGGTGATGGTAGGAAATAATCCTTGAAAACAGGCTTCCTAGTGTCAACGAGAATAACAGGATTTTAGTGGACATATTTTATTGCCCGGGAAAACGGAGGGGCAAGGCCAGAGAGGAAACCAGGGGGTCTTGACCACGTGGATTTGTGACAATGGCTGATAAACAATGGTATTCCTTGGAACAAGATGAATAGGCAGCCAATAAGGGCACCTCTTGACTTAACAATAATAACAACAAAAGGCCAAAGATTCTTCAGGAAAGGGTTGCTGTAATGACAAGTCATTACTTCTTGCCAGTTTCCAAATCTGAGCTAGTTATTGAGTCCATCACTTAAAGATGAGGTCCACTTAAAAAAGAACCCTGGAATGCCACACCAAGTTATGCAAAAATATTCTCCCAATTCTTTCCCATAGAAAAGTATGGCCATTTAACAGAATAATTATACACTAGAAGAGGGATAATACCCAGATATTTTGAGGGCTATGATACAGAGTTTGAGCTGACACTGTTACCAGAAGACCCAAAGTACTATGATAACTTCTGTTAGAGTGGGGGCCTATGGAGACCAAGGCCATCATACAGTGTGTCCAATGGACTTTTCTGTCATCATTTCCCTAGGTGATTAGTGCAGCTGGCAGAACACTCATATTGTTTTCTCAATCTATGGATTAAGACCCATTATGATGGGAAAAGTCAAATGGAAACCCTGGAACTTTCCCCTAAATTAGTAAATCTTTAAAATTTAATTTTCTGGGGTAGAATTATAGAAACTAGTGTCAACTTCGGTGACTGAAAGTTTAATTCACTGATATGGTCATGGAAAATTCCAGATAAATCATGGCAGATGATGGTAATCCATTATAAGCCAGCTGTGGTGCCAGTCATATCTCCTGTGCCAAATTTGATATCCTGACTAGAACATATCTACCCAGCTCTGACACGGGATGGGTAGTTGTTAATCTGAGCAACACATTTTTTAAATTCAAGCTGTTTGTATTCATCTGAGATAAATACTTACTTTTTTGCCCCAGAGCTGTCTTAACTCTCTTGCTTCCTTTTGTTCACAAAAGGGACCTGGATTATTTTAACATTCCACAGAATATCAGATTTGTTTACATACTGATGGCACACTAATTGGACTTGGTAAACAGGAAGTGGCAATTACTCTGTAGTCCTTGTAAGACACATGCATGCCAAAAGGTTGAGATCAACTCCATAAAGATCCAAAAGCCTTCTGCTTTGGTGAAGTTTTCAGAGGTATGGTTTTCTTGGGCATTTGAGATATTCTCTATAAAGAAAAAGGCAAGTTGGTAAACATCATAACTCCTACAACCAGGCACAGCACTGAAAGGATTGCCCTGAATTTTGGAGGCAATATATTTCATACTTGGAAATACTATTCCAACCCATTTATTGGGTGACTTAGAAAACTACCAGTTTTGAGTGGGTCCTACAGCAAGAGAGGACTTGCAGTGAAAGCTTCACATTCTTTCAGGCCAGCAGATCCAACAGTATCAAGAGATACCTGTGGTAGATATGGACATTGTGTGGAGTCTCTGTCAAGCCCTTGAGGACATGCTCTGTAACACAGATTTTCTAAGATTCTGGAGCAAGACCATGCATTCTGTAGCACTGATCACTTGCCACTTGAAAAGGACTACCTGGCATGCGACTGAGCCCTAATAGAAACTAACCATAGTTAAGTGAGCATGCAACTGGAACTACCCACCATGAAAAGGGTATTGTCAAAACTACCAATCATGAGATCAGGGAGGCATAGCAGCAATCCATCATACAATAAAAAAGATAGTCAGCATTGGGCCTGAGTAGGTCCAACAGGCAAAAGTAAAATAGAAAAAGATGCAATACAGACCCTACTTCTATTGTATTAGATCAGCAGCAGTACTGGCCAAGAGTAAGGGGAACCTACAATGAGTAGAAGAGGAGGAAGATAATGCCTATCAAGTATGTGTCAAGACCAGCTGCCACAGCAACAACTGTCTCTTAGTCCATGAAACCTTCAGTTATAAGTCTTTCTTAGAGACGATTACAGGCTAATCTCTTGAAGAGTCATAACAGAGTGGACTTACAGAGAGGCATGAACCAATTTGAGTAGAGATGTCGATGCCATGTCCAAGAATCTCTCGGTCTACTCGGATTACCTGCAGTTGTAATTGAGATGGTTCCTAAAACACAGAAAACTTCCTACCTCAAGTGCTGATTCCTTCTGCTTTTCTGGCTAAGGGCTTTCTTCAGGACCACAAAGCTTGCTGGACCTATACACAGGGTGTTGCTGAAAGCCGGGTAACTGGATAAATAAACCAGTTTCCTCTTCCGTTGGTGAAACAATACTGAACATTCTTCATGGTTTCTCAAAAGATCCCCAGAGAAATTGAGTTCCAATTGTCAACACTTGTAAACAACTCAATCATGCTTTCTTTATTGGCTTTTCTTCTTTCTCTCTATTTCCTCACACCCTGTCTGTGCTTTCTGGGATTACTTCCTGAATAAAATATATGTAGTTATACCATTCTCTTGGGGTCTGATTTATGTAAACACAAACTAAGAAAGTGTCTTTCCTGCCTTAACACAACCAAGTATTTTTATGACTAGGTTTTTTTTCCTTAGCTACAGCTAAGGAAAACATTCTAGAAGTTCAGAAATACAGTGTAGGCCCAGTTCAGCACCTAAATGCAGATAGTTTTAATGAAAGTTTCATAGACTATTTTTGTATCAAATGTCTTCAAGATTAGTTCTATAGATATGAGGATCTTAGTCTCTGACATTTTACCTTTGAAACTGTAAAGCTTAACCTACCATTTAGCATAAAGAAAATTTTTTAATGTTCCAGGAACTATAACCATGAATTTGAGAAGACTATGCTTTGGGGAACCAAAAGACTTATCTTGTTTTCTGCACATCCTTGTTTCAGTCATTTTAGGAGGTATGTCATTATCTGTGGGGAGTGGCATTGCTCTGATAGGCCTTTCCAAAGCCAACGGAAAATGGAGACCACTTTAAATTTTCATTAGCTTCATCATGCCTCATCCTGCTTGTCATACTGCTTGCCTGCTATTAGAAGGCAATTACTTGATAAGCTCTTTTAGAGGAATGGAAACTATAAATGATGTTCACTTAGTGGCAACTTAAAAATCTGACCTCATTTCAGGCCCAGAGTTCTTGCTTCAGGAGAAGTCCAGAGAGAGGTTAGAGGCACCTCATCAAGATGGAAAGAAACTAGTTTCTGCTGGGACAGAACATTGTGAAAATTCCTAAATGACATCTTTCTCTCAAAACATCTGACATTTTGTTATTCTCATTCTTCAAGTGAGTAATCTTTGCATTGATTTTTAGATTATTTAAACTACCTTCTAATAGTAAAGTGACAAGACTTTACTGCTAAAATACATCTTCGTTCTATCTCTACTTTAAAAAGACTTATTTGGGTTTGCAAATCATCATTTTTACTTTCATGTGACTTTCTGTGGCTCCTCCAGAATACTCCCCACATTTTTACTATTGAATTCTGTGCCCATACTGACATCCCTTCTTCTTTAAGGCATAATAAACAGAAATAGCTAAGCCAAATGACAGCGCAGGAATCAAACTCAAAATTGTAAGAAGACTTTTCAGAATCTGCTCAGATAAAATAAAAGCATTGCTCCACCAAGTTGGACAGATGCTATGAACCATTAACATGTTTAAACTTTGGGAAAACTCATTTAAGTGTTTGTTGCTTGCTTAAACTTGCCTAGAGGACTCAGAATTAAACACATGCACACAATAAATAGCCACTTCATTTGGGAGACAGGTATTATACAACCAGAGAAGGAAATGAAATCAGGGTCAGATCCAGTGAATAAATGATATGTGCAAGGTGTACGCCATCACTGGGTAGACTCCTTAAAGAGATGACACTCATGATCCCACAAAAATTATACTAACCATGTGCCTACCCAACCTCTCTGCTCCTCCCAGTATTTCTAGTCAACTAAATACAAGAAAGACCATTTCATTTGGAGTAGGATTTCTGAGCCAGAGTCTCATCCAAGATGTTATTATTTTTTAAGGCAGTCATCTAAAACCTCAGCGTTAACATAGACTGGTGATTATACCAACAGCTCGAGCCAATCTAGAGAGGCTGAAGTGATTGCACACTGCTCTGACTTTAATGCCAGCTTTGTCTCCTGATACTAAGTCCTCAGAGAGCAGAGTGCGAGTGCTTAAATCAGGTACCACATAAATTAATTGAAGTCAGCGAGTTGCAAGTAACTCATCTAATCTGATATACCTCCATTTTTATTAGAAAGTAACAAATGAAAATAAACTAGCAGTGGTATTCTGTTCCATAAAATATGTTATTCATCTTTATGAGTTTTTAATATTTTAATATTGGATAGTTGCAATTCAAATTTTTCACACATTTGAAAAATTATTTTCCTTTGTTTATTTTTTATTTTTTATTTTTTATTTATTTATTTTTTTTTTGAGACAGAGTCTCACTCTGTCGCCCAGGCTGGAGGGCAGTGGCACAATCTCGGCTCACTGCAAGCTCTGCCTCCTGGGTTCAAGCCATTCTTCTGCCTCAGCCTCCTGAGTAGCTGGGACTACAAGCGCCCACCACCACATCCAGCTAATTTTTTCTGTTTTTAGTGGAGACAGGGTTTCACCATGTTAGCCAGGATGGTCTCGATCTCCTGACCTCGTGATCCACACGCCTCGGCCTCCCAAAGTGCTGGGATTACAGGCGTGAGCCACTGCGCCAGGCCTTTCCTTTATTTATTAGATAAATCTGCATAAATGAGCTAACGGGGGAAAAATTCTGAGTCATGCTTTTATCCAAGAATGAGCTGAAGTGGAGTACCCTACTTCACTACTCCCTAGTTGTACAACCATACATAGTCACCAAATCCCTCGAGGTCTCAGATGCCTTGTTTTCAAAGAGAGGAGATTGTCCTAGGTCATTTATATGGACCCTTCCAGCTCTACCATTCTATGATTAGCCAATAATTATAAATTTTCTATGTTGACATCAGATTTCAAGTTATTGTATTGTATTCCAAGGCAGAGGCAGAAGTTTCCTTATAAAAATGAGAAGATAGAATTAAATGTTCACCCAGAAATATCTGTCCACAATTACTTCCACTTGGTTTTGATACAGAACAAACCATTTAGATTTTCTAGTTAAGAGTTATAATTCAAGACAGCATAACTCATAGTTATATCTGTGCCACTATGTGCCTGGCACCATGCAATGTACTTTACACATATTGGCTCATTTGGTCTGCATGACAACTCTGTGAGGATATCAACTTAGAAAAAACAAACGACTCATCATTTATCTTGCCTGAAAAAGTGACTGAGGCCAGAACGGCTGGCTCCAAAGCCCATGCTCTTCAGTGCTGCATTACAGTGACTTAATTAGGGGAAAGAAGACAGCGTTACACTGGCATAGCCTTTCAGCAGGAAAATCCAGAAGCTTGTTTGGAAAAGCGTGTGTTGGTATTTCCCAAGGAGCAAAGAAGTACTAATGGATGTGCAGCAAAACCATGACAAACATCCATGATGATTTATTTACTATTTAATGTTCTCCCAATACACAAAGAGTAAGTGATTGCTTTAAGGACAGAAAACAAGTCTTTTTTATTATTATTATTATACTTTAAGTTCTAGGGTACACGTGCACAACGTGCAGGTTTTTTAACATATGTATACATGCACCATGTTGGTGTGCTGCACCCATTAACTCGTCATTTACATTAGGTATATCTCCTAATGCTATCCCTCCCCCCTCCCCCCACCCCATGACAGGCCCCGGTGTGTGATGTTCCCCTTCCTGTGTCCAAGTGTTCTCATTGTTCAATTCCCACCTATGAGTGAGAACATGCGGTGTTTGGTTGAGGACAGAAAACAAGTCTTATTTTAAAAATCCTTTTGATTTTTAATTTTTGTGAGTACATAGCAGGTGTATATATTTATGAGACACATGACATGTTTTGATACAGGCATGCAATGTGAAATAAGCACAGGATGGTGAATGGGGAATCTACCCTCTCAAGCATCTATCCTTTGAGTTACAAACAATTCAGCGACAATCTTTAAGTTATTTTAAAATGTACAATTAAGTTATTGACTACAGTCACCCTGTTGTGCTATAAAATAGTAGGTCTTATTCACTCTGGGTTTTTTTTTTGTACCACCCCCACTACCACCACCACCACCATACCCCTACTACCCTCCCCAGCCTCTGGTAACCATCCTTCTACCTTCTATGCCCGTGAGTTCCATTGTTTTGCATTTTAGATCCCACGAATAAGTGAGAACATGTGATGTTGGTCTTTCTGTGTCTGGCTTATTTCACTTAACACAATGACCTTCAGTTCCATCAGTGTTGTTGCAAATGACTAGATCTCATTTTTATAGCTAAATAGTACTCCATTGTCTATATGTACCACGTTTTCTTTATCCATCTTCTGCTGATGGACACTTAGGTTGCTTCCAAATCTTAGCTGTTGTAAACAGTGCAGCAATAAACATAGGGGTGTAGATATCTCTAAAACATACTGATTTCCTTTCTTTTGGGTATATACCCAGCAGTGGGATTGCTAGATCATATGGTAGCTCTATTTTTAATTTTTTGAGTAACCGCCTGACTGTTCTCCATAGTGGTTTTACTAATTTACATTTCCAAGAACAGGATACGAGGGTTCCCCTTTTTCCACCTCCTTGCCAACATTTGTTATTGCCTGTCTTTTGGATATAAGCCATTGTACCTGGGTTGAGATGATATCTCATTGTAGTTTTGATTTACATTTCTCTGATGTTAAATGATGTTGAGCACTTTTTCATATGCCTGTTTGCCATTTGTATGTGTTTTTTGGAGAAACACCTATTCAAATCTTTTGCCCATTTTTCAATCAGATTATTAGATTTTTCCCTTTAGAGTTGTTTGAGCACCTTATATATTCTGGTTTTTAATCTCTTGTCAGATGGGTAATTTGCAAATATTTTTCTCCCATTCTTTGGGTTATCTCTTCATTTTGTTGATTGTATCCTTTGCTGTGCAGAAGCTTTTTAACTTGATGTGATCCCATTTGTCCATTTTGCTTTGGTTGCCTGTGCTTGTGGGGTACTGCTTAAGAAACTTTTGACCAGACCAATGTCTTGGAGATTTTCCCAAATGTTTTCTTGTAGTAGTTTCATAGTTTGAGGTCTTAGATTTTAATCCATTTTGATTTGAGTTTTGCATATGGTGAGAGATAGGGGTCTAGTTTCATTCTTCTGCATATGGATATTCAGGTTTCCCAGCCCCATTTATTAAAGAGGCTGTCTTTAATAAAAGCCTTAAGAGCAAAACTGTGGTATCTCTGAGAAAAAAAAAAAGTTCTGTCTCTAGACTATGGTATCAGCTCCAGCTCCTACCCAAGAGTTTCCAGCCTGCCAGCCTGCCCTACAGATTTGAGACTTGCCATCCATAAGTTGATTCCTTGAAATGAATACACACACACACACTCACATACACACACACACACGTATATATTTATAAATTATTTTCATTGAGGGAGATGATAGAATTAGTGTTACAGTATTTCATACTTACTAAGCTAAATTCCATTTGTCAAGATAAAGACAGCAAGGAAGAAGGCTAGTTCAGGTACAAATAATGACTTTACTTGTAGACCTCTTGAATTTCGGTTACAGTCGTGAATCACTTAATGACAGGGATATGTTATGAGAAATGCATTGTTAGGTGATTTTTTTCATTTTGCAAACATCATAGTGTACTTACACAAACCTGCATTGTATAGCCTAATACAAACCTAGGCTATGTGGTATAGCCCACTTCTCCTAAGCTACATACCTGTACAACATGTTACTTCAATGCATACTGTAAACAATTGTAATACAATGGTATTCATGTATCTTAACTTATGAACATAAAATGTGCAATAGAAATAAAATGTGAAAGATAAAAAAAAATGGTATACTTGTATATGGCATTTACCATGAATGAAGCTTGCAAGACTAGAAGTTGTTCTGGATAAGTCAGTGAATCAGTAGTGAGTGACTATGAACATTAATGTACACTACTGTGGACCCTATAATACACTGTGAACTTAATAACACTGTACCCTTAAGGCTACACTAAATTTATTTTAAATTTTTTTCTTTCTTCAATCACACACTACTTAGATCACTGTATTTCTTTTACTTCATAAACTTTAATTTTTAAAACTTTGACTCTTTTGTAATAACATTTAGCTTAAAACACACATCACACAGCTGTACAAAATATTTTATATTTTTATTCCATAAGCTTTTATTCTATTTTTTAAAATTTATTTTTTTTTTTAGTTTTTAAACTTATTTGTTAAAATTAAGACACAAACACACACATTAGCCTAGGCCTACAGAGGGTCAGAATCATCAATATCACTGTCTTCCACCTCCACATCCTGTCCCACTGGAAGCTCTTTAGGGGCAATAACATGCATGAAGCTGTCATCTACTATGAAAACAATAACTTCTTCAGGAATACCTCCTGAAGGACCTGCCTGAGGTTCTTTTACACTTAACTTTTTTTAGTAAGTAGGAGTACATGCTAAAGAAACAATCAAAAGCATAGTGTAGTAAATACATAAACTAGGAACAGCCATTTATTCTGAAGTATTATGTACTGTACATAATTGTATGTGCTAATTTTTTTTTCTTAAAAACTAAGACACAAACACACACACGTCCGCCTAGGCCTATACAGGATTATCAAGACACTAATGGGCAATAGGAATTTTTCAGCTCAATTATAATCTTACGGGACCATCATTATATATGCAGTCTGTCATTGATGAAAATGTCATTATGTGGCACATGATTGCATATGGAAAATTCCAGCAGATATACTGAGGAGGCAGATAGAAATTCAAGTCTCATGTTGATAAGAGAAGTTATTCCAGTCAAAATATTATATTCAACCACAGTAAATGTAGTTTCTGGCTGCATAGATAGCACATATAACCCATATCTCTATAGAGGCTGAAATTTACACATTACAACTCACGTGCAAAAGAAATGTCTAGCTCTAATTATTCTTTGAACATAACTTACCTTCAAACCAATTTTACCCTAAATGCAAAATTTGCCTAGTAAAGATAATTCACCGTCTTCCCATTTAAGGCTGTTTCCTCTTGGGTAAATAGCCTCTCAAGTCAGAGTTGAAACCTCCTGTCAAAGCTGTTTCCTCCCTCTTCTAACTTTTCTTTCCCTAGAGCACCTGGATAAAGGTGAAAGTTCAAGTACCACCATGACAGTAAGAAGGGGGAAGAGAGAGGGTTGTTTCTGTGGCCCACAAGGTGCCCTCTAGATTCTAGCTGCCCTTCACTGAGATGTCATCTTCCTGCCTTGTTACTGAATATTCCATGCTTTTGTGTGCTTATAAATGAGCTAGATTTACTCAAGAGCCTGATAAATCTGGAATGAAATATTAGGTAAGTCACGTAGTAGCTGCAGGTCTTTGGGAAAGCTGCTTAACTTGACGAGTTTTATCTCACTCATCTGCAAAATAAGGTTCTTTCCTACATTCTAGGGTATAGTGAAAGAAACCAGTTGACTCATAGGAGTCCTCTTCCTACCACAACCATCTAAGCTATTAGCAGTAGCCATGACTAGTGACAAACTTTCATGTATTAAACAGCACTCTCCCTATCAGAAAATCGTGTGATAATAAAAAGCCTTCTAAGTTATTTTCCTCAGCAGAGCCTCTATAAAAATACTAAGATTTAGGTACTGCACTGCTTAATATTTTCTTGTGTTTTTTATATAACATTCTTTTTTTAAATCATACTTTACTTTTTATTTACACAAAATATTAATAAAATAAAATAAATTGGTCATTTCTTTGCAACATTTTATAACATTCTTCATATACACGATGAAGAGAGGAGAAAACCATAAGAAGACTAAATCTCTTAGTAGACAAACCTTTGTCCAAAATCCCATGGGCCTAGGCTGAAAGACATTTTTAGAAGACAAACACTTTTAGGATGACTAGACACAACAAGTAATCTTAGAGGTTTCATTAAAGGACTTCCCCTGGGTGGTTCAACTGCCAAAGGCTGACTTCAATGGTTCTCATCTCCCAAGTAAACCAAATGAAGTCCAATCATTTAACAATAAAATGTTCTCTTTCCCTTCATCTCATAGCTCTTCTACAGATTATGCAAGATTCTTTTTATGGCAACCAGTAATTAGCAAACCATACAAGAGACATCTGTGACATGAGTCATGAAGTCATAGCAATGACATCTTCAAGACACCCTAGTGTTCCTCAGTGTTTTTCTAAATCCATTCTAGGGGTGTCTGCTGATGGCTACCTGAACATCTTCAGTTTCAAAACACCTACCAGGAAAAGAAAAGAAATATTGCAGAACACAAAGAGGGGTGTGCTTTCTCAGGAAGCATGATTCTTGCATGTAATAAAATTTTTTTAAATCAGGAGAACTATGGTTGTTTAGTTGCTGCTGCCATTGTTGTTTTCTGAGAGCATGTCTTGCCTGCATCAGCATCATAGCTGCCAAAGCATTTTTAAATGACCCGTTTTTAGGGGTGAGGATGAGAGTGGAATTGGGTTCCAGGCTTGAATGAACCAAAATCCACTATGAGATACAATTACAATGTCTATTATGTTGACAGTAAGTACAGCCCTAGATTTTCTTGCCCAACCTCATTCATATTATTAGACTACCACTTTCCAAATGCAATTCAGAACCTGCCATCCAAACATTTTGAAGGGAGAATATTCCACAGTAATACATTATCACTTTTTCCTATGTGAAAACGCCAAATATCTCCCACCAGAAAGACAACTCTGTTTGCGTTTTTCAAAATAATTTACTCTTGTTCTTTTATTCTCTTCTGCTCCCCTGCATATTTTGAGCTATTTTTCCTCCTTCTCAAGCCATTGGTTTTATTAGTTCCTTCGTATGCATTTAACACTGAGCCTGGCAGGTTGCAGCAAGCAAAGCAGAAGATACAGGGGCAGTCAACTATCTGATTAAGGTGATTGTATTTAGGTCCAGTTAAATTTGCACTTCACATGCTTTTGGTGTGATTGCAGATTTCACAATAAAAGATTAAAAAAATACAAAAGTTCGATTTTAAAATGAAAAGGAACATGGCCAAAAAATTAAAATTAACACATCCATTAAGCTATTAAGTTCAGTCTCTCACAGTCAAAAATACAATAATAATTTCACATATCAAATTGGCAAGCAAAAATTTCTCTGAATTGAAAGTAGTGAAATATGCACACTTATATGCTTGGGAGTAAGAATTCCTAAAATCTTAGTGTCATTATGATTTAGCATAATTTTTAGTATTATGAAGGACCTTGATCTATTTTTACAAGTAATTCTACTTGTAGGAATTTATTCTAATAATCAAAGACACATATAAAAATTTATTTTTATTATTTATAACAAAAAAATTCAAAAATTGAAGACTGGTAAAGCAAATTGTGGGATACCCATATAATATATATATTTTTTAATTCTGGGGTACATGTGCAGGATGTGCAGGTTTGTTACATAGGTAAATGTGTGCCATGGTGGTTTGCTGCACCTATTAACCAATTACCTAGGTATTAAGTTTTACATGCATTACTTTTTTCCTAATGCTCTCCCCACCACCGCCCTGCCCCAACAGGCTCCCATGTGTGTTGTTCCCCTCCCTTGTCCATGTGTTCTCATTGTTCAGCTCCCACTTATAAGTGAGAACATGTGGTGTTTGGTTTTCTGTTCCTGCATTAGATTGCTGAGGATAATTGCTTCCAAATTCATCCATGTCCCTGCAAAGGATATGATCTTGTTCCTCTATATGGCTGCATAGTATTCCACAGTGTATATCTACCACATTTTCTTTATCCAGTCTATCAGTGATGGGCATTTGGGTTGATTCCACATCTTTGCTATTTTGAATAGTGCTGCAATGAACATACATGTGCATGTATCTTTATAATGAAATGATTTATATTCCTTTGGGTATACACCCCATAATGGTATTGCTGGGTCAAATGGTATTTCTGGTTCTAAATCTTTGAGGAATCGCCACAGTGCCTTCCACAATGGTTGAACTCATTTACATTCCTACCAACAGTGTAAACACATTCCTATTCCTCCGCAACCTTGCCAGCATCTGTTGTTTCTTAACTTTTTAATAATTGCCATTCTGACTGGCATGAGATGGTATCTCATTGTGGTTTTGATTTGCATTTCTCTAACGATGAGCTTTTTTTCATCTGTTTCTTGGCCGCCTGTCTTCTTTTGAGAACTGTCAGTTCATGTCCTTTGCCCATTTTTTAATGGGATTGTTTGTTTTTCTCTTGTAAATTTGGTTAAGTTCCTTGTAGACTCTGGATATTAGATCTCTGTCAGATGGATAGATTGCAAAAGTTTTCTCACATTCTATAGGCTGTCTGTTTGCTCTGATGATAGTTTATTTTGCAGTGAAGAAGCTCTTTAGTTTAATTAGATCCCATTCATCAATTTTTGCTTTTGTTTCAATTGCTTTTGGCAATTTCATCATAAAGTGTTTGCCCATGCCTATGTCCTGAATGGTATTGCTTAGATTTTTTTCTAGGCTTTTTATAGTTTTGGGTTTTACATTTAAGTCTTTAATCCATCTTGAGTTAATTTTTGTATATGGTGTAAGGAAGGGGTCCACTTTCAATTTTCTCCATATGGCTAGCCAGTTCTCCAAGCACCATTTGTTAAATAGTGAATACTTTCCCCATTGCTTGTTTTTGTCAGGTTTGTCAAAGATCAGATGGTTGCAGATCTGTGGTTTTACTTCTGAGTTCTCTGTTCTGTTCCATTGGTCTATGTGCCTGTTTTTGTACCAGTACCATGCTGTTTTGATTACTGCAGACTTATAGTATAGTTTGAAGTCAGGTAGTGTGATGCCTCCAGCTTTGTTCTTTTTGCTTAAGATTGTCCTGGCTATACAAGCTCCTTCTTGTTCTATATGAATTTTTAAATAGTTTTTTATAATTCTGTAAAGAATGTCAATAGTAGTTTAATGGGAATAGCACTGAATCTCTAAATTGCTTTGGGCAGTATGGCCATTTTCATAATATTGATTCTTCCTATCCATGAGCATGGAATGTTTTTCCACCTATGATGATTTTTTAAAATCATCTTAAAATCAACTTTTAAGAGGAAAAATATGTAAGAAAGTGATCATACTTGGTGAAAAATGTAGGCTATAAAATTATATAGAATGCTTATCTCCTTTTAAGAAATAAATTATTTTCTTGGCAATGTCCCTTAAAAAGTTATATTTATTTGTATATATGCATCTGTAATATAATATAATGGTATATATACATATGTGTATATTTATACACTTTAACTCAGTAAATAAATTTCTGCTCATCTGTCTTGAGAAACGAATTCTTCCAGGTAAAAAGATCTTTATTAATAATTATTAATTACTAATAATACTAAAAATATTAGAAATATGAATACTTGAGCAAGCAATAATAGAATGCAACCATCAAAGAAGCAATAAAGATAATGTAATAACAAATGTTTGTAATTCAAATACTACTAGACTGAAAAGATACTTAATGAATATAATTACAACTAAGAAAAACATGTATGCAGAGGAAACATAATAGGCTATAAATAACAACTCAAACCAACAAAAGTGGTTATGTTAAAAAGAAATGACCTTTGGGTTTTTCTTTTTTTCTATATTTCTTTAGTTTGTTGAAATTTTCCTAATAGATATAATAAAATGCCAAAAAAATTTAAGAAAAACATTGAGAAGAAGTGACAGAAGGTTTAACTGAAACAGAAAGGCTTAGCTTAGAGCAACTGAGAAATATGATGAGAACCCAAGAGTGAGGAAAAAGCCACATAAGGAATTTCTCTGCTTATAAGGGGAGCAATGGGATCTGAAGCTCAGTTAGTGAGGGGTGCACCAGCACAAAGGGACTGCAAATGCCTCAACAACTTGGGACCCTAAAAAAGTATTAAGTTTGGTTTTGAAATGTGATGATCTATCATGGAAGAAAATTAGGGATTGGCAAAAGAGAAGACATTGATGTTAATACTTTTAACACACTTCAGTCAGATAAGGTTGTGGATTTTAACTTTCATCCAGTTTTTTTAGGACTCACATCTAAGTTTTGCTAATTGTGGAAAATGCATTACTTTTTGAGGTGCATTCCAAGTAGGAAAATGAGGAAAAGTCCCCAAAGACAATTTCATGGTAACCAAAGTTAAAAAAATTGAGCAAATGTAGAAAAAAATGCCAATATTAAACCATGAAATACCTATTCCCAGATTATCAAAAGCAGAACTGTGTGTGCCAATCCTTGGAGCTATTACTATCATGCTTGGTTAGACAAAGCAAAAAAAGTATACCATAGCAGTCTTGGCTACTAACCCAGTTCTAGCTAAAAGTAAAACCTGAACTAAGTATAGAATAAGGTAAAGACATGACCAAGAATTGCAATGGAATCCTTCACCCTGACAACAAATTTTAGATTTATATTTATTGAGTTTTCACAGATGGCAGAGACCTACCTTAGGTAGTAGGCATGGTCTCATCATAAAGCAACTTTTAAAGTAAAAATTTCATGTCGCAAAACAGGCTAAGCAAATTAGCGTACCACTTAGCTATATCTGGACTTGGGAATGCTTCCTGAACTTGCTGCTTTACCATAAGAACACCATGCACTGAGTTACCCTGATTTTGAGATTTTTTCAGATAGAAAACATGGTTTCAAGCCAAGATGACAAAGAAGGAAACTGAAGACTGAACACTAAAACTCTACCCATAAGTAGATACAAATATTTATTTACACAATGTTTACTGTGAACATTAGGTGCTTACTCAAGACAGAGAAACAAATTGAGTTTGATTCATAAGTGCTGAAGGAGTAGACAGAAGAGAGACAGACTATGTCATCTGATCATTTTCCACTCTCTTTGGAAGTGCTGGATGTTCTTGATCTCCACACTAGCTTCACTTGCTATCCCCAGTGCCAAATACAGAGGGTATAAGAAGTTCCTAGTGTTGTCCAAACAGATGCTGATGATGATAGACCCCATGCTGCTGGAATCGAGCGTCACTGGTCTGGATAAGTCCAGCAGGCCTTTGCAGAAGTCAAGAATGTTATAGAGATCCCAGGTATCAGAGTCTGGCCTGGTCATCCTGGACCTCACAAACCTCTCAAACACAAAGGGCTGGCATAGAATGTACTGATTCTCTCTCTTCAGTTCCCCCTCTAGGAGGCTGATGGCTGCCCAGGCCCTGTGGTCTTCTCCCCTCAGGACATACACTGTGTTAACCACAATCTTGGGTATGATAAGGGGAAATTTACCAGAGGTGGCAAGTTGCTGGATGATTGCAAGACGCTCGCAGAAGGCCCAGAGTTTGCGAAACAGGTAAGGGTTCAAGGCTGACTGAGTCTAGAGGCCCCTGAGGTCTTCACGAATTGTGCCACTTCATGCTAAAGCCAGAGCTGGACCATATCTTTGGAAAACAGAGTCCTTGAAGTTCTCCCTGGAAGCTGCTGAGATGGGTTTTCTGCTCCTTCAAGTGTAGTGCTCACAAAGACACCCATCTTAGGGTTAAACCTCAAGAACTGTCCAGGGAGTCTAGTTACAAAGTAGCTAATGCTTCTGGGGAAACAGAGGCACACAGCAGCTTCATCCTGATTGCTGAATGGAGGTGGGACCTGCCCTAAATCCACCCTTTCCTGGGAAGCCTGCAGGGGAGACAACCAGAACAGAGCAATATCCTCAAGAAGTTGCAGCAACCTGGGGATGTTGGAACCTTTTTTTGTTGTTGTTGTTGTTGCAACTGAAGTTACATTTATTAGGTTGAGCAAAGATTTTCTTGCTTTTGGACTAGACCACTGAGAAATCATGACTTCCCTCAGACTTTCCTGTTTCTACTGGTTTATGTATTCTTTGCTACTGTGGTGCTGTTGACATCCTCAGGGCCAGCAATCAGTGAAATCCATCCAACCAGTGAACAAAGATCCTTCTGAGAGCAGCTAACAGATTATGTGTCAGATCATTCCTGCCTCTGATATTCTGCCAGATCTACTGTATATAAAATTGTAGATATCTGAAGGCTGCCTTTCATTTGTGATCCCCTTATTCGGGGTGTAATATTTCTGTTGTGTACTTCCACTATTGGAAATTGTCTCAGCTTCCAAATACTAGGGCTAAAAAGTTCTTCAATTTTTTCAACTGCTTCTTGTTCCTCAGTGCTCCTTTACAAAAAAATCATTAGATCTTCTTAAATGAAACTTTTGATAAATGTACTTTTGTACTGAAGTTAAACCACTAACATATTATTTTAGATTAAACCTCTCACCTCCCGCACCCACTTTTCAGGTATAGATGTCTGATATAGAAGTATATTATTGCTTATGGGGTTTGAAAGCTTGATTGAGCCCATTTCAGGATTGCTTTATCCTGATTAAAGAGTCCAGGAGAATGGTAAGTCATATTCAGAGTTTGTGGCTAGTGATAATGTTGAACAGTATTGGGAATAACACGTGTTAATCCAAACAGAATTACAGTTGACGCTTGAACAACATGGGGGTTAGGGATGCTCACCCCTATGCAGTCATATAATTTTTGTTCACATATAATTTTTGAATCCCCCAAAACTTAACTACTAAGAGCTACTATTGACTGGAAGCCTTACCAATAACATAACTAGTCAATTAACACATATTTTGTCTGTTACATGTATTATATACTATCTTCTTACAATAAAGTAAGCTAGAGAAAAGAGAACATTGTTATTAAAATCATAAGGAAGAGAAAATATATTTACCGTTTTTTAAGTGGGAGTGGATCATTATAAAGCTCTTCATCTTTGTCATCTTCATGTTGAGTAGACTGAGTAGGAGGAGAGAGAGGGGAAGTTGGTCTTGTTCTTTCATGGGTGGCAGAGGAAGAAGAGGTGAGAAGGTGGAGGGGGAGGCAAGAAAGACAGGCACATTCTGTGTAAGTTTAATTTTAAAAAATCACGTATAAGAGGACCTGTGCAGTTCTAACCCATATTATTCAAGGGTTAACTATACTCTTTCCAGTAATTCTTGAGTGGCTTAATTCTTCTTGATGGCCATCAACTTTTCTCAGAAATGGTACTGTCTAAGTAACTCTGTGGATTTATAGACATTTAAAAAGAATAAGAAACTCAGAAATGAATATTATTGGAACCTTTACAGCTCTGCAATAGGTCATGCAGATGGTGGGACAGGCCAAGGCCTGGCTCCTGAAGGCCTCCCACTGAGGGAAGCAGGTTCAGGAGCATCAACAGGTGGTCCCACAGGCTACGTGGACTCTACTAACGTGAGTTGAGGAGGTTGTGGCTGGCAAAGAGCCAGCCAAGCATCACCTTGATGGTGGGCAGCAGTACCTCCCACAGAGAGGATCTTCAATTTCTTTTTAATGGTCTGGAGAGTATTGTGAAACTGGCCAATGGAGGCATTCTGCCCCAAATAGGAGCCAGTTGGAGGCTCTAGCTCAAAAAAGCTGCTCATATCATCCTTGTACTTAATGCCAGATGCACTGGAGGAGGCAGGGCTCAGCTGAGACTGAGGCCTCAGAATACCGTGAACTGAAGGCAGGAGCCAAGCACAAGCCAGGTTTCACTTGGAGCTTTTGGCTCAATGGGGCTGGTAGGGTGGCAGAAATTGTTGTTTTCAGCAGATCTGGGAGATGATGGAGAGGTTTATGTGCCCTTCACTTATCCCTGGGATAAACAGCTTTACATTTGGATGTGGCCCCACTTTCCTGTACTGCTTCTGGATTTGGGAAGCCAGTCTCTTCTTCATCAGTTGTATCTGAATGAAAGTCTCTCAATGCTTGTTTCTGAGTGGACCTGTGAACTTAAGGATGTGTTTTCCTATTCATCTGTTTCAACCGACTCACAGTAAGAATGAAAATTAGCTTCCGAGTTGTAGCCCTCACTAGAAACACAAGACAGCCTGTGTTTTTTCTGTGATTTTCTGTAGTGGGGCCCAGGACAGGGAGCTGGAAAGTCTTGTTGCCCCTCCCTAAACTTTTCAATCCTGACTTCCATCACCAGGGACAGCAACCTCTGCAGCCAGCTTGTTTATCTGGATCTCAGCCTGGATTCGTGCATCCACATGTTGAATGAGATGAGAGAAAGTCAAGGTGAAGATGACTGCTGGCCTGTGCTGTTTTAAGCCTGTTTTCCTCAGGCTGTTCACATTCATGAGTCAAAGAAGCCCCATGTGGAAGATGAGGAGGTCTAGGAGAAACAAATCGCCTCTTAGGAGCTTTCACTTCATGGACGCTCAGCTTGGGTAAGATGGACATGGCCGATAGGAAAGACAGAGACAAGTCTTCCAGAAGTAGCAGAAGTAGCAGAACTAGCTATCAACTTGACTGCTGTGAATTTCCTTTGAGGCTGCAGAAGGCTCTGAAGATAGAGGAAGCTAACCAGTAACCTTTGGTTATCCCAACACTGCCTCTGCTTGGGGGACACTTTCTTTCCCTGGTACATTTTCAGATGGCTGTACCTTTTCCCTGCATGATCAAAGAGCCCTTTGAGGCTCCAAGATGCCCCTTTAAAAGGCACTTCTGAGTAGAGCCAGTGCTGATAGAAGTACATGGATTCAATGTCATGGTATTTATTCCCTGTGATAGCTCCCAACAGGTTGAAAGGCATTCCCATGTGCAGGGCCACTGACAGGGCTCTATAATAACATCTCTCTGCCAAGTTCTTGGTGACCAGAGGTAGGATCTCCCTCTGGTAGCAGAACAAGTCTCTCAGGTACAGCAGGCAGTGATGGCAGGTCATTCAAGCCCAGGTGACCTCTTCCTCTGAGGTGGGCCCCACTTTCTTACAATCAAATGAATCGTGCTGTGAGGCCAATCTATATAGCTCTGTAACTTCAGCTCGTAGTGATCCTAAAGGAATAGGGAGATATGTTCATAGAACGTAAGGCTGCCTTTCAGATGAGTCTGCAAGGGGCCTTTCAGTGTTAGAAAGTGCCCATGTGTCAGAATGCTGGTCATTAGCAGCATGACAGCCTCAGAGTACATTTTCCTCCTTAACAGCTCTTCTGTTCTCCTCCCATAAGCCATGAGGTACTAGAACACGAATTTAATGCAGATGTGCTGAACCAGATCCCGAAGGGCCAGGACATGAGGCTTAAGTACCACTTTGTGAACATTTCCTTTTTGAAGAAACAGGTCAAGACACTGAGCTGCCAAACAAACAAACCTAGTAGAGGAGTTTGGTGTTCAGGGTGTCTGCCTGGCTTCTCTCCATGGACCTGGACTCTTCTGTGATGCTTAAGTTTGCCTTCTGAGAAAATACAGAAACTACCTACTAATGCTCACCCACAGAGACTAAAAACAACCATCATCATCACCATCAGAACAAAAGAGTGGGGATACTTAAGGCCCAGTTAGATAGAGCAGGTAACTCCTGCTTCTCCTTTAGCTCTCAGTTAAAGTTAAATGAAATGCTTCCCTTTCACACTGCACTGGCCTCCTTTGGGTTTCTTGGACTCACTTGGTTGTGAATTTTTCTTGATTTTGTTTCTCTTACCATGGCACATCTATTTAAATTATTTATCATTCTTTCTGATAACCTAGATCACAAAGTTCCCCGAGGGCATGGTCTGAGCCATTTCACCATTGTGTCTCTCCCCTACTTAACAATACCTGATTCAAGTGAATGCTCAGTAAATACCAGTAACTGATGATCCTGCCGAATGTCAGTTCCTTAAATATAATGATCAATTACATGGTTACAATGTGTAAAAGGACTTCATTTTACTATTTAATATACATGTCTAAAGTGATGTAAAATTGTAGGTAATTTCCATAAACTGCAATGCAAAAGAAAGAGGGGAAAAAAAACTCTCATACCAAAATTTAAGTTTAATCAACCTTGTGGGTTCTTTGGGGAATTCATCCTAGATTCTAGTCAAATATATTTATAATATAAATAATATTTAATGAAAAAAATATAAAATTTCTTATCCCTGAGTAAAGTTTGCTTTTAGACTCTTGGGAGAGAGGGAGAAGAGAAATACATATCTTGTAATACAAACAGAATTCATACAAAATAAAATACAAAGAGTAGAGGGACCATTCAAAGATGGCCAAACAGGAACAGCTCTGGTCTGCAGCTCCCAGCGTAATCAATGCAGAAGACAGGTGATTTCTGCATTTCCAACTGAGGTACCTTGTTCATCTCATTGGAATTGGTTGGACAGTGAGAGCAGCCCACTGAGGGTGAGCTGAAGCAGGGCAGGGCTTGACCTCACCCGGGAAGTGCAAGGGGTCAGGGGATTTCCCTTTCCTAGCCAAGGGAAGCCGTGACAGACTGTACCTGGAAAAACGGGACACTCTCGCCCAAATATTGTGCTTTTCCCACAGTCTTAGCAACCGGCAGACCAGGAGATTCTGTCCCGTGCCTGACTCAGTGGGGTCCACACCCATGGAGCCTTGCTCACTGCTAGGGCAGCAGTCTGAGATTGACCTGCAAGGCTGCGGTATGGCTGGGGGGAGGGGCATCCACCATTGCTGAGGCTTGAGTAGGTAAACAAAGTGGCTTGGAAGCTTGAACTGGGCGGAGCCCACCACAGCTCAGCAAGGCCTACTGCCTCTATAGACTCCACCTCTGTGGGCAGGGCACAGCTGAACAAAACACAGCAGAAACTTCTGCAGACTTAAATGTCCTTGTCTGACAGCTCTGAAGAGAGCAGTGGTTCTCCCAGAATGGCGTTTGAGCTCTTAGAATGGACAGACTGCCTCCTCAAGTGGGTCCCTGGCCCCACGTAGCCTAACTGGGAGACAACTCCCAATAGGGGCCAACAGACACCTCATACAGGCAGGTGCCCCTCTGGGATGAAGCTTCCAGAGGAAGGATCAGGCAGCAATATTTGCTGTCTGCAATATTTGCTGTTCCACAGCCTACACTGGTGATACCCAGGCAAACAGGGTCTGGAGTGGATGTCCAGCAAACTCCAACAGATCTGCAGCTGAGGGACTTGACTGTTAGAAGGAAAACTAATAAACAGAAAGGAATAGCATCAACATCAACAAAAAGATCATCTACAACAAAACCACATCTGTAGGTCACCAACATCAAAGACCAAAGGTAGATTAAACAACAAAGATGGGGAGAAACCAGAGCAGAAAACCTGAATATTCTAAAAACCAGAGTGCCTATTCTCCTCCAAAGAATTGCAGCTCCTTGCCAGCAAAGGAACAAAGCTGGATGGAGAATGACTTTGACGAGTTGACAGAAGTAGGCTTCAGAAGGTCAGTAATAACAAACTTCTCAGAGCTAAAGGAGCATGTCCTAACCCATCACAAGGAAACCAAAAACCTTGAAAAAACGTTAGACGAATGGCTAACTAGAATAAACAGTCTAGAGAAGACCTTATATGACCAGATGGAGCTGAAAACCATGGCAAGAGAACTTCGTGACTCTTGCACAAGCTTCAATAGCCAATTCAATCAAGTGGAAGAAAGGGTATCAGTGATCGAAGATCAAATTAATGAAATAAAGTGAGAATACAAGATTAGAGAAAAAAAGTAAAAAGTAACCAACAAAGCCTCCAAGAAATATGAAACTATGTGAAAAGACAAATCTATGTCTGATTGGTGTACCTGAAAGTGATGGGGAAAATGGAACCAAGTTGGACAACACTCTTCAGGATATTATCCAGGAGAACTTCCCCAACCTAGCAAGAGAGGCCAACATTCAAATTCAGGAAATACAGAGAACACCACAAAGATACTCTTCAAGAAGAACAACCCCAAGGCACATAATTGTCAGATTCACCAAGGTTGAAATGAAGGAAAAAATGTTAAGGGCAGCCAGAGACAACGGTCGGGTTATGTACAAAGGGAAGCCCATCAGACTAATGGCGGATCTCTCAGCAGAAACCCTACAAGCCAGAAGAGAATGGGGGCCAATACTCAACATTCTTAAAGAGAAGAATTTTCAATCCAGAATTTCATATCCAGCCAAACTAAGCTTCATAAGTGAAGGAGAAATAAAATCCTCTATAGGCAAGCAAATGCTGACAGATTTTGTAAACCACAAGGCCTGCCATACAACACCACCTGAAGGAAGCACTAAACATGGAAAGGAATAACCGGTACCAGCCACTGCAAAAACATGCCAAATTGTAAAGAACATTGAAGCTGGGAAGAAACTGCATCAAATAACAGGGAAAATAACCAACTAACATCATAATGACAGGATCAAATTCACACATAACAATATTAACATAAATGTAAATGGCCTAAATGCCCCAAATTAAAAGACACAGACTGGCAAATTGGATAAAGAGTCAAGACCAATCAGTGTGCTGTATTCAGGAGACCCATCTCATGTGCAGAGACACACATAGGCTCAAAATAAAAGGATGGAGGAAGATATACCAGGCAAATAGAAAGCAAAAAAAAAAAAGCAGGGGTTGCAATCCTAGTCTCTGATAAAACAGACTTTAAACCAACAAAGATCAAAAGAGACAAAGAAGGCCATTACATAATGGTAAAGGGATCAATTCAACAAGAGGAGCTAACTATCCTAAATATATATGCACCCAATACAGGAGCACCCAGATTCATAAAGCAAGTCCTGAGTGACCTACAAAGAGACTTAGACTCCCACACAATAATAATGGGTGACTTTAACACCCCACTGTCAACATTAGACAGATCAACGAGACAGAAAGTTAACTAGGATACCCAGGAATTGAACTCAGCTCTGCACCAAGCGGACCTAATAGACATCTACAGAACTCTCCACCCCAAATCAACAGAATATACATTCTTCTTAGCACCACATCACACTTATTCTAAAATTAACAACATAATTGGAAGTAAAGCACTCCTCAGCAAATGTCAAAGAACAGAAATCACAACAAACTGTCTCTCAGACCACAGTGCAATCAAATTAGAGCTCAGGATTAAGAAACTCACTCAGAACTGCAGCACTACATGGAAACTGAACAACCTGCTCCTGAATGACTACTAGGTACATAACAAAATGAAGGCAGAAACCAAGATGTTCTTTGAAACCAATAAGAACAAAGACACAATGTACCAGAATCTCTGGGACATATTAAAAGCAATGTGTAGAGGGAAATTTATAGCACTAAAGGCTGACAAGAGAAAGCAGGAAAGATCTAAAATTGACACCCTAACATCACAATTAAAAGAGCTACACAGGCAAGAGCAAAAAAATTCAAAAGCTAGCAGAAGGCAAGAAGTAACTAAGATCAGAGCAGAACTATAGGAGATAGAGACACAAAAAACCCATCAAAAATCAATGAATCCAAGAGCTGGTTTTTTGAAAAGATCAACAAAATTGATAGACTGCTAGCAAGACTAATAAAGAAGAAAAGAGAGAAGAATCAAATAGACACAATAAAAAATAATAAAGGGGATATCACCACCGATCCCACAGAAATACAAACTACCATCAGAGAATACTATAAACACCTCTAAGCAAATAAACTAGAAAACCTAGAAGAAATGGATAAATTCCTGGACACATACACCCTCCTAAGACTAAACCAGAAAGAAGTTGAATCTCTGAATAGATCAATAACAGGCTGTGAATTTGAGGCAATAGTTAATAGCCTATCCACCAAAAAAAAGTCCAGGACCAGACAGATTCACAGCCAAATTCTACCAGAGGTACAAAGAGGAGCTGGTAACATTCCTTCTGAAACTATTCCAATCAATAGAAAAAGAGGGAATCCTCCCTAACTCATTTTATAAGGCCAGCATCATCCTGATCCTGAAGCCTGGCAGAGACACAACAAAAAAAGAGAATTTTAGACCAATATCCCTGATGAACATCAATGCAAAAATCCTCAATAAAATACTGGTAAACCAAATCCAGCAGCATGTCAAAAAGCTTATCTACCACAATCAAGTAGGCTTCATCGCTGGCATGCAAGGCTCGTTCAACATATGCAAATCAATAAACATAATCCATCACATAAACAGAACCAATGACAAAAACCACATAATTATCTCAATAGATGCAGAAAAGGCCTTCAACAAAATTCAACAGCCCTTCATGCTAAAAACTCTCAATAAACTAGGTATTGATGGAACATATCTCAAAATAATAAGAGATATTTATGACAAACCCACAGCCAATATCATACTGAATGGGCAAAAACTGGAAGCATTCCCTTTGAAAACTGGCACGAGACAAGGATGCCCTCTCTCACCACTCCTATTCAACATAGTGTTGGAAGTTCTGGCCAGGACAATGAGGCAAGAGAAAGAAATAAAGGGTATTTAATTAGGAAAAGAGGAAGTAAAATTGTTCCTGTTTGCAGATGACATGATTGTATATTTAGAAAACCCCATCGTCTCATCCCAAAATTTCCTTAAGCTGATAAGCAACTTCGGCAAAGTCTCAGGACACAAGATCAATGTGCAAAAATCACAGGCATTCCTATACACCAATAACAGACAAACAGAAAGCTAAATCATGAGTGAACTCCCATTCACAATTACCATAAAGAGAAGAAAATACCTAGGAATCCATCTTACAAGGGATGTGAAGGACCTCTTCAAGGGGAACTACAAACCACTGCTCAACAAAATAAAAGAGGACAAAAACAAATGGAAGAACATTCCATGCTCATGGACAGGAAGAATCAATATCCTGAAAATGGCCATACTGCCCAAGGTAATTTAAAGATTCAATGCCATCCCCATCAAACTACCAATGACTTTCTTCACAGAATTAGAAAAACTACTTTGAAGTTCATATGGAACCATAAAAGAGCCCACGTTGCCAAGACAATCCTAAGCAAAAAGAACAAAGCTGGAGGCATCATGTTACCTGACTTCTAACTATACTACAAGGCCACAGTAACCAAAACAGCATGGTGCTGGTACCAAAACAGAGATGTAGACCAATGGAACAGAACAGAGCCCTCAGAAATAACACCACACGTCTACAACCATCTGATCTTTGACAAACCTGACAAAAACAAGAAATAGGGAAAGGATTCCCTATTTAATAAATGGTGCTGGGAAAACTGGCTATCCATATGTAGAAAGCTGAAACTGGATCCCTTCCTTACACCTTATACAAAAATTAATTCAAGATGGATTAAAGACTTAAATGTTAGACCTAAAACCAAAAAACCCTAGAAGAAAACCTAGGCAATACCATTCAGGACACAGGCATGCGTAAGGACTTCATGTCTAAAACACCAAAAGCAATGGCAACAAAAGCCAAAATTGACAAATGGGATCTAATTAAACTAAAGAGCTTCTGCACAGCAAAAGAAATTACCATCAGAGTGAACAGGCAACCTACAGAATGGGAGAAAATTTTTGCAATCTATACCCCATCTGACAAAGGGCTAATATCCAGAATCTACAGAGAACTTCAACAAATTTACAAGAAAAAAACAAACAACCCCATCAAAAAGTGTGCAAAGGGTATGAACAGGCACTTCTCAAAAGAAGACATTTATGCAGCCAACAGACACATGAAAAAATACTCATCATCACTGGTCATCAGAGAAATGCAAATCAAAACCACAATGAGATACCATCTCACACCAGTTAGAATGGCGATCATGAAAAAGTCAGGAAACAACAGATGCTGGAAAGGATGTGGAGAAAAAGGAACACTTTTACACTGTTGGTGGGGTGTATTAGTTCGACCATTGTGGAAGACAGCGTGACAATTCCTCAAGGATCTAGAACTACAAATACCATTTGACCCAGCGATCCCATTACTGGATATATACCCAAACGATTATAAATCATGCTACTATAAAGACGCATGCACATGTATGTTTATTGCGGCATTATTCACAATAGCAAAGACTTGGAACCAACCCAAATGCCCATCAATGATAGACTGGATAAAGAAAATGTGGCACATATACACCATGGAATACTATGCAGCCATAAAAAAGGAAGAGTTCATATCCTTTGCAGGGACATGGATGAAGCTGGAAACCATCATTCTCAGCAAACTGTCACAAGGACAGAAAACCAAACACCGTATTTTCTCACTCATAGGTGGGAACTGAACGATGAGAACACTTGGACACAGGGCAGAGAAAATCACACACCAGGGCCTGTTGTGGGGTGGGGGGCTAGGGGAGGGATAGCATTAGGAGAAATACCTAATGTAAATGACAAGTTGATGGGTGCAGCAAACCAACCTGGCACATGTATACCTATGTAACAAACCTGCACGTTGTGCACGTGTACCCTAGAACTTACAGTATAAAAATAAATAAATAAAAACTGAAGGAAAAATTTTTTTAAAAAGACAATACAAAGAGTAAACACAAAATAGAAAATGTCTTGCTTTTCCTCATAATAAAAAAAGCAAATTATAGCAAACTTGAGGTAACAATTTAATCACATCAGAGTATTAAAATATATTTTAAATTATAATATTTGATACTCCAGGCCATGGTGAAACTTTATTATATACTTACACAGCTCGTAGCATTGAACGTTTCAAAATTATTCATTTATAAAAACATTTATGTTTATGTCCTTTTACCCAACAACCCTACCTATAGAAATGATTGCTAAAGAAACACACTTAACAAAAGCCAAATCCACATTAACAAAAGGTCTACTCCAAATGTATCTTTAATAAGAAGGAAGGAAATTAAAATTAACTTAATATTCTACAATGAATAAATTGCTTATATATATTTATGTATAAAATCACTAAGTCCATTATATTTAATAATTAATGTAGACTTATAGAAACCACAGGTACTTCGAAAAAGAGTGGAACACAAAACAATATATATACTGAAAAACTACATCTTCAAAAACTAAAATCTAATCTGTAAAAATTTAAAGAGGTTAGTGTGATAATGGCTTGTCCTCTCCCTGCCAAAAGATTCTTGGAACTGTTATTATTGATCATTCTTTTTTTTACCATTATAATATTCAGTTTAATTCCAATCCTGTTTTCCTCCAGACTTATCTGATAAGCCTATCTAAACAGTATATGTTATGGTAGTCATAGGTGTACTTTACCAGTTGCTAATAACTGCATCTGATCATGATTTCTAAGTTTATTTGAGAATCTGCGGCATTAATTAATTAATTAATTAATCTGCAGGTAATTAATCACCTGCCATAAAGATTTGATTCAATAGCTCAATAGCCTTAAATGTCTACTACATAAGACTCATTGAATATGTACAATATCCATTTGGTTTTAGCAGAGCTAGAACAGCATATAAAAGTGCCTATGATCTGTTTATTACTAGGGTGTGAAAAGTTGAGAAGAAAGAGAGCTGGGAGCAGAGAGAGAGAGAGGATTCGGGCAGGAGGGCAAGGACACAGCCAGAACACATTGTTGAACCAGCAGTTTGGAGTTCACAATCTCCAAAGCAGCACAGAGGTCTTTCCTGGACAAGGAAATAAATAGCTAGCCTGGCATTTCTCAGTTCTGAGAAAGCTAACTGAAGGAAGGGGAAGAACCTACTGAATAGATATCTGGAGAAGACAGACCTGTGTTAGATTAAAACACACATACATGCACACACACAAATTTTACTAAAAGAAAATGTAGTTTTCTATCAAGCCTAGGAGTCAGAGGTTAGAAGGCACAAGCTAGAGAGAAAAAAAGTTTAAGCCCTAAAATCTATTAGAACATTTTAGGATAAATGGATTTCGCTTGAAAGCAGATAAGAATAGGAACTGACTGAAGTATTTTATACCAGCTTCTTCTCCTTTCCCCTTAAACTCTAAACACACCTAGTGACTTCAAATGGCAAAGTTTTTATGTAGCCCTACTGGGACCCTACCTGGGCAGCTGTGGAAAATCTGCTTGCAAAGAGTGTAGGCCTAGAGCCACTCAGGTTGGAACTGGGCTCACAACAGGAATAGAGACCTCCTTTCCCATCCCCAACCCCATCTTTGCCAGCTCCGATGCAAGGACAGGACCTCAGATGTTAGAATAATTTTGTAATCCTCATAACCCTGAACTGGGATGAAACATGGATATAGATACACTTAGATTACATCAAACTCATGGACATAGGATATACTAGGAAGAAAACTAGTTCCAAAAATATGTTTTCAAGGGTTTGCCTAAATAATTTTCTCTGAGAACTACAAAAAAGCCTTAGATAAAATAATTCACTCATAAATGTGATAAAATGAAGGTTTTCTAAACATAATCTTACCTCTTAGAGATTATTTAATTCGGGAAATTTCCTCCATTCAACAAGTCAAGACAAAGCAGAAAACTCATCATCTTAAATCTATTTTATCAGATTGAATACATCCAAATAATGTTTGTGAATATTTATCAATTCTCCATTAAGTTCGGTAAACAACAGCAAGCCATGAATTTTGGTCACTGCACTCAAAGACCATGCACATAAAAACACCATAGGGTACACAAAAAATCCCTGGTACTCTACACATCTAGGCATAAATTTATGAAGTTAAAATATAATGATTTTCTCACAGTTAAACATTTCCAAACTGAACAATTCATGGGAATTGTTCATTCTCTGAATAAACATGAATGCAGCCTGGCTCCCTGCCCCACTTCACTCTAACACTAATGACTAGGCCCATTTAATTACTAACTTCCAGGACCTCTTTCTTCTTTTAAGGACATTAGGATAAATTTCCCAGCATGCTTACTGACACAAGGCAACCCAACACAGCTATCTCTAATAAAGCCCTAGACCAATCACAATTCTCTGAACTTTGATGTTCCCTGAACTAAAGCTCCAAGAAGCCCAGAATCTTGTTTATTACAGGAATAAAATTAAATATCTTTGCTGAGATGAATCCACAGGAACCTCTCTGCACCCTGCCTCTGAACTCACCAGGAAGCTAGGGCCCCTGGAGTTTACTCCCACTCAGCCTTCTGGCTCCCCAGGCTTGAATCCCACACACTAGACTCTCAAAGTCGCTAGAATCAATTGCTCTATGTAGGCATCTGAATTGGCTCTGCATAATTGGCATCAGCTGGGTACACTGTGGCCAGGAAGGCTGATTCAGGCTGCTTCCCCAGGCAGGTAATGCAAAACCAGAAATGACCCAGACAATACAGAGACAGTAGGAGAGGCAAAGAGCAGAAGCTGAGATAAATTAGAAAAGGACCACAGAAACAAGAAAATTAAAACCATTCTAATGTACATAACAATATATTTTTTATTCTCTTGAGAAATAAGGTAAGTTAATTACTTGCAACCTAAGTAAGTGGGAGAGTACAGGGATTGCCTTATAATGATGCCTGGTCACTAACAATTAAGCCCTAAAGGATAAAGTCTTCTTATCAATGCTGAAGGGTCATCCCTACTTCCAATGCTAGATCCACCTTGGGAATGTGAGAGTCCACACTCTTCTTGGGAGAACTATCTAGTTGCAGTCCCCACAACGCCTTCAGACTCAAGTATACTTTGTACCCGCTTCTTAATACCTTGATCACTGTTTCTGAACCCTAGCAAAGAAGAATATTCCCAAGGATGCTCTTTTATGGCTTAAGTTCAATAAAGAGATTCCAAGCCCAGATATAGAGATCTCATATATTCCTAGGGAGCTGGACATCAATGTGCTTAAAAATTATTTGGACATCTTAAAATGCAGATTCTTATTCAGGGAGTCTGGGGTGGGGCCTGAGAATTTTTACACTTCTAACTCTCAGGTAATTCCAGTGCTGCTGCTCTGCTGACAACACTCTGAATGGCTAGGCTTTCAATATTTTAAAGAGTATAGTAGGTGCTCATGGGACATCTTATTTGCCTTAGAGCCAGTACATAGTATTTCTAATTTCTGCCTTAGGGACATCTTATTTGCCTTAGAGCCAGTACATAGTATTTCTAATTTCTGCCTTAGGCCTAGAATTAACTCCATTCATGACAAGTCCTCCTGTAAATTCCATTTCAGGCCTGACTCTTAAGAACTATGGTCAACTTTCACATTAGAGCCACTCCTAGTAAAGTCAACACAACTGAAATGAGATTAAAATCCATAATGAAAATCACCTATTCTCATCCCTTAAGTGTCCATGGTGATGAGATTGATCTGCATCCTCCACATCTGTAAGCCATACTAGAGGCTAATGCTGTGTAAAATGCATTTCTGTAACCCAAAAAGCTATCTATGCCTTGCATGAGAAGGCTGATGAAAATAAGCCATCTTCCACAAAGACAGCACCATAGATGTTTTGTCTTCACCCAGCCTACTCTGGTCATTAAAACTGGTTCTCTGGAGTCTTGTATAATTATGGGAATCAGGAAATCCTTGACATAAGCCTTAGAAAAAGAATAACAAAAAGAAACCTCCCAAGCAGAGACTGATCATAAGCACCTCAACTTGCCCCCTTGGTCATCCTCTGCAGAGCCTGGAGTAGTAGAGACTGTAGTTTCTAAAGACAGGGGGCAATACACAGGCATAATGGGATTATAGCAGTTTAGGCTCTTAGGCTTGATTTGGTATATTTTTAACCAAACCTCACTCCAGTTAACTGTTGGGTACCCTCATTTAACTTCAAAATACCATAAAGAAAATACCCCATAAGAGTTAATCCACTGACAAATTAGATAACTTAGATGAAATTTGCAAATTCCTATAAAGACAGAAACTACTAAAATTGACTCCAGATAAAGTTCAAAGTCTAAATAGACCTATACAAGCAAAGATATTGAATTACTTTTAAAACTTATCACAAAGAATAGCCCAGATGAGTTCACTGGTTAATTCTATCAAACATTTAGAGAAGAATTAATACCAATATTTCACAAGCTCTTCCAAAAAATAGAAGTGATGAGAATAGATGTGATGAAAATAAAAGGTGAGTATACTTCCCAACTTATTCTATGAGATCAATATTACTCTGATACCAAAACCAGATGAAGACATCACAAGAAAACCACCAACCAGGTGGCAGAGCAAGACGGGAGAATAAAAGCTTGCACTGTTTGTGGCCCCTGAAAGAACACCAAATTTTAACAGCTATGTGCACATAGGAAAGTACTGTGACAAGAACCAAAAATCAGGTGAGCAATCACAGTACCTAGATTTTACTTCATATTGCTGAAAGAGGCATTGTAAAGGATAGAAGAGACAGTCTTAAATTGCCTATACCACCCCTCCCTCATCTTCCAGCAGAGGTCCTACAGTGCAGAAAGAGTCTGTGCACCTGGAGGAGGGAGAGTACAGAGAGGACTTTACATTGAAAGCACTGCGGTCCTGTCATGGCTGAGAGCAACGCCATGCTGGGCTCAGTCAGCACCCATGCACAGAAGGAGCATTTGAACCAGACCCAGACAGAGGGAAATCACCCATTCCAGCAGCTGGAACTTGAGCTTCTCAGCAAGCCTTGCCACATGGGCCAAAGTGCTCTGGGTTCCTAGGCTTGAAAAGCAGCCTAGGACACAAGGGCTGCAATCTTAGGCAACTCTTAGTGCTAGACTGGACTCAGAGACAGTGGACTAGTGTGGCACATGACCTAGGGGGACACCAGTCGGGGTGGCTAAGGGAGTGCTTGCGCTACCCCTGCCCCAGGCCCAGACAGTGCAGCTTGTGGCAAAGAAAGTGACTCCCTCCTTCTGCTTAAGGAGAGGAGAGCAAACAGTAAAGAGGACTTTGTCTTGTATCTTGGATACCAGCTCAGCTGCAGTAGGATAAGGCAGAGTCGTGAGGCTCTGCCAAGCCCAGCTCGTGGATTACATTTCTAGACACACCCTGGGCCAAAAGTAGAACTGCTGCCTTGAAGGGAAGGACCCAGACCTAGCAGGATTAATCACCTGCTGACAAAAGAGCGCTTGGGTCCTGAATAACAAGTAGTTATACCCAGGTAGCATGGCCTTGGGCTCTGAGAAGTGCTGACTTACAGTATGACCCAGCACATTCTTAGCTGTGGTGATTATGGTGAGACTCTTTCTGTTGGAGAAAAGCAAAGAAAAAAGAAAAGGGGACTGTGTCTTGCACCTCAGGTACCAGCTTGGCCACAGTGGGGTAGAGCAACAAGCAGTCTCTTGGGATCCACAAGTCCAGGCTGATGCTCTTGGACAGTATTTTGGGACCTGTCCTGGACCAGAGTGGAGCCCACTGCTCTGAAGGGTGAGACCCAAGCCTGGCAGCATTTACCATAAGCTGACAAAAGAGCCACTGAGATTTATGGAACATCGGCTATGGCCTGGCAGAACTCCACCATGGGCCAGTGGTGATGGTAGCCATAGAGAGAGGCTCCTCTCCCTTTGGAAAGGGGAGGAAAGAGCAGGAAGGATTTGTATTATGGTTTGAGTTCCAGTTTAGCCACTGTAGAACAGAACAACAGGTAAATTTCTAAGGTTTTTGACACCAATTTCTGGCCACCAGATAGCATCTCTGAACCCAGTCGGTACCTGGGGGAACTCTCTATCCTGGAGGGAAGAACACAAAACTGGCTGACATCACCAGCTGCTAATTGTGGAGCCCTAAGGCTTTGAGTCAACATAAGCAGTAGCCTGGTAGTGGTTACAGTAGACCTTAGGTGAGACCCAGTGCTGTGCTGGCTTCAGGCCTAACCCAGCACAGTCCCAGTGGTGGTGGCCCCAAGGGTGCGTGCCATCACCACACCCCCAGTTCCAGGTAACTCAGCACAGACAGAGACAAACTTCACTTTGGGGGAGAAAGTAAGGGAAAAGAACAAGTCTTTGCTGGTAATCCAGATAATTCTTCCAGATCTTATCCAAGACCACCAAGAGAGTACCTCTATGAGTCTGCAAAAACCACAGTGACATTGAGTTTAGGGCCCAATTCCCTTCAAATACCTCAAAAGCCTTCTCAAGAAGGATGAGCACAAACAAGCCCAGACTATGAAGACTACAATAAAAACCTAACTCTTTAATGACCAGACACCAAAGAATACTTGCATCAGCACCATCCAGGAATACGTGATCTCACCATATGAACTAAATAAGGCACCAGGGATCAATCCTGGAGAAACGTATATGTGACCTTTGTGACAGAGAATTCAAAATAGATGTTTTGAGAAAACTCAAAAAATTCAAGATAGCACAAAGAAAGAATTCAAAATTCAATAGCACAAAGAAGGAATTCAGAATTATATCATTTAACATTAATAAAGAGATCAAAATAATTAAAAAGAAGCAGAAATTCTGGAGTTGAAAAATGCAATTGACATGCTGAAGAACACATCAGTCAATAGCAGAACTGACCAAGCAGAAAAAAAGAATAAGGGAGCTTGAAGACAAGCTGTTTGAAAATAGTCAGAAAATAAAAAAAGAAAAAAGAATTAAAAAAATGAAGCAAGACTCTGAATCAAAAAAAAAATGAAGCACTCTTATAAGAACTAGAAAATAGCCTCAAAGGAGCAAATCTAAGAGGAAGTAGAGAAAGAGATAGGTGTAGAAAGTTTATTCAAAGAGATAATATTAAAGAACTTCTCAAACCTATAGAAGGATATCAACATTCAAATACAAGAAGGTTATAGAACTCCAAGCAGATTTAACTCAAAGAAGACTACTTCAAGACATTTCATAATCAAGCTCTCAAAGTTTACAGATAAAGAAAGAACCCTAAAACCAGCAAGAGAAAAGAAACAAATAACATACAAGGGAGCTCTAATATGTCTTGCTGCAGAGTTTTCAGTGGAAACTTTACAGGCAAGGAGAGAGTGACATGACATATTTAAAGTTCTGAAGGAAAAAACTTTTATCCTATAATAGTACATCCAGTGAAAATATCCTTCAAGCATGAAGGAGAAATAAAGACCCACCCAGACAAACAAAAGCTGAGAGATTTCATTAACACCAGACCAGTCTTATAAGAAATGCTAAAGAGAGTTATTCATTTTGAAGAAAAAGGATGTTAATAAGCAGGAATAAATCATCAGAAGGTAAAAAATTTGCTGGTAAAAGTAAACAAACAGAAAAACGCAGAATATTATAACACTGTAATTGTGGCGTGTAAACTACTTTTATTTTAAGTAGAAAGACTTACAGGGTTAGGGATTAGGGAACCAATAAAAATAATAACTATAATTGTTCAAGACATAGACAGTACAATAAAACAAAGAGAAACAACACAAAGTTTAAAAATAGGGAGACAAGGTTAAAGTGTGGAGTTTTTATTGGTTTCTTGTGCATGTGTGTGTGTGTGTGTTTGTATGTAAGCATGTGTGTGGGTGTGTGTATTTGCTTATGTAATCAGTGTTAACTTCTCATCCGTTTAAAATAACGGGTTATAAGATAGTATTTGAAAGCCTCATAGGAACCCCAAATCAAAAAACATACAATGGATACACAAAACACAAAAGTGAGAAATTAAATTATACCACCAGAGAAAGTCACCTTCCCTAAAAGAAGACAGGAGGGAAGAAAATGAAGGAAGAGAAGACCGCAAAACAACCAGAAAACAAATAACAAAATGACAAGAGTAATACTCTACTTATCAATAATAATACTGAATTTAATGGATGAAATTATCCAATCAAAAGTCATAGAGTGACTGAATGAATGAAAAAATAAGACCCATTGACCTGTGGCCTACAAGAAACACACTTCACCTATACAGACACGTAGTTTGAAAATAAAAGGAGGGAAAAAGATATTCCATGCCAAAGGAAACCAAAAAATAGAAATAGTTGCTGTACATATATGAGAAAAAAAAAAGCTTTTGAGACAAAAACTTTAAGAAGAGACGAAGAGGGACATTATGTAATGATAAAGAAGTCCATTCAGCAAGAGGACCTAACGATATTAAATATATATGCACCCAACACTGGAGCACCCATATATATAAAGCAAATATCATTAGAGATACACAGAGAGATAGACCTCAACACAATAATAGCTGGAGACTTCAACACCCCACTTTCAGCGTTGAATAGATGTCCCAGACTGAAAATCAACAAAGAAACATTGGACTTAATCTGCACTGTAGACAAAATGGACCTAATAGATATTTACAGAATGTTTTATCTAATGACTACAGAATACATATTCTTTTCCACTGTACATGGATCATTCTCAAGGATAGACCACATGGTAGATCACAAAACAAGTCTTAAAACATTTAAAAGTTGAAATAATATCAAGCATCTTCACTGACCACAACGGCATAAAACTACAAATCAATAACAAGAGGAGTTTTAGAAACTATACAAACACATGGAAATTAAACAATATGCTCCTGAATGGCCAGTGAAGAAATTAAGAAGGGAATTGAAAATTTTTTGAAACAAATAATAATGGAAACACAACAAACCAAAACCTGTGAGATACAGCAAAAGCAGTACTATAAGGAAAGTTTGTAGCTATAAGAGCTTACATCAAAAAATAAGAAAAACTTCAAATAAACAACCTAACAATGCATCTTAAAGAACTGGAAAAACAAGAGCAAACCAAACTCAAAATTAGTGAGAGAAAAGAAATAATAAAACCAGAGCAGAAAAAAATCTGAAATTGAACTGAAAAAAATGCAAGAGATCATTGAAACAAAAAATTGTTTTTTTAAAGTGAGGCAAATTTGACAAACCTTTAGCCAGACTAATGAAGAAAAAAAAAGAAAGATGATCAAAATAAATAAAATCAAAGATGAAAAAGGAAACATTACAATTGATGCTTCAGAAATTCAAAGGATCATTATTGGCTACTTCAAGCAATTATATGTCAATAAACTGGGAAATCTAGAGGAAATGGATAAATTCCTAGACACATAAAACCTACCAAGAATTAACTGTGAAGACACCCAAAACCTAAACAAACCTATAGCAAGTAATGAGATGGAAGCTGTCATAAAAAAATCTCCCAGTAAAGAAAATCTTTGTATCTAATGGCTTCAACTATGGAATTCTACCAAACATTTAAAGAAGAACTAATAACAAACTATTTGTACTCAGACTATTCTGAAAAACAGGGACTACTTCCAAACTCATCCTACAAGGCCAATTTTACCCTGATACCAAAACCAGACAAAGACACATCAAAAAAGAAACCTACAGGCCAGTATTTCTGATGAATATTGATGCAAAAATCCTTAACATAATACTAGCAAGCTGAATTCAACAATACATTAAAAAAAGATCATCCATCATGACCAAGTGGGATTTATCCCTGAAATGCAAGAATGGTTCAACCTATGCAAATTAATCAATGTGATATATCATATCAACAGAATGAAGAACATAGATCCTTCGGTTCAACTTATGCTGAAAAGCATTTGATAAAATTCAACATCCCTTCCTAATAAAAACCCTAAAAACAACTTAGTATAGAAAGAACACACCTCAACATAATAAAAGTCGTATATAATAGACCCACAACTAGTTTACTGAATTGGGAAAGGCTAAAAGCCTTTCCTCTAATATATGGAACACGAAAAGGAGGCCCACTTTCACCACTGTTATTCAACGTAGTACTGGAGTTCCTAGCTAGGGCAAACAGGAGAAAGAAATAAAAGGCATACAAACTGGAAAGGAAGAAGTCAGATTATCCTTGTTTGCTGATGATATAATCTCATATTTGGAAAAACCTAAAAACTTCACCAAAAAAACTATTAGAACTTATAAACAAATGTATCCTGTTGATTTTGTATCCTGTAAAGTTGCAGGATACAAAATCAACATACAAAAATCAGTATCATCTCTGTATGCCAAAAGTGAACAATTTGAAAGAGAAATTTAAAAAGTCATTCTATTGACAATAGCCACAAATAAAATTAAATACCTAGGAATTAACTATAGAAATGAAAGATCTATATAATAAAAACTATAAAACACTGATGAAAGAAATTAAAGAGGACACCAAAAAATGGAGAGATATTCCAGGTTCACGGATTAGAAGAATCAATAGTATTAAAATGTCCATACTACCCAAAGTAATCTACAGATTCAATGCAATTCCTATCAAAATGCCAATAACATTCTTCAATGAAATAGAAAAAAGAGTCCTAAAATTTATATGGAATTACAAAAAGATCCAGGATAGCCAAAGCTATTCTAAGCAAAAAGAACAAAACTTGAGGAATCATATTACCTGACTTCAAATTATACTGCAGAGCCTAGTAACCAAAACAATATGGTACTGGCATAAAAACAGGCACACAGGCCAATGGAACAGAAGAGAGAACCCAAAAACAAATCCACACAACTACAGTGAACTTATTTTCAACAAAAGTGCCAAGAATGTATGTTGGAGAAAAGACAGTCTCTTCAATAAATGGTCCTGGAAAAACTGGATAACCAATGCAGAAAAATGAAACTAGACTCCTATCTCTTGCCATATACAAAAATCAAATCAAAATGGATTAAAAACTTAAATCTCTCAAACTATGAAACCAATACCAGAAAATATTGGGGAAACTCTCCAGGATTTTAGTCTCAGCAAACATTTTTTGAGTAATACTCCACAAGCACAGGCAACCAAAGCAGAAATGGACAAATGGGATAACACCAAGTTAAAAAGTGTCTGCATAATGAAAAAAGTTAAGAGACAACCCACAGAATGGGAGAAAATATTTGCAAACTACCCCATCTGACAAGGGATTAATAACCATAATATGTAAGGAGCTCGAACAACTCTACAGAGAAAAATGTAATAATCCAATCAAAAATGGGTAAAAGATTTGAATAGACATATCTCAAAAGAAGACATACAAAAGGCAAACAGGCATATGAAAAGCTGCTCAATATCAATGATCATCAAAGAAATGCACATCAAAACTACAATGAGATATCATCTCACCTCAGTTAAAATGGCTTATATCCAAAAGACAGGCAATAACGAATGCTGGCAAAGATGTGAAGAAAAGGGAACACTTGTACACTGTTGATGGGAATGTAAATTAGTACAATGAATATGGAGAACAGTTTGGAGGTTCCTCAAGAGACCAAAAATAGGAGTACCATACAATCCAAAAATCCCACTGCTGTGTATATACCTGAAAGAAAGGAAATCAATATATCGAAGAGATATCTGCACTCTCATGTTTGCTGCAGCACTGTTTACAATAGCCAAGATTTGAAAGCAGTCTAAGTGTTCATCAACAAATGAATGGATAAGAAAAATGTGGTACTTATATACAATGGAGTACTATTCAGCCATTAAAAGAATGAGATCCTGTCATTTGCAACAACACGGATGGAACTGGAAGCCTTTATGTTAAGTGACATAAGCTAGGCACAGAAAGACCAAAATCACATGTTCTTGAGATCTAAAAATCTAAACAATTGATTTCATGGAGATAGAGAGTAGAAGGATGATTACCAGACACTGGTAGGGTGGTAATGGAGTGGTTGAAAGGTTGGGATGGTTAATGGGTACAAAAAAATAGAAGAATGAATAAGACCTTCTATTTGATAGCACAATAGGGTGGCTATTGTCAATAATAATTTATTATTTAAAATTATTTTATATAAATTATATTTTATATAAATTATTTTATATTTTATAAATTAATTTATATAAATTATTTTATATTTTATAAATTAATTTATATAAATTATTTTATATTTTATAAAAATATAAAAATAACTATTTTAAATAGTTATTTTAAAAAACTATTTAAAATAGTTATTTTAAAAATAACTAAAAGAGTACAACTGGATATGGTGTAACACAAAAAATAAAAATTGGAGGGGATGGATACCCCATTTTCCATAATGCAATTATTATGTATTGCATGCCTATATCAAAATATCTCATGTACCTCATAAATACATGCACCTACTATGGATCCACAAAAATTAAAAATATTTTTAAACTACCAACCAATATCTTTTATGAATATATATGTAAAACTCCTCAAAAAAACACTAGCAAACTGAATCTAACAACATTAAAAAGAAACATATAGCATGACTAAGTGGCATTTGCCACAATAATTCAAGGTTGCTGTAACATCTGAATATCAATTAATGTCACATACCACATCAATATAATAAAGGGGAAAATATTCTTATTTCATAGTATGAAAAAGCATTTGACAAAATTCAACACCGTTTCATGATGTTTTAACACTCAGTGAAGGAGGATAGATGGACACTTCATCAATCTGATAAACAGCATCTAGAAAAAACCCATAGCTAACAGCATGCTTAATAATGAAGGACAATGCTTTCCTTCTAAGAGCGGGAACAACACAAGATGTCTACTTTTGCCACGTCTATTCGATATTGTACTGGAAATTCTAGCCAGGACAATAGGGCAAGAAAAAATAAAAGGCATCCAGGTAGGAAAAGAAAGGTTAAAACTATCTCTATTTGTAGATGGCATAATTTTGTATATAGAAAACACAAAGGAACCCACAAAAATGATTAGAACTAATAAATGAGTTCAGCAGTGTCATAACACAAAATCAATTGCTCTTATACACTAGCAATGGACAATCTGAAAGTGAAATTAATAAAACAATTTTATTTACAGTAGCATCAAAAAAAATAAAATACCTAGGAACAAATTTAACAGAAGTACACATTTGTACTCTGAAAACTATAAAACAGTGCTCGAATTAAGACATCCACGTTTATGAATCAGACAGCTTAATATTGTAAGATGACAATAGTCCCAATTTGATCTATAGATTCAATACAATCTCTATCACAATCCCAGCTAATTTCCTTTGAGAATTTATAAGCCTATCCTTAAATTAAAATGGAAACACAACAGATCAAGAATAACTAGAACACTCTTGAAAAAGAAGAACAAAAGTGGAAGACTCACATTGACTGATTTCACACTTAGAGCAAAACCAAAGTATTCAGATAGTATGATAATAAAAATAGACATATAGATCAGTGAAATAGAAGAGTTCAGAAATAAACTCTTAAATTTATAGTTAATTTTCAATAAGGGTACCCAAACAATGTAATGGGGAATTGTCTTTTCAACAAATTATGCTGGAACAAATGAATATTCATATGTGAAAGAATAAAGTTGGACCCCTTCCTATACCATACACAAAAGAAATGAACTCAAAATGGATCACCGACTAAATGTAACAACTGAAACTTTAAAATTCTATAAAAAAAAAAAACTAGGAAAAAATGCTTGTGACCTTCAGTAAGGCAAAGTATTATTAGACACAATACCAAAATTTAAAAGACCATACTAAACCTGTTGTTTACCTCTTATGAGATATGTTTTCATGAACTTAAATGCTAATTCTAATTCTGTATAGAGAATATTATTCTATATTTACAGAATAAGAGAATATTATTCATCATCACCTGAATATAAAGATTAAAATAATGAGAAGTTCTCCTCCAGTAGGGACACCAGTTGTCAGATGTTCTGGCTGTCAATGTGATTCTAGAAAGTGTTTGTGTGTACCTGACAGAACGATACTTTAATGTCCTGAAATATTCAGGGAAGAAAGTGTTCTGTTCGATGTGGAGATACTGTGTCCTAGCACAATCCAGAAATTTTTGGGTGCTGTGAAATAGAACAATAGGTATTAAGAGAATTAAGTATTTATTTGAATTCTTTTCTAAGCAGTTAAAACCCACATACAGAAAAGTTAGAAACACCTCAGAAACAGATTACAATTATAAATTGTGTTTTTAAACACTAAAAAGAACAGTAGATCTTTTTCAAAAATACAAAATGTTCTATGTTTAGAACAAATAAATGGGAATATTTTCTTGTTTTAATTTGTCCACATATAACATAGATGGATATAATACCTGGCATTCAAAAACATGTAGCAATTGAAGGCAAAGCAATAAAGCTTTTAGAATATAATAAATAGAGATTATTTTCACACCCTCAGGGTAAAGAATAAATTTTGAAAAGGACTCAATATTCAAAATGCACTGACCAAAAGAGAAAAGATTGAAGTAATTCAATTGCATTAAAATTATGATCTTAAATTCAAAAATCTTTAATGTAGTAAATATTTTATTAGCAATGTATATGTGTGACATTCATAACAATAAAGAATTAATATCAAGAATATTATTTTTAAGTCTATGAATTATAAAGAGAAAAGAAAATCTAATCAAGAACTTTAAAGAAAGGACAATCACAAAAAATAACATGCTGGTGAGGTTGCAAAGAAAAGGGAATGTTTATACACTGCTGGTGGGAATTTAAATTAGTTCAGCCACTGTGAAAAGCAGTTTGGAGATTTCTCAAAGAACACAAACTACCATTTGACCCAGCAATCCCATTACTGGGTATATACCCCAAGAAATATAAAATGGTCCATCATAAAGACACATGCATGTATATGTTTCTCACAGCACTATTCACCACAGCAAAGACATGGAATCAACATAAATTCCCATCAATGGTAGACTGAATAAAATACATAAAATGTATATATCTGGTACATATACTCCATGGAATAAATGCAGCCATAAAAAAGAATGAGATTATATCCTTTTCAGCAAAATGGATGGAGCTAGAGGCCATTATCCTAAGCAAATCAATGCAGGAACAGACAACCAAACACTACACATTCTCACTTATATGTGGGAGCTAAATATTGAGTACACGTGGACACAAAGAAGGGGACAACAGACACCACAGCCTACTTGAGAAGGGGGGAGGAGTGTGAGGATCGAAAAACTACCTATTGGGTACTATGCTTATTAGCTGGGTGGTGAAATAATCTGAACACTAAACCCCCATGACACAAAATTGACCCATATAGCAAACCTGCACATGGACCCTGAACCTAAACTAAAAGTTGGAAAGAAAAAAAAAAGGACAATCAAATGACCAATAAACATTTGAAAATATGCTGAATCTCAGTAATCAGAGATTTACAAATTAAAATCAGAATGAAGTACGGGACATCCTTCAGTTGGCAAAAATACCTAAAGCCTGATGAAACCTAGTATTTGCAAAGAGTAAGAAGATCTTTCACATATTCCTGATATAATTACTTTAAAATGGTTTAGGCAAATCTACTAATGTAAAACATTCACATACCTTACAATACAGCAACTTCAGTTTTGGGTTTACGTGGTAGAAATCTCTTGCATCGGTGCACCATTTGACACGTGAAGAATATTTCTAGCAGCATTACCTATAATAGATTAAAAAACAAATAAAAAAGCAAAAATTATGAATAAGCTAATTATACATCAACAGCAAGTTGAATAAATAAATTGTAACATACCGACACAGCATTAAAAATAAATGGCAGTCCTCTTCTAGACTACTAAAAGAATAGAAATAAAAGGCCAGGCGCGGTGGCTCACGCCTGTAATCCCAGCACTTTGGGAGGCCGAGGCGGACGGATCACGAGGTCAAGAGATAGAGACCATCCTGGCTAACACGTCTCTACTAAAAATACGAAAAATTAGCTGGGTGTGATGGCGGACGCCTGTAGTCCCAGCTACTCGGGAGGCTGAGGCGGGAGAATGGCGTGAACACGGGAGAATGGCGTGAACCCGGGAGGCGGAGCTTGCCGTGAGCCAAGATCACACCACTGCCCTCCAGCCTGGGTGACAGAGTGAGACTCCGTCAAAAAGAAAAAAAGAATAGAAATAAAAATAAAAATAAATGAACTACACCATGCACATCCATGTGGCTCTATCACATGAACATACTATTGAACAAAAGCAGCTAGAAAATAGAAAAATATATAAAACATCATGGTATTTATACCAAGGTCCAAAATAGGAAAAACTGAGCAATGCATTGTTTATGCTTAGCAAAACCACAAAAAGGTAGTTATATAGTTTTGTATGTAAATTTAACAATTAAAAAATCTTAAGATATAATTATTTATATTAAAAATACTAGCCACTTAGTATACCATAATTTTTATTTTTATATCTTCAAAGGATAGTAGATTGACTCTTGTGACTAATTTGAATAATAAATGTCATTAACTACTTTTATTTTCTTTTAAATAGACTGAATCTAATCAAGATGTTTAAAATTATCAAAATGATTATCTGTGTAGCGTAGGAACTAGGAAAAAAAGAAATAAATAAGTTTAAAAAAAAGTAGAATCACCTCTCAACTAATACTTCAAATTACAAGTGATTCCCAGGTAGGTGGGACGAATTAGGAGGTCAGTCACCTGTATGGTTTAGGAGGGTATGATGTGTAAGATTCTGTCAGAGTAAGTCAGATTCTTTACAAATATTTTAGAAAGACAACACTGGCTATTTTTCTAGTTGTAGCATATTTAAAAATTAATTTTTCTATTTGATTTTTCTCCCATTATTGGCCATTAAATTGAAGCTGCAATTAAAGATTAGCTCTCAGGTATAAATGATTATCTTTTCATCTATCATTATAAACTGTATTCCTATCGAAATCACTATGGCTTTATTAATATGCCCTCATAAAACAGTTATGATCAATTTAAATGTTATCTCACAATAAATGTGCCATCTCTCAGCAACTGTGTTCTGACATAAGACCACCAGAAATAATATATACCTCTAGATATATCACAGAGAAATACCACATGATAATAATTTTGGACAATGCCTCTAAGATACTTGTAAAGCAACATATCTCAAGTCAAGGCCACAGGAACAGAAAGTGGTTCCACTGTGTCTTGCAGCCACTATGTTCTCCCTAGCACCATTATTTTAAGAATATGGACAAATTGGAAAATATCCAGGAAAGCATTTGAGATGATTAGGGGTATAAGCATCATAATGTTTTTTTAAAAACAAAAGAAAAAAGGAAACAGAAAAAAAAAATTCCTGGATGGCCTAAAGATGTTTATCTCAAAGAGGAGAGAAAACACTAAAAGAAGACCAAATAGACGTCTTCAAGTATTCGAAGGACTATGATGAGGAGAAATATACTTTTTTCTGTATCACTTCAAAAGGAAGCCAGTGTATCTTTAAGTAGATTTTAAAAGGACAGGCATTAATTTTAAAAAAATAGAGAACTTTTAATTTCAGCTGTCCAAAAATAATGGGCTGTCTAACAAGGTGGGGATCTTCCAGCCATGAAAGGGCTCTGATCAAAACTGATAGACCATTAGCACACTATAGATAAGTTTTGCTTTGGGGTAGGAGATTGACTTAAGGACTGCTCACATCCTTTTTTAAATCAACAATTCTCAAGCTCCCATGATGATTCATTAACTATTTTCAGATGCTGCTTTCCAAAATACTATGGGTCTATATAAAAACTAAAATTATGTTATCTGAACATTCATTTTGGCCAAATAAGTTAGAAAAGAAGTGTTCTTTCTTCATTTGATTGCTTCAGTTGCACTGAACAGTATAATGATCACTATCAAATCTGGACAGGATTAATCTGGAGCATAACTTTTGCCTTTCAGATAAGATCTGCCATAGTTTAAAAATAGCCCAGATGAACAAAGGAAATTACAATTTCAATTCAAAGGAGAACTGACACGAACAAGTACCAGAGTGTTGATGGAAGAGTGTAGACAATCATTGTCTAAAGGCAAATACTTCAGTCAGAGAGAACTTCAAGGACAAACTTCTTTTCTCTTTACAGTATGAGAATGAAATCTGAACTTTTCTGTCAGTGACAAGGTTAAGGCAGTACACCACCCACATAGAAAATGAATCAGACACAAAGAACCAGATTCTCCTATAACTTACAGCACTTTCAGAAGCTGCCCTAACTCTTTCAGAATACTGAGAAACAACAAAACAAGGAAAGTGCACAGTAATGTACATTTGTACTTAAAAAAATTTATCCACTTAATGCTATTAATAATGTTGAGACAACGGAAAGAATCTCAAGTGTCCAACAGTAGGGGATAACTAGATGAATTATAGTTTACCCAAGTAATGTATTATTATTATATTCTTCTATCATTATGCTCATTATGCATCCTAATTATAAACCATAAGGTACAATGACAGGTGCTAGGTAGACAAAAAAACAAATTGCAAAACTCTAAGTGTGCAATACTTTAAAAATTATGTAGAAATTGTAGGATGCCTGACAAGATATCAAATTACCAAAAGATGTTGGATCTGCCTTGTGCTGGACAAATGATCTGCACAAATTAGAGGAAGACTGATTAATTTCAGGTCATAAAACTATAACAAGCTCTGAGGAAACAGAAGTTGGTTAGGCCCAAGTCAGGCAGGACAGTGAGGGAAAGGGAAAAGTTCTGTAGGAGTAGAAGGGGGTACAAAAACATGAATAGACTAAAATGTCCTTCTTATACCTTTTATCCTAGCTCATGTGGTCCTGCATCACAGCCCAACCAATTGCCAGCTCCTAGCAGTATAACAGCAGGAGGACTAACCAGAGCTAACCAGAGACCTCAGGGCAACATCCAAGTTGAGATAGATCACGGAACCAGTAAAAAAGGAAGCAAGAAAGAGTACGTGCCAGGTAGGTGGGCCAACACCTAATTATTTGTTTTCTTCCCTCTCTTTAATCCCATTGTCTAAGTCAGTAGCTCTCAAAGTGTGGTTCCTGATTAGCAGTATCAGCATCATCTCATACATTGTTAGACATTCAAATACTTTTCTCCTCCCCAGACTTATTGAAACTCTGGGGCCCAAACTTATGTGCTTTAAAAAGCATGTCTGATGATTTTAATGTGTGCAAACATTATAGAACCACTGGTCCAGGTGATTTAATCCAAAGAAAGCAGCTCTTAGAATAAAACCATTCCCTGGGAAAGATATGGAGTGGATTAATGAGAAATAGCACCAAGGGCATTAAAAGTGAGAGAGGAAAGGATGGGAAGAGGCAGTAGTCTAGCCCAAGTGGTAACATCAGAGGCTCACCACCCTAAGGTGCCATCCCTAAATCTACTCCCTAAATTCAGCAGAAGCAGAAGCCCTATAGGAGGAAGACAACAAACTCAATACTCTGCAATGGAGGAAGCTAAATTAATGGACTGAATTAAATAAGAATTTTAAGTAAAAAATTTAAAATAAATATTCTCAAAGAAACAAGGGAGAGTCCTGCTTCCAAACATGAAGCAGGAATAGACATAAGGAGGTAGTATCTGGAGATAACCAGCATGAAAAATGTAACAGTCGAAATTAAACACACAAAATGGCCATCGAAGAACAGAAAGGATAGCTATGAAGAAATTACTTTAAAAATATAGGGTAAGGACCGGGCGCAGTGGCTCACACCTGTAATCCCAGCACTTGGGGAGGCCGAGGTGGGTGGATCACCTGAGGTCAGGAGTTTGAGACCAGCCCGGCCAACATGGCGAAACCCCATCTCTACTAAAAATACAAAAATTAGCCAGGTGTGGTGGCGTATGCCTGTAATCCCAGCTACTAGGGAAGCTGAGGCAGGAGAATGACTTGAACCCGGGAGGTGGAGGTTGCAGTGAAATGAGATCACGCCATTGCACTCCAGCCTGGGCAACAGAGCGACACTCCGTCTCAAAAAAAGAAAAAGAAAAAAAAAAGAACATGGGGTGGAGTGAAAGGAGATCTGTATGATATCATTTATATAAATTAAAAGCATGGATTAACGAAACAACACTGTATATCTTTCCAGAATGTGTATATGTATGCATCTCGATGAATATCAAAAAAAAGAGTGGCTAGTTAGGGGGGTGGGGGGGCGTGAAATTAGAGTGGGGTTGAAATGAAGGAGAAAAAAAGGCCTTGAATAGAACATTGATATGTTCTGCTATGAGAAAGAATATGATAAACTCAATTTTCTGCCTCAGAGAACCAAAAATAAGATTCTTTTTAAAAGAAGGCTAGCTATTTAAAAAGAAACTGTAAGGAAGGGAATATACAAAATAACAATAGCTGTGTTCATATTGGATAAATTTATGAGTATGCTTTTCCATAATTTTAAAATTTACTGTAATTTTTATATAATAATATTTAAATAAAAAATGAATGCTTTCCTCTTAGAAGTAGTTTAAGTACTGAGATAATCTGACCCTAATCAATTTATACATTTGCAATATTAGACTCGTTTTATTTTGGTTGTGAGTCACATGAAAAGTGTTACATTCAACAATGCAATGCCATTTTAAGATATGAATGCTCAAGATGAAAATACATAACCTTTCAGTCAGTAAATGTCATCAAAAACAGCTTATCTTCATTAAAATACTAAGCTTCTTGAATTTAGTGTCAGTTGTGTTTTATTTATTAAAAATTCCTATTGTAGTGTTCAACCAGGTTAATAACAAACAACCTTTATATTGTGAGATTAAATTGCCTGATATTTCTTTCTAGACATACATGAAAATTAGAATAGCCCTAATCTGCATTCTTAACAGGACACATAATTTTTGAGCATTTTAATTATAACTTGAATCATTCTAATATATTTTAATTGAGAAGAAATTCACATAACACAAAATTAACCAGTTTAAAATGCACAGTTGGGAGGCATTTAGTTCATTTACAATGGTGTGCAAACATCACCTCTGTCTGGTTTCAAAACATCTTCACTGCCCCTCATAAAGATCTCAGGTCCATTAAGCAGTCACTCCTATTCCCCTTCGTCTCTGCCCTTGGCAACCACTAATCTGCTTTCTGTCTCTACAGATTTAGCTTTTCTTGATGTTTCATATAAATATAATTATACAATATATTTTCATATTATCTTTTATATCACTTCTAAGGGAAATGATTTTAATACATTAGTCATTAAAATTTCTGATTAGGACAGGCCTAATGATTTAATCTATATTGCTTTTCAAATAAATATTATTGTTCATACCTGTAAACAAGTTAAACTCAATGAGCTATTAAGAAAAAGCTAAACAATAAGGCAAATGACACATGTCTAAGTCTAGCCTCATCTCCTTCCCCTACTTTTTAAACTCTATAATCCAATAAGTCAAATTCCTTGCAATGCCCTGAATCTCATGAATATGCTTAGTGTGTTCACCCCTCCATGTCTTTGCACATATTCATCCCTGGAACGCATTTCCCCCTTTTGACCAGCTAAAGAATCCTGACTCATAACTAAGTTAAACACCACCTGTTTTTCAAAAGTCCCCATTCAAAACCCCTCTTACCTCTTTTACATCCCCATGTTGCCGCTTTGCCTTGTCCATGCCTCTGCTATTGTACTTACACTTTGGACTATAAATAATATGTTTACATGCAAATCTTCTACTAGATACTGCATCCCTCATGCCTAGCACAATGCCTATAACTTTATAACATGTCAATAAATTACTGAATAGATAAAAATTAAAGAATGGATTAGGTGCTCACAAATATTCTGTGGACCACAGTTAGATAACCTTTGATTGATAACAGTGGTTCTCATATTTTAGCCTCTGAACAAGCAGCATGAGCACCAGCATGAACAAACTTGGAGCCTGATCAAAGTGCAATTTCTTGGGTCAAACTCTAGAGCTACTGAGTCAGAAACTCTGTAGGTGGGCTCCCAGCAATTTGTGGTTTAACAAGCCCTCCAGGTGATTGTGATATACACTCAAGTTTGAGAACCATTAAACTAGAGAATTGATAACAACGGACAGCTGTTTTAACTTGACCTCTGAAAAACATACCTCCTGATTTTCCTCAGATCAGAGGTTGCTCATTCCAAGTATACTCTATGGAACTTTCTCCAGTTGCTCACACCTGAATGCTGGAATGCCTCTGGGCTCCTGCTTCAAGCTACTTTTCTGTCTACACTCACTCTAGACCCACGTACACCTTCTGTATATTGATGAAATTCTAATGTATGTCTCTAACCCCTACCTCTCTGACTGTGTCTCATGTTTATCTGCCTTCTCAGTTTTTCTGCTTGAAAACTGTCTACTAGGCATTTACTGAACTCATTCTTCCTGATAAACCTGTGGCTCCCCACCTGCCCCATCTCAGCAGATGGAAACAATTGAGGCTAACAGATATGCTTACATTGAGCTAAAGAGTAGAATATCTGAAAAGAAACTTAGATGACTGTAACTGTAAGACAAGAGTATGTTTAAGAGGTTACATGCAGAGATTTAGATCTGGGGTGTGTCTGCATGGAGATAATAACTGAAATTATGAAAGTGGAAAAGTCCGTGAAAAGAAAATCTGTACAGAGAAAAAGGAACAAACCCCCACCACTCAAACAATGAATGTGTTCTTGATTTCTCACTAAGTGTGTTCTTCACTTTTAGTACCTAGAAACACTCTTAATGTAAATCATAAAGTGTTGGAGTTAGAGGAAACCTTGGGGGACCCTCTTTATTCCACTAAGGAAAATAAAGGCCTAAAGGTTAAGTGCCTCTCCCAAAGACAAGTCTGCTAAATGCCAGTAGAGACTGATTCCAATTACGGTATTTTTTTTCACCACTACCAATTGTCTGAAATAATTTGAGTTATATGGTTTAAAGAAACAGGAATATTTTTAAGGACTTTGAATTTTATATGGGCTTAATATAGGTAAGTTTTATGTAGATGGCTATGAATGAAGTCTGAATATATTGTCTAGACCTGTGCTATTCAATACTAAAGCTGCTAGCCACATGGGCATATTTAAATCATTAAAATTTAATAAAACTAAAAAGTCAGTGCTTCTATTTTACTAGCCATATTTCAAGTGCCACATAGCTATATGTGGTTAGTGCCCCCCATATTGGACAGCGTAGATAGAGAATAGTTTTACCATTGCACAACATTCATTGGATAGTTCCAGTCCAGCACATTCTAAAACTCAGGAGATACTTCTTTCAGGAAGTTTGACAAGGCTCAGTTATAATTCTCTCAAATAGCAGGTGGTGGCTTGTTTCAACTACACACACCCCTATATGTTCTTTGGCAAAAAGAAATATCTTTCCAACTTTTACTTCATATATTTCAACTTCCCATTGATTTTCATTCAAATAAGGCTAATTTGATTTTTGAAAGGTCAAAAACAATAAAGACATATTGCTGATTTTAATCAGTTTTAAATATTTTGAATAACCTAAAAATAGTTCAGCACAAATTTTAGATTATTCCAAAAACTCTCCTTTTCTAAAGAAACTGTAGATTCTTCTTCCATTTCTAAAATATGGTGGTCAAGTGTGAATAGTAGGTGATTATTTATTATTTTATCTAAATGTTGAATTTTCCATGAGAAATTCCTTCACCCATATGCAAATTTTAAACAAAGTGATTCAGTTTCTAAATTCAGAAGGAGCTACATAATACGAAAACCACAAAAATGTATCCCTTTATTTTTGAACAAGAATGCAGTTTGATGAGGTTTATGTTTGTACAGAGATAAATTAATAATATGAGAGGTAGGAGGGCACATTGGAAAGATGACTGTTGAGTGAGATTTGCCTTAAGAGCAGGTTTGAAACCCTGTTTCTCAGCGGGTGTTAGGAGTCTTCTCAGAAGCACCAGAGAGGGTTGTCTAAAATTGAAGACTCCAGAACTCCTCACCAAACCTACAAAATCAAAATCTCTGTGGACAGTAGTGGAATCTGCATTTTTAATGTATTTCTCACAAAATCTCCTCCCTACTAAAACTTAAGGGGAATACAAATGCTGAATCTAATTGAAGGCTCATAGGTTTGCTGTAATATCTGTATAAATTAAATGTTCTGGCCATAGGAGTTCTGCAGCAAAATAAGAAGAAACCCCTTATAAGCAGATATCATTGTGTCCTTTTTTGTTGTTTTGTTTTGAAACAGGAATACTGACAGTGGTTTCAATTATAATTAGAAAGTCAGAATATCCTACACACTGCTGAAGAGCTATATAACCTGCATATCCAATTCTGTGATCCTTTTGGATAAATAGAATTGGGATTAAACAACTTCTGAAGGTCCTTTTTAAGTCTTGTGATTTTATATTCTCACTTAAATTAATTTACAATTGCTTTAACTTTAAAGATCAGGCTAAAAAAATATCTGGGCAAAAAAGTATGTCTAAAGAATTGAAACCAAAAGTCAAATATTAATAATTAGAGAAGGCATTAAATTTTCAAAACACTAATCTGTTTTTTATAAAGAAAAAAATTAGTAAGATGTATCACTTGAGTTAACATGTAAAAAAAAGTCCAAAATTGACCTATTGAATTTATCTAATATTTGGTCCAATAGCAAAAAGAAAGAAAAAGGAAATGAATTCATTTATGAGATTGATCTTACCCAGTGACTACTATGTTAGGAATGCACTTGAATTTGGGGAAAAGTGATTCAATATTTTTTCAGCATAAAATGTTTTCATAAAAAGGCAAATTTATATCACATGTGTATGTCACATGTAATATATAGATACATATAGATATTTCATGACTTATTTTACAAGGTTGCAGTCTTAACAACTGTGACCCCGCATAATTATTGGGGCCTTTTTCAATTTTGCTTTCTTTTCATTACAATATCTCTTTTGTTCTTTTGTGTATCTGCAATGGTTGAGAAGGCAGTTGAAAAGCTTCAAGGCATATGAATGAAGAATACACACTACACCTTCCATAAAAGCTAACTGAGCACCTACTATGTGCCTGGCATTTATTTATGCCCTTTTTACATACTTCAGCACATCTCATAAACACAGCCAATGCAACACTCAGCTCCATCTTCTACCAATGAGCAAACAGGAAGAAGTACCCAGAGAATCTCATTTATGCTGAGATACTGCTGGTGTCTGAGTCATCATTTACTTTTTGGGGGAAAGGGTGGAAATTGCAGTTATAAACTCCTTTGCACCTGCTAAATCATCTTATTTGGCAACTGCTCTCGGTGTTGCTGACATGCCCAAAGATGACTAAGTAATAAGGAAACATTTCTTCCTTCTTTTTTAGAAGCCTAAGCCCTCTTCATCAGTTGATCGCTGTTCAAATAAAGTGAAATGATGGCAGGAGCAGGCTAAGGGGGCTCATTCTATTCATTCTCTCTCTCTCTCTCATTCTGGCAAGATGATCTATCATCCATCTGAAAGACATTCAGTCCCTGAAAACAAGATCTTAGATTCATCAAAGCTTGAGAAGCCTGAGGATATGTTGGAAGTTAGCCAATTAGGTGTGCCTGCAAGGTGTCCTGCTTACTTTTTCACTTTCTTTTATCCTTGGCTTTCTGGATTCTTTTATCTTTAGCTAAACAGCAGCTGATAAGCCTGAGGCAGTAAATAGGATCTGAAAAATACAGGTTAAATTGACTAAGGGACACAACTCCTTTACATAGATAGCACATCACAGACTTTACCCTGATCCTGACCGGTCAGTTGATAACTAAACACTATTAAGCACAGCCCCAAGGGTGAAAAAAAATTGAGAATTGTTACAGAAAATGTATGTCTCTACTGGAAAAAAAAAGAAAGATCCTCTGAAAGTATGTAACTGTCGGGTTATTTTTCAGTCTCCCTTCTTAGACCACGAGCTCCTTGGAGGCAAAATCACCATGTCATTTCTCTCCCAAACTCTGGTAGTCATATGGTCTGGCACATGGTAAATATTCAAAAACTGTTCAAGGAATACATGGGAATAAATAAATGCATGCAAGTATTTTTCTTATATTACTTTAAGTATCTCTTTTTAATTTTTGTAATCTTAGAGCCAAGAATGTCAACTTTCATTCTAGTTTATTCCTCAATTAGACTATTGCAACTGTCCTCTACTTGGATGCCCAGAGTTTTCCTATCCTCAGTACTATATACTGACACTGAGTTCAAGTTGCTGTAATATTGCTTTAATTATGCTAATCCCCTACAAGGAAGCCGTGCATAGTTCTTCATTCTTTGACAAATGCATTCACCCATAAATGAATTCGCCCATCCAGCCAAATTTCATGTTTCAGCTCCCTTCCACTGTTCAACTAATGTTCTTCCAGACATAGATAGGCACTGATTGCATCCGTCTGCAAACATGTCCTTGGATATCTATTTCTCCATTATTTTTCTCTTCTCAAAAGAGCTTCCTTCTCTCCTTTTTATCATTGAAATGTTGGTTCAGGCACCATTTCCCTTGTGACACCAGCCAAAAAATAATCTTTCCCTATTTGAAACCATAATTTGTTGGTAACCTTCCCATTATGTTTATAGCATACACTGTTAAAATTAATTATTAGGAATGCCTTGTCTAACCCACCAACCCATAAGGGGAAGAGACTATGATGCGACCATCTCTGTAGCATCCTTAAGCACCTAGTGTGATATCTTGCACACAGTTTGCTCCAATATTTTTGCATGAGTGAATGAATAAAAAGGATTTTGCAGAGACTCAAAATATTGAATTTCCTATTTTTTCATTCATCCCCCAGTGGGCATTGCATATATTTTGTTTTTAAGTATGGTAGAGACAACAATAGGAAGGAATGGGTGTAAAAGAAAACCAAAAGAACTGTCACCTAAATATGAGAATTGAGAGAAAGTGAAGACTCAAAACTAAATGAAGAAATAAGTCGTATTATTAACCAAAAATACAATTTAAGAAAACAGGCAATTTGAAGGGAATTGGTGATTTGATTTCAGGACTTCAGTAAGCATTTCTTGAGGGCTACTAGCAACAGGAAGCAGTTCTAAATTCTGTTTTTAGACACAATGCATATTCCCCTGGGCACACAAAATGACAACAATTAAATGCACAATACAATTGTTGAGAGGAAAATTCTCTATCTTTTCCAGTCTCACTACAAATTGTCAGAAGTTTTGACAAGTATGTCACTAAAAAAAAATTTTAAACAACCATTTCTGTTTAAGAAGGAAAGCCTCTCATAGGAAAATGGGGACTTACTACTTTTATAAATAAGTTTCAGAATCTTAATTCCATCAGTTTGAACTGCAGAGGCAAAAGTAATGCTAAGCACTCATATCTAAGCCCCCTCTGTGATGCAGAAAAAGCAGGGAAACTAAAGGAAATGAAAAAGACAGGAACATTTTTGCCCTCAACTTAGAGCTGCTCTAGAAAGTGTACAGACTCCAAGCAATGTGAACAGTATTCTTAGATACATCTGGCTTTACCCATTTTATTTCTTGAGCAACAAAAATTTACCCAGTACCTACTACTAGCAAAGAGCTATGCTACACGTCAGTATTCTTAAGAACTTATATATACTTTAAGTTTTCATCAGTAAAATCACATCTTACAGTTATTAATGTCATTTGATTTAAAGGGGATCTACTCTGAATTCCTTTATAGATAAATGGCACTTTTGTATTTATTCCATTATGCCTCTATGTATATGTCTCTTCCCTTTTTAACTTAATTTTTTACCTAATACGATGCTATGGAAAAGTCATTGTGAAGAGGATTTTATTTATCAAATATACAGAAATGTTAGAAAATTGAAATTGCTTTTATCCTGGAAACTGACTGTGAACCAATAAAAATGAAAATCTATTTCCATTTAAATGGAAATTTAAAGACAGGGATAGAGGAAAAATATTCCTATAATTTCACAACATGATATATTATATCAGGCATCATTATTTGTAAACTTTGAAATCTTTTGTAACAAGTGTAAAAATTACAATTGTCAAAAATAAAGACCTTTATAACCTACTCAACAAGCAAGAGAATTTTCAATATTGAATTACTCAGAATTCTAAAACAAACATTTATTAGCAAAGGATATCAGCTACATTAAACACCAAAGAAAAACTTAGTATATTTTCTTTACTTGTACCAATTATTGTTTGCAGACTTATTTCTAAGTGAAATAAAATGAGTGTACATTGCAGGAATAATTAAGAACTGTACAACAGTTACAAATTGTATACAGTGGTACCAGGAGTTATTATTAAGAAGTACTAGTGATACCAATTATTTTCCTAGCAACCAGCTTCATTTTTGAAGCTGTGGCTTTCATAGCTCTTTGCAGGCTGTAAGAAAATCTCTGGATATATAAATCTGTTTTCAAACTATAAACACTGCTGAACTGAACACCACCAGAAGTCCAAAATATTCTTATTTGTGAGTTTCTAAAAGCTGTGAAAGATGTTTATCAATCCAATTGATTTAGCAAATATTTATTTAACGTCTATGATGTCCAAGCACGACACTAAAATATAGTTTCCATTTTCAAAGAGCTTACTATTCAGTGTGATAAGTATAGACTAATGAGATAGTGACGGTGGTCATATTTGAACAATGAGCTTTTGGCCCACTGGGAATATCTATACATCAGAGCACTATAATTAAAAGCATCAACTCTGTACTCAGTTATAAGGAGTTCAAAAGCTGATTCTTACTTTTACTACCTGTGGGACCTAGGCAAGGCACTTAATCTCTCTGGTCTACTGAGTTTCTTCACCCAAAAGATAAGGATTTAAGAACACCTATCTTGTAGGGTTGTTTTGATGATGAAGGATTTCCTGGCACAAAGTAATTGCTCTGTAAACAATTGTTTTTCTGGTTGTGGTTTTTATTGTTGTTAGTACTGTGGGTATTAGTACTATAGAAGTAGTTCTCGACTCTGAAGAAGTTATGAGATTTTACCTAACCAAAAGAAAGGGAAGTGTATCTCAGATAAGAGGAACTGTATGTGAAAAGAGGTTTGAAAAATATATATATTCAAAAAAAAGTAATTTTGTATTCTCATATTGGGTACCAATTAGGCCAGTGGCCAGAGGAGAGGTGAGAGATAAGATAAAATTAAAATGGTTATATTCTCCATCTAATATACATTTGGGATGTTTTAGTTATTAGTTATTAGGCTAGATAAACATTGGTGCCTAAAAAAGTTACTGAACTCAAATACAAGCAACAGAAACTTTACTGGGGGAAAGAAAAAACACATTGTAAAGTCAATTCCTCAAGGTATGAATCATACACACTTGAAAGGAGTCTTCCTCTCTCTCTCTCACAAACACACACCCACCCACACACACACACACACACACACGACACAAAGATAGAGAGAGAGAGGGAGAGGGAGAGGGAGAGAGAGAGAGAATATCCTGTACATCAAATGGGAACCTCTAAATTAAGAACTACTTCCACTAATTGGCAGCAGGTGGGGGGTATTCCTTTTGAAATAATTAAAATTGGTTCTAGTCTCATCATTTCCCCTTTTTAGAAATGTTATTGCTATTTACAAAAAGTAAAAAATGAAAACAGAATCATTTCTGTCTGATAGAACTCTGTAGACAGAAGCATTAATACATATTCATTTGAAAAATTAACAGCTCAAAAAATATTGTGCCAATATACTTCATTTTCAAAACAAAATTTCTACTTTATGATAATGCTCTGAAAAGTATAGGGATCAAAAAGAATATATTGAAGTCATTAGGTAGCTCTACTTCCTTTCAAAATTGATGTACCCCAAATGGAACTGGGGTACATCAAACAAAATAAACTCTGCTTAAAGACAAAGAAAGTATATTCAGGATAGGAGGTCTCTGAGCTAAGATGAGTAACAAAAACAAGAAACCGAAAACTCCCAGGTGTGTGAATCCTCAAAAAGTAAGAGAAGGGAGGAAAATTCATGTACCCAGCATCATTACTTACAGATGTTTCAACCAGATGTCCATCATCTTCGAAAAAAGTCAGACTTAAGCTGGACTTCTGGCTGTTTTAGATGAGCTCAGACAAATCATCTCATATCTTTGGGCATTGTTTTCCGATTTCAGACCAAATGCAACTGAATCATCTAGAATGCTTATTTAAAAATGAAGATTAATGGGCTCCACCCCACTTTTACAGAATTAAAATAACTGCATCAGAGCCCCCATAAATCTGAATTTATTACAAACTTTCTTTGATATTCTTATGAATGCCAAATTTGAAAGCCAACATGTTTGGAATTTTATCACACTTTCCTAAAGATAAAAGAGTTCAAATTAAATAATACTGGTTATTGAGCATCTACTATGCAACTTATTTCATGCGAAGTGATAACAGAGATAAGATGTCAAGCCCAACTCTTGCTGTCAAGAGGCTTACAACAGTGGAGGGTGAAGACCTGGGTGACAGACAGGAGATATCACATTTAGAGCCTGCTATGGACTAGGTATTATGTTAAGTACATTGCAAAGAGAACTTCATGTAATATCACAATAATCCTGAAAAATTTTAAGTTGAGCCTAGCTCATGCATGTCCTTTCCACTAGAGGAGATGAGGTAATTCAATAAGACAGAATAAGATACAAGAGATAGGGGCAATGTAGACAGTTTTGTAAGAGTTCACTCACACACTCTCATCGTCTGCAATGATTGCCATGTGTGAGAAATGTACATTCCCAGAACTCCACCTCCCCAAGAAGAAGCACAGAGACAGAGGGAATCACAGCAGGATTCATCACAGAAAATTTCTAGGGTGAAACTGGGGACTTCATTCAAGAGTAAAGAACTTGCAGACAACTCGTATGAAAACATGATGCTGGAAAAATATAGAAAGCTGATCTCATCAAAGCTTTCTGATATATTATTTGAGCCCCAAAATAAGAGTATCCACAAAAATTAAAAATAAAAAAAAATATTTTAAAAAAAGAGGAAAAAGAGTTCTAGGGACCCAATTCTGCCCTGCTTTGGGAAGTTTGATCCTTTCAACCTTTACCCAGACCAGGTCAGAGGCCTTCCAATGTACTCCCATAGTTGCACAGGTTTACCAGATTAATAACATATACCTATCAGTATCATAGAACTTACCTGTACCATAGTATATCCGTGTTTACTTAAACCATCTCCCATTGAACCATAAACTTCTGGAAAGAAATAGCTATACCTTTAGTTATAGTTCCAACATAATTAACCTCACATACTACCAAACACATAGTAGATATGTTTGCTGAATTTATACATAAACATTACAATTGTATGATTAATTTACATAGTAAATAATTGTATATAAGTATTTTTATTTGGTTTAGAGAATAGAAAAGGCAACCTTTAGAGGAACAATTTTGAAATGATCTTAGAAGTAGGGGCAGAATTTTAAAAGGTAGTGATGGTAAGGGAGATTGTTCCATACATTCAGAAAAATATGGCAAATAGCATAATGGCAAGAAAGCAAGAGACTCTCAGTTTGGAGGAGCAGAAGGACATCATGGGAAATAAGGTTTGGTTGGGTGCCACATTTTGCCAGAGTTCACATTCACGCTCACATAGGGAATGGGTAGCAGTTGAGTAGAGCTGTAATATAATAAGAGGGACACGAAAATACATCTGGTGGCTAAGTGTAGGACAGACTCAAGAGGCAAGACATAGCCATAACATGTGGCTACTACAACAGTGGAGCAAAGAAGTGATGTATGATGGCAATAGGAAGGAGCAAGAGCAAATGGGTGAGAGAGACACTGCAGAGGTAGATTCTACGAGATTTGGTCATTGCTTACGTATAGGAAACAGAGAAGAGTCACGGATAACAAAAGTTTCAAACTGGTACACTAGAAGAACGGGGGCCATCATGGTGAGGGCCCAAATATTCCAGGAAGATACCATGTGAAACTTAATTGAGGGCTTTCAAAGAAAGGTCAGGGTTAAAATTAAAGCCCTGGATGACATAGGGTTAAAGATAAAGATTTGGAAGACATGCTAGTAGAGGTGATAAAGTTGTGAGAATGGATGAGATCTCCAAAGGAGACAGAACACAAAGGTTAAACGACAATTATTGTAAATACTTACATTTAAAGAGACAGAGGGCAAAGGATACTTACTATCACCTCAACTGTGAAGAATTTTCTAAGATGCAGATCGTGTTAAACACCTTCTTCTTTGTGCCCCATCGTGTCTTTAATCTACCTAACACAGGTCCTTTCAAACTGTTTTATTTTTCTTGTTAAATGCCTGCCTCTATTATTAAGACTATGAGCTTTTTAATAATTGAGTCATGAACTATATTCATCTCTATCACTAGCACTAGTCCCTAAACCCAAACTTAGAGCAACTTTGGGTTTCCAATGAATGGAGGGATTGGACGTATGGATGAGGGATGGATGGATGGGTGGATGGATGGATGGATGGATGGATGGATGAGGGATGGATATACAGTGAAAGAGACAGAGTGGAGGTTGAAAGAGGTGACTCAAACCATAAAAGTGCTACAGAGTTAAAGAGAGGATTTTAAAATACACAATGTTCCTCTGCATCTCTAAAATGTAATAAATCTAAAGAAAGAGTTCAAAGGTTAATAGTTTCAAAAGCACCTCATGGGATCATTATTTTTGTATGATTCATCCTGCTAGTTCAAAATATATTTAGGATTCCAGAATCCAACCACCTCTCACTATCCGAACTTCCGGCATTTTAGTCCAACGTGTGATCAGCTCTCACCTGTATTATTACAACTTTCTCTTCAATGATTTCCCTGCTTCTACCCTTGGCTTCCTATAGCCTATTTCTCAAAACAGCAGCCAGATTGACCCTTTGTAAATAGAAATCAGGTCTTGCTGTTCCTCTGCTCAATTTTTTTCAATGGGTTTCCCATTTTACTCAAAGTTAAACCAAAGTCTTTAAAATGGCACACATGGCCCTGCATGAGCTGCCTGCTCCCCTCAACACTCAATCCCTTAATGATCTCTCTCCAACCTCATCTTTTCCAACTTTTCCCACTGCTGTCTCAATGCCAGCCACTCTGGCCTCCTTGCTATTTCTCCAACATTCCAAGCATGCTTCTGCCTGAGAGCCTTTGCATCTGCAGTTCCCTCAGGCTTGAATGTTATTTCTCTGGATATCCCTGTGAGTCACTCCCTCATCTACTTTTCTCAGCTAACAACTTCCCCTGAGGGCTTCTCAGTGAGGTGTTCCCTGTCCACCCTATTTAAAATTGTAATCTGCCCCAGGACTGCCTTTCCTCCACCCTTGTTATTTTCCTCCATAGCAAGTTACTATTTCCATCCAAGTTCCCACATCTGCAAATCTTACTTATCCTTCAAAACCTTCCAGGACTTTACCATTCCTCCAGGCCCATCCCAACAATGGTGGCCCCCAATATTCTCTACCTTTTCTGAAATCTACCAGACTTGATTATGCAGCATGTCATTTATTACTGACACTTGGTTATTTTACATGGTTACTTTAGGCAACCATGTTTTCACCTGTCTTTTTTTCCTCCTCAACAAAGCTGTAAACCTCTTGAAAACAAGTGCTATCACATGACTTTTGTGTATATTCCTTGTTAGCACTCAATGTAGCGCTAAACACATAACATGGTTTGATTTCAATAAATAGTTTAAGAAATGAACAGGCAATGTCAATAATAATAGTTGACACTTGCAGAATTATTACCAAGTGCCAGAACAGTAACCCAGTAAACAATGTGATATTATCATCATTTTACAGCTGAGAATTGAGTAGCTCACCCAAAATCTTGCAGCCTGTAAGAGAGGAAGTGTAGGATTTAAACCAAGGCCTCTTGAACTCCACTGTCCACATTCTACTCTTCTCTACCATTGTTTCCAAATTAATACCTTCTATTTATTAAGCACTTACTATGAGCTAGGCACAATGCCAAACACTTTACATATGGTATCTCAGTTTACTCCAGAACAACACTGTGGGGTGGATGTTACCAAATTTATTTTACAAATGAGAAAACTGTCGCTTAGAATGGTTAAGTACCTTGGATAAAAATCTACATCTAGTAAGTGACCATATCAGAGTATTAGCTAGTCAACTCAGCTAAAACAACCACACTTACTGTGCATATGCCACTTCACAATTCCGACCTACATAGAACTATTGGAATAAACTACTATACTCTGAATTCTCTGAGTTTTTTTAGGGCAAATATACCTCTTACCAGTGAGTTTGTGGTCCCAGAAATTGCATCACTTTGTAGTCTGTTCTTTGCTTTTAGTCTCCTGACAAGAACTGGTATTTAACTTCTATTAAATATATCAGGGTAAAAGTGAGTCAGCACATCAGAGGGGATTTTCATAATCTCATTTAGTATGGACAGGTTTAATTTTAAACTAGCATAAGTGTGTGTTCTTTTATTTGCATGTTTGTGGAATAGCGTGTGTGTGTGTGTGTGTGTGTGTGTGTGTGTGTGAAAGAGAGAGAGGGCGAGGGAGGGAGGAAAACACCTCTTCCTTGATGCCTTAATTGACAACTGGATCTCTCAAAACCCATGGCTTACCAGCAGTGCCCAAGAAGTCCCCCCAAATGGCACTGCTAACCCCTGAGAAGCTCTATGAAGCCTGCCTTTGAATGATTGAGGGATTTGGGGACAAAATTCTACTTCTGTGCTTAAGAAACCAGAACCCAGTCTTCAAAAGGAGAAGCCTTGGAGAATGGAAAAATTTTTAAAAAAGAAAGGAAGATTTACTTGGCAGAGAACAACGACTCCAAGAAGGAGAGAGATCAGGAAGCCTAAATCACACCCTCAAGTATGAGGCTCAATGGCACGGCTGTTATTCAAACGATGACGACTCCTCTACAGAATGGGTTAGTAAAATGGTAGCTCATTTTTCAAGTGCTGTCTACAGCCAAGTTATGTTGTTGATATTGTTTATTTCTTTGTTTTAAGAATGACTTCAGCACAGCACCTTAATCATTATCAAATCACCCCTGTGATAATGTCACAGAAACGTGAGTACGGCTGATGGATTTAGACAGAGCTGCAAACATCTTTGAGCCTATTTCTTCTTTTCTGTCCTGCTCTTCCCCACACCCGCCCTCCCCTGCCACCTGCCAGAGCATGAGAGTGCAGGGCTGAAAGCATAAGGCTTTCTGAGCCTTGAGATCCTCTGAAGATTTATCCCAGCTCAAGAATAAAGCAGTTATGAAAGACCTCTTGAATTCGAGAAAGTACTTTGTGCATTTTTAGTATTCAAATTTCAAGTATGTGTGACGGGTTTTCCGATCCAATTCTGAAGAATCAGATAGAGTTATTTAAAATTATAACTAAAAACACAAATACAGTGTGGAACTGAGAGAAGAGACGTGGTAGAATGAGAGAAGATAAGCACTTCTAAGAAGTGGGAAGACTGGGGAAAGGAAAGGAGAAACAGAAAAACTAGTTTTTTACCATTAGAGGCTACATTTTGTATTTTATGTTGTTCACTCCTGCCATCTAGTGGTTATTATGTAGTAATGCTAAAGCCAGTTCAGTCTGAAGTTACCAAACTAAAAGATACAACAGTCCCCTGAGTGTTTACTTCCGCGACAAGTCCCCTGCGTTCCTCTCTGGTATGAACATAATTGTGAATGTTCAACATCTGTTAATGTCCATAGCATTTCAATAAGAAGCCAAGGCTACTAACCTAGAATGAATGTGAAAAGTTCCAAGATCTCCCCTCACTCACTCAGTATCCCACTTTGGGCAAGTCGTCTCCCCGCAAAAAAAACTGTTCCATTCTGAAATTCCAGCATTTTAACAAGTTTCTTTTGTTCTAAATATTGGATGACCCAATATAACTGTGTCTTGCAAGACACTCTTAAACTAAAGAGCTAAATATACTAATGAAATAGAACCGTAGTCTCTAAATAGTGATCCAATCATCAAAAAGATCCCTTGCCTTTTTAAAAACCTTGATATAAAGAGAAACTCAAATGTGTATTATGTGGTCTCTAGTTTTAATGTTGTAAGTTGCTTTTAGAAGAATATGGTTCAAAACTTTTTTCCCAAACGCAAGCCTTTTCCATTTCTCTGATTATCGGTATGGGGTAGGAGGTTCCATTGCAAACTCAGCAGCTCAGACTTGGTTGCTGTGCTGGGGGTTCCCAGTAGCACTGTAAAAAAAGGTAGTGCACTGCCAAGTGGCTAAAGAGGTCAAGAACAAAGCCGGCTGTGAGATAAGAAAGTTTTTTAAGGGTTGGAAACCTGCAGTGAGAGGTCTGATCTTGGCAATCATATCAAAGGCAGTGGTTCTACATTTTTTAAGGTGGAAAAAACACAAGGGAAGATCTGTCTGAGAAGTAATGAGCTGCAAGCATGACTGGCTTTCTGGAAGAGAGTTTTGCAATGGCATAAAACATTCCCAGGTCTAGATGTGTGGATGACAAGCACAGAGATGGAAAGTGGCAGGCTGGAAGAGAGAAACTCAAGGCATATTTTTAAAAAGATAATTTGGAGGTGAGGGGATGTTTGACTTACACTTTCAAAAAACACAATGAAATTTTTTTAAATACAGCTTTTTTTTCCAGTAAGAAGGAAATTATTACTGATCCATTGTCTTTCTGGAGTCTCTAGGTAGGGAGGGAGAAAAATCTGGTATATATAACGAAGCAATCTTGGTGCATGTACATGACTAACCAGATCTCCACCAGGGCTGTCTTCACTAGTGCTAGGCTGGCCATTGTGACACTTGGTCCCTTTCATGTGCTCCTTACTTCCTGTTCTTATGCCCTGAACTCACTGTGTCCAGCCATCCCGGCCTTCTGTGTCTTTGTTCTTTCTCATTCCTACCTCAGGACCTTTGTGCCAGTGATTATCTTCCACCTGCACATTATTTTCCCTCTTCATTTTGGCAGTCAGGCCTCAAATATCACCTCCTTTAAAATGTTTTCTCTGCTATCCTCTCTAATGCTGCACCCCACCCAACACCCTAGTTTCTTTCTATCAAATAAACTTTAATTTTTTTCACAAAGATAATTTCTCTATTCCTATCTTTCTTATTTTTGTTTAATTGTTAATCATCTCTTTCCCCTGTAGAATCTAAGCTCCATATGAGCAAAGTCTTTCATATCTTGTTTATTGCTTAAATCAGTAAGGGCCCCAACAGGAAACAGATGAGTAATTAGGAGATGCTTAGTAAGGGACTGTTTAGGAAGCGACTGTTTCATTGCTCCTCTCGGCAGTGCAATATTTTGGTGCTACTAACAGTGGGGCAGGCTATAGCCACTAGTAGCCCTGAAGACCGAGGTAGGTGCATTACCGGGACACCTAATAAGAAAAGAGACCTGCAGTGGAGAGACACAATCAGTCTGTGGCCCCCCTTCAAAGAGAGCTGGGAAAATCAATGTCTCAATTTCCTTCCCCTTCATCTCTCACATTGCCTACTGAGGCTTATACTAGTGTGTGCTTATGCTTAATACTTATGTCTGTAATCCATGAATAGCATAAGGACTAGAAATTCAAAACTGAATGACCTTTGACTTTAGAAAGAGCAAGTGATTTTCCCTGAAGATTGCCTTCAGCCACCAACAGGCTAAAGAGACCCACTTCTACTTCTCAGCAAGGCAGGAAGGCGCCAGACTAACTGGTATGCCAAGGACAAGTGTTTAGTTGTGAAGTGCATTACAGAGATGATGGAAAGCTTTTCGAGACATCAGATTGTGGGACTTCAAAATTTGAAGAAGTACATACATTAGAGAGTAGTATAGGCGTTCATTAATGCTTTATAAGCCCTTTCAGTAGGCTCCACAGTTCACAGAGAGCTCCACATATCCTATCTCATTCAAATCTCAAAGTCTTCAGGCAGATAGCAAGTAATGTCCTCATTTTAGAGACAAGGAAAATTTGCCTTAGCAAATTAAATGTCTTGCCCAAGGTCATACAGCTATCAGGGGTGAAACACAAATTCAGAGAAAGGGAAAAGAATCTTTTGGGGAAAAAAAAATCCTCTAAGAGGTGTGGGAGATGAGTCTGAGGGAATTTGATGAGCTAATCTGACCAAGAGTTTTGATAAATTGTTACTCTATTGCAAAAATTGCCTGTTTCTGCGGGAGTCTTTGTCCCAGGTGTATTAGTAGGTGAAATAAAAATGAAATAACAAGACAACATAACAGAAGAAAACGTCAAGGATCTGCATAGTCCGTCTGAATAACACACAGCCTAGGGAGATGACATGTAAATGATCAAAGCACCTCTAAAACTATTGCTCTTCTTCCTACCACCTAAATCTTAGCCTGGGAAGAGAAAGTAAGGTACAAAAAAGGCAATTCCAAGTGATAGCAATTCCCATGAAATAGGAAGAAAACAGAGCTTTCACTTCTCAAATATTAAATCTCTCCAGATAGTGGAATTCTGAACTAGCAGGAGTTGACTGATGAAACAGACTGCTAATTTTTAACTACTTATATTCATTCACCTTCTGTTAATGTATTTAATCTCTTTACTCGTTATTTTACCCTAAAATCACAATGTTATTTTTCACATGCTAGTTGTAGAAGGAATGTAACATATTTACTAGGAATAAAAGTGGTTAGCCTTTATAGATGAGTTTCACCTCTCCTGCCTGCCTCTTGGCAGACATAATAAAGCCAAGGTACAGTCAGTGCCAGAAAACCTTAATGAGATGGGAGACAAGAATGAAAAGTTATCAGAGGTACAGTATTCCTGGAGATTTTTAAAGCAATGGCAATGAGCCATGTTCTTAGCTACAATTAAAATATGGTCTTTAGAGGTGCCTCAGTCAGTCTCAAACATCTTGCAGCAGATCTTCAGGGCCAGATTTAGATTTTACTGCACCAGGCTTGTGGGTAAATACAACACTTAAATTTTCTTTGTTTTTGTTTTTGTTTGTTTGTTTGTTTGTTTTGAGACTGAGTCTTGCTCCATTGCCCAGGCTGGAGTGCAGTGGTGCGATCTCAGCTCACTGCAACCTCGACCTCCTGGGTTCAAGTGATTCTCCTGCCTCAGCCTCCTTAGTAGCTGGGATTACAGGGTGCCCACTACCAGGCTCGGCTAATTTTTGTATTTTTAGTAGAGACGTGGTTTTGCCATGTTGGCGAGGCTGGTCACCTGACCTCAGGTGATCCACCCACGTCGGACTCCCAAAGTGCTGGGATTACAGGTGTGAGCCACACACCCGGCCAAGACACTTAAATGTTCAGCCATCAGTGAAAGCCATTTATGTGGCTAATACTGGTGATGAAAAAAACGGTGGTACAATTGCAATTTTGTTACATGGATATATTGCATGGTGGTAAAGTCCTGGCTGTTCGTGTGCCGATCACCTGAACAGTGAACATTGTACCCAATAGATACTTGTTCAACCCTCAACTTCCTCCTACCCTCCCCCTTTCTGGAATCGCCAATGTCTAGTATTCCCCTCTGTTTTTCAGCATGTACTCATTGTTTAGCTCCGACTTATAAGTGAGAACACACCATATTTGACCTTCCAAAACGGTATTATTAAAATGCATTTTTTAAAGTTGGGAGTTGAATCCTTAAGGACATTGTTTAAAATCTACTTTTCAAAGGATCCAGTGAAAGTATTTCCCCGTAAGCAATGCAGCCACTAATCTGCATTATTCAGTGTGCTCTATCGCAATTAATCTGAAATCCTTCAGCAATGGAATAGAACAACCAGAAGAAGAATCCTCTCACCTTATTATTCACAAGTTGTGTTCTGTAGTTGTCATTCATAAACAACTTTTTTCTGAGACCAAAAACAATCAAGTGGACAGAAACTTAATTCTGCAGCATATGCAAGAGAATTAAATAATCTACCTCATAAGTGAGCAAAACCCTATACTGACTTGGCTGCTCATTTTCTTTATGATACAGGCGGAGCCTTTTGTGCCTCAGCCTTCCAATCTACTAAGAAGGGCTTGATTTACCTCTGTGTTCTGTGCCTCAAGCAGAACTTACCAGAATCAATCCTGAGCCATGTAGATTGAAACATGCCTTCTGTTTGTTTATATTAGAACAATTGTTGTTTCTCTGTCCTAGGGAGGCTCGTCTATCTAGCAGGATGGCTCTAAAAATGGGATCTGGAGTTGAGCAAAGTTTGATGTTTAAAACATTCTCTACCAGTTACCAGCTATGTGGTTTTGGAAAATTACTTATTAGTCACCCCCTCAGCCTCAATTTCTGCATCTGTAAAAAGAGGATAATCATAGTACTTGATTCACTGGGTGACTGAGAGAAGAGAATGAGAGAATATGTATAAAATGTGTAGTTCAGAGTGTGGCATCTCATAGGCCCTCAGAGCATATAAGCTGGGTACTGCTCTCTGCACACTTGGAATAGGAAGCCACACTTCCTCCTTGTGGCTTCTCTAGGACTACAACAAGCAGCCTATCCTTCCACTCGCAATGCTTTGCTCCCTCTTCTCTCACCATTTGCTCTTCCATATCATTGCTTATATCCTACTTTCTCCAAGATTCTTAAGGTGCAGGGCTATTGGTACCTGGAAGACTCATCTTCCCCTAACCCTGGGCAACCTTTGGGGCTTTGCAAATAGGAGCATAGGAGCAAAAGTCATAAACAAGGAGAGCCCTAGAGCAGGAATGTGGAAGGAAGATCAAAGCTTCAATAAAACATGAAACCACCAAATCGAGCAGAACACCATGCCCTTAATTCCCAAGGAAGTCCTTCATCGCACCTATAGCTTTTTTCATTCAAGTTGTTCCAGCACCTCATCACTACTATTGTTTGTGTGCCTATTTGATATTTATTCTCATATTTTCATTGGTTTTTGCCCTTCCTCTCTCATTAAACTATAATGCTTTTTAAGCCAGTGTACATTATTTTAACAACGACAACAACAAAAAAAACTGTGGCCTAAAATAATTGATATGCTTCTGCTATGTTCTGCCAAAGTAATTCTCACTTCCCCTACTAGAATAACTATCAGCTTGTATTGTTATTGCATAAGTTATCCAAGTGTCTGCCTCTCCATCTTTCAAAGCCCACCTTCATCTAGTGTATATGACCCGTATGCACTCCTGAGTCACTGTGCCTTATAGCTCTCCTTTACCTACTGCCAGAGCCATATTCACCACTCTAGGGGCTGATTCCTCAGACTAGCTTTTCCCTCCTCCCCCTCTTCCTCCTTCTCTTTCTTCCTTTCTTCCCCCAAGCATTACCAATTCAAGGCAGTAGAATGGGGCAAAAGAGTTCTAAAAGTTTAGGCAAAGATACCCAGAGTGCATTCTGGGAAGTGGAATGCACATCAGCAGAGCTGGAAGGAAGCACGTGTCACTGCTGTGCTCAGGACACAATCTGAATCTTCAGATTGCTTGGTCCTGGAGAGGCTGTTTGGTAGTGCACAGAGCCTGCATCCTGTGGACAGAGCAGTTGACATCTCTCTCCTTACCAGCCTGACTAGTCACTGGTGCAACTTTAGAAAAGTTGTTTAACCTCAGTGCACTTTCTCAACTACCTGGTCTCTACAATGATAGAGACCTTAGACAGCTTTTATAAATGCATTATTGTGCATAAATCCTGGCTCCAATAATCACTAGAGAAGTATTTGCTATTATTGTTGCCTGTACCTTCCCAAGCTATCTGCTGCTTACTTCTTCAGTCCCGTCTCTTGCTATTTCTCGTTTGCACTCTATGCTATAGCCATGAAGAGCAACTTGAGGTCACCCTAAACGTAACCAAGATTTATCTCGACCTTGACTCCTTGCTTAGATTGTTCCCTCTGTAAAAAAGGTATTTGCTCTCCCTGCTTCCTTCACCTAGGTCCTAGTCATTCTCAGGTCTCAACTTCCAAATTACATCTTGCATCTTAAAAAAAAAAAAAAAAAAATCCTTCCTAGATCCTCCAAGCCAGAGTCCCTTATATGTGCTCACATATCATGATGTGCTCAACATGAATAATGCCTAGTTACTTGCAAGTGACTTATTTTCTTTTCTGTATTTTTCTTGGTCATACCAGACTGCAAATTCTTTGAAAGCAGGAAGCATCTTTCATGGTTCTGTTCCTAGTACCAGCCCAATGCTAGCACTTACTAGATGCTCCATAAATATGTTTTCAATACAAGTTGAAAGCAAAGAAATTAAACAACATGAGAGCAAATTTTACCACTTATGCATACTTTTCATATTGGACACAAAGGTTTATAAAACTCTAGTAGTTCAAGCCTTCATATTTTAAACTGTAACATCTTCAAAATGGAGTTATATGATCTTCATTATTTCTGAATGTGGTGTCAGCTTGGTAAATAGAATAAAAACAAATTTTCCCAGATAAGCAAAAAACTCTGCACTTCTTTCAGCTATGTACAAAGTATATAGGGCAGACTGGCTCAGGCATCCCTTCCAGGCAGGTTTTGAGATATCAGAAGAGACAAAAATGATATATTTTTTAGAGCACCTCATGCTACTTGGAGATTTATAAATGTTTCTCGATGATGCTAATGATAGTGATGATGAAAATTCTGAAACAGTGAAAATAATGTTTAGTAGAATAAAGGTCCTAGATCTTCCCATTGGCTATAAATTGAGATTTGATAGAAAGATGAAGAAGGAAAATCAAAAATCTAATCCTCTCCGACCTTCCGAAGACTTTATAATATTACATTTATTATTGCTTTAATGTTTGATCTTCTTTAAAATGTTTATAATTCTCTGCAATTGAGATATATATATATATATATATATATATATATATATATATATATATATATATATATATAAGTCCCTCAAATGCACATCTCTCTACTTTTTTTATTTTTATAGATTTAGGGAGTACAAGTACAGTTCTATTACATAAACATATTATGTAGTGGTAAACTCTGGGCTTTTAATGTAACCATCACCAAAATAGTATACATTGTACCCAATAGATAGTTTCTTATTCCTCACACACCTCCCACCTTCCCACCTTCTGGAGTCTCCAATGTCTATTATTTCACTCTTTATGTCCATATGAAGCCATTGTTTATCTCCCACTTGTAAGTGAGAATAGGTGATATTTGACTTTCTGTTTCTGAGTTATTTCACTTAAAATAATGGCCTCCAGTTCCATCCAAGTTTCTGCAAAATACATGATTTCATACTTATTCTAGCTGAGTAGTATTTCATGGGAGATTATATATATATATATATATTATACACACACACACATATACACATACACATGATGGTATATGTGATTATATATATACCACAGTTTCGTTAATTATCCATCAATTGTCCATTGATGGACACTTAGGTTGGTTCCATGACTTTGCTATTGTGCATAGTGTTGCTATAAACCTGCAAGTTCAGATGTCATTTTATATAATAACTTATTTTCTTTTGGGTAGATACCCAGTAGTGACGTGGCTGGATCAAATGGTTTATTTGAGACATCTCCATACTGTTTTCCATTTACATTCCTACTAACAGCATGTAAGCATTCCCTATTCTCTGCATCATTGCCAATATCTGTTGGTTTTTGACTTTCTAATAGTAGCCATTCTGACTGGTGTGAAATGGTATCTCATTGTGGTTTTGATTTGCATTTATCTGATGATTAGTGCTGTTGAGCATTTTTTCATAAGTTCGTTGGCTACTTGTATGTCTTCTTTTGAAAAATGTCTGTTCATGTCCTTTGTTCATTTTTTAATGGGATGATTTGGTTTTTTTCTTGTTGAATTTTTTGAATTCTTGGTAGATTCTGGATGTTAGTCTTCTGTCAGATGGATAGTTTGCAAATATTTTCTCCCATTCTGTATGTTGTCTGTTTACTCTGTTGATTGTTTCTTGTGCTGTGCAGAAGCTTTTTAGTTTAATTAAATCTCATTTGTCTATTTTTAGTTTTGTTGCATTTGCTTTTGATGTCTTAGTCATAAATTCTTTGCCTATACTACTCTCCAAAAGAGTTTTTCTTAGGTTTTCTCCTAGAATTTTATAGATTAAGGTCTCATGTTTTAAGTCTTTAATCCATCTTGGGTTAATTTTTGTGTATGGTGAGAGATGAGTGTCCAGTTTCATTCTTCTGCATATAGTTATCCAGTTTTCCCAGTACCCTTTATTGAATAGGGTATCCTTTTCTCAGTGTATATTTTTTGTCAACTTTGTTGGAGACAAGTTGGTTACAGGTATATAGCCTTTCTGATTCTCTATCCTATTCCATTTGTTTGTGTTTCTATTTTTATACCAGTACCAGGCTGTTTTGGTTACTATAGCCTTGTAGTATAATTTGAAGTCAAGTAATGTGATGCCTCCAGCTTTGTCTTTTTGCTTAGGATTGCTTTGACTATTTGGACTTTTTTTTTTTTGGTTCCATATGAATTGTAAGATTGTTTTTTCTAATTCTGTGATAAATGATGTTGGTATTTTGATACGGATTGCATTGAATCTGTAGATTACTTTGGGCAGTATGGTCTTTTCAATGACATTGATTCTTCCAATATATGAGCATGGGATATTTCTTTGTTTGTGTCACCTATGATTTCTTTCATCAGCATTTTGTAGTTCTCCTTGTAGAGATCTTTCACCTCCTTGGTTAAAAGTATTCCTAGGTATTTTATTTTTATTTTTAGTGGTTATTGTAAATGGGATTAAGTTCTTGATTTTGTTCTCAGCTTGATTGCTATTGGTGTATAGAAATGTTACTAACTTTTGTACATTGATTTTTGTATCCTAAGACTCTACTGAAGTCATTTATCAAATCTAGGAGTCTATTGCAGGAGTTTTTAAGGTTTTCTTGGTATAAGATTGTATAATCAGCAAACAGAGATAATTTGACATCCTCTTTTCCAATTTGGATGCTTTTTATCACTTTCTCTTGTCTGATTGCTCTAGCTAGGACTTTCAGCATTATCTGGAATGGTAGTGGTAAAAGTGGGCATCCTTGTTTTGTTCTAGTTCTTAGGGGAAATGATTTCAACTTTTCCCCATTCAGTATGATGTCAGCTGTGGGTTTGTCACATATGACTTTTATTATTTTGAGGTATGTTATGTATATGCTTTGTTTGTTGAGGGTTTTTATCATGAAGTGATGCTTAACTATATCAAATTCTTTTTCTGCATATATGGATATGATCATATGGTTTTTGCTTTTATTTCTGTTTATGTGGTAAATAACATTTATTGATTTGCATTTATTGAACCATTCTTATATTCTTAAAATGAAACCCACCTGATTGTGGTGTATTATCTTTTTTATGTGCTGATTGATTCAGTTTGCTAGCATTTTGTTGATTTTTGCATCTGCATTCATAAGAGATATCGACCTCTGATTTTCTTATGCATGTCTGTGTGTGTGTGTGTGTGTGTGTGTGTGTGCGCGTGTGTGTCCTTGACTGACTTTGGAATTAGGGTGGTACTGACTTTGTAGAATGAGTTAGGGAGGATTCTCTATGCCTCAGTTTTTTGCCTTGGTTTGTCAGTATGATTGGTACCAGTTCTTCTTTACACATCTGGTAGAATTCAGCTGTGAACACATCTGGTCCTAGGCTTTCTTTTGTTGGGGGGATGGATTTTTTATACAGATTCAATCTCGTTACCCATTATTGGTCTGTTCAGGATTTCAATTTCTTCCTAGCTCAATCTAGGGAGGTTGTATGTTTCCAATAATTTATCCATTTTCTCTAGATTTTCTTGCTTGAGCGTAGAGGTGTTCGTAGTAGTCTCTGGTGAGTTTCTGTATTTCTGTGTTAGTAGTTGGAATATTTCCCTTTTCATTTCTGATGGTGCTTATTTGAATATTCTTTCTTTTTTTCTTGGTTAACCTAGCTAGGGGTCTGTCAATTTTGTTTATGTTTTCAAGGAGTCAACTTTTTGTTTCATTGATTCTTTGTATTTTTTTCTCAATTTCATTTAGTTGTGGTCTGGTCTTTGTTATTTTTTTTCTCCTGGAGTTTTAAGCTTGGTTTATACTTGTTTTTCTAATTCCTTGAGGTGTGACATTAGGCTATTAATTTGTGATCTTTCTATATCCTTGATATAGGCATTTAACACTATAAACTTTCCTCTTAGCACTGCTTTTGCTGTATACCAGAAATGTTGCTATGTTCTGTCTTTATATTCATTCATTTCAAAAATTTTTCTGATTTCCATCTTAATTTCATCATTGACCCAGAGGTCATGTAGGAGCATGTTGTTTAATTTCCATGTATTTGCATAGTTTTGAGAGTTCCCCCTTGGTATTGATTTCTAATTTTAATTGACTGTGGTCCAAAAAATACTTCATCTCATTTTGATTTTTTAAATTTTATTGAGACTTGATTTGTGGCCTGATAGATGGTCTATTTTGCAAAATACTTCATGCACTGATGAAAATAATGTATATTCTTCAGTTCTGGATACAATGTTCCATAAATATCTGTTATGTCCATTTGGTCTAGAATCCAACTGAAGTCTTAGTGTTTCCTTGTTGACTTTCTACATCGATAATCTGTCTAGTGCTGTCCCTGAGGTGCTGAAGTCCCTCATTATTATTGTGTTGCCATCTCTCTCTTTTCTTAGGTCCAGAAGTATTTGTTTAATGAATCTGGGTGCTCTGGTGTTGGGTACATACATATTTAGGATTGTTATATCTTCTTGTTGAATCAAACCCTTTATCATTATATGACTGTTCTTTCCTACTGTTTTTAATTTAAAGTCTGTTTTATCTGATATCAGTGTAGCACCACCTGTTCATTTTTTGTTTCTGTTTGTGTAGAACATCTTTTTCCACCTCTTTACCTTGATTGACTCTGTCACAGCCAGTTAGGTGTGTTCCTTCTAAGCAGCATATGATTGGATCTTGTTTTTTATTCATTTTGCAAATCTATATCTTTTAAGTGGAGTATTTAATCCATTTACATTTAAGGTTAATATTAATATATGAGATTTTGTTTCTGTCATAATATTTATAGTTACCTAGTTGCTTTTTTCTCTCAATTGTGTAATTGTTTTATAATACCTCTGAGTTATATACTTTTGTATACTTTTATAATGGTGAATATTGACCTTTCATTTTCATGTTTAGAATTCCTTTGAGCATTTTTGTAGGGCTAGTTTAGTGTTGCCAAATTCCCTCAGAGTTTTCTTGTCTGGGAAATAAATTATTTCTCCTTCATTTAGGAAACTTGGTTTAGTAGGATGCAAAATTCTTGGCTCACAGTTTTTTTTTTTTTCCTTTAAGACTAAAAGTAGGATCCCAATTTCTTCTGGCCTGTAGAGTTTTTACTGAGAAGTCCATGGTGAGTCTGATAGGATTTCCTTTACAGGCGATTGGATGCTTTTCTTCTGATGCTTTTAGGATGTTTTCCCTCACATTCACTTTAGATAGTCTGATGTCTACATGTCTTGGTGATATCCATCTTGTAACATACCTTCCTGGAGATATCTGAGAATCTTGCATCTACATATCTAAATCTCTAGACTAGGAAAGTTTTCCTCAGTTACTCCCTCAAATAGGTTTTCCAAACTTTTTATTTTTTCTTCTGACTTGTAGGTTTGGATATTTTACATAATCCCATGTTTCTCAGAGGCTTTGTTTTTTAATTTTTTTTCTTTATTTTTGTCTGGTGTTAATTTGAAAAACCTGCCTTCAAGCTCTGAAATTCCTTCCTCTGCTTGGGCTAGTCTATTACTAAAGCTTTCAGCTGTGTTTTATAATTCCTTCCATAAATTTTTCATGTCAGAAGTTATGTTTGGTTGCTTTTTAAAATCTATCTCTGTAATGAATTTTTCATTCATATCCTGAATTGTTTCTTGATTTCTTTGTTTTGGTTTTCAACTTTCTGTTGGATTTCATTGAACTTCTTTAAAGTAAATATTTTTAACTGTTTATCTGGCATTTCAAAGATTTTATTTTAATTAGAATTCTTTGCTGGAGAGTTAGTGTGATCCTTTGGGGGTGTTACAACACTCTGTTTTGTTTTTAACAAAATCATTTCTCTGATTTCCTCTCATCTGAATAACCTCTCATTATTTTTCTAATTTACTTTCATTTGAATGAAATATTTTCCCGCTTGAGGTATGACTATAATGTATGTTGTGTAATCATTTGACTTCAATTCTGAGTGCTTTCAGTGGCAAAGACTCTGTATGAGTTCCTTGGTTATAGACAGCCTTTGTGCAATGGCTTTCTCAAATGCTGGTTTTAGTAGCAATGTACTAGGCATATTAGCAGGATCACTGCCTTCTGCAGGGCAGGGAGTGTGGAGGTCTCAAGAAACCTTCATCCATACGAAGATGGGCCCCACTGTTAGACTCTCTCATATCCTTTTTGTATAGCAATTATCACATTTGCCTTTGTGATCAATTAATTAATACTCATGTTCTCCTTAAGAATGCAAGCACCATGAGTGCAGGGATCACGTCTCTCTTGCACATCAAGGTAACCTCAGTCCCTCAGTTATTTTACTAAAAAGACATTCAGTAATATTAGTTGACTTTTGAATAAAAAAGGAGTGTCTTCACATTGTCCTCTCTCTGCTGTTGAGAAGAGAGAACAAATGTCTTAGCATACCTGTTTCTCCACTATTATGACAAAGTAGAAAACAAATTAAATACTCATCTGCTGCAATAATAACTTCATTTTGATAATATAAGGACTCTTAATAAAATTACATTGTAAGTCTAAAAAGAAATGGAGAAACCATCTATTTTCTTGCATAAGATAGAGACTTGCGTAACAGAGAAGATATGGTGTGTTGTGTCATAGTCAGAGAATGGGCTTCAGCCTGAGCACTAGATGCACCCCTAAAGGTAGTTTAGTGAAGAAGGAAGGACTCAAATGACAGAACCAGGCTGCTAAGGTCAAATTCTGGACTGCCACTTAACATTTGTATGATCACAGCAAGTTAATCTCTCTACTCCTCAACTTCCTCATCTATATGTGGAATTCAATTAGGACTGCTTCATTGGGTGGTTGTGAGTGTTAAAGGAGAGATCTATGTAAAACACTTAAAACAGGTAACAGTTATTATTTAACATTTTCTGGACCATTATTGTGTGTATTAGTTCAGACGCATTTATTCCACCAGGAAGTAGAATGGGTTTTTTAAAGATCCTTTTGAGTTTCACCATTTCAGTGATTTTAGGCAAACTAATTTATGCCATGCCTAATAATCATAGTTCAAACTATATCAGATGACAATAACATCATAGGAGCTACAACATCCAAATGATAACAGATGACAATAAAATCACAAGAGCTATTATTAGACACTAAACTATCTCATGTTAAAATGTGATCCCCAATGTTGAAGGTGGGGCCTGGTGGGACGTGTTTGGGTTATGGGGGTGGATCCCTCATGAATGGCTTGGTGCCCTCCCCATGGTAATAAGTGAGTTCTTGCTCAATTAGTTACCATGATAAAAGAGGCTGGCAGCTTTCTTGCTCCCTCTTTTGCTTTGTAACACGTCTGCTTCCCCTCTGCCTTCTGCCATGAGTAAAAGCTTCCTGAGGCCTCACCAGAATCCAAGCAAATGTTGGTACCATGCTTGTACAGCCTACAGAACTGTGAACCCAAAAAAGTTATTTTCCTTATAAATTACTCAGCTTCAGATATTCCTTTATAAAAGGAATATCTTGCTATAAAGCGAGGCAAATGGAATAATACGTTATCTCTAGTCTGCAGGGGAGAAAATTGACTCTCTGAGGAACTAAGTGTCTTGTTGAACACCAAGCAATAAAACCAAACCCCAGACCCAGAGGTTTTGTGTGCAAGTTGGTACTCTCGACTCAATGTGCATTGCCTCTCTGCTATATCACTTAATAATTCCACTGCCTTGTGTTTGTACTGAATATTACTTAAAGCACTTCCTGTGCCTTATCTTCTTTGGTGCTCACAACAACTCTTTAAGAAGCAATCTAACAGAAAGGCCATGGAGTAGAATGGATAAAGGGCTGGCCAGACACTCACAAGTTTGTTATGATTTATTGGCATTTTTGCTTGGGAAAGTCACTTAATTTCTCTGATCTTCAGTCTCCACACTTGTAACATAGAATAATTGAGCTGGACAATCCTTATTGTTTTCTCTGGATCAAAAATGCAAAAACTCATCAGTCTTCAACCATATTATCTATCCTTTAAATCATCATTTAAAGGCCATCCTCGTCTGAAGATTGCTTCTCAAGTAATATCACCATTTCTCTCATCAACTAGAACAAGAATTTACCTACACCTATATGGATCTATTGTAAAGTAATTTCTTTGTGGTTGCTGTGGAATTCAAGCCCAAACTATTTCTATGCATCTGATAATATTAGATATAGTTTTGTATATTTGATGTAATAATTCCTATGAGTCTAATAACAACTAATACTGAGGTCTGTACATTCTGTTTGAAAAGAAAAGTGGCTAATGAGAATAGCATTACGCCAGGCTCACAACATCCAAAAAATCTGAAAATACCTTTTTCGTAATATAACACTGTTCCTGCAAAATATATACAAGTATAATTTGTCACTTTGCAACAAACTAAAACACAAATAAGTCCTAGGAGAAAAAGCTTGCCCTGTAACTTTAAGATTTACCACATGAGGGCAGGGTTGATTCAGTTCTGGACTTCATCCTTTTCTTTTTCTTTCTTTTTAAAGGTATTGAATACATAGATATAGTGTAGATGGGACTATAAATCAGTAAAAAAATAAAAAATAAAAAAATAAAATCCCCAAAATAGACTGATCCTTTTCAAAAGAATCATAAAAATTATCACATGCTTTGACTTGTAGTTCAACATATTGAAATATTTCCATAAATAATAAGCCCTAAAGAACTAAAAAGCTGTAAATATGAGAATAATCCTTGTAATACTTTCTAAATTTTCTCTTCAAAGCGGAAATAATCTAGATGTCTAACATTGTAGATTTAAATAAATAAATATTATATAAATCTGGTGGCTTATACTGCAACTCTTTTAAATGAATATTTAGAAGATTTGGTAGAAAGAGATTAAAATGCACATGATTTATTAAGCAAAACTGCAAAAGATTATATAATGTAATCTATTCCGGATTAAAGATATGTAAAAGTCATAATTGCATATTCAGTGGGACCAGAAAGAGACACAGAAAAACAAAAACAGTACTTTTTAAAGGAAGGTATATTGATAGGCAATTCCTTATTTACAGTATTTTTGTACAGTGTTGTATACACCATGCATTTTAATCCCTTTGCCTATAACAGAATCAAGGATAAATCGTCCACATTTTTAGGGCCTTCTTTAATACATTATCACCTGAGTTGCCAAGTATAGCAGACGCAACTGGTTTCTGCTCAATCTCTCAGTCTCCATTTTTCCCTCCATCTTTATTGACCAAACTGATAATCTAGTCTCAAAGGGCATTGTATAGTATGCTCATTTTCTGTCTTCTTGCAACTAGGAATGACCATGTATCCTAGTTCTGGAAAATGAGATGTTAACTGGAGGTCACAGGTTGAGGTTTCTGGGAAATCTCTTTAAAAAGTGATGGCTTTGAGTGGCTGGTTTGGGAAAAGGTCTTTTGTCCTTTGGCCAAACTCTCTCCCTTTTGGTCTAGTGTGTAGATGTCATGCCTGTAGGCAGAGCAGACATTTTCCAGCCATGAGGATGAAAAAGACATGAAAAGGATGTCAGAACAGGAAGATAGAAGGACCCCAGACCCCTAGTGGTGTCATGGAGCTTGTCATGTCTGCTCTGGACAGATGGCCTCTGAGCTTGTTTTGTAAGAAAATTTAATTTATTTGGGTAAATTTTGTTGAGAGTGCTACATACAGTCAATAACTTTTTATCTGATATACCATGAAGGGAAACAACGAAAATATGAAGTTATCCCATATTTTTGTAACATGAAGAGTTCCACAATCAGCTTGAAGGGCTGCAGTGGGCATGTGTGAAGGATTGGAAGGGTAATTCTAGAGACTTCCTTCAAAGAGTACATCGTATTTATTATTTGATGAAGTACATGATATATATCATTTATTTCATTATTTATACCATAGGATGAACTGAGGCTACCAATTTTAAAACGTTTAAGATCTCAGAGCGCCCCTGATTTAAATCTAGTTTGTAGCCCATTTTTCTTGTTTTTTGTACAGTGAAAAGAGTATGCCACTTTTAGAACTCCATTCCTAAGTAAATGGTTACACAAACACACAATTATTTTGTAAAATAATTTTTCATACAGCCTTGTTTTAACAAAAATGACAACATTTAAATATCTAATATGGTAGTAAGAAAATAAATTATGGGTTATATATAAGCGTATTATTTAAAAACATAAATGTAAGCATTAAAATAACTAAAAATAAATGTGATTCAAGTAGGTGCATGGTGAATGGAGCAAATGCAAAAATGCCGAATCTCACATATTTTATACTAATGTATTAGTAAATATATTTATATTTGTTGTGTTTATATCCCTACTCTATCTCTCTATATTCATGAGCCTGCATTACTCTTTGTGTTTTTCTACCATCATTTCAGGGAGGTTTTGGGAGAGAGGAGAAGAAAACCAACGTGTTAATCTCTACCTAAAACATCAGCCAAGCTTGAACTTACCCTCTGGGCAACTGAGTCCACTGAGGGATATTAATAAGGGTAACTAGATTTGCATCGCTGGTTTAGTGTCAAGAAGAAAAAATCAGAACACAAGGCTAATTATCTTCAAAGGATTGGTGTTCATTTATTCATCAATGCAGTAAACATTAGTTAAGACCTACAAAACGCCAGAAATGATGCTTAATATTTTCATACAGGAAATGAAAGACAGTTCTTGCTCTCAGGAAGCCAGAACTTTGTGCCCACTGCAGTCAAGTAAACTTACAGTGATATTATGTGAGGTACCAAGAAAGGCTTCTAGAAGAAATGACATTTGCGAGTGGCCAGCAAAGCAGGGTATGTGTTATTCTGCAAAAGGAAAGGGGGAAGATTGTGAAAGAGAATGGGGCATGAGTGAAACTTTGGCTATTTAATTGTGCCCAAGGACAAATACATGGGAGGAGCAGAGAAAAGACTAAAAGCTAGCAGAAGTCAAAACTCACCAGAATATCATACTAAGAAATCTAAACATAGTCTGGATGGTGATAAAATGAGACTTACATATTTCCAGTAGGGAAATAATATGATCAAATTTCCATTTGATGGTGATTACCACAATCATATTCTGGAGAATAAATTGAAGGTACTGGTAGGGTGAGATTTGATGCTGTTATGATAACTGGAGGCATAGGTAATACTCACCTGACACTCCCATTGCACCAACTAGAGACAAATGTATGTAAAGCATTTTCTATTGTGGTAAGAACAAAGAAGCCGCTCAATAATGATCACAGTGTACAAACCTTATTCTATTTTGTTCTCATAAAAGTTATGTGAAGTATTGTTAAGCTTAGATTATTGATGAGGACACTGAGGCTCAGGGAGTTAAGTGACTTATCGAAGGACTCACAGCTAGTAAGTGGCAGAGTCTGAAATCAGATACAAATTGGTCTGATCCCCAAATCAGAGCTCTCTGAACCATCACACCATATTGTTCACTGTCTCTGAACAATTCATTTGAGATTCAGAAATCCACTTAGCAGAGACACAGATGAAATTCAGACAGATGAGTACAAACACCATCAAAGCTTTCAATTTTATGATTCCATTGTTCTTCAAAATGGAGGCAAACCTACAGAACCAAAGCTAATCCAGACCAAACCTGACAGCAGGGAGTGAAAGCAGTGTTGTGGGCACTGCAGGTTCCTGACATTACTTTATTTCCATTCCCATTAACTGGCAGCATCTACCACATTATTTAGGATAATTATCTATGAGTCTCAAAGAAATATGCCCATTCCCTCTCTCCTGTCTCCCTGATGGACATAAAAATGACTTTAGGAGAAATGACAAAATATCTCTATGAAAATGAACCCTTAAGTCTGAGCTCCCACTGTAAACCCATCTTATTTTTTTTCTCTCCTATCTTCCAACACCTTGATAATGTCATCGTTTTAATATGATTTCTGGGGATAAAGAGCTCTGAGGAACTTGTATTAAGCAATTACCCCAGGGATTGGCAAACACAAGCTCATGATATTTACTTAAAATTCTCAATTCTGTGAATATGTCAACGTCTTTATAAACAAAACTGACTTTTCAAGGGTTGGCAAATTAGCACCGTGTCCAGAATAATCATTTCTACAAGGAGAATGACATGTCCTTATTTTCCATCCCTGTTCACTGGTGACAAGTGCCATTTCAAGCAATTTGCCAAATAAATTCTGAAGATTGCATGGGAATAATACCTAGAATGTATTTTTCATGAAGTAAAACATTCTTTATGTGGCATGAGTGTTGAAAAAGAAGAGAGCAGGATCTATACTTAAGATCAACTGCAAATATCTATATTGTTCTTAGATGGATTTTGTTTCCAAGTGCTTTGCAAGGCAATAATATGAGAAAAGTTCTTACAATATGGAAACAGGGTAATTACAGAGACCACTTAGGTGGATTCGTATCAGAGGAATTACATACATCAAACTGACTAGGGACCAACTTGAATAGTTCTATGGCAAAAACTTTTCTTGGTGATGAAAAGAAGAAACTGATTTAAAATTTTTAATCTAATAAAGATAAATCTTGCCCAGCAATTTCACTCCTGGATGTATATCCAAAATAATTGAAAGCAGGGATTCAAACAGATATTTGTCAGCCCATGTTCATAGCAGCATTATTCACAGTAGCCAAAATGTGGAAACAATCAAGTGTCTATCCACAAATGAGTGGATGAACACAATGTGGAATATACATGCAATAGATTATCATTTAGCCATGAAAGGGAATAAAATTTTGACATGTCTACAACATGAATGGTCCTTGTAACTATTATGCTTAGTGAAATAAGCCAGACACAAGACAAATATGTATTCCATATAAGTGGAATCATATACACCTAGGCAAATTCAGAGTCAGAAAATAAAATAGCAGTTATCAGGGGCTGAGAGGATGGGGTGGAGGAGAGAAAGGGGGATTATTATTCAATGGCTACAGCGTCTTTGTTGGGGATGATGAAAAGTTGTAGACATACATACTGGTAATGGTTACATAATGTTGTGAATGTATTTAATACCACAGAATTGTACACTTACAAATGGTTGGAACGATAAATATGATGTATATTCTACCACAATATTTTTTTAAAAGAAGTCTTTCAGGTTTCACCCTAAAAATATCTGGAGTTTATGTAAGGTGTTCTCAGTTGCTCTAGGACTATATATTACGACACAATGAGGTACCGCAAAAACCTTTTTTAAAAAATTAATGGATCCTTAAGGAATTTTCTGGAAGCTATGGAATCTCTCTCAAAGTGAAAGGAGATAACCCATAATCATGTACAATGTTGTTACAAACAGGAGGACAGGGATTGTGGCACTCTGAAGCCTCCCCATTGACCTCTGATTCAAAGAGCAGTGGTATTGTGAGAGTCAAGTCTTTGGCCAGCTGTTGAGGATGTCAGGGTGCTCTCATCAAAGGAAGGAGAATCTCCGTTGCATACGATTTCCAACTGTAGCTAAAGGCCCAGAGAAACACTAAAATCCCAAGTTAGATAGTAGAGCAAATAAGACAACCATTATCAGGCCAAACACTTATGAACTCATGGATGCAATTTCAGCTTTGCTTAAGCTGAATGCCTTTCTTGCAGCCTGAGATCACAAACGGTGAATGATAATAAAGTTAACATGAAGGATAAGGAATTAAACGATATGACTTCATCTCATTAAAATACTGAACCTTGTTAATAAGCTATTGCTTTCAACTTTGGGGCTATTTTTGAGACCTGCCTGCAAACAGCTGTATTTTTTTTTTCTTTTTTTAAGGAAAGGTTAATAACATCCTTTCTGGGTGAAAAGAGGTTTTTGTATTCGGTTGTAATTTGAAAAGGAACAACTAAAATTATACATTTCAGAGTAATGTAAGAAATAAACACCACTTCATTACTGGGTACAACGTTCTATTTTTATACCACTATTTAATGTTTACCATTCTCTTGGAAAGGTTAAAGATTGGCAGCATTTTTGTGCATTTTGTAGAAATTGGTACTTTATAATCCTGGGATGAGAGGTGTAACAAATTTGTAAAGTTTAAAATAATACCTTTTTTTAGCTTTCACCTTATTAAATGTTCAGCTTCTATGCTGACTCATTCTTAGAAAATAAAATAATAGGAAACATTTGGAAGCAGGCTGTTTCTATTGCACCTCTATCAAATGCACAAATCAGTACCTAGAGATTAAAAAAAATAAAGAGAGTATAATAGAAAGTAATATGAATTGCATATTTAAACTTTTAGGAAAAATAACGGATCCTTTTGAGATTTTTAAGAATATAGAGTACCACAGAGTCAAATGACAGATGTAATTAAATCTAGTCTGGCAATAGTCCTTAACCATTCCCAAATCTAAATATAATATTTTGTTTTCTTCTAAGTCACATTCATTCTACCACAGAATCTAACAAATTAAGCCTGACGGACAGAGTTTTCTGTAACAACATCTGCCCCCTGAGACCCAACATCCTGTTTTCATTGCCCTGCTGATTTCATTTTCCTTTATCTGCATTTAATACTTTCTCTCTTGAATTAAGACAAATGCCATTGAATAGATGGACTGAGAAACACTTTTAAAGCTTTCCATCACAGTCCGTTTGTTTGTAATTCAGTCAGTGCATGGTGAACCAAGACTTGCTCCATTTGCACATGGTAAAGATTAACACCTTTTAGGATGATAAATAACTAGAAATAAATGTGAGTATCCAAAGATCTGTTCAAACTCTTACCAATGTATGTCTTTTTATAAGCTATGATTGTACAATGATCTATAAATATACCACAGAAAATCTCTCTCTTAAAAGTCTGTCTTTTGATAATTTAATAAATGGTAAAATTGAGTAGTGCTTTGCAAAAGGTAGCAGATGCATAAGTGTTGATGTGCAAGATGATTTTGGGTGGAGCACAGGTAGATTTTTGTAGTAGTTATGCTTTTGTGGGGGCTTTTGGTATAAATTTTGGAGTCCAGGTGTTATTTTGCTACATGCATATATTACTGTATAGTGGCGAAGACAGGGTTTTTCTGCATCCATCACCTGAATAACGTACATTGTACCCAGTAAGTGATTTCTTATCTCCCACTCCCTTCCCACCCCTGCAACCTTCCAGGTCTCCATTGTCTATCATTCCACACTCTGTTTCCATTTTAATGGTTTTCTCCTATCTATTGCAAGTAACATGGTATCTCCATTTGCAGTAGAGATATACAATTTTAGTAGTTATATTTAAATTAAGAATGGTATGTATTTAAAAGAGCCTTTATGTAAATAAGACTACAGGAACACTGGTACATCAAAAATTGGTAACACAGCGCAAAAGAGGAATATTTACTGTGTCATCATATTTTAAACAAAGAATAATCAATGCACCCAAGCCTAGAAAAATAAATTGAAATTCCTAACAGGTCAAGGAAAGAGGAAAGTCATTCCAGACAAAGGGGGACCACATACAAAAACTCTAACATGAATTGCACCCATGGTGTATCTGAGCCCTGTTGGGATAATACACAGCTGGATAATTAGATGGTGGGGGCAAATGTTAGACTATGTGTTGGATTGGCATCAAGGTACTAGATCTCTAAAAACCTTTGCCATGCTGGAATCAATGTAGACAATGGGAAGACACGGAAAGGTTGGAAGCAGGAAGAAACAGAGCTGATTTATGTTGTGAAAATATAACTCTGTGACAAATTGGAGTGCAGAGGAAAAGTGAGGAGACCATGGGAGAGAGACTAGTAAGAACTATGTTGCAGAGACATACAGGAAAAGACCAGGAGTTGAGACTACATGAAAAATATTTCTGAATCACAAAAAGTAACATAAACATTATCAAAAGGCAAGTAGCAGAGTGAAAGGGAAAAAGTACTGCACATGCACCCATATCCCAGAAAGGTTAATATGCTTATTGCATAAAGAGGTCCTCCGAGTCAATAGAAATGTTATTTGAAGTTTATGATGATGATGATTATGAAAATTCATGAGACTAATAGGTAATTCACATTTACAAAAAGATAAAGATACAAAAATGCTCAAACATGTTAATAGTCATAAAAATATAACTTAAAAGAGAATAAAATACACCTTTTGCCCATCAGATTGTTAAAAACAGGTAATATTTAGAGTTGGCAAGAATGTGTATGAAAGGACTTTCATATAATGTTCATGGAAGTATAAACTAGTGGAATTACAAATTGATGCAAAGGACATGTCATCATCAGGTAAACCATCATTATGGCTTGTCTTTAAACTTGAACTAATTTACAACCTTTTAAAATTATATTCACAAAGCAATATAGGAAGGAAAATACTTGGGATGTTAATACATTCAGTTTCCATCCTATCCTGACAGAGTGTGCACCACATCAATGAGAACACTTATCTCCCTGTCCACTCACTTCCCTCTTGTACAAAATATTAAAGAAATACCCTACCTTAACTGATGTTGTGGAAGTAGTCATGGAAAAGAGTGGAAAAATCTGAGACGTATTTAGAAGATAAAATTTGTAGAATTTAGTGACCTGGAATGCGAGAGGTGACAAGAGGGAAGAAGTCGTTATGACTTCATTTTTGGCAATTGGATGTGTCATTCTCATAGATCAGAAACACAAAAGAAGACATATTTGGGAATAAATATAATAGTTCATTTTGGGAGCTGATGGGTTTGAGGAACCAAAGATATATCCAAATTAAGATATTCAGCAAGGTGCTGAATAAGGTGAATATTTGGATCTGGGTCTCAGGAGAGGGTCTGGGCTGATAATATATTTTCAGAGTCGTTAGGAGATGATGAGAATCATGGATTTGGTAAAATTACCAGGGAGTATGTAGCATAAAAAGAGAAAAGAACAAAGGAAGAGCTTTGGGAACACCAGCATGTAAAAGGAGAGCAGAGGAAGGAAGCACACCAAGAAAGAGTTTGAGGGGCAGCCTTGTGGATGCACACCCAGGCTCAGACAGAGGGCCTGTCTCCCCCTCTGCCAGCTGGTCTGGATACCCAGGCCTCAGCTCTGTCACAGCAGTGGCCAGATGGGAGTCTGAATCTGTGCCTACAAGCCCCTCATCACTACTGGAAAAAGAGTTGTGAGTGAAAGTGAACTGATGTGTCCTCTTTGTGTTGGAGAATGCATCCTTGTTTCCAGAGAAAGCAGGAGCACTGTTTGCAAGGAAGTCTTAGCAGCCACATGGGTTTTTAGCCCAGAGACACTTTCTCCTCCAGATGTATATGTAAAGAAGCTGGCAGGAGAATAGTCACCTCTCTTTTCTCATATATTATTGAACAATCTATGCACTTTTGCATACACACAAAAAATAATCATATTAGTCCAATTGGATTAGTTCAATGCATATCATTTGTAAACCTCCTGGGAAAGGACGGGGAGTAGTTTTCTTTGTTTTCAGAAAATCTGATTGAAGCAGATCATACATATGTTTACAAAGGATAAAGAGCCAGATTAATTTAAATAGGTGAAGCTATAGGGAGCATTAGTCACAGACATCATTCATTAACAAAAGCCATCTGAAAAATTAGAATAAACCGTTGTCGAGGGGTAGTTGAAATTCATTAAAATATACCCTAATCTACAGTCCTTACATAATAAATCCCAAGGTAAATTTATTTATGAAATCAAATCCTGTGCTACTATCCTTTTATACTAAATCCCAGGGTAAATTTAGTTATAAAATCAAACTCTAGTAGGAGAAAAAATATTAAACATATTTAAAATTAAGGTTAAATTTAGTAAAAATAAAGTAGAATAGGTAACAGAAATAAAATCAAATATTCTGTCTGTTTTTTTCTATTTCTAAAAATAAAAACCACTTTTTTAATGAATCTCAATTTTAGTATTTGCTTTTAAATTAAGTAATACCTAAATATAAAAATGTTAATGTTAGAACTATGTTTATTCATAAATCATCTGGCCTCTTTGAATAGAGTCTAGTAAAACCAGAACTATGGAATCTTGTAGTTTCTGGGTCATTGGATAGGACCCTGAAATCTTTTATTACATAGGGATGTTCGTTGTATTGCTCCTTATTATAACTGCACTTAACTCATGTTTCAAATCTTCATGAAAAGAAAGATTTTTTTTTTAAATCCAGGAACATATTGAATTCCATGTCCAATTATATATTTTTTTCTGAGAACACAGATACAGAATATTTTTAACCCAACTAAACCAAAAAGTGCAATATCGCCAAATTTCAGGAAGGGAAGACAATGAATTTTCATCTACATTGGATGACATTTAAAATCTCTGTGTCCTCTCTGCCTTCCAAATAAATGTGGCTCACAACATGAAAAAAGGAATCAGAAATGAAATAAAGACTATGGGAAAAAATTGAGACAGGATGACAGGCTCATTAAAATGTGCAGAAAGCATTCCCGACTCCCTCGAGAAAGCTGTTATCATGAAATAATCACATTGACGAATATGGAAAGAGTGGACTCTGGCAGGGCCTTATATTGCACCCAAGAAGTTGGTGATTATATCCTGGAAATGTGACCTCATGAAAGCCTTGCTTCTTTGTTGCTTAATAGAGTTCACAGAAAATGCTTGTCTCCAAAATGAGATTTCTCCCCTATTCACTGTGCAGCCTGGCAGTCTTGACAGGATGAGCAGGGGGCCATTTCTCCTAATCAAGGGGGGATGCAAACCCCTGGGTGTGGAAGACTGTAAGCAATCAAGCTCAACTGTTGCAGGGAAGAGCCACTGCCCTCTGCTCCTTGTCAAGTGGTCATAAAGGAAAGGTTAGGAAAGCTGCTAGAATTTGGTATAAATAAGGGATAATAGGTCAGAGGGATCTATTTTTCTCAGCAATTATCCCATTTCCATCTCTGAGGCTATGAGAAATACTTCCTTGCTGTCTATGCAGCCAATCTATATAGAGTATTTAGCTCTTAATTAAAATCTTTGTTAGCATTTCCATTTTCTCACCCTGTTGGTTCAAAAGTTGCATGTATACTTTAATCTGAAGACACAAGCAAGGCTTTCTAAATTGTTGCACTGATTAGAATGTCTTTCTGCTTGATGCAGCTGAACTGTGAGACAATGGGAATGGTAGTGGGAGTGAAATCAAATAGTATAGAAAGGAGAGAGTCTGAGGGAGGCCTTTAGAAAACTTCTTCAAATCTGGGTTTGCAGACAGGGATGCATTCCCAAACCCTGATAATTTCTGACTTAAATATAGTTAATTTATATTTTTAAATAAAAGCGCAAATAGCAAAAAATGCATACTCTATGATTTATTTAATATTTGCTAAACTATATATTTGTATACATTCATATACATATGAATATAAATGCATTAAAAAGATCAGAAAAAAATTTTTCTGCTACGAATAATGGCTACTTTTACAGTTGAATCATCTGGAGTGGGGTTACAGACAGGAATGAAGGATGGCTAACTCTTTAATCCCAAATATCACTTTCCAAAAATATTTTGTTGTTGGAAAAGTTTCCACAAGCATGTATTCATGTGTTGCCTGTATAAGCTAATGAGTACTTTTTAAAAGATGAAAAACCGTGGTTAGTTCATGACCGTACTGGGATTGGCTGTGGAATAAAATTGCATCCTAGACTCAGGGGCTCCTGATACAGCTATAATCGAGGGGAAATCTAAAATAAAAACTCACCAGTGAGGGATGTGTCTCCTCCAAAGGGTCAGTAAGGTAAGGCCTATAGTGCATAAAGACCACTTGTTTTATCAAAACAATCATTTTTCCCCTGGAATCTCCCAAAATGTTCTGGAGGCCATACTAAAAGAGATCCTCAAATAATATGCCAACCCTAGCAAGCTGTGAAAATTGTGGCCCAAACTTGACATGCTGCTTAAGTTACTAGTAGAATTGGTGTAATTTCCCTGTTGTGCATATACACTCTCTGCATTAGAGACTTTAGGAAAAAGGAACTCAGAAATGTCATGTTTCTTATACTGAAACTTTTACAATCCTGTACTAACACAATATGCTGAACAGTTGAGGACATGTGGGAATTCAGGCACAGCTCACTTCCTAACATAAGACTAAAAACTGCCTAACAAATCTTACTTGGAAATGACAGCATTTGGAAATGTGAACTAAGAAACCAAATGAAAATAGTCTTGATTGCGGATTTTCAGCCTGACAATTAAGCTCTGGATTTAGTGCTCCCTGGAGTCAGTAACTTCCTACAGATCATTTTGTTTGTTAGAGGTAGACCTGACCTAAGTCCTGCACACAACAACTAGCAATGTCTAGGGTGGCACATGTGTCAGGAAATGTTAGTAACTAAAGCCAGGCATCTGGTTATTCACAACATCCTCTCTCCAATTTCAAGGGGTAGGTTCATTCCATGCCACGTGCACCTTCTAGAACAGAGGGCCTAATTGGCCCAAATGTCTAAAATCCTTTTAGCTGAATCCATTATACTAATATCTGACAATTATGAACTGTCTCATTTAATATGGTTGGATGCTGTCCCTTAAAGGCAATAATTACCAAAAAGAGTTAGCTGTATAAACCAGTTTCCCAGCATGCTGGTTGACAAGATACCCCACTGGTTATAATGCGACCATCAGGCAGAGCTTTTCATATTTAATATTGAAGAGATTATCTTTTGTAAATGGAAAACTGAAGACTCTCACTGTCAATCTTGCCTTGTACTCAGCTACATTTCCATTTCACAGAACATCTTGAATTTAGCTGAGGGAGGTAGTGGTCCCTAAAAATACAGAGCAAGAATAAGTCCAAAAGGAAGAGGGAAGACTAGTAAGAACCTTTCTGCTAAATCAACGACAGGAAGGTATCCTTTTGGCAATACTCCTTCAAAGAGTGACTTCTAAAACCCTAAGGTGAATTTTTGCTCTGTATCCATGGCAAGAATATCAAGAGGAGTAGGGGTAGGAGGATTTCACTTCCAGGGGAAGAATTGTGTCTGCACTACATGAAACGCCTTACATTGCAGAAAAGGTATAGAATTTAAAGCTGTAAGACACTGTTAGAAGTCAGAAAATCTGACCTACTGTGGAAATTTCCATCCAGATGGAAATTCAAACTCCATGTGATTACCCTTAATAATGGGTCGCTTGCAGCCTCAAGAAGCAAGTCTTTGCATTGTTGGATAACTCTCTTCCCATATTCTTCTTAGTCATGAGCCACAACCTGCAGCCTTTTAATTTCATCCCCCACTCTCCTCCCAGAGCAATATACTCCAGCTGATTTTGAACAGTAAACCTCTTCCACTAAAATATAAAATCTCAAAAATCTCCCTTAAAAATGTTTAAATAATGTCATCGTTTTGTGAGGATTAAGATTTAAAAATTTTTAAATGATTTTTTCATTTTATATAAGGACATTATTAAGCATTCTATTAGAACGTTTATTTTGTTATAATTGTGAATACAGAGCAAATATCTGAAGATAAATTGTTTTCTTCATTTATCAAGTTCTATTAAATGTGTTTAATCATGTAAGAGAATATATTCAAATTATATTATATATGGTTTGATGAAAGAATGGATCGTGAGCTAAAGATTAAATTTTAAATACCTGTTTTAATGTCAAGAATACTACTTACTAGGCACTGGGATCCAATAATGAACAATATGTAGCACCAGTCCCAATCCCCAGAGATTCAGATTCAATTGTTCAGGAACGATGCACTGACATTGGTGTTTTTGAAAATCACCTCGGCATTCTATAGTACACTAGCTTGACACAACCGGTAGTTGGCCCACGTGGAGTATCTGTACTCTGAATGGACTGCAGGTTAAAATTATTCACACAGAGAATATTTGTAATACATATACTTGACAAAGAAGCCATATCCAGAATATATAAAGAACTCTTACAACATAAAAGGAAATAAATCTACCCACCCCCTAAAAGTGCAAAATCTTGGACAGGCACTTCATAAAAGCAATGACCAGTAAAAACAAAACAAGACAAAAAAGCTCTTTTTCAGTAGTCATCATAGGAATGCAAATTAAAACACACTGTAACACCACCATACCCATCCAGAACGGCTAAAATGAAACCAAGTGTTGTCTAGAATGAAGAGCAACTGAACTCTCATATGCTGCCGATGATAATAAAACTAAGTATAAATTTTTGGGAAGATTGGCAGTATACTAATTAAAGCTGAATATATCTATAGTCATCAGCAATCTCCCTCCTAGGTATGTCTGCATTGGAAATATGTGCATATGTTCACCAAAAGACATGTAGAAGAATATTCATTTTACTTTCATCATAGCCCAAAACTGGAAGCAACCCAAATGTCCCTCAGTAGTAGAAAGGATAAATACACTTTGGTATATTCATACAGTGGGATACTATACAGCAATGAGAATGAACAAGTGATAGCTACATCCTAAAACATGAATGGATTGCACAAACTTGATATTGAGCAGAAATAGTGAGACACAAAAAGTACATTCTGTATGAGTCCATTTTATGAAATTCAAAAACAGGCAAAATGAATCCACAGTGTTGGAAGTCAGAATAGTGGTTAACTTTGGGAGAAGCAGTGACTGAAAGGGGCATAAGTGGGACTTCTAGGATGTGGTAATATTTTGTCTTTGATTTGGGGGCTGGTTACATGAGTTTAATCGCACTTATGATATTGTACTTTTCTGAATGTAGTCATACTTCAAAAACATTTTTTAAATTATTCATGACAGTAAATGTAATATTAATCTGTTATTAGGGCAGCATTTTATATTTACAAGCTGTTTTCATACATGCCATCCCATTCAGTTATCTCTTTAATTTATTAATTCACTCATTCATATCCCAAAATTTAGTATCTTATATATGCAGGGAATTGTTCTAGGTGATGCAAGCAACTCAAAGGTTAATAATACATGGTTATTAGCCTCTAAGAGCTTATAGAACTAAAAATTTGAAGACATGTCTGTAGTGCAGCTACAATAATTTATTGTTTAAAACAATGATAATTTATTGTGTCGCCTGGGTACTGGGCATTGTACCTTAATATGTACATTACTGGCAGTCTCTCATATTTAATAACTTCAAGAAAAATATATTTTTAATGTCATGCTTACTTTCTCCTTAAAACATTTAATGTTATATGAAGGAAAATATAATAAAATTTACTGGAGAAAAGAAAAGAAATTTGCCTCCTGAGGGGCAATGTGAAATGCAAATGTAAAATGCAACACAACAGCCTTCTATCTTCAGTGATTCCATTAACTAGTTCAGGGGATCAGATGATGAATTAAATTGACTTACAGACACAGGAATATTATATAACTGTAAATTCCATTCCAATATTTGTTTTAATTTGATTATTTCATGTCACAACACCTAAAAGGAACAGTGTACTAGTCAAAGCTTATTTCCCAAAATTCAACGAATTTCAACTTTTCAAATAAAATATCATGCTGAAAGAAATATGAGGAAATAAGTGAATTAATGCAGAAATGAAGAAGCAAGTAAGCATGTTCTCACTTATAAGTGGGAGCTAAATCTTGGGTTCTCACATACATAAAAATGGAAAAATAGACACTGTGGACTACTAGATGGGGGAGGAATGGAAGGGAGCAAGGGTTGAAAAACTAACTCTTGGGTACTATGGTCAATACCTTGGTGACAGGATCAATCACACCACAAATCTCAGCATCATGCAATATACTCAGGTAATAAACCTGCACATACACCCCCAGATCTAAAATAAAAGTTGAAAAAAAATGGCAGAAAAAAAGAAATATGAGGAAAGCTGTAAAACATGACTGTGAAGATGATAGTATGGTATAAGTATTTTGAAGAAAAGTATAAGTCTTCCATTTAATAAAAAGTGGGTTTAACAAATGCATAAATCTCCCCTGAGTGGGTTTCAAAAAATGTGACAATTTGCAAGTTTTATAGCATTTTAAATGACACTTTCAAAAGTATATGAATATATTTTACAAGATAAATCCTGTAAAACCCATGGAATTTCAGATTCCCAATTCTGTACCTTTTACTGGATATTTGAGTGGTTCTATTTGTTCTGTTGGTAACATTTCATTGATTTTACCCATGTTTGGTCCATTCTTAAAGTATATATTTTCTACTGTGAGTTTAGTCCAATACCTTGAAACAAAATGGTAGTCTATAAACATCATATGAAGTCATCTGCTGTAACTACATCATTTACTCGGATTTTATTATGTGATGTTTCAGGCACTGTGCTAGTCACAGATAAAGCCACTGAATAGCTGTAGGTACCTTCTATAGGGGCAGGGAAACTTGGAGCCATCATGACTTGGAGGGGCACTCTTAAGGCCTGAGAGGCAAGAACACAAAGTTCCATGCACTGTGCTTAGTACAGGAATACAAAAACTGAGGGGTCCTGCTTCAGAAAAGCTCACAGTCACTGGAAGTGAGTGGCATACAAATGCATGAATATGTGTGGGATAAGTATATTATTTAAAAATATTATTAAAAAGGTATAATAGAAATCAGAAAGATTTCCAAGAAGCAATACTAGAACTGTTGGTGAAGGCAGACAAGGCCATTCACGGCAGAGAAAACTGCATATGAAAAGTGTAGGGGAAGTTATCCACTCTCTCTTTGGAAGCTCCTGTTTCAGATCATCAACAGGGACTACGGAAACTGAAACATGACTGAAAAATATGTCAGATAATATGATTTTAAAAGAATAATGAAACTTGGAGAGTAATTTCATCCACTCGTTGATTCACTCAACCGAATAACAATGTTTGAATATCTTTGATTGTCAAGCCTTGTGCTAGACAGTGGGTATACCAGGATAAAAACAAAGTCCCCAAAAATCTTATTGTCTAGCAGAGGTGGCAAAGATAGAATTACTGCAATATGATGCACTAAGTCCTATGATACAGTTAACATCAGGGTGTCAAGGAAGACTTCCTAAAGAAGAGGACGTCTTGAAGAATTCATAAGAGTTCTCTCACCGTTTTGTGAGAGAAGATGTGGCATGGCTGAGAATTTGGAAGTAATTCAATATGGCTGGAGTGTATATTGTGAGGTTAGAAAGAGTGGAACGTTGAGCCTGGTGAGATAGACAAGAAAACTAATGAAAATCCATGTTAAAATGTCTGGATTTTATTCAAAATATAAATTTCTCTGACTTCAAATAATTTCAAGTGCTGCATCCAAGAATCTGCAGCAGAAAATGCAAGATGACGTAGAATGCCAAATAACCCATATGAATTCAGCCTCATGTTTGCCCATATATGATCAAAGATTCTGGTTAAAAATAAACTGGTTTAGACCCAATCCTAAAAATATAGGAGACCTCTTACTGATCGGGCAGATGTAACTCCAAATATTTACATCAAATTTATTTTGTCTGTTGCAGGAGTTGTTTTTGATAAATCATCTCAAGAAAGTCTACGAAGATGACATTAAGGGATTTAGACAAATCTAACTCTATACCACATTAATTTAAAACAATACAAGTAAAACCTATAAATCTTTTAAAATCATGGATGAGTAAAATAAAGAATTACCACACTCAACAGGAACAGTATTTTGCTTTCACTACAAAATAGTTAGGGATGACTATCTTTTAATAACCATGCCCTCTAACTATTTGATTATATGATTCCTGGTTAAGGGAATAGTCATAGTGAAGATTGTAAGGAAAAACATTTAAATATTCTATCCCTTTTTCTAGCCACATTTCCACATATTTAATTTCTTTCATACTCTTAGGATGCTGGAAAAAAATCTACAACTGAGTGGTTTCAAAACACCACACATTTACGATATGCAGCCTCAGCTGGCCTAGGCTCCATGCCCTGACCAGAATGCCTTAGTCAGCTCCTTTTCTTACTTCCCTCAGCAGCTTTGCCAAACTTTCACCTCTTTACCCAAGTCTTTTTATTCATTTGCATCAAATTGCCTTGCTCTTATTCACTGGATGTAGGAAATGAGTGTGAGAGGTTACATTTGCAGTCACCTAAAGACTGCAAGAATAGCAGACAGCCAGGGAAAACCACATTTAAGGAATAAGTGGATGGTGATTTGCCCTTAGAAAAGACTGAAAAAGGAGAGGATAGAAAATTAGAAGGTAACCAGAAGTTTTATTATTACAAAACCAAAGGAAAAAAATATTTTTAAGAAAGAAGTAGAAAGCAGAACCAAAGGCTGCAATGAGATTAAGTGAGTTAAGGGCCGAAAGTGTTCACCGAATGTGGCAATGTTGTGATCACAGAAAGTAGTGAATTTATTTTAAATACTTTCAACTGAGTGATAAGAATAGAAACCAGTTTTTAATTGGCTAAGCAACAAATAAGGGTAACAAAAGAGGAAAGGCAACGTGATACTACTCTTTCAAGAAGGTTGTTGTGAAACAAGGTGATGTCATGACTGATGAGAGGAATGGAGAACTAAAGGAAGGTTATGGATATGGCAATGGTGGTGATTGTGGTAAAGCTGGTGAAGTAGATAGCAGAGTTGATGTTGGAGGTGATAGTGGAGGTGATATAGGTGGAGATGGTAGCAGCAGTGGTGGTCTTGGAGGTGATAAAGGTAGTGGGAATGAACATGGTGGAGGTGGTGGAGGTACAGTGGTCACGGGGTGGTGATGGTTTAAATGATGATGAAGGTGGTCAAAGTGATGACAGTTAAGCCAAAGGTAATGGAAATAGTAAAGGCGGAGGTGATGGTGGTAGTGGTGGTGATGGTAGTAATGATAGTAGAAATGAAAATAGTAGTTTAAAATATAGGAAACTCTTGAGTATGTTTAGCCACTAAGGTAAAAAAGCCAGTAAGAGAGACAGAATAGAGAAAAAGAATAATTGAGTAGGCCCCAGAGGAAAATAGACAAAGAAGTTACAGCACCGATAGAAGAACTAAACTGCAAAACCATCTTCCATAGTTAAAATTCCCATACCAAACTACCTGCAGCCCTCCAAATGTATCATGGGGTCCTATGCCTGCCGCTCTGCCTTTGTACATGGTGCTATATCCTCTATCTAGGACACCTTTCTCCCTGTCATGTCACCATATAACTCCTACTCTTTCTTCAAAATAGAACTCAGAATCTACCTCTTCCAGGAAGCCTTTCTAATTCTCTCTCCCAGCTTAATTAGGATGCCTGTTCTCTGGGCTTTCAGAATACATTGCACATGGTCCATCACAGGACTTTTCATACTATATTTTAATTGTTTCCATCTCCACTGGAATCTAAGATTCATGAAAGTGAATACTGTGCTGTGTTTCATTATGTTTTCGTTTATTCATTTAACAAAACTGATGTATCACTATTCCTAATTATAAAAACCTATTGAGCATTTATCATATGCCAAGCAATGGTGGGAAAATTTCAACCGATGACCTGTTTTTATAAATAAAGTTTCAGTGGAACACAGTCACACCTATTCACTTTCATATTGTCTATGGCTACTTTTACCCTGCAATTATGAGGTGAGTATTTGTTACAGAGACTGTGTACTCAGATCCTAAAATGTTTACCATCTGACCCTTTACAGAAAAAGTTTGACAATTCACGGTTTAACCAATAAAGATATAATAATGACTCAAAAAAAACCACCAGCAGTTATAACATAACATGATATGTATTTTGGTAGTGGAAAATAAAGTGCTATGGTAGCATATAAGAGAAGAACTTAATCTACACTTTGGGATATCAGATGTGTTCCTAGCATCTAGCACTGTCTAGCATATTACTAGATGCTCTATAAGTGGACCAACTTTTTTCAAATGGGAAAGTTCACTTAGGACATGAAATACTTGACTAAGATGCTAAGGGAGATGATGAGACACCATTCCAAAAAACTGTTAGTATTTCTACCACAAGGGAACTAAATTAGGATCTCATTTAGTTATAACAAACAGTTCATTGTAAAGCTAAGTCATCCAGATATTTTAAGTTTGTGTGCTGTTCCAAATAAATAAGACCCATCTTGGGTCTCCCAGTGGGAACTCTGGTTCTGGTGCCTGGACCAGAGAGGGCAACTTTAACACTTGTTGACAGCTGGAAGACCTACATAATCTTCATATTGTTCTTTAAAATCCTTTGAGAAGCTTTTATTGTGAATTTTTATGTTAAAGTGTATCCTAAAAATGTGACCTTGAAACCCCCTTGGTTTCTCTTTATTTTACAAATACATCTACCCACCCATCTCCACACACACATTTTATGGCCTATATCATCTAACATATAACATGTACATCTATATATATACACATCCCATATTTCCTTCACACATATACTATACAGTTGATCCTTCAACAACTAGGAAGTTAAGGGTGCCAGCCCCCCGTGCAGTCAAAAATGTATGTATAACTTTTGGCTCCCCTAGACTTAACTACTAATAGCCTACTGTTGGTTAGGAGCCTTATAAGTAACCTAAATAGTTGATTAACACATATTTTTTGTGTAATATGTATTCCATACTGTATTTTACAATGAAGTAAGCTAGAGAAAAGAAAATGTTATTAGTAAAATCATAAAGAAGAGAAAATACATTTACTATTCATTATGTAGAAGTAGATCATTACAAAGGTCTTCATCTTCATCATCTTCACACTTAGTTGGCTGAGAAGGAGGAGGAGGGATTGGTCTTGCTATCTCAGGGGTGGCAGAGGCAGAAGAAAAACATGTATAAGTGGACCTGCACAGTTCAAACCCATGTCGTTCGAGAGTCATCTGTAATCTCATATTTTTAAGAAATATGTATATAACTCAAATCTAATACATGCAAACTTCTAGTTTTATTCATCAGAGATGGCAGATAGGGTTTCATAGAAGGGTCAATGCCAGTTAGTTACAGGGGTTGCCTGTGGTGCTGTGTTGAGAAAGCTTGTGAGGCCACCTTTGACTGCATAAGAACTAGAACTATAATTCACTATTGCTGTTTGCTTTGGATACCAGAGGTGAAATGGTGGACATCAGTCAACTTATTTGCCATCTCATTCCTTAAGGATATCACACATTGACAGATTTCTTAAATGTAATGTACTCTTGCCCCAAGCTTATCACAAGACAGTGATTAGCTCTCCTAAGAACTGAGGCAGGTGAAAAAGTTTGTGATGTTTACCACCTTGATGAAGAGGATAAGTAAGAGTAATAATAACTTAGGTTTGAAAAGCACTTCATTAATTTCAAGGTATCCTTATGGGTTTCATCTCACTGAATCTCTGCAACTTTCTCTATTCTACAGATTACAAAGCTGAAGTCAGTAGGGCTTAGTGAAGTCAGTGGGGCTTAGTAACTCATCTGTGATTATGTGGAATTCTTGACAGAGATAAAACACAGGTTCTGACTCCTAAATGTGACTCCTGACCTTAAGGGACAGAAGACAGTCTCCCAGGAATTGGAGGTAGCTCACTGCTCTGAGATGAGAGTGATTATGTTTCATCACATATTTTTTAACACATTCATGCAGTCAATATTCATTGAGTGCCTACTACATTCATTAAGTGCCTACTGTATGCAAGGAATAATCACAGAGATTATGAGACTTGTTTCAAAGTTTTTACAAGATGTTTTGGGGAAAAATACAAGACAAGAACTTATTAAAACATTAGAAATATCAAAACAAACAGTCAATAACAAATATAACCATCACTTTCCATGGGCCAGGCAGTGACAGAGACATAAATAAGAAAAAAACAAAATGCCTAATGCTAAGGAGCTCACAGAAATTTTTTCTTAATTCTCTGAATTAATTACCTTAATTCTCAGTCTTTTCAATAATTTGATGTCCATACAATCACCTGGGAAGTGTGTTGAAATTGAGGATTTGATTTATTTGATGGAGGGTAGGCTCCAAAATTTATCTAATGCATGTGGTATTGTTCTATGACCCTCACTGTAAAATACATTATGAACTCATTCAAAGAGCCACACTGGTTGGATAAAATGTAGGAACTGGTTTACTGGTTCCTGATTTGCTGGTCTCCAGTCTAGTCCTCAAAATTCAGTGCCAGTGTGTAAACTCAAAGCATTAGTCTCATAAAACTCAACCATTTGTGATGCTGTTCTACAGTGGTAACTTTTACAATTATAAAAATCAAATCACCAGGCACATTTTGGAACCAGGTAGCTAGGAGGGCCACCAAGTTTAACATGGTTATACCGAGTTAAAGAAAAGCCGCAGCTGGCCTTCTTTTCGTGGTTGCCATTCAGCTCTCTGTATCTTTACCTATAATATTTATATCTTCTATATCTTTCTTTATGTATATGTGTATAATCACACTGTGAAAAAATACATTGGTGCTTTAACATTGTTCAATACCTTTTGCATAACCTTTATAACTATAGATGACCTACCATATAATGCCCTGATCACAGGTCTACACACATATATGCATCATCAACAAACTGGGGGTGGGGGGCTGCCCTAAGCCTTTCATATCCATAACTTTCAAACTCACTAATTTGCTACTGAGTTTTCCCTTAACAATTGCCTTAATAGCCTTGATTTATTGTGCATTGTTATCTTGATTTGCTGTGCATAAAATTGTTAAAGACATTCATTTCAATTTGATATGAACTTACTCCTTTGCATGAAGACACGACACTGTCTAAGCGCATCTACATTGTGACAGAAGCTGTATAGTATGGCCTTGTTATTATGAAGCTGTTAAAATAACGTGTAGCGGAATAGCCACTAATAGGTATAATTACATGTAATGTTTGGTGGGAAAATTAAGCTGCAAAACAGGGAATCTCATTTAAAAATATATGTATGTCATTAGAATATATACATATGTCATATAGATAAAATTTATATTCATAGAAAAATATAGAAAAAATTATAATTATGGTTACGGCAGAGAATGTGATTTTTATTTTCTATTTTTTATCTTACATTTTCTATGCTTTCTATAATGTATATAGTCTTGTGACAAAAAATATTATTTACCATAGTATATTCAGTAACTTTCCATTTTACTTTAAAAGTTGTATGAAAAAGGCTGGGCACGGTGGCTCACACCTGTAATCCCAGCCCTTTGGGAGGCAGAGGTGGGCAGATCACTTGAGGTTAGGAGTTCAAGACCAGCCTGGCTAACATGGTAAAACCCCGTCTCTACTAAAAATACAAAAATTAGCCAGGCGTAGTGGTGGGCACCTGTAATCCCAGCTACTTGGGAGGCTGAGGCAGGAAAATCCCTTGAGCCCAGGAGGAAGAGGTTGCAGTGAGCTGAGAATGGCCACCGTGCTCCAGCCTGGGTGATAGAGTGAGACTTCCCTACCCGCACCACCCCCCAAAAAAAGTTACATGGAAAAGATACATATTATTAGTATTTATCTTTGAGTGAGAGATTACAAAGGATTTTTTCTTCTTTATGCTTTTCTGCATTTTAAAACTTTCCATAATGTACTTGTTTTTCTTTACTTTAGAAAAATCAAATACAACTATAAGGCAAACTCAGTGCCAATTGATAGAAATTATTCTTTAAAGGTAGAACATAAAGTCACCGTGAAACCTGGGTGTTCCGGGGCATTAGAGGGCCTTTTTGATCATAGACCTTGAGGAAGACTATACTGAAAATCTGTAATATTTGGCTTCATTATTTCCTCTCTAAATTCAAAGTTTGTTTTACCTGAGAAGAACTTACAGTAACTGCTACCACAGCACTAAATAAAGATTATGGGAGTTATATTTTCTAACATGCCATAAAAAATTACACGATAAGCAAAAACAGGCACTCTAGATAATTTTGATGAGAAAATCTAAATTGAGTGATGGTTTGCACACATATCTTAAAAAACAGACATATGAAGAAGCCATTATCAAGTTCAGCTCAGAAGTTGGGGTTATTTGGACACATAACACACTAATAAAAGCATGTTCCTCCAGAGGAGCCGCAAGTCGCATCTCATCAGCAATCACTGAAATGGATTTGAGGCACATTTGTGGGCCTTAACACAAGGAATAGAAGTGTGGCCATAAACACCTTCATTTTATGATGGCAGACATATGATTAAAGCCTCAAAACGGGAAAAGATTCACTCTCCTCTTTGACAAGATCCGTTGCTATGGTGATGGTCTGCTCGGCCCTGGCGGAGCGCCTTCAGGTGGCTTCAGTTTTGGAAGACAAGCTAGGTCATGTTTGAACCACCTTGCTTACACAGCAACCGGACAACAGAAAATCGCTTACATTTAGGAATGAATTATTCACTTAAAAATTCCATTGCTGTAAAATTTTCTATGTGATGAAGACTGAAATGTTTACCTCCAGTGTGGAAATTTCTGAGCTCCAGGCTTCCACTCAACAACTCCATCTCCCATTTTAACTTCTTTAAAACAGTGATTAGTGCCTGAAATGACCTTGTTTTCTCGCACTCCTTTTATCTAACTCTGTCTATTAGAATATCATTTATTTGAAGGCAAATATACTATTTTGTTCATCACTATAGTCCTAGCATCTAAAACTGTGCCTGACATATAATAGCCACTCAATAAATTTTAATTGACTGACGCTGCCTGTTCTCATGATACCATTTTTTTTTTTTTTTTTTTTTTTTGAGACAGAGTTTCACTCTTGTCGACCAGGCTGGAGTGCAGTGGCGTAATCTTGGCTCACTGCAACCTTCGCCTCCCGGGTTCAAGCGATTCTCCTGCCTCAGCCTCCGGAGTAGCTGGGACTACAGGCATGCACCTCCACGCCCAGCTAATTTTTTGTATTTTTAGTAGAGACGGGGTTTCTCCATGTTGGTCCAGCTGGTCTCGAATTCCCTACCTCAGATGATCTGCCCGCCTCGGCCTCCCGAAGGGCCGAAATCACAGGCATGAGCCAACATCCCCAGCTCCACTTTCTTATTTTAGAATTTTCAACAATATTCTTAAGAATGTAATGTGATTGTAGACAGTTTACTTTCTCTGGGCATTTGTTTCCTCATTTACAAAACAGGGGAAATTAACTAATCTATACATTTCTTATCTATGCTAAAATTTCATGACTCTTATGTGTGCAAAGCTTACCTGAATTATAAAATATTCATTTTCCACTTCATTCACTGTGTTTCTAATGAGTTCTTTTCTTATTTTCATGTACAATAATGTATACATAGTTACAGCTCACAAAGCACTTTTGTTTCCACTATTTCCTTTGACACTTACTTCAAATTCCCGAAGAATGATAGTACTTACTATTTCTGTTTTCCGGATAAGGATTATAAGCTCAGAGAGGGTATACGACTTCAGCGTGCATCTCATTTCACTAAATGTGTCTGTTATGAATAAAAGTTGTTCGGGTGGGGCGCAGTGGCTCACGCCTGTAATCTCAGCACTTTGGGAGGCTGAGGCGGGTGGATATCAAGGTCAGGAGATCGAGACCATCCTGGCCAACATGGTGAAACCTTGTCTCTACTAAAAATACAAAAATTAGCTGGGCGTGGTGGTGCGAGCCTGTAATCCCAGCTACCCAGAGGCCGAGGCAGGAGAATTGCTCGAACCCGGGAGGTGGAGGTTGCAGTGAGCCAAGATCGTGCCACTGCACCCCAGCCTGGCCAAAGCGCGAGACTCCGTCTCAGAAAAGAAAAAATAAAAAAGTTGTTGGCTAATATTTTAATACTTGTAAAATCATGATGTAGACCCAGGAATTTTAATAAATAATCTTTTTTCAAAATAAGTTTTCAATAAATATTAGTCAGCATATGTGTGGTTTAAGGGAGTCTAACACTACTGCATATTTAATACACAAAAGACCTACTGTATTCCCAGCACATGACCAAATCTACTCCCCCTACATCCTGCAGTAGCATCTAATATTTCTCCCATTGGACTTATTCCTTTGAGTGAAAGCATTGCCTCCAGAAAGCCTCTACAGTGGGTAGGAATACAAAATAATCATAAGTATTTAGCTTCAAATCCCCATTGGACAATTTAATAGCTTTGTGATTGTCAACAAGTCATGGTCTCCTTTTTTGCATCAGCAAAGTGTATAGGAATAACTACTTTCTTAAGAAAAATGTAATAATTAAATTAGACAACATAAATTCGTGCTTAGTTTACAGTATATACTCAGCAAATGTGAATTCCTCCCCATTCTGTTACCTTGGAGGAGTAACATATCAATCTATTCACACTTTAGTGAACAAGTCTTAAGGAAATACAGAGAGAGAAAGGAAAGATAAGATAGGCTTGGAATATGGTACTGGATATAGATTACTGAATAAGTAAATTATAGATAGATCTTAAATATTAATTCTATTAATTATTAATAAAATATTAACAATATTATTATTTATTATATTAATTATATATGGCTAATAAAATCAATAATTATTAATATTATTCATATTTTTGATAGAAGCAATGAAAACTGAACTTTAAGTATTTTTAGAACAAGAAAATTACACCTTAACTCTAGATAAGAAAGACTAGCATTTCTTTGCAATCACTTTAACTGAATTTGTTTTCCTTTAACTTTGGATTTCTTATATGAGCATGTGGCTTCTGGGCATCATTTGACCCCTCCAACTTGTGAGCTGCTTATTTAGCACCCTTCTCAGGTCTTAGGAAGTTAAAAGAAGGAATTTTCTTTAGTCTAATTCAAATCTAAAATCTAGGGGAAAACAAGTAGGAATAGGGAAGGTTTGTAGTTGTTGTTGTTGTGTTGTGTTGTGTTGTGTTGTGTTGTGTTGTGTTGTGTTGTATTGATAGCCATGAGGAATAAGTCCTGGTTTGGAAACATATGGGTTTTGGGAAGAAGTTGGGAGTCAAAAAGGAGAAAAAACTGAAACCCAAAACTAAGGAAGCATGACTGATATAACATCTAAAAACCTGGATTAGATCATCTTTTAAAGTCCCGCAATCTCCACTCCACTCTGCAATCTGCAATTGCATAAACTCCCCAATTTAAACCTTCCTCCTAAATGATTTCTACAACTGTTTCTACAATTACATTGTATTCTTGGAATTCCAGCAAAATTTGAGTTCGATTATTTGTGCTTTGATATTCATCGAGAGGTATTTACTATATTCTCAGTTTCAGAAGGTCCTCTTATAGAAGATACATCGTGGAGGAAGTATGTAGACAAAGAGCAAGGAAGAAAGCGCCTACATATGAGCCTCCTCCTTTTATTCCACAGTACAGTCAGGACTGTGGCCAGTCTGATGAAAACCAAAAACAAGATTTTTCCCTTTCCTCTTTCTATCTTCTAGTCCACTTGACCATTCCCGCTCAGGAACTCCATGTCTGCCCTTTCCTCTTCCCTATTTTACCACCCTCACCCCTACCCCTCCCACCTCTCTCACATATACACTCTCGGTGCCCTTAAGTCTTCAGAATAAAAATAGAATGACATTTCCTTCCAGATAGGTAGCAATCCCCATTCTAAAGGAAACTGTTTACGTGCAAGGGCATGAGACTGGTTATCTTTAACCTAATAGTCTTACATTTTCATAGCACTTTGTGTACACTTTTTTTTTTAGCTTCACAAATGATCTTATAAATAACTAGTTGGAATTCAATAAAAACAATCCAGGAATACCTGATGCAGAGGTCCTGGAAGCCTGGATTATGGATAGAAGGAAGACAGAAAGCCGAGTTCCTAGAGCATAGTTCGAAGAGAACATAAGCTAATCTGGTGAAGGAAATATTGAGCAGAGAGCAGTTTTGACCAAAGCCAAAGGAGGGCACTTATATCCCTTTAAGGCCAAAGGAGGATTAAACTCAATGGTTGGACTTTGAATAGAGGTAGAAGGGGAGGGGTGGGGAGGGAGGGAAGGAACATACTAAGACCTCCTATGTCACAGTTTGGCAAAGAGGGAAGGGAAGGGAAGGGGAGGGAAGGGGAGGGGAGGGGAGGGAAGGGGAGGGGAGGGGAGGGAAGGGGAGGGGAGGGAAGGGGAAAGAAAGGAGAAAAGAAAAAGAAATTGTTGGGATGGGTTGCATTGTGTTATGATATGTATTTTCAGTGGGGGAGGGATTTCTAGGGCTTAGAAAACACTACAGAGAAGAAATCTTCACGTCTAAGCCTTACAGTGAGAAGTAGAAGAGATGACCAGATAGCAAAAATGAACTGGAACTAAAAATGAAACGCTTAATGCATTTAACATGTGCCAAGTTAAGTAGGAATATGAGATTGTCGGGTTTCCATTGCATAAACTTGCGCTGCCAAGTTTCCTCACACATGAATGTAAGTAGGTTGGACTTTAAGCTAACTGTGTGCTAAAGGCTAGTGAATACAGTAAGGAAGGGAGGCAGCGAAAGGAGAAGGGGTAGGATGCAGAAGCATCCCTTCCTTTTGTGCAGAAACTTCCTTCAGGGGTGAAAATGAAGAGTAATCTCAGAGTAAGCAAACAACATCAAAAGAATCTCACCTAGAAGAGTCTTTAGCCAAACTGTGGTAGTGACTCTTTCACCCTTAGCTATGATAGGACGATGTAACTGGATTCATCATGAAGAGCCTTAGGAAAGCTAGGCGTTCTTTATGGGGCTACCTGGCTGGGACTCTGGCAATTCTGAGGGAGAAAGCCCCTTTGCAACAGTCTCTTTAGAAACCTATTTTCCGAGAAAAGCAGGTAGTGGGATTGATTATTAAGTTTGCATTTGGACTAAGAAATTAGAACACATTATCCTTTCCAGTCTGGGGTTCCCGTCAGCCCTACCTAAAGTCAAAACAAATTATATCTCTATTGCACTTGCTATTAAAGAAGTCTGGAGAATTTTTGTTAAACCCAATTGCTGCTATCTCCTGAGAACTAGAAAGTGAACAGCCACATTTATCCCCAGATCAAAGATCAGGAAACTTAGACAGAGACACACTGTTCAGATGAGGCGCCCAAGGTCACTGGTGAAGTTAGAAAGAGCTTGAAGCTGCAGGTAAGTCTTCGCCCCCTAGTTTTGAGCCGCGCCTCCTTAGCTGTCCCCAGACAGGCAGGCTGTGGTCGCGAGATAAATTTTCCCAGGGAGACTGTCCTAAAGGGCACCTTAGGTTCACGCTGAAGTCAGTGTTCAGGGCTCTTCCTCTCCAGCGTGAGGACAAGGGTGCTCCTTAGCAGAGGGGTGAGTGAAGACCTCGAGGGAGACTGGGGTCCCAGGCCCTCAGCCGCCCCCGGGGATCCGCTCCAGATTGTGCAACGCAAGCCCTCCTGGCCTCCGCCGGGGCTCCCTCATCTGGCAGGAGCCCAGAGTCTCTGCAGCGCGCCACCCACGCTGAGAGCGGCTTCTTCAAGAAACAGATCCTGCAGCATAATCTGCCAGGGCCCTGGCAACAGGAACCGGTCCTTCAGGCAGCGAGCCCAGGGAGCAGAATCCTGGCGCCCCCGGCGCGCGGCCCTCAGCGTGCTCACGCCGCTGCGCCCCACCCAGCGGTGCCTGCCCTTTGGTCCCCCGCCCTTCTCTCCATTTTGTCCTCAGCCCCAGCAGCCGCCCGGCTGGCTGCAGAGGCCGAGGGGCCGAGGGCACCGGAGCGCAAGGGATTCCGCGGCACCACGTGTCCAAGCCGGGCTAAGGCGGGCGGAGCGGGCCGGGCCCGGCTCCCCGGGCCTGAGCGCAAACCAGCAGCGACGCGGGGTCCCGTCCGCACCGGCACCCGGCCCAGCCGGGGCCCGGTCTCCCGGGCGCACGTAGGTGCCTCCTCCTGGACAGCGCGATGGGGCCCTTCTGGGCGAGAAAGGGTAAGACCGGGGCGCCTATGCGGTCTCTGCTGTCAGTGCCCGCGGACACGGGAGGGCAACTGATGGTCTTCGGTACAATGAGGGCAGTGATGGGGCGCTCCGGACCCCAGGACCACCCTTTCCAATGCGGGAGGTATCCAGGGTGCTCGGCGATGCACAGAAGAAGGTCGTGGAAAATGGGGAATCAAGGGCACTCTCAGCACATGGAGGCCAAGGGAAAGGCCCTCCTGTTTGATTGGTTTGATTGGTTGTTGAGACGGTCGGGCTGGACTCCTTGTTGCAACGAGCAAGATTAGCCAGGCTAATGTATAGGCCGTCGGTTTTGAATCTCCCTTTACTGGTTGTTCTCAGGAGTGGGTTTGGAAATGGTGGCTTTTGATAAGGAAGGTTCATTAAGAATAGGTGTTCTCCAGGAAGCCTCCATTGAGCTCTCCAAAGAGGGAGACAGTCCCAAGTCCCCAGAGGACACTTTTCAAGTTTCTGCTTCCTGGAGAAACTTTCTTAAAGACTATTCCAGGTGAGAAAGGATGAGCCATTTTCCATTAATGTGCTGTTGAAGGGCTACGTTGATGAGCTCAAAACCTCCTCATGGTGGGTGGTATCAACAGGTTTGGATTTAAAATAGAGGTAAATTGTACAGTAAAAGATATCTGTGAGCTTAATTTAGTATGTGGAAAGAGATTCTGAAAGCTTTTTAAATGAAAGAAGCTACTGGGGAAAATCGGAAAATCGTTGCTTTTATCTTCCCCAGTGTCCAGCAGGTAGTGCTATCAAGGAAAACAGGAGACTCCACTGCTAGGTTCCTCTTGCGTCCTCTGGCCCTGACCCCAGAGCCTGTGCAGCAGAAGCAAAGGGCAGCTATAACATCTGGATATCTCTTCTCAGAAAAGGGCCACATTTGAACCCTACAGATCAGAATCTTCAACTTAAAGTTTCTGCCAGATCAGATTCTTCAGTAGGCACATGTTAGGAATGTTTGCCTTTTCCTCCCCATAGGGCGCCCTTGGGGCAAAAGGAGTCAGGTATTCTCTATGCCAAGTTTTCTCCACTTGTACATTTGGAGAGCAGTAGCACCTGTCGCTGAGAGATGAGCCCAGGTGAAATCATTTTTTTTTATATGCTTCAGATTTTAAAGCAGCAATACATTATCATAGTGCAGATTTTGATTGCTTAATTTATTTTACAATAGTACTATTTTAATGCAGAATATATTTAAAATACGCTCTTCAATTCATAATGATCTGTACATATTTAAATAATATTTTATTCACTTTATTTGTATTTAATAGTCTTTAAGGTGATATCATAATTGAAACTAAGTAATTGTATGCATTCATAAATGCTGATGCACTGAACAAAAAAACAAAAAATGGGTCCAAAACTTTATTTTTACAGATGATCTACTGAGGCTTGCAGAGAGTAAGTGAGTAATTTAGCCAGTGGCACACTTAGAACCAGCTGTCTCTAATAGTCATGGTTTTTTTTTTTTTTTTTTTTTTTCATATTGTAGTAACAGTAGGTAAAAGATAAGCACAAAAGAGTAATACTACAAACTAGTAGTTGACAAGGTTTGGAGATGGGATGAGGGTGAGAAGAATGTGACACTAAAAGTGTAGCATGAAGGAGATCTTTGTGAGGATGGCATAGATGTGTATCTTGATTATTGTGGTTACACGAATCTACATATAAGATAAAATGACAGGCCTGGCATGGTGGCTTGCGCCTGTAATCCCAGAACTTTGGGAGCCTGAGAAGGATGGGTTGCTTGAGTCCAGTAGTTTGAGACCAGCCTGGACAACATGGTGGGACCCCATCTCCACTAAAAATACCAAATATAAAAAAAATAGGTGGACATGGCAGTAGGTGCCTGTAGTTCCAGCTACTGAGGAGGCTGAAGCAGGAGGATTGCTTGAGCCCAGGGTGCAGGGAGCTGTGATAGCACCACTGCACTCCAGCCTGGGTGACAGATCAAAACCTTGTCTCAAAAATAAATTAATAAATTAATTAAAGAAAATTTTAAAAAATCATAGAGCTGTAAACAGGCATTGCACCAATGTCAGTTTTCTGGCTTTGATATGATACTGTAGTTATATGATATAACCGTTGGGGAAGACCCGGTGAAGGGTACATGGGATCTCTCTGTACTATCTTTACAACTTCCTGTGAGTCTATAATAATTTCAAAATAAAGAAACTGTTTTTACAGTCATTTTGTAAGTACATCAAATTCCAACATTGGCCATTTTTCTAAATCTGAATGTATACAAAATATTTCATTTTACTATATATTCTAAGTATGTAATACATACTTAAAATAGTTATGGTACAAACTAACACCTGCATATAACTTTATTGATATTTAAAAGACCATACACACCGTTAAGATGTAACTAATCATGCTGGAGTATCAAATAGCATCTTAGCAATAGGTATTAATTTCATTTTAGTCAATTTCTGTTTATTTAAAATTTTGGAAAACAAAGAGAAAGTGTTTTATTTAAATAGTACTTGTGTGAAAATAACAGCTGGTGTTTTTATTTTCTTCTCTCTCTTTTTTTTTTTATCTGTGTAAAAATACTGAGGTTTTGAGTCTGCATCCTTCTTCTTAGCAGGATGTTTTCTGTGGTTCAGGTGACAGAACCCAGAGATATCACCAAGCAGACATGATAGACGGGATAGGATAGAAAAAAAAAGAACAAAACTGATGTTCATAAAGATACCTCACTGAAAGAAATTAGGAAAGTAAATTAAGTTATTTGAAATATCTGAAAAGTCTTTTATGGATGTTCAGAGCCACCCTCACCAACATCAGGGTGTTTTTTCTTTGGGGTTGGCCACCAATGGCAGAAGTCCCAGAATACCTAAATATATCCCCAAAGAAAACAGAGACTAAAGCTTCTGTGGTCTTGTAGACCGACAGCAGGTACTGGCAAAGGAAAGAAAGGTTCCTGTGTACACACTTCTGACAAAAGAAATGTTTTGTATTTCCAGTACTTCAGAACTTTCCAGAACTTCAGTTTTTCTAGTATACTTCACAATTTTTATCATCTCTGAATATGAATCATACTATTTACTTATTCTTACTTAAATTAACACATTGTTTTTTTACTCAGATTTATCAAAGGAATAATGCCCACCTATGAAATAATGTTTCATCTGTTAGTTACATTTCTCCTAATATGTACAAATAAATATATATTATAGCTTTATAAAAGACATCCATGAACCACCTAAAATTATCTGTGTACCACCTAATGTATCAGGAAACACTGTACAATGACACAACCTTGGGAGGTGCTCCAGGACCTGATGATGAGGAGAAGCCTAGCTATACAGAGTAAGTAGAGAAAATATTAAATTAAAAATGTACCTCTAGATTATTTTTCCTATATGGTCTTGTGAATTGTCAAAATGTGGTTAGAATGAGTACTTCTATTGTTAGAGCAGTCCATTTAATTATTGGGAAGATCCATTTATCCTTATATTGAGAGTAGATGTGAACTCACCTAATTACCTCTACTGTATCTCTACTGTCACCCAACCAAAAATTCTCTATAATAATACCATGTGACATTTTGCCAGATGCCTCATCAAAGTCCATATGCTTTGCCAGTTCTAACACTATCTGTAATAAGAGAAAAAAAATCTAGACTTGGTCCAAGTAATTCTTAGAAGCCCAGGATGATCTCTGTCACTTTTTTCTTTTCTAAGCACCCAGAAACCAACATTTTATTAACTTGTGCCAAAATATTGCCCAATATTTCATTTCAGCCTCATCAATCAGTGTTTTACAGGCTTTCCCTTCTCTCTGGCTTTTGAAAATCAGAACTATATGCTTGGCTTCTATATTTCTAATATCTTGGAATCCCATGCTCAGGGTGCTTCATAGACATTAACAGTGGTGCCATAATTCTATTTGTATGAGATGAGATTGTAAAGCCCAGTTCATAACTTGTTAAATGTCTTAAGAGAAGCTAGTGACATGACTTGACCTGAGCTTTATTCTCTTTTGCCAAGTTTTATTTTTTCCTTTTTAGTTTGGAAATAATTTTTACTTGACAGAGAAGCAAACGAGTCACTAGAAAGTTATGTGTTCTCTTAGTTTTTCATCAGTATTAAATGAACTGTAACAAGTAGTGAGTTTATACTTTTCTTTTGCTTCTTACTTAAAATATAAAGTGAATATTTTTCTATTTCTTATGGTAAGCCATAGTTCAAAATTAGAGTCCAGTCTTCTTGAAACTGTGAACTGAAGTTTTACCATATCAAATGTTCTTGGGACCAGAACCTTAGATTTTTCCGTTTTTTGCATTAATAGTAGTGGTATTTATTATCATAATATTTAATTCAGCTTTTAAATTAACCAAACATCATTATTTTATCTGAAAATGGTGGGATGTGAGAGAGATTACAAAATAAGAATATTCCAAATGACCTTCTAAGTAAAGATGTGCAAGTTGAATACAGAAAGAGAAAGAAGTAAGAAATTATCTATTTCTCTGAAAATAAGGAATGAAATATGAATTTAATCTCAGAAGAGTACATATTTTCTTATTCCCTAAAGAAAACTGTGAACCTTTGGTGACCCAACTAAAGACAGTTTTCTGACTTAAAAACCTTAAAAATCAATTTAGGTTCAACTTATTAACTGTGAGAATGTTCTTCCCAAGGGCAGAACTGATGTCTTTGGTAGTATAAATGAAGAATGGGTGGAAGGTAATATTAACCTGTTCTCTTCCTTCTTTCTTGATTTAACCTGTGCCTGGGGAAACTCAGTTCATAATTTCATCAATTTTGCACCATTAATACACACCAAATTAACTTTAAATGGTATGGAATGATAGTCTAAGTGAGTAGGAGCCATTAAACCTAATGACACTTAAATGTATTCATCACATTGATGCGTGTCTTTTAAAGGGCCATTATGTTTTTCCACAAGAGAGAAGGGGTTTGAAAGCGTAAACTTTATATTATCTATATGAACATTCTTTAGTATCCATTTGGTTCTTAAAACATATTAAAATGGAAGGTGGCTATAATAAAGTTGTTTTTAAATTTTAATCAAAGGGGAACATTTCCTGTCGCTCCCAAGAGTAAGGCTGTCGGGGGGTGCTTTGTCCATGGTGCTGAAACGGGCTCTTCCTCAGTGACCTCACTACAGAATTAGGTACAGAAAGAAAAAAAAAAAAGGCATTTCTTCCAGTTAATGACTTACAAGAATACAAATATTGACTTTAAAAATTATGTATTCTTCAGTTTTATAACCAGCATGGAAATAGAATTTGCAGACATTACTAGCTTGTATATTTGAGTGATGTGCTTGTAGGACGAATTGACAAATATTTGTTTTTAACCTATCTGAAGTACAGCTTGGAAATTTTTATCACTTTACTCCTACAATTTCTTGATTCATTAAGTTAATAATATTTAAAGGTTGTCAATTTCTATTTCTTTTCTAAAAACTCTTCATTTCGTAATTTTTTAGTCCCATAGTATTGCTTTGTCTCTGACTTTTATTACAATAGATACTTTGGACATTTTTCATATAATTTTAAATAAAAATTATGCCTCCTCAAATAATGAGCCATTATTTCCATTACTATTTATATGTTTGTAGAATACTTATTATCCATAACAAATTGTCAAGAAATACTTAATGCATATAATTGTGAGAATTATGAAGAATTTTTATATATGGCCCTTGCCCCTGAGAAACCTTAAATATAATAATTACTGCATTTGCATAAAAAATAAAATAACAACAACACAAAGCAGTGTATATTACTAGAATTTAAGGTCATTGAGGGACCGGACCTGTTTGATTTTTTATAGCTTTATCTCAAGTATGTAACACAGTTCCTAACTCATAGTGAGTGCACAAAAAGTATTTGTTAAATGCCATAGAACGTTAGTGAATGAATAAGTGCAAAAAGAGCTAGAATTGGTGGCACAAATCAGATGATGTTGATTTACAGCTACCCACTTAAGAAGAGGTATGCATTGTCTAATTATTATGTTACAGAAATTGATATACATTTATCTGTTTTCCTCCATGCATTAAATTATGAAAAGCAAAAATAAGTCTAACATGTTTTCGTGTATATTAAATGTTAGGTATTTTTTAAGTGTTTTACACATGCCACTTCACTTATTGCTCACTACAATTATTACAATTTCCTCTTTACAAATGACGAAAGTTAAGAGACTGTCTTAAGTAACCCAGTCGGTAATTAGAAATTCAGAATGAAACTCAGCCTGTCTAATGCTGAGTTTTTAACTATTACTATGCCAAACCCCCAAACTATCCTTCAGCATTAAAGAGCTTTTGTAATTTTCATGACATCATGTGAATTCTAGCTCTTTAGAAATCTTTCTCTTGATCTGTTTATGGAAGATCTGTTACCTAGGCAACCTTGCTTTTCTAATTAACAGTAGAGAAGTCATTTTCCTCCCTCTTCATAGCAGGCAAAAGGAAAATTTATTCATGGGGAAAAGCATAAAATCCAAGAGCCAGAGCCATCCTTTGGGTTTATGTAGAAAGAAGAGGAAGAAAAATGACAGAGTGGGAAAAGAATAGATAGTCCTCTCTACCCTCTACCCTAAGTTGGAAAGGTTTTGTGGGGACTCCAGTGATTATTCTCTAACAACTAGAATGTTCTCTCCTACTTCTTTTTGAAGTGAAGTAGCTGTGGCATGAAGTTCAGCCAAAGACTTTTGAAACAATGTTCCAGACAGAGGCTTATTTTTCAGTTTCCAACAAGACCAATATCAAACACCCTGAGCTAGATTGATAATGTTTATACAATTATATTAAACTTACATACAGATGTTTAATAAGCCCATTATATAATTTCCTTACAGTATTTCCCAGTCTGATATTTCTTATGTTTATGCCACATTTTTAAACCAAAACTTTTAAATCCAGCATCTATTATTCAGCTCTTACCACTAATGAAGTTTGTCCAGAAAACTTATCAATCATCCTGAACTTAACTCACTTATGATCACTTTTCATAAAGAAGTACAAAAAGAACAGATTTAGTAGCTTAGCTGTGTTAATCACATAAAATTCTTATCATTCTTAAATTTGCATCTGGACATCCAGCTAGAAACTTAAAAATGAAAGTTAACTAAGCCCAATAGTTCTGAAAACATTCCACATACTGACAATACCTAAACACTTATTTTCCTTATTGGAAAACACCAAAGACAATCTGATTTTCCTTGCTGAAATAATAATAAAGTTATGCATTAGGTGAAGTGTATTAGTTTGTTCTCACACTAGTAATAAAGACATATCTGAGACTGGGTAATTTATAAAGGAAAGAGGTTTAATTGACTCACAGTTACACATGGCTGGGGAGGCATCAGGAAACTTATAATCATAGTGGAAGAGAAGGCAAACACATCCTTCTTCACATGGTGGCAGTAAGGAGAAGTGCAAAGAAAAAGGGGGGAAGCTCCTTATAAAACCATCAGATCTTGTGAGAACACACTCACTATCATGAGAACAGTATGGAGGTAACTGCTCCCATGATTCAATTACCTCCCACCAGGTAACTCCCATGACACGTTGAGATTATGGGAACTACAATTTAAGTTAGGATTTGAGCGACGGACACAGAACCAAACCCTATCATTCTGCCCCTGGCCCCTCCCAAATCTCATGTCCTCATATTTCAAAACACAATCATGCCTTTCCAACAGTCCCCCAAAGTCTTAACTCATTCCAGCATTAACCCAAAAGTCCAAGTCCAAAGTCTCATCTGAAACAAAGCAAGTCCCTTCTGCCTATGAGCCTGCAAAATTAAAAGCAAGTAAGTTACTTCCCAGATACAATGGGGGTACAGGCATTGGACAAATAGACCCATTACAAATGGGAGAAATTGGCCAAAACAAAGGGGTTACAAGTCCCATCCAAGTTCAAAATCCAATATGGCAGTCATTAAACCTTAAAGTTCCAAAATGCTCTCTTTTGACTTCATGTCTCACATCCAGGTGATGTTGATGCAAGAGGTGGGCTCCCATGACCTTGGGCAGCTCTGCCCCTGTGGCTTTGCATGAGACAGCCCAACTCCTGGCTGCTTTCACAGGCTGGTGTTGTCTGTGGCTTTTCCAGGCACACAGTACAAGCTGTCAGTGGATCTACCATTCTGTGATCTGAGGACAGTGGCCCTCTTCTCACAGCTCTACTAGGCAGTGCCCCCAACCCCACATTTCTCTTCAACACTGCCCTAACAGAGGTTTTCCATGAATGTTCTGCCCTAGCAGCAAACTTCTCCCTGGACATCCAGGTGATTCCATACATCCTCTGAAATCTATGTGGAGATTCCCAAACCTCAGTTCTTGACTTCTATGCACCCACAGGCTCAACACCACATGGAAAGTGCCAAGGCTTGGGGCTTGCACCTTCTGAAGTCATGTCCAGAGCTGTACCTTAGCCCCTTTTAGCCATGGCTTAGAACAGCTGGGATGCAGAGCACCATGTCCTGAGGCTGAACACAGCAGGGGAGCCCTGGGCCTGGCCCATGAAACCTTTTTTTCCTACTAGGCCTCTGGGTCTGTGATGGGAGGGACTGCTGCAAAGATCTTTGATATGCCCTGGAGACATTTTCCCCATTGTCTTGGTGATTAACACTGGGCTCCTTGTTACTTGTGCAAATTTCTGCAGCTGGCTTGAATATCTCCCCAGAAAATGGGTTTTTCTTTTCTATTGCATCATTAGACTGCAAATGTTCAAAACTTTTATGCTCTGCTTCCCCTTGAATGCTTTGCCACTTAGAAATTTCTTCCACCAGATACCCTAAATCATCACTCTCAAGTTCAAAGTTTCACAGATCTCTAGGGCAGGGAGAAAATCCCACCAGTCTCTTTGCTAAAACATAGCAAGAGTGACCTTTACTCTAGGCCCCAACAAGTTCCTCATCTCCATCTGAAACCACCTCAGCCTGCACTTAATTGTCTATATCACTATCAGCATTTTGGCCAAAGCCATTCAACAAGTCTCTAGGAAGTTGCAAACTTTCCCACATCTTCCTGTCTTCTGAGCCCTCCAAGTCTCTAGAAAGTTCCAAACTTTTCCACATTTTCCTGTCTTCTTCTGAGCCCTCCAAACTGTTTTAACCTCTGCCTGCTACCAATTTCCAAAGTTGCTTTCACATTTTCAGGTATCCTCATAGCAGCACCCCACTCCAGGTACCAATTTACTGTATTAGTCTATTCTCGTGCTGCTAATAAAGACATATCTGACACTAGGTAATTTATAAAGGAAAGAGGTTTAATTGACTCACAGTTTTGGATGGCTTGGGAAACCTCAGGAAACTTACAATCATTATGGAAGGGGAAGTAAACATGTCCTTCTTCACGTAGCAGCAGTAAGAAGTGCCAAGCAAAAAGGGGAGAAACCCCTTATAAAACATCAGATCTCATGAGAACTCACTCACTATCACAAGAACAGCATGGAGGTAACAGACACCATGATTCAATTACCTCCCACCAGGCCCCTCCCATGACACGTGCAGTTTATGGGAACTACAATTCAAGATGAGATTTGGGTAGGGACACACCCAAACCATATCATGAAGTGACTGACATATTATTGATATGCTTTCCAGTCCTGTATATATCAGTAAATATCTAGAGGCTTGTAAATTAAATGTGTGATCGTTTGCTCCAGAATATTTTTTCCCAGTTATTGAATTACGTATGCTGTTATCCAATTATTGTATATAAAAAGAAGAAAAGAAACTTCATCATTTTTAAAGACCCTAGGAGAAGGGATGAGATAGCACATAACACATCTTAAATTTCTTCTTAAAAATTTGACATTACATAGCAATCCCTGCTTTACATTCCCTCTGTACAATGAAAAACAATATTAAACATAATTTGAAATTAAATTTTTCCTATACTTTAAAATATATCATGTTAACACATGAATAAGTTGCACTGCTAGGTTTTCTTTTACTCTTTATAGCCTTAACTTTTTCACATTATTTTTCATCCCATTATACTAAGCTTAATCTATATTTCACTCCCCTAAGGTATTTCTTTCTCCTTTTATACTAACTGCTTTTATGTACATTAATGAAAATTTTGCACGCCAAGGAGAAGAGGTGAAAACATTCAGACACACACTCTTGACTTCCTTAATGGACATTCATAAGAAGTGAAACATTTCTTTTCTCAGTGTCTCTAATATATGTTACAAATGAGATCAGGTTAACATTAATGTGACCACAAACTTCCAGCTGTTCAAATTTACACATTCATCGTGTTGCTCGTTTTACTAGTGCACAAGGGAAATACCATCTTCTGGGACTTTTCTTCCCATCAGGATATTTAAGCTGGAAGCTTTGTCAGGCTGCGTCAGTGTTCCCTGAGTAAGCAGGAATGCAAACTGCAATTTTAGCATTAGCATTCTACTTAGAACAAAGGGAGGTGCCCGGAAGCAGTACACATTAGTGCAGAGTTTTCTGGTTTCCCTTTAAAGAGAAGGCACAGCCATTTGACTCTTGAGCTTATTTAAACAAGTCACCAGTCCTTGACTCCAGAACTGAAGCTTTATATGTTCTTTCTATTTGGCTGAGCCAGTAATTTTTGATTGCTTCTTCTTCCCAAGAGGTAAGTTTGCTTGCTGTGGTAAGGGAGGTATATTTGTTTTGCTAAGGGGTTATATTCTTGTCAAAGATTTGTCGTAAAAATATTAAGGAAGATGTGGTTAACTAAATCACATTTCATAAAATGTTGCTGATATTCCAAATAAGCCTAGTTTTGGAGTTAGAAATGATCGGGAGAAAATTTAAGTTTTCAAGGGAGCATTTAAATAGCAAAGAATTTGTACAGTCTGACTGTACAATTTCCTGCAAAGAAATTGTAAATCATGTATTATAAAATTGTTCCTAATTTGTCATTTAAAGCTGTTTTCCTTTTATCAAACTGTACAAAACTAATTTCTTTCGGTTCTTCACTCTGAGTCTCTCTGATCCGATTGACCAGGAGAGAGCTGCTAACTATAGTAGCATGCTGCCATTCCTGCACTTGGCAGGTTGACAGTAGTTGAGCGAAGGAGTTTAAATTAGTTTCTATTTAGAGTTTATCCCAGATTATATAATAATTTTGTACTGCAGGCTTTGCTCTAGAATGTAAGTGAAAATTAATGCTCTTGATCTAGAAACATTTTAAATTGAATTAATTTGAATGTGATATGCTAGTTGTTTTGTAGTTGTACAAATTGAATACGTCTGTAGTATATGAGAGTGTATACGTGTTCTCCTGGTTGGGAGCTTTCACAGGTTAGGGTTGAAGTGCCATATCTGCTCTTAAGTAAATGTGTTGTATTATTTATTGCTAAACTATCAAGTATATACATTTTCAAAAACAGCTACCATGAAGGTAATGGTTTAGTTTAAAACTTGGAGACTCTTGCAGGTGAAACTGGATTTAAATACAGCTATTTTTCTTATTGGCTCCAATACCATTTGGCATTAAGTGGGTACCAGTTAAACTCCCACCTCAGCAAGAGGGGAAAGGTTGTTGGCCAGTGCTCTAAAGGCAGTTTTATCTCTAGCAAGACTTATAATATTTTTGCAGGCATTCAGAAATCTATCCTGAAATAGAGGTAATTATTGTTACTGTCAGAGTCATCTCGTTCCTAATAACATAGAGAGCTGTCTTACTTGTGCTGTCCTTAATTCCTCACACCTACCTGATGTCCCAAACCTCACCTTGTTTGAGGTCACTTAGGTGTAATAGCAAAGCAATTACATAAGAATAGTGCCATTATTGTGCGGACAAACTAAGAGCAATGTTTTCCAACCTTAACTGCACATTGGAAGATGTTACCAGAAAGGGGTCCCGATCCAGACCCCAAGGGAGAGTTCTTGGATCTTGCACAAGAAAGAATTCAAGGCAAATTCATAGAGTAACATGAAAGCAAGTTTATTAGACAAGTAAAGAAACAAAGGAATGGCTACTCCATAGGCAGAGCAGCAGCATGAGCTACTCGTTGGCTATTTTTATGGCTATTTCTTGATTACATGCTAAACAAGGGGTAGATTATTCATGAGTTTTCTGGGAAAGGGATGGGCAATTCCCGGAATTTAGGGTTCCTCCCTCTTTTTAGACCATGTAGGTTGATTTCCTTATATTGCCATGGCATTTATAAACTGTCATGGCGCTGGTAGGAGTGTCTTTTAACATGCTAATGAATTATAATTAGCATATAATGAGCAGTAAGGATGACCAGAAGTCACTTTCATGGCCATCTTGGTTTTGGTGGGTTTAGGCCAGCTTCTTTACCGCATCCTGTTTTATCAGCAAGGTCTTTTTGACCTGTACCTTGTGCCAACCTCCATCCTGTCACTTAGAATGTCTAACCTCCTGGGAATACAGCCCAATAGGTCTCAGCCTTATTTTACGCAGCCCCTGTTCAAAATGGAGTTGCTCTAGTTCAAACGCCTCTGACAGAATCACATGGTGGGCTCCATGCATCAGTATTTTTTAAAGGTCTTCTTGTAATTCTAAGATTTATCAAGGTTGAGAACCTCTGCCTTAGTAAGAATTGTCTTCCTGCATGATTTTAAAAGTTATTTGAAGCTGGGCATGCTAGCTCACTCCTATAATCCCAGCACTTTGGGAGGCCGAGGCGGGTGGATCACGATGTCAGGAGATCGAGACCATCCTGGCCAACATGGTGAAACCCTGTCTCTACTAAAAATACAAAAATTAGCTGGGCATGGTGGCGCACACCTGTAGTCCCAGCTACTCCAGAGGCTGAGTCAGGAGAAATGCTTGAACTCTGGAGGTGAAGGTTGCAGTGAGCAGAGATCACGCCACTGCATTCCAGCTTGGGCTACAGAGCAAGACTCTGTCTCAAAAAAAAAAAAAAAAAAAAAAAAGGTTATTTGAAACTGCTCTTCCACCCCACCCCCAGACAGCAATATCAAGTAGTACATTATCTACTTATAAGACAAAGTGAGAACTGGAGTCTCAAGCTTAACCTAACAATCTTAAGTTATGGGACATGACATAAAATTCATAGGGGTGCAAATGTGATGCTTCATCTAAATGCTAATATACTTGAGGTCAACTCTGGAAAAGTAAACTTTAAAAGAGTGTGACTTTTAAAGTTTACTTTTACTCTTTTTACTTTAAATGTTACTTTTCCTTTTCCTTTTTTTTTTTTTTTTTTTTTTTTTGAGGTGGAGTTTCGCTCTTCTTGCCCAGGCTGGAGTGCAATGGCGCGATCTCAGCTCACCGCGACCCCCACCTCCCGGGTTCAAGTGATTCTCCTGCCTCAGCCTCCCAAATAGCTGGGATTACAGGCATGCACCACCACACCTGGCTAATTTTGTCTTTTTAGTAGAGATGGGGTTTTTCCATGTTGGTAAGGCTGGTCTCGAATTCCTGACCTCAGGTGATCCACCCACCTCGCCCTGCCAAAGTGCTGGGATTACAGGTGTGAGCTCCCGGACTTACTTTTCCATATCTAAATGTAATAAAGTTGTGTTTGAGTTATTCAGCAATGTTTATCACATTTCTGTGTCTGAGACCCATCTTAGTCTGAAGTTTGGAAAACACTCACTCCAGCCAGTTTGCTCAGGTAGAAAAAGTGACTAGAATACTGCATTTATAGGGTTGCTGAAAGAATTGAAGATATAATGCATGATAAAAGTCTAGCACAGTGCCTCACATACAGTGGGTATTTAATATGTTAGTTTTCACCTTCCTTCCTCAGCTTATTAATTTTAACATTAAAGTGTCTCAAGTTAACCTTAAGGCAATGAGTAGAGAAAAACTATTATTTCCCATATATTATGATGGTTCATCTGTTGTTTTTCAAAGAGGATTAATTCAAACCTTTGCCTGGAACATGAGGTGTATTTTTTTGCAATTTACTTCAAATAATTGAAGAAATTCAAAGTCATTAAAAAGTCATGCAGAAAATGTGAAGTTTATTAATTTGTCTAATTGTTAAAGAAAAGAAATAACTAAAATATGTCCTTATTTTGGTCATTGGAAAATATACCACAGAATGCATTTCAAATTATTTGTGTGTGTTCATATTTTTTAATTGAAAAGGTACCAGGGGTTAACTTGTATGTATTACTTTTAGAGTATCTTACATTTTTTTTCAGTTTTGTAAATGACTATTGTCACTTATTGGCACAAGTTCTTTAAAGGTCTCTCACAAATCTTAACCCATGTGCATAACACTCGCCTCTATCCAACAAACCAACTACAGATTTCTAGCTCTTTTTTTCCTATATCTTCCTTCACACACACACACACACACACATGAACACCCTGAAAGACAGAGAAAAGAGAGAGAAATGGAGACTCAGAGACAAAAAGACAAAGAGCGAGTGAGAGATTTTTCCACAACATATATTCCAAGATCTTAACCAACATAAATGTTGATCACAACTGACTACTGCCAAAGCAATCCAATAAATACCAAAGTGACATGTTCTTCATTATGCAGAGAATCCCATTCCCTCTTGGGTGCCATGTCCATAGCTCAATTTCTGAAGACAATATTTAAGTCATTTTTAATCATACAACTTCTGGACATCAGACTCTGAATCTCAATCCAGAAATTTCTAATACTTTTTCTATTCCAGTTGAATTCTCAATCATTTATATTTGTATACAAGAAACCTGATGCTATACTGTGAAATTGGAGTTAAGCAACTGCGATTTATAATGAAACCCTGGATTCCAAGTTGCTTGACTACAGTTGATTAAATGCACAGCAGCCTTCAAATGACTTACATTTGCTATATTCTTTCTAATAATGGTAACCAACTACATGATAACTTAATTTGATAATGACAGTGTTTTCCTGAGATAAGAATGCTTGTGATTTTTGCACATTGATATTGTATCCTAAGACTTTGAGGAAGTTGCTTATCAGCTTAAGGAGATTTTGGGCTGAGACAATGGGGTTTTCTAAATATACAGTCAAGTCACCTGCAAACAGAGACAATTTGACTTCCTCTCTTCCTATTTGAATACCCTTTATTTCTTTCTCTTGCCTGATTGCCCCAGCCATAACTTCCAACACTATGTTGAATAGGAGTGATGACGGAGGGTATCCTTGTCTTGTGCTAGTTTTCAAACGAAATGCTTCCAGCTTTTCCCCATTCAGTATATTGGCTGTGGGTTTGTCATAAATAGCTCTTATTATTTTGAGATATGTTCCCTCACTACCAAGTTTATTGAGAGTTTTTATCATGAAGGGGTGTTGAATTTTATCGAAGGCCTTTTCTGCATCTGTTGAGATAATCAAGTGGTTTTTGTCGTTGGCTCTGTTTATGTGATGGATTACGTTTATTGATTTGCATATGTTAAACCAGCCTTGCATCCCAGGGATGAAACCAACTTGATCATGGTGGATAAGCTTTTCAATGTGCTGCTGGATTTGGTTTGACAGTATTTTATTGAGGATTTTTGCATCAGTGTTCATCAGGGATATTGGCCTGAAATTTTCTTTTTTTGTTGTGTCTCTGCCAGGTTTTGGTATCAGGATTATGCTGACCTCATAAAATGAGTTAGGGAGGAGTCCCTGTTTTTCTATTGTTTGGAATGATTTCAGAAGGAACAGTACCAGCTCCTCTTTGTACCTCTGGTAGAATTCAGCTGTGAATCCTTCTGGTCCTGGGCTTTTTTGTTTGTTTTAGGCTATTAATTACTGCCTCAATTTCAGAACTTGTTATTGGTCTATTCAAGGATTCAAATTCTTCCTGGCTTAGTCTTGGGAGGGTGTATGTGTCCAGGAATTTATCCATTTCTTCTGTATTTTCTAGTTTATATGTGTAGAGGTGTTTATAGTATTCTCTGATGGTAGTCTGTAATTCTGTGGGATCAGTGGTGATCTCCCCTTTATCATTTTTTATTGTGTCTATTTGATTCCTCTCTTTTATTCTTTATTAGTCTGGCTAGCAGTCTATCTATTTTGTTAATCTTTTCAAAAAACCAGCTCCGGAATTCATTGATTTTTTGAAGGGCTTTTCTTGTCTCTATCTACTTCGGTTCTGCTCTGATCTTAGTTATTTCTTGTCTTCTGCTAGCTTTTGAATTTGTTTGCTCTTGCTCCTCTAGTTCTTTTCATTGTGATGTTAGGGTGTCAATTTTAGATCTGTCCTGCTTTCTCCTGTGGGCATTTAGTGCTACAAATTTCCCTCTACACACTGCTTTAGCTATGTCCCAGAGATTCTGATACATTGTGTCTTTGTTCTCGTTGGTTTCAAATAACTTATTTATTTCTGCCTTAATTTCGTTATTTACCCAGTGGTCATTCAGGAGCAGGTTGTTCAGTTTCCATGTAGTTGTGCAGTTTTTAGTGAGTTTCTTAATCCTGAGGTCTAATTTGATTGCACTGTGGTCTGAGAGACTGTTATGATTTCAGTTATTTTGCATTTGCTGAGGAGTGTTTTACTTCCAATTACATGGTCTATATTAGAATAAGTGTGATATGGTGCTGAGAAGAATGTATATTCCGTTGACTTGGTGTAGAGAGTTCTGTAGATGTCTATTATGTCTGCTTGGTCCAGAGCTGAGTTCAAGTCCTGAATATCCGTGTTAATTTTGTGTCTTGTTGATCTCTATAATATTGAGAGTGGAGTGTTAAAGTCTCCCACTATTATTGTGTGGGAGTCTAAGTCCTTTTGTAGGTCTCTAAGAACTTGCTTTATTTTGCTCATTAGTTGATGCAGTTTCTTCACAGTGTCAATGTTCTTTACAATTTGGTATGTTTTTATAGTGGCTGGTACTGGTTTTTCCTTTCCATATTTAGTGCTTCCTTCAGGAGCTCTTGTAAGGCAGGACTGGTGGTGACAAAATCTCAGCATTTGCTTGTCTGTAAAGGATTTTATTTCTCCTTTGCTTATGAAGCTTAGTTTGGCTGGATATGAAATTCTGGGTTGAAAAATCGTTTCTTTAAGAATGTTGAATATTGGCCCCCACTCTCTTCTGGCTTGTAGGGTTTCTGCAGAGAGATCCGCTGTTAGTCTGATGGGCTTCCCTTTGTGAGTAACCTGACCTTTCTCTTGGGCTGCCCTTAAAATTTTTTTTTTTTTTCATTTCAACCTTGGTGAATCTGATGATTATGTGTCTTGGGGTTGCTCTTCTCGAGGAGTATCTTTGTGGTGTTCTCTGTATTTCCTGAATTTGAATGTTTGCCTGTCTTGCTAGGTTGGGGAAGTTCTCCTGGATAATATCCTGAAGAGTGTTTTCCAACTTGGTTCCATTATCCCCATCAGTTTCAGGTACACCAATCAAAAGTAGGTTTGATCTTTTCACATAGTCCCATATTTCTTGGAGGCTTTGTTTGTTCCTTTTCATTCTTTTTTCTCTAATCTTGTCTTCATGCTTTATTTCATTAAGTTGATCTTCAATCTCTGATATATCTTCTGCTATATCAATTTGGCTATTGATACTTGTGTATGCTTCACAAAGTTCTTGTGATGTGTTTTTCAGCTCCATCAGGTCTTTCATGTTCTTCTCTAAACTGGTTATTCTAGTTAGCAATTCCTCTAACGTTTTTTCAAGGTTCTTAGCTTCCTTGCATTGGGTTAGAACATGCTCCTTTAGCTCGGAGGAGTTTCTCATTACCCACCTTCTGAAGCCTATTTCTGTCAATTCGTCAAATATATTCCCTGTTCGGTTTTGTTCCCTTGCTGGCGAGGAGTTGTGATCCTTTGGAGAAGAAAAGGCAATCTGGTTTTTGGAATTTTCAGCCTTTTTGCACTTTTTCCTCATCTTGGTAGATTTATCTACCTTTGGTCTTTGATGCTGGTGATTCTTGTATGGTGTTTTTGTGTGGATGTTCTTTATGTTGATGTTGATGCTATTTCTTTCTGCTTGTTAGTTTTCCTTCTAACAGTCAGGCCCCTCTGTTGCAGGTCTGCCGGAGTTGGCTGGAGGTCCACTCCAGACTCTGTTTGCCTGGGTATCACCAGCGGAGGCTGCAGAACAGCAAAGATTGCTGCCTGTTCCTTCCCCTGGGAGCTTCATCCCAGAGGGGCACCCGCCAAATGCCAGCCGGAGCTCACCTGTATGAGGTGTCTGTTCACACTTGCTGGGAGGTGTCTCCCAGTCAGGAGGCACGGGGGTCAGGAACTCACTTGAGGAGGCAGTCTGTCCCTTAGCAGAGCTCGAGTGCTGTGCTGGGAGATCCATTGCTCTCTTCAGAGCCAGCAGGCAGGAACGTTTAAGTCTGCTGAAGCTGTGTCCACAGCCGCCCCTTCCCCCAGGTGCTCTGTCCGAGAGAGTTGGGCATTTTATATATAAGCCCCTGAGTGGGGCTGCTGCTTTTCTTTCAGAGATGCCCTGTCCAGAGAGGAGGAACCCAAAGAGGCAGTCTGGCTACAACAGCTTTGTGGTGCTGTGGTGGGCTCCACCCAGTCCAAACTTCCCAGTGGCTTTGTTTACACTGTGTGGGGAAAATCACCTACTCAAGCCTCAGTAATGGCAGATGCCCCTCCCCCCACCAAGCTCCAGCATCCTAGGTTGACTTCAGACTGCTGTGCTGGCAGCGAGAATTTAAAGCCAGTGGATCTTAGCTTGCTGGGCTCTGTGGCGGTGGGATCTGCTGAGCTAGACCACTTGGGTCCCTGGCTTCAGCCCCCTTTCCAGGGGAGGGAACGGTTCTGTCTCGCTGGCATTCCAGGAGCCACTGGGTTTGAAAAAATGACTCCTTCAGCTAGCTCGCTGTCTCCCCAAACAGCCATCTAGTTTTGTGCTTGAAACCTAAAGCCCTGGTGGTGTAGGCTTCCAAGGGAATCTCCTGGTCTGTGGGTTGTGAAGACCATGGGAAAAGCATAGTATCTGGGCCTCAATGCACCATTCCTTATGGCACAGTCCCTCACAGCTTCCCTTAGCTAGGGCAGGGAGTTCCCCAACCCATTGCGCTTCCCAGGTGAGGCAATGCTCCACCTTGCTTTAGCTTGCCCTCTGTGGGCTGCACCCACTGTCTAACCAGCCCCAATGAGATGAGCTGGGTACCTCAGTTGGAAATGCAGAAATCACCCACCTTCTGTGTTGATCTCGCTGGGAGCTGCAGACCGGAGCTGTTCCTATTCCGTCATCTTGCCAGCCACCCCCAGCTTTTAAATTACATAATGTATTTTGGCTGGGCTTGGTGGCTCACACCTGTAATCCCAGCACTTCGGGAGGCCAAACCAGGTGGATCACCTGAGGTCGGGATTTCAAGACCAGTCTGAGAAACATGGAGAAACTCCATCTCTACTAAAAATACAAAATTAGCTGGGCATGGTGGCACATGCATATAATCCTAGTTACTCAGGAGGCTGAGGCAGGAGAATCGCTTGAAACTGGGAGGCAGAGATTGCAATGAGCTGAGATCATGCCATTGCACTCCAGCCTGGGCAACAAGAGCGAAACTCCATCTCAAAAACAAAACAAAAAAAATTCATTTTGACTTCATAAATGAGTTTTTCAAAAAGGTTTACACTAATAACTCATTTTTAATTCAAGTAGAGAGAAACATGCCATCCTCATTTTTATAACTAAATATTTATAAAGTACCCATAGCATCTTTTGTGCATATTAAGTCATAGGCCTAAATCAGTTGTACCTTCTTGCAAGAAGCCTAAATCCAATTTAAATAAATGATATGAACCCTACCAAAATTGAATTAGAGATTGGCTTATTTTCATATTTCAGAAAATAATATTTCTGAAACACATTGAACAAAACTAGTTTGAAACATTTCAAATGCTTTAATCGCTCAAAGTATTTTAGGGTAAGGTGCTGTTGGCCTAATTCATGTGGCCAAAAATTAAATTGCAGTGGAACTTAGAACCCACAAGAGCATTACTATAGGAATATATCTGAGGAGGGCCATCTGCCATCCTCAATGAGCTTCCCTCCAGCCCCCACTGAAAAAGGCTCTTTGAGGTTTAGGCTGAGTGTACTTCTCAGAGGACACATCTGAGAAAATGCCCCATGTGTGTATACTCCTTCTATCTCTAATGGCATGAATAATGAATAAGAAGCTTATGAAATATGCACTCAAATAGCCTTCCTCTCTTTTTAAGAAAACACTATGCCACACCTATAGTAAGAAAAAAAAACTGGAAATGCTGAAATAAGATTTGTCTTGAATTTAATGATTTTGACATAAATATTTTTTTTGCATGGAAATTTGAATTCATTCTTTCTGAAAGAATTATTATGGGGGTAGGGAACCAACATTACACATTTGAAATCAGCATTTTCATACCCAATTACTATGCTATAAATTAGAAAAAACAAGTAACTTCATCTAGAAGATACATAATTTGAGAGCTGTTGACTCTGTCTTTTAAAAAGAACCAATTTTTTATCTGTTTAGCACAAACAGGAAAAATTCTATATTAAGGTTCCCTTTGATGTCCACATAAAGCAAAGTCTCTCTCTCTCTTCCATTCTAACTCTATTTCTACCTCTCCCTCCCTCCCTCCTTCCCTCTTGTTTCTTTAGAGAAAACAATTAAATTATACTCCTAGAATTCTATTATAAATGGAAGAAATGAAGGGAGATGGAGAGGGAAGAAAAGAAAGGAAGGAATCAGGATTGTTTGGTAAAAACTGATATGCTGGCAGAAATAAAGCAAATCCTCTTTAATTTAAAATTTTATTTAAAGATCTTATGTTTAAACAATAATGAAAGATAAATTATAGAAGTGAATGACCATTTATATCTTCATTCAGTAGTATTCACAAAAACATAAATTATTACACAATAGCCTTATCAAAATAGTCCTATAGGAAAAACGTCACAGTAAAGGTCAGGAGGTATTTAGAAATTCAATGAGCTAGTATACATGAAAATTATTTGTAAAACTAAAATATATAAGGTAATAGTATTAAAAATTTATTTTTCTAAACTTTTTTATAAATAAGAAAAGTCTAATTGTTAAAATTTTATTTTTTATTTTTTTATTTTTTTTTAGATATACCTAATGTAAATGATGAGTTAATGGGTGCAGCACACCAACATGGCGCATGTATACATATGTAACAAAACTGCACGTTGTGCACAGGTACCCTAGAACTTAAAAGTATAATAATAAAAAAAAATTTAAAAAAAGTTTTAAAGTAGAATTTAAACTGCTTAGTATTCAGCTTGGTATGTGGATGCATACATATATGTGTTGGAAACAGCTAATAACAGAATAATAAAACAGAAGCTAATTTCTACATCATGAAAATGAATTTATTAGAGTTCTGCTCATAATTCTGTTACCATTACTGACAGCTAATAACAGAATAATAAAACAGAAGTTAATTTCTACATCATGAAAATGAATTTATTAGAGTTCTGCTCATAATTCTGTTACCATTACTGACCTTTTTTGTTTGACCTAAGCCTGCTAAAACCTCTACATTTATACTGAAAATAAATGTGACTATGATGAGCATTCATCAGTTTTTGAAAGATTAAAGTGCCTCGATTGCTCACACATGTATGGATTTTTTATTTTACATAGGTAGCTAGGATCCAGGTTATGTCAATATCGCTTGAACAAAGACAATTGTAATCAAGGAATAAACATTTATTTAAACTCACAAATAAATGTTCATTGTATGGGAATTATAAAATCAATGAACACATTCTTCTCTATTATGAAATAGTAGCCTCTGGCTGCATCACATTTTCCTTGGACAAGTTGGAGAAGAGACGTGGGGAAAGGAAAGAATCAACCCAAAGAAGCATTTAATTGGTATAAGTGAATTTACATTTTTCTTACTTGCACTCCAGATATTAAAACATATAGTGTTTGAACCAAACCTGACATAGGACTAAATCAGAAATGACAAAAAGATGCTTTACCAGCTAAACTTCAACACGTTGATATGTTTTATATTATAATACCTCATACATGTAATCTATTCAGTCAGATTTTACAAGTATTTGTGACAGAGACAACAAATATCTTCAAACTCATAGATCAGTTGTTTTTTTTTTTTTTTTTTTTTTTTTTTTTGACGGAGTCTCACTCTGTCGCCCAGGCTGGAGTGCAGTGGCGTGATCTCGGCTCACTGCAAGCTCCGCCTCCTGGGCTCACGCCATTCTCCTGCCTCAGCCTCCCGAGTAGCTGGGACTACAGGTGCCTGCCACCACGCCCAGCTAATTTTTTGTATTTTTAGTAGAGACGGGGTTTCACCGTGTTAGCCAGGATGGTCTCGTTCTCCTGACCTCGTGATCCACCTGCCTCAGCCTCCCAAAGTGCTGGGATTACAGGTGTGAGCCACCACGCCCAGCCGATCAGTTGCTTTTTAAAGTAATTCAGTGTCAGAGAAATAAACCTAAATTTTCAGTCTAGTAAAATTTTTGCTGCTTTCAATGTCTCCCCTTTCATAGGCACTTAAAAATTTGACATGTGAATGAATTTCAATCTATTTGTATGTAAAATTTAACATGATTGAATTAAATACTTGTGTTCACTAATTTTCATAAAATATTCATCATACAAATTAAGAGGAATTTTAAGTTATAAGTTATTAAGCTTGAATTACTAGCCCAATCTTTTTCACTGAGACTCGTTTGAAGGACTGTCAAGTTTGAAAATAAAACATTTGCCATCCAGTGTTCACCCTCAGATGCTCTGAAATGTGTTTATCTTTGACAGCAACGATCTGAAATAGCAGGATACTATTTTGCTATTTTTAGTAATACCATGAATAATATGTTTTCAGGTTTCATTTTTCTTGTTGGAAAATTGTGTGGTGACATCCCCTCAAAATCATTCCTTACCCCCTACTCTCCATAGCACACATACATACAGACAGACAAAGGTGGAAGAATCATATTACGTGTTGGTTTAGGTTTTAAGGAAAGCAAGTCATAGTAATATAGTTAAATTACCTTTGAAATATTTTAAATTGCCTACTAAGTTACCTAGCCAGTTTCCTTCTAGCATCAGAACAGGTCAATTTTTTTAAAATACCAGATGAAGTTGTTGGTGTATAATTAGAATCTTAATGTAAAAATAGTTGGATCTTAAAACACTAGCAACAAAATGGTTCAGTAAGATGTGAGAACCAAGGAGACAGCAAATCTACACCTCGCATTTCACTTTAAATCTCAGGCCTTAACTGGAAATGCCTACGCTATTAAAAGTCTCTCTCTCTCTCTCTCTCTCTCTCTCTCTCTCTCTCCCCCTCTCCCCCTCTGCCTCTTCTTCCTTCCCCCCTCCCTCCCTTATTCCCTTATTCTAAACTTGAATACTTGTGACTTGTGTTTGCTTAATTTAAAGGAAAATATGACAAGACTCTACTTTTTTGCCAAAAAGTCCATTAGCCTCCTGTAATTACAAGCTTTGTGGTGGTGTCACGCCAGCTCTCACTAAGAGTTGCCCAGGAAGCAGTAAAACATACAGAATGAACTTGACTTCTGTCATTTTAAAATAAGCTAATAAGCTTTAAAATATGGAATATGCTTCTACTTAAACTGTTCAAATTTTTCACATGACAATGAATAGGCTGGGCTAAGGTTTTTAAAATCTGGTCTGGTTTTAAAAAACAAAACACATAAACAACAACAACAAAAAAGCCTGTAATCCCAACACTTTGGGATGCTGAGGTGGGAGGATTGCTTGAGACCAGGAGGTCAAGGCTGAAATGAACTGTGATCGTGCCACTGCACTCTGGGCAACAGAGCAAGACTCTGTCTCAAACAACCACCAACAACAGAACAATAAAAAACAAGAAATGTAAAATTTGCTTTGAAGCATTTTATTTATGCACAGTATTTTATGTGGTAGGAGAGGTTTTAGATACTATTTAAAACACAAATTACTGCGTCTTTTTTTTTTTGTGGCACTACTGAAAAATACCAAATTGATGGCAATGGTGTTTTAATATTCTTGTTTATTTCTAGGGAGTACAGTCATTATAAAAATAATTTTAGTAGGGGCCAGGCACGGTGGCTCACATTGGTAATCCCAGCACTTTAGGAGGCCGAGGTGGGCGGATCACGAGGAGATCGAGACCATCCTGGCTAACACTGTGAAACCCCGTCTCTACTAAAAATACAAAAAATTAGCCAGGCGTAGTGGTGGGCACCTGTAGTCCCAGCTACTCGGGAGGCTGAGGCAGGAGAATGGCCTGAACCCGGGAGGTGGAGGTTTCAGTGAGCCGAGATCACACCACTGCACTCCAGCCTGGGCGACAGAGCCAGACTCTGTCTCAAAAAAAGGAAATAATAATAACAATAGTAATAACAATAATTTTAGTAAACATCCTTGAAATATATCTAAGTTAGTTCAAGCTGCTACATCTTTTCACTCTGTTGTATGTAATAATTAATTTTGTATGAAAGTTGGCATTTTATTGTGGTATGCCAATTCCATGTAAAAATCAGATGGGATATTTAAATTAGAGGATAAGCTAAAACAAGATCATTAAGATGGAGAAGGTGGGATACAAGAGAATCTCATATGAATGTAATACATTTTCCTAAGGCTATAAGTTCTTTTAAAAAATAAATGTAGTATAGTTTATTATTAATACATTTGTACTCTGAGATTAAAGCTCTTACTATAATTTTAAATATATATTTTCCAGATCTCTTTTTTTTCTGAAATGGAGTCTCTGTTGCCTAGGCTGGCGTGCAATGGTGTGATTTCCATTCACTGCAACCTCTGCCAACCCCCACCACTAGCATGCAAGTGATCAAGCCTTGGTCTCCCAAATAGCAAGGATTACAGGCATGCATCACCATGCCTGGCTAATTTTTGTATTATTAGTAGAGACAGGGTTTCACCATGTTAGCCAGGTTGGTCTCAAACTCCTGACCTCAAGTGATCCTCCCGCCTTGGCCTGTCAAAGTTCTGGGATTACAGGCATGAGCAGTGGTTCTTAATTGAGGATGATCTTGTCTCCTAGGAGATGTCTGGCAATGTCTGGGAGACGTTTTTTATTTGTAATGACCTGGGTCGGGGGTAGGGGGAGCTGCTACTGGCATCTAGTGGGTGGAGGCTGGAGAAGCTGCTAAACATCCTACAATGCAAAGGACAGCCCCTACCACAAGAATTATCCAGCCCAATAAGTTAATAGTGTCGAGGTTCAGAAACTCAGGAATAAAGCCATTAACTTTCAAAGAATATGTTGTGTTGTTCGATATTTTCCATTCCTAATCCACATCCACGTTGGTCAAGTAGAGCTTCCTACTCAGAAGCACAGCAGTTGCCATGGTGTTCTCTTCCATCTGAAAGCAGCAATTTTCCGCAGCGTCCATTTACAGAATGTGCCATATTTACTCAGATTCTAATGTATATTAAATATGCTTTGGAAACTTAACAAGAAACGTGCAAGCTCTCAGTAAAGAAAAGTTGTAGAAAACAAAAACTGAACAGCAGGCATCTAGTTTCTCCTCTCCCAAAATGGCCTTAGTGGATTCAAAAATGGGAAGTGTGAATAAAACTGCTTTGTATTTTAAATAGAAGCATTTGGTAAGTATTGGTATAATGCCTTCAGGACATGAAATCTTCACTTGTTATATGATTGCTTATTTAGAAATGTGATGAAGTGTGAAGAGACTGTACCAGCAGGAGGAATCATTTAAAATTTTAAAGATCTAAAAAATAGTTTCTTAGAATATGTACATGGTTACCAGTCAACTGAAATCTGCAATAGAGCCTTCTTGTTTCAATGTCACAAATGCACTGACCGTTAACTCATTAATAGGCCAAAGAGAGCTTCATGGTCATTCATTTAAATTAATTAGCTGATTTGAAGTCAAAAGTGAAGCTTTTCACCTTTACCCTATAATTTGCCTATTTTTAATCCAACCAAAAAAATGGAAACATAAATTTCAGAAACTGGCAAAGCAAGTATGCCTTACCCACTTAATTTTAAATAATTTAAAACTTTTGATCATGGTGAAAGCTATTAGAAAACTACCCAAATCAACTCTGCTTTAGCCAGCTGATTTATGCTAACTGGTAGACCTGTGCTGTCCAATGTGGTAGTATGAGGCACACGGTTATCAAGCACTTGAATTATGGCTAGCCTAAACTGAGATGTGTTGTAAGTGTAAAATACAAACTGGAGGTTGAAGGCTTGGCCAAAAAAAGCCAACTAATTTTAATTTTTATATTGTTACATACCGAAATAATATTTTGAATATATTAAGTTAAATAAAATACATTGTTAAATTAATTTTACTTGTTGCTTTTTACTTTTTTGATGTTACTGGTAGGAAGTTTAAAAGTGAATTATATATTATATTATAGACTTATAGTTGGCTCATTACATTTCTGTTGGACAGCATTGGCCTAGACCATTCAAGTGTTAATTAACCAATAACTTTCCTGATCAAATAAGCATTTAAAAAAGGATATCAATGAAGGGAAATTAGAATATATCATTTGCTAATCATTTCACTGGTGGCATGGATTTCACAGTGTTAAAGCCCCATTTCCCCATTTATGCCCTATAGGAAACTTCTGCTTCCCCAGAAGGAGGGTTTTATTATCAGAATGGTTATTCTGCCCTCCAGCAACCTTCTACTTCCCTAGCAGGTTCTTCCAAACCATTCCTCCCAACACCCAGTATTCTCTTTTCTATGTTTTCGGTCACAGTGTTCCCTGTTTGGGAAGCCTCACCTGCTCATCTTTCTTCAAGCTTCAAGGTCTCACTCAAATTTTTCCTTCTTCAGAATGGTTTTTTCCAATTGCAAGTGGACTCTCCCTCTTCTAATCTCTTTAGTACTTAAACAACACCTGCTTTTCTCAAAGTGTGTTTCTTCTAACACTGGGACTGCCAGGTGTTACATTTTCTGAGAAAAAAAAGTAGCTTTGTGGTTAAATGAGTTAGATAAATACTGAGTTAAATGTAGTCAAATTGGTCTCTACTGGAGGATTTCTTAGGGCCCTTACTAGCTTAATCTGAATTCAGCCATATGGTATAGAGCATTTCTTAGTCTTTTCTTGTTGTTTTTGTTCCATTTATTTATTTGTGTGTTTATTCATTTAAAAACACTCTCATTCTTCTATATATCCCAGGCTCATTCTTCCCTACCTCATAAAATGACCTACACCCTCCCCCACATAATAGAGCACATTTGTTTCTCCAAGCATGTTACGGGACTGAGTTTCTGGCAACACACTTAGAGAAATCATGTCATGGGCCATTAATCAGTACGTACTTCTTTTGTGACCTTTTTTCCCTCTCAATTGGAGCCATTATATAAATCTTACTCATTTACTTAAACTTTCAATTTTTTTCTTGTTTCCTAAATACATTGTATGTGATTTACTGAAGCCAGAAATTATCATAATTAGCATTGTGCAAAATTAGTCATTACCTGTTTATTTAGCTTAATGTGTCAAATGATCATACCATATTTGTATTAGTCCTGTTAATAGTAATAGCAACACTAATTGGACATATACAGTAAGCTGAACCTATGGTTCTTGCTGTTGCACAATACTTTTAAGTTTTAACACTGATTTAAATTTTAAATCAGAAGTATAGGACAACCTGTAACTTGTTTAGTATGAAATAGCATCAGAAACAATAAGCAAAGCCAAAAAATACCACTGGCATGTTTTTTGTGGGCAAAAGGAGTAAAATCACTGTAAAATACAGGTTAGGGTCAAATAGATTATTAGAAAATTAGAAAATGAAAAAAAAGAGAACATTTTAAAAAATGTACTAGGGGTAAGGAAAGACTAAAAGGAATAATAAAGTACCACCAGAAATATTTTCATTGTGAAATAAAAAATGCCACTTCTATCAAATATTGGCATGGTTGTATGTTAACTATGATTTATTTTTTCAAAAATATGCACTTACCGACCAGTTTCCAAAGCCTAATTGATTCATTACCATTATACACACTGCACTGACTAACCAAAATTGGAATATTTATGCAAGTTATGAGATAAAAGTGAAAGATATTACCTAGGAAATATGTGAATTCTGACCCAGAAACTATCTTGTATTGACCCATTGTATCTTTTATTGTCCTGATCAAAATCAGTCCTACTGCTGCCTTTATTCTATTGGTATCTATCTACCTATCTATCTATCTATCTATCTATCTATCTATCTATCTATCTGTATGTATTTTTATTAAACTGACCCTTCCACACACATAAGATATGACTGAGAGAGCCTATGTTTTATGTCTCTTTATGTTTCTTGTGCTTGATATAATTCATTCGATATTTGTGGAATCTCTGACAATGGCATTAAACTAAACATCATATTGAAGAAAGAAGTAGCTATCTTCCTGATTTCCACCTCAAAAATCAAGAGTATATCTTAGGATCCAGGTTTCTCTTAATGACCCATTTAAATATCATTCATGACTTTGTGACATCATAAAATGTCTTAATCAATTGATCAACGGTGTGCATCTACAATATGTTTACTGTGTTTGGGGCCAGGTCTTAGGGAGAACAAAAAGAAAGTGAGACATATACTTTCTTTGCCTTCAGGTTCATGATCTGGTTGGGAATAAAAGACAAACATATAATTTGAAAATAAATGGAGAGTGAATGCTAAATTTTGTGGAACCTATACTCTGGTTCAGAAAAGTGCAACAGAAGGCAAGCTGGAATAACCAAGAAAGTTTGTAAAAGAAAGCCAATTTTGAAAAGCTATTGAAGCCCAAGGCATGGTTTACATTATGTCCTGATAGATACTACAGAACCCATGAAAATTTTTGAGGAGAGGGTCTACAAGATAAATCCTACACTAATGTTAGATTCATATGGTCCAGTGTGGAAATAGGTTAGACTCTGGGAGAGTCTGCAGAGAACCATGTCAGAGATTCTTGGCTTTAGCCTACATTGGAAAGATGAGTGGGTGGTGGCCCTGGGACTAGAGCAGTGGCCATGGGACTAGACCAGGAGTAGTTTTTGAGAGGAGCAGAGAGGACCTGGTGACTTACTGGAAACAGCAGGTAAAAAAGTATGGATGAGATGATCAAAAATGACCCCAGGGTTTTGAGCACTGATGAAAAAGTAACAATAGCTAATTATTTTGAACATTTGCTCTGTGCAGTGTTTTGTGTGCTTTTACTGGATTTTCCCAAGTTTCAGGTTGCATTTATTGATGTAAGTAACAATAGTGCCCCCATTTTATAAGAAAACTAAAATTCATGGAGGAAATGTAAATTTTCCAAAGTCACAGCTGAGCAGAAATTTTAATTTAGGCAGTCTAGATCCAATGGTCTTAACATCTATGCTATTCTCTTTCTCACTTCCTAAAGGAATAATGGTAACATGGATAAATTTGGGATGATGAGCTAATTGGGGGAGAATTTTAAAAATGACATATAATTTGAAATATAGTTTGGGTTTGGGATAACAGCACCCAGGTGAGATTTGAAAATAAAAGACCTCGGCTTGGACAAGCTGGAGATCTAAATTCCACAGTAAGCATGAGAATGAAGTTAAAAGCACTGAAGGAAAGAGAACCTAACAGAGGTACAGAAATGTCAATTTTAAATATTTCTTGGGGTAATAAAGTTGGTAAACATGCATGTTGATATTTCATGTTATGTGACCCTAGACCGGTGCTCTACCAACTTCTTTGATCACACATCTCTATAATAACAGAACTGTTGAGTGCACACCCTTAATATTTAATACATGTGGCTTATTCTCCATTGTTTCTACTTGATAATCTTGCTAATGAAGAGTTCATACTGGGTAAAGAGGCAGCTCCATAATTTTCTGGTTTGCTTCTTCTTGCACTATTCACATTAACTTCAATCTGCATTTCTTTTGCTGAGCACTTTTTAAAGCCATTTCTCCATTTTGTTGAGTTAAAAGTATTCTGTGTGGTCCAGGCACATGCAAACTGCACTCTGCTACAATACCCTGTGAATGAAAGAGGGACATCCCTGTCTAAGCCTGCATAAGGGATCTCTCATTCTCATTGCATTTACATAGATGACACTAGGTATCTCCAGTTAGAAGCTAAATGAGGTTACAGGTATCATTCCACATATTAAACATCATAATTTTTTTATTTACAAAGTTCAATCCTAGCATTTCTTTTACATGTCCAATAGTTTCTTTAGCTGCTCCTCACCCTGATAGGGAGCTTCTCTGAACTTTGGAGACCACAGACTTCATCTTAAGTTTCTCAGGAGTCAGAAGGCACTCTCTCATGCTCATATTCCAGCATTTGCTGAGTGGGCAAGTGTGAGATTACTGTATTTACACACTGTATGGTGCACACACTTCTGTCCAAAATCTATTCAGCCTTTGCCTTTCCAGATTTGAATCCTTACAATTTTAGACTTCTCAGGACCTCTCTTCTTTTTGATCATTTTAGTTTCCCTTGTTCCTTTTAATCACTGTGGCCTCAACCTTCTCCTGCTTATCTTATAATTCTTGGGTATGACACTGAGAATTTCTTAGTGTTTCCAGAGTAAGCAACTATGGATTTGTAGGTGGACAAATTCATGTTTCCAAAATCTTTTTGGATAATATTCAGCAATTCATGTATTTTCCAGCTCCACTCACTGTGGAATGAGGACCTCCTTTTTATTTGTCATAAGTAAAAAAAGGTACCAGAGTCAGAATAAATACCCAATAAATATTTGCTTAGTGAGAAATAATGTAGACAGTAAAGTCAAAGAGAAATGTCAAAAATATTTATTTATAATTGTCAAATGAGTAGAAAATAGTATTAATTAATAGATGTGTTTGTTTTTTATTTAGAATATTGCCATTTACTTCTTTCAGCTCCCATATTTTCTTGTTAACCACTTTATTCTTTTCCTTAGCCTGAATTAAAGGTTTCCCTATGTTTGGATAGATAGTAATCTGGTAAACAGGCAGGCTAGCTACACTATACTTGGAAATATATTTTCATGTGAGCCACAGAAAATAAACCTTAGCTTTGAAAAATGGCCAGTGTGAATATTAAGATATCAGACAACAGCCATGAACTCCAATTTTTATTATGTGAGATAAGATACAATACTAACGTAAATACACAGTTCAAAAGTTTTAACTCTCCAATATGTATAAATAATGAAATAAATGTTAAAATAACTTGTAACTTGTCAACATAGTACTGATGGAAGCCATTGGTTAAAACTGTAAATGTAAACAATTTAAAGAACTTATGAATAGCTGTGAACCAACTTCCTTCCTAGGGTAACAAGTAAAAAGACTTTTACTTTTGATTTATAAACAAAAACTATGGTTCTAGTTTTATTTTAAATTTGAAATCAATGTGGAAAGATGTCTTTCTAGATATTTCCTATTAAAATAAATTAAGCTAAATAGACACTGTCAGAAGATGGCTCAAAATTAGAAACATTTTAGAGTCATTTCATTAGTGCTATTTGGCTAATTGGCTGCTTGACTCATAAATGTTAAGGTTGATATAAAGGCAAACATTTTTGTTCTTTTTTATGAAACATTTATATTTGCACATAATAAATTTACTTAGGATCTGGTCAATAAATTAAAAAAACTGCCTTAAGCAACAATTTTACAAAAATACCTACCTCTATTTCTAAAACTAATTAATAATAGTAAATATATATTTTCCCCTACTAATACTCAATTCATTAAAGTGTGCCTATTTACAGAAAACTGCAAAAGACCTATAAGATTTGGGGGGAAAGGCACACAAAAAGACTAAGTGGAAAAACAGTAGTAGAAGGGAACAACCGAATTGTTCTTAGTGTGGGAGAGTTTTAAATGGCAGGCAGAATTGAAGTGCTCTTATGAATGTGGTGAGGGAGTTGTGATGAGTAAAATTTATTGTTCTCTATGTACAAAAGAAAAACTTCAAATTGGACCAATGTGAAATATAATGCTTTTGTCAATGGCATCATGGGCTTCTCATTAAAAATGAACAATGTAAATAAACATTTAGGCAGTGAAATGCAACAAAAAGCCATCAGCTTTGAAAAATCCCTACCCCTGCAACACTGGAGAACTTCAATTTGATCATCATGAATAGAAGTTTTGTAGGTGCTGAGGCCAAGAAGGAGCATCAGATTGTCAAATTGTTTGATATTGCCTACACATTGGCTAAACCAGAAATTCCCTTTGGCTAATTTTCTCACATTGCCACACTAGAAGCTCATCTTAGAATGGAATTGGAGCAAGACTGTCTTTCTGAAAGTAAATGTAAGCTGAGCCACATTACTGGAAAAGTCATCACACATCTTCTAATGGCTACTGTTCAGCAAGCCCAGTTCTTTTTCATCGTTACTGGAAAACACAAGGGTCCAAAACCACAAATGCTAATGTCCTTGAAATGATATGTAAGTTCTACATGAGTGAGATCGCTTTTAAAAATGATAAATTATTGAGTTTTAAAGAGGCCAAGCAGGTGAATGCAGAAGGTTTTTTTTGTTGTTGTTGCTTTCTTTCTTTTTTTTTTTAGGCAGAGTCTCGCTCTGTCTCCCAGGCTTGAGTGCAGTGTGGCGCAATCTCTGCTCACTGCAACCTCCGCCTTTCCGGTTCAAGCGATTCTCCTGCCTCAGTCTCCTGGGTAGCTGGGATTACAGGCGTGCGCCACCACGCCCAGCTAATTTTTGTATTTTTCATAGAGATGGGGTTTCACCCTGTTGGTCAAGCTAGTCTCAAACTCCTGACCTCAGGTGATCTGCCCACCTTGGCCTTCTAAAATGCTGGGATTACAGGCATGAGCCACCATGCCGGCCATGAATATAATTATTAATAGAGTCTCAGAGCTTAGCGTGGATGTAAATAACAAGCATATTGGCTTAATGGATGAGAGCATTGGCCCCAATATCTAAATGAAGAGAGAAGCTTCTGACCTACTCAAGCAGGAAAGGTCCTTCATTCACATACCTTGTCTTAGTCATCATTTCTAGAGCTACCAACTATGAACACATTTAAAACACTGGCTTTGTTTACATTTTTGCCACATTTATTTCTCCTTATAACTTATATTGAACATCCCCAGTTTGTCTTCGTGAATTGAGAAGTTTGTAGAAGAAACTTTAACAACACCAAAGAAAGCAGATGGAATGCATTCATTATAGCAGAAAAATAGGACAGGCAAAACCCTCCTTTATATATTTCCTCCTTTATATATATTAGTGCCTCAGCTTAAAAGTAGTCAGTTAGAAAATCACAAAAGGCCTAAAAGTGAGAATCCAGAGCCACCTGAACATGCTTAATTAACCTAAAACTTGTCCTACCCATCCTACTCATAGTTAAGATATTAGATCTGGCACTGTCTTCCAGAAGGACAATGTGTTTGCTACAGTACCTTTAAGAGGATCAAGAAAGGGATTTTGTATGGTGCACTTAGTAGCTTACTGGTGAATGAAGAAAGAAACCCACAGATAGTGTCTTTCAGTAGGATCAGACTAATTGGAGGACAGTATTGTGATAAAAATTTTAGGAAAAGAGTATTTATGCTAATGCTATTCAAATCATGTGCACCACCTTTGAGCATCTCCATAAAGAAGATGCATCCCAGTGTTTGAAATTATTGAGTATAAATATATGGCCAACAAATGAGTACCCTTAGAAAAATATGGAGTCAAAGAACATGAAATGTTTATTAAACACTTTGAAGGGCTGCTACAATTAAATCATGTGGTTGCTTCCCAGTTGGCTAGACAAGGGGATTGCTCAAAGGTTTCAGATTGAAAAGCCTCACACAGCTCTCTAGGCAAGAAGTTTGGCAGTGATTCTGAAAAACTACAAAGACAAATTCCCAAATATTTATCATATGATTTGTATTCTGCAGTCATTTCCAGTTTCAGTGGCAACAGTGGAAAGAAAAGGATGAAGTCAGGTTACAGGAATAGAATGCTTAAGAAAGGAGTTGAATATCTAATGTGCATTTCTATGGAAGGCCCAATGCCAGAAGTATATAACTACAGACCTGCTGTCAGCCTTTTTAAATTAAAGCTCTATAGAACAAACAAATTTCCTTTGGGCAAAAGACTACCAGAAAACCTTGGTGTTAAAGGGGTGTCATATTCTTTCTGATTTAAAAGGAAGGGAAAAAGAAACTTAGAATTTTCTGCTCAAACCTCCTCTGTAAATGATCTTTTGCTATATTTTTAAATTATGGGACAGTGACTGGTCTACAATAAAGGGCAATAATAGAGCCACTGTGGCAAAATGAAGTGAAGAAATGAGTACATTTTCTACCGTTAAGAAAAGTTTATACGTCTACTTAGTTTTTAATGTTTATAAAAACAGCAGTACTCTGTGGAAAAGATTCAAAGGATTCAACCAAGGGAGAAAAAAAGAGATGCTTAATTTTCATTTAACCGTATTTCTTAATTATAAAGAAAAAGATACACCTGTATCTTGTCCTGTATTAATAAATAGGATTCTTTTGCCATGTCTTTATGTGTTTTTATTCTTGGTTTATCTTAAAATATAGTTAAAAGCTAGAAATATAATTTCTCTATATTAATATTAAATGAGTCATGGGTTTACCTTAAGTGTCAAAATAATATTTGATTTTAATATTTAAAATAAATAATAGTATTTGGGTGAAGCTCATTATTCTACCTTTATTCTCCATGGCCATATAGCAGTTCAAACATTGCTTATTCCAAGATAAGACATCACACCTATCTGTACTACCAAGGTAAAGTACTTAAATGTCTCCCAACATTCACCAGAGTTCTTGGTACACAGCAAGGGCTCAATTAATATTTGTTGAATAAATAACATCACTTATGTATAAAAAGCCTGAATTCAAGGGGTAGGATTTACAATTAGTAAAAGCGTAAGTCTGTAAGGCAATTCTTAAGTGAGCATTAGGAAACCTGCCCAATTATTGTTTGGTTCATTTCCTGGTTTTTAGCAACGAATAATCTTCACATTTTAAAATAATATTTTCAGATACACATTACATAATTAAAAGAGAAAAATGACAAACAGAAGATTCTTAATTCTATATTTATTCCCCATACTCAACATTTCCATTCCTATAGAGGTATTTCTGAATTTAGAACTCTGCAGAGAGGACTGCTGACATTAGTGTACACAGAAAAAAATATATGCAAAAATTCCAGGTGTTCACTAAGGGAAATATAAGCACATTGGTTTTAACAAACTTACGGTTCTATACTTAGTGTCTCAAGCATTAGGAAATTGGCTACTCTCAAAGTATATTTAAAGCAGGTTTGCAGTATGAAGTTTTCTAATACTCTCTTGCCAAAGTAACCATTTTCAAGTTTAAAAATAGGTCTACCTAGATGGTGTGTAATTTTTTTTTTTTTTGAGACGGAGTCTCGCTCTGTTGTCCAGTCTGGAGTGCAGTGGCATGATTTCATCTCACTGCAACCTCCGCTTCCTGGGTTCAAGCGATTCTCCTGCCTCAGCCTCCGGAGTAGCTGAGATTACAGGCACATGTCACCACGCCTGGCTAATTTTTTATATTTTTAGTAGAGATGGGGTTTCCCCATGTTGGCCAGGCTGGTCTCAAACTCCTGACCTCAAATGATCTGCCCACCTCGGCCTCCCAAAGTGCTGGGATTACAGGCGTGAGCCACCACGCCTGGTCTAGATCATATGTAAATTTGAAACTACACATTATCCTGAGTTTGTTATAACAAGAAAAATACAGCAACGCAACTATATGAATATGTGAAAAATATAAATGACAGTGTCTTGTAAAATAAATTCTCACTTAGAATTGTTTTCTATTTTAATACTAAAAATCCAATAAGTGGTAGAAGAAAGCAGGAGGAAAAACTATAACAAGGAATCATGGGGATACTTTTTCAAAGAGTATTCTTTGAATTCTCACTCAAGAGAAATGAGTCCACTAAAATAATGAAGCTAAGATTAATATTTTATAATACATAGGATGAAATGTATGTATTTTCTTTGGCAGAAGCCTTTCAAGTTATACCAATTTGGAAGTCATTATTTCACTTGGTCACTTAAAAATTCTTTTGAATTGCTATTCAACTCATGTTACAAGCCCAAAAGCAAACACAGCTTCTATGTTCATCATAGCTTTAATGTAACTTTATCTTTCCATTATAGTTCCCTAAAAAGTATTTTCGAAGCCGAAAATCATTTTATCCTATTTCACACTCAAGACAGGAGCAAATGCCATGACTCTGGCAAATCAAATTATCCAGTGAATATACCCGAAAGGCAAAAGGAACTGGACGGTGCTGGGAGATGGAGGTTGAAGATTGGGAGGTGTGTTCAAGGTAGAGGGAACATTTGTGAACGTCAAAGGCGGAATGCAAGGATTAAATCATGAGGGATCTTGTAAGCTATGCATTAGTGGATGAAGTTTATCTTGAGACTGGTAGTGAGCATTGAAAGATTTCATTTGAGGCTAGAGAGATAGGATGGGGAAGGAATGATCAGATCTGCACTTTAAAGAGACTATTGTGGCCACTGTTCAAAAATGAACTGAACGGGACAAGTGTGGGGGACAGGTTAGAAATCTAGGCAGGAAGAGGTGGTAGAGAAATGAACACATTTTAAAGATAATTAGGAAGTAGAACAGATAGGACTTAGGTTCCAATTAGTTGTAATGGTTAAGGGGAGACAGAAAAGTTAAGAATGTCACCCAGGTGTCAGGGTCTTCATGATGATATTGTTTATCAACTTAGGGAACACAGAAGTAAAATCAGCTTTTAGAGGAAGTATGATGAATTCAATTTGGAATGTAGTGAGTTTGTGGACCCTGTGAGATATAAAGTTGAGATATCCAAATTAACTATGGGATAATCATGGAATAGAGGTAAGCAGTTATATAATTTCTATAAGATCTGCCTGTAAATAGCAATTGAAGCAATTGGAAAGAAAGATATTGCCCCAAGAGGGAAGGATGGATGAAAGAATAAAAGGGTGAGGGCTTGAAAGTGAGCAAAAGCAACATTTAAGAAATGAGCTAAAAGGATACCAAGAAGTAGGGGAAGATCAGGAGGGCAATGTTCCAGAAAAAATGAAAGTGCTTTTCAAAAATGTGCGAGTATTTCACTATGCAAAGGCTGATGAGAAGCCAAGACTAAGATCAAAACTAGCCATCAGATTAAACCAAATGGAAGAATTTGTGACTTTGAGCAAGAGCTATTTGGTAGAGCTGTGAGTACATGAGTGGAGTAGGGATTGGTTCAAGGAGCAGGGAAGTGTGAGACATATACTCTAGACAAGTAACTTTTTCAGACGTTTGGTGATGAATGGGGATAAGAAATCAGGTTGTACTAGAAATATATGAGAGCTTTGGATGGTCATTTATTTCACTGGAAAAGTTTTTGGCATGTTTAAATGCTGATGTGAAATGTCCAGTAAAAAAAATGGATTAAAGTTATAAAAAAAAATAGCTAACGTTCATTGAGTGCTTAGTGTGTGCAGGGTGCTCTTCCATGTTCTTTATGGTTATTAACTCCTCTGATACTCTCAATAATCCTATGAGAGACTAACTGATAGGATAATATGCCTTAAGAGATGGGAAAGAATGGGATCCAGAGTTCAGGTAAACGAATTTTTCTTGTATAGGAAGAAACACAACTTCCATCCTAAAGAACCAGAAATGGGAAGGATGGGGTGGAGGCAGGTGAATTTATAGGTTTGGAGGCAGGAGATTGAGAGAGTTCTCTTAATACCTCCTATTTTTGTCTGTCAATCAGGAGAAATGGCCATCTGTACAACATGAGGGCAGGGGTGGTAGGCTGGTAGATTTGAAGTATGGAGGAGATTTAAAATAGACATTGTGGAGAATAGGAGAGAACATGCACTAGAAGCCCAAAATGATTGCCAGGCAGCACTGAGGCCCACTGCAGGTGAAAAGCAAGAGCATGCAGTGTCATTCATCCACAGGGTTGTGGGGTTTTCCCACCATGCTCAGCTTCGGGTCATAGGAGAGGCAGTGCTGTTAAGACTTTTGGGAAACTTCTAGGAGTCTTGGCATTGAATCCACCATGGGAGACAGAGAAGACCTTGGAGGCAAATCCAAAGGTAATAGGCAGGCAAAGGGCAGGGGAAGATGGGAGATATAGATCCATTTGATGGGCACTTATTTACACTTTCTTCAAAAGCCATAGTATAATTATACCTAACTAATCAGGTAGATTGGGATAGATCTCAGTAAGGGGATATATGGGAACTCTCTATACCTTTTAATTTTTTTTGTAAACCTAAAACTGCTCAAAAATATAAAGATTAGTATTTTTTTAAAAAATAAAATAGATGCCTAGGAATACATAATGTAGTGACCATATGAACATCATTTATCATTATTGTTTTAGAGAGATTTACCTGACTGTTCAGCTAAAATGGAATTACATAGTTTATCCTCCTCTGGGTCATTGTGAATTGAGGAAGGGGAGAAGAAAGGAGACCAAGAAATCTATTGTTAAATCCCCAGTTTGTACAAGGGACTATGCTGGGCTTATTACAAGTGTTATAGAATTTAATCCTCAAAATAGACCTATGAAGTAGAACCACGCATGTATTTTACAAATAAGAATACCAAGATACAGAGATGTTACCTAGCTTGCCTAAAGTGGTTCAGCAGGTAAACAGAAGAAAGGAGTTTGGAACCATTGTCTATCAAAGCACCTGCTCATTATTTCACAACCACCAAATAATGTTCCATTTATTGACATCCAGTTTCGTATAGCCGTATATTTTGAAAGTTTTCTGAAATTGCCCTGAGAGTTAGAATAAAGGCATTATTAACCCTTATTACGTTTCAGGCCAAGAGACTTTACCTGTCAAAAAAAAATTTCATGAACAAATCCATAGGTGGCAGTATAACATGGTGTTCTTAAAATGTCAACTATTGCTAATTAACAAAACACCAGGTATTGTCTTGATGCCGTCCTAGGTGATCAAGATTTGAGAAAAATCCCTTTCTTCTAGAAGGTTACATCCAGGCAGTAAAGATTCAAGGGGAAGCCCAAAAGCTGTTTTCCTCCGCATCAATCCTTGGGGCCTGGACGGTGGCAGAAGTATCTCAAAGTAGGGAAAAAAAAGGGAGAGAGAGAGAGAGTAGAAAAAGAAGGAGGAGGAGGAGAAAAAGGAAGAAGAAGAGGAGGAAGAGAGGAGAGGAACAATAAAGAGAAAGGAACTCTGAAGAAACCAGATTATAATAGGATGTATTCAATGCTTCAAAATTCATCTTAAAACTCACCCCTGAACATCTCAGACCCCAGTCTAATTTAGATACTGGCAAGCCCTCTGGGTGTCCAGATCTCATGCAAACACACTGAATAGTTTATCAGCTGATGGTCATGTCCGTGTCTCTATTAGACCTTGGGACACTTGAGGCAGCAATCATTGTTCATCTTTGAATACTTCGGAACTAGTGGCTGAGGCAGTGCATGGCTCAGAATAGGAATGAAGTAAGAAGTGATGGATGGATGAATGAATGAATGAATGAATGAGTGATAGGTGTCTGTGCATTCATCATGCCTTCTACTCTACCTTCTGGAGGAAAAGTCCTGGCAATATCTTTTCTAATGAGAAATTCAGTGTCCTCCTTTATATGCCATAAGTCATCGAGAGAAAACTTATTGCTTCCCTTTAATAAAAATTAAGATGAAACTTTTTAGGATGAGGTGAATGTGAAACAAGCAAGCAAGACACAGCAATGGTGGTTGGAGCCATTTGATCCTGAGGGACAGAGGATATCTATTAAGCTCTAACCATGTGCCAGATATAAATGCTAGGCTTTGCGTCTGTTCTTATCTAATCCCTATAACTGTATTATGAACTAATTACTGTTATTAAGTTTATTTTCTAGATGTGAAAATGAGGCACAGAAAAGTTAATTTGCCCAAAGACATTAACTAGTGCAACTGGTTCTTCTTTCCTTTTTAGCTAATGTGCACATACTGAATGTTGAGTCCTACAGGGGTTAAATAACTTGACTGGAGTAGCACTGTCAGAGCAAAAAAAAAAAAAAAAAAAAAAAAAAAGTCTCAATTTCAGGCCTATGAGACTCAAGAATTCATGTCCTTTATTAAACTACATTTTCTCATCACAGATGTTTTTCCAGACTTGGGAAACTCATTTCACTTTCCAGTGCTTCCCTGAATTAGGTTCACATTATGGCAAGCTGGTAGCTGGGCTTCTGATTAGAAAGGGGCACAGGTACTTTTCTACCAGCCTCTGAGTTAAGGTCATTTCTCCAGCCTTAGCTTTGCTAATTCCCCACCAGCAACTTTTTCTGAAGCTTCAGATGGGTCCGGTCTCCACCAGGACCAGATATCTAGGAAGCCATCCTGAAACTTCTAGGCTTCCAGCAGCAGCCTCAGCTGTTTGTCAGTAGTGATAAGGAGGCCCGAGATCCCTGTATCTCAGATCAGTCCCTGATAATCTGAGAAAAGACAGAAGGGAGTAGTAACTTCACTTGCCATATGCCACTTAGAATTTCATTCTTATTTTAACATGCTGGTTTTGATGCACAGTAGATAAGCCTGAAAGTAAATACATGAAACTGCTAACAGAAGGAATAGGGATAATTGATGTTAAGGCAATGAGATAATGAGTATCTTTTTTCTTTTCTAAAATTTTTATAACATGGTTTAGTATCCTTTTTTAAGAAAAAAATAGTTATCATTTTAAAAAGGCATATTTTTTCTCTTGATAAGCAGAAGTAGCTAAAAAGGACACATGGGCAGATGAAACTACATAGGCCAGATTCCCAAATTCTAGTTTTATTTTCCTACAAATTCTTCTGCAGTGCGTTAGAGAGGAGCTGGGAGTACACAGCAAAGGCTAGCTTTACTCACAAGGTCACAAGATTTCAGGTATAAAGGACAGTGGTTCACAGGAATAACCTAGGAAGTGGGAATAAAGCAGCAATCAAAACTATCCTCAGCTCTACAACTGCACCAGTGACCCCCACACCAACAGCCCAACCATTCCCTGCTGTAGCTGCCATCATAGTAGTTGGTTGGCCTCTGGGGGTGCTCAGCTCCATTTGGCAATAGTGTTCTTGCTCTTTGAGAAGAGACACTCAAAGTCTTCCTCTTTTGCACCTGCTCTCATTTTCTCAGCAGAAATAAAGACAAAGTTATTTTTTAAGATGTTTACTAGAAAGTGGAAGCAAAAAATATAAAATCATGGAAATAAAGTGCATTATGGAGAACATATTGTTTTTAATGTAACTCAAATCTACCATTGTTCTGCTTTCCAGGAACCCAGATTACAATTTTTTTTCTAAGCCTAGACTGCTATGGATGCTGAGTGAACCCCTCAGAGCCTCCAGCCTGTGTATCTGCTCTGTGTCTGGCATGTCTGAGAAGCATCCTCTCTCTATAGCTGCCCTCCTGGGTTCAGGCAACTTTCAGCTGCTTTTCCCACACTTTCTGGTTTCTTGGGGAAGGAAGGTGCTTCTCTATTAGCCCCAGAATTCATCTACTGGATTTAGGCTTTCCTTTTCATGTCTTACAGATAACATCCTTTGCCTTTTCTGTACACCTGTGAGACCAACAGATTGTCTAATCACATGAAGCATTTCACTAGGTAAATGTCAAGTCTCAGTTTCCCCTACTTAGATGGCAACCTTTACACGCATACTTTCCAGAGCGTCTTAATTTCAATCATTCTGATTCATTTTCCTAATAAGTGTACACCTACTTGTCCAACAATGTGTCCCCATTTTGTTTAATGCAATCACCGTGCCTATGTTTTTGACAAATATCCTACCCTATTTTCAAAGATGAACCAAAGGCCACAAACAAAAAGCCATTTTGGGGGAGGCTATCTCATGTCTGCTCTCCCATAAGGCATCAGAGGATTAGACCCTTACCATCCTTCAACGTTCCAAGCCCCCAACCTCTGCCTCTTCCCCTGGACTTGCCCTTAATTTCTGTTATTCACTGAGAGAATACTCTGACTGAACACTCGTTTGTCGGGCAGAGATAATTGACACATTCTGAGCCCAGTGAATGTTCAAGCATGGCCTGCCTCAGGTTACCCACTGCCCTCTCTGCCCCAAGCACCTCTATGCCACCTCCTGGGGGAGTGATCTTGTGCAATTCTAGTCATTTCAGTTTTACAGCATCAAAGTACCTCAACCTATAGTAATGATAACACACATACATTAAGACAAGGGTTGGGCTGGGCACGGTGGCTAATGCCTGTAACCCTGGCACTTTGGGAGGCCGAGGCGGGCAGATCACGAGGTCAGGAGATGGAGACCATCCTGGCCAACATGGTGAAACCCCCATCTCTACTTAAAATAACGAAAATTAGCTGGTGTGGTGGTGCGCGCCTGTAGTCCCAGCTACTCAGGAGGCTAAGGCAGGAGAATAGCTTGAACCCAGGAGGCGGAGGTTGCAGTGACCTGAGATCGCACCACACTGCACTCCAGCCTGGCGACAGAGTGAGACTCTGTCTCCAAAAAAAAAAAAAAAAAAAAAAAAAAGGAGGAGGGTTGATCAATCACACATGCTCTTATGGGAAAACAGGCAGCTCTCTCCCTGGTAAGAAAAATATGGGTCTCCACCCCACCCCACCACACACACAAAAAAATCTCACGATGCCCCAGAATGCAGTTTCTTTCCTTCGTGACGTGTTGTGAAGCACGTCAGCTGCTCCTTGTTGCTGTGCAGATCACCCAACATTAGGTCACCGAGAGAGACAGCAGCTCTTGCTCACACAGCTGATAGGATTAGGAGATGGTGCTTTGTCAGCCCTGATTGAGCCCAAGAAAACCCCCTGCATACACAGGTGAGATGTGAGGAAGAGTGAATGTGAGGGACCGTGATGTGTCTGGGTTGTTTGGTGCAGGCGTTTTCTTTTCAGCAGTGCATTTGTATTGTCTTCTCTGTGAAGTTTGCAGTCTAGGGGATTCCTATTAATAAAAATCTATGCTTTTTCAGTTATCTGGTCTCAGAGATTGGCCACATGTACCTCACGGGATTTTTGTGAGGCTCAAATAAAATTATATATGTGAAAGAGTTCTGAAAATATAAAGTTTTGTGCATACGAAAGGTAGGAATCATTTAATTACAAATTTCACATAAACAATCAAGTAACTTATCCCAGATTTGAGGGAATAATTATATAAAGACATTACCTTCCTTCCCAGTCTACAATACCCTATCTCTCCTGTGCTTTGCCAGGAGATATATATATATATTATATATATATATTATTGTATATATATATTATTATATATTATTTATAATATTTCAAGGTTAAATCCTAAAGCAATTGATATTTTCTAAAAGCCAGAAATACATTAATTTTTAAAGAAGCCAAAAGGTGATAAAACAAGACCATAAAGTAAGTCTTTAAGTAAAAAATGAAAATGATGCATAAGACTATTTTAAAGCAGGGGAAAGAAGACCATATTATGCTGTATTAGATTATATCTCTTTGATGGTATAATCCAAATGTTACAAGACATTTCTTCTAATGACATGAGAAACACTTGAATGAAATTAAGGCGGCATAGATATTATCATCGGTAAAACTTGCCTTTTAGAACAGTGGAAAAACAGGCTTGGGTTCCAAAAGTACAGAGCTAAGAGGCATCTGAACACTAAATCATCAGCCTTTCCCTCTGCTAGGTTGCTATGGCGACAGCAAGGCTACTGCACAGCCTCTCAGTGCCTGCACTTCTGCAGTAAAAGCTGTCACTGAACACATGTTGGATTTTTTAGGCACACACCCAATCATCAGATACAAATACATTGTGGAGGCAGCTTTATCTGAATCATTTTCAAAACAAGTTGTATCTATGTTCTTTATCTTGCACTGATGGGCCCCTTATGGGGTTATAGAATTCACTCATTCAGGCATTAATTCATTTGACAGTTATGTATTGAGTGTCAACTGTATAACAGGAATTGTACTAGGCACTGCCTACAAGCTTTGGTGAAAACAAACAAGTAAATGGGGAATTCTGAGGAGATCATAACAGCTCTCTTGGGGGTAAAAATAAGTGTCCTGGAATCATCAGGGGAGGTTTCCTGGAAGAAGCTGTCTAAAATGAAACAATGTATCTTTAAGAGTTGAGGAGGATAGGTGGATGTAGTGCAAGAAATGTTCTAAACAGAGGCAGGTGCAGCAGTCTCGACGAAAAAGAGAATACAAAACCTCCACCTCCGAGAACTGAAAGTGCTACAGTTTGAGCAGTATCCATTTGTATGTAAGGGAAGAGTGGCAGGGACCAAAGGGACAGGTTAGGGAGGGGAGGGAGTATCTACAAAAGAGAGGAGTGGCAAGAAATGAGATCGGAGAGGTAAACAAGGCGGCCAGATCAGGAAAGCCTTGTGTGCCACATTAAGGAGTTTCAGTATTACCTGGAGGACAATCAGGAAATCATTAATGAGTTTTCACGGAGAAGCATGACTTGATTTAGCTTTTCATAAAGGCTTGTGGAAAAATGGAGACACTGATCGGAGAGAAAGGAATAAGAGGCAAGGCTGAAAGCAAGAGACCTTGAGTTAGACCACTATTGCAATAATCTAGGGTGACTGTGGTTTACACTCTACACGAAGATAATGGAGACAAATAGTGGACAGAAGTAATCAGATTCAAGACCGTTATTACTTGGGTGGCATAGAGATCACTTGGTGGTTTATGCTATGTGTGGGTCAGGTGAATGAGAGAAAAAAGTCCACGATGACACTGAGGTTCTGACTTGGCTAACTCAGTGGAGGGTGTTTCTGCTATTAGGTCCCCAGTGTCAATTCTCAATTCTAAGTAGGGAACTCAGAAGCATCCATTAACTTTAAAAGTTTGTTCTTATCTCACAGTATATGATCCCAGGCTCATAATTTTAGGAATAATAAGTTGTATGAATCATCCTGGACCATCACTTTCCTGAGGTCCATATTTGAAACAGCTGTGGGTGTAGAAAGTATGAATTAATCACCTCTTCTTCCCAAATAAAGAATCTTAAAATTACCAACCTCACTGCTTGAGAGAGCTAAGTAGATTGAAAAGGCATGAAGATTTATGGAGGAAGCTCTCTTTTGGAGTTATAGGAAGAAGGGAAATTGATTCCACTAATCCTCTGGCTTCAGGCTCTCTCTAGACTCACAACATATATTCTTAGGCTTGAGAGTTGAGGACTCAGAAATGCTGTTTGGAGGATGGATGAAAGGGGACAATGACCCTCAGTTTTCGAGGAGCACAGTCCTCCTATGTAGGACACTGGTGCATAAGGATCAGAGTGTCGCACTGCTTGGAATATTCTCCAATTCTGAATAAAGGGTATATAAGTCATTATACATGGTGAATTCCACCACCAGATAAGATTTAAGGGTAGCAATTGTAATAAATCAAGGCCCTTGGCCCAGCTGATGTACCCTATTCTAAGTCCCCAGTTGGACAGATTTTCGAGCTTTCTTAAACAAATTTGTGTGCATCACAAATGCTTTTTCTGCCTGTCATGTAAAAGGCATCAACAAATATTGACTGGATCATCTGGACCTGACTTAGCTGCCCTTTGGAAAGTTCTGTTCAATCAGCTGGATAGAGCTGTTTGTTTTCCTCACCTAACCCTCACAGCTATCCTAGAGGTAGGTATCACTATTATTATCCCTCAATTTAACAAGGGTAAATTTGAAGTTCAGAAGGGTCAAGAACCGTAGGCGTAGGCCACGCATGCAATGGCATCCGCATGTAATTCGAGCACTTTGAGAGGCCTGGACGGGATGATCCCTTGATCCCAGGAGTTAGAGGTTGCAGTGAGCCCTGATCGCGCCACTGTACTACAGCCTGGGCCACAGAACGAGATGCCGTTTCAACAGCAACGGAAAAAAAAAAAAACAAAAAACGAAACAACAACAAAAACTTTAGGCATAAAGGCACTCAGGCTGAAGGGACCGATTGGAGTGCTGGCTTGAACTCGTTTTTCTGAGTTCAATTCCAGTGCTCTTCCCTTAGCAGTGTGCTGGAGCTACTTCCTGGAGCCGGGCAGCTGCAGGGCAGCGCTGGGGAAAAGACTGTTCTCTGGCTACATAGCAGCCTGGCTTCTCCAAGCCGGAGGGAGCTGCGCTGACCACTGAAGGCCTTTCTGATGCAACCCCTTCCAAGTAGAATCCATCGCAGCCTTTCAGATCCCGGAACCCAGAGGCTGTGTCGGTCCTGACGCACTGGCTTGGCTGGGCTCCGGTACGAGAGGGATCTCTGCAGCTCTCGGGCGAGGCAGTTGTGGGGAGCTGTAGGCTGACTTAAGACCTGGAGGCCAAGGAGGGGTGGCCAGGGGAAAACTTTCTCTATTTTGTCTCTCTGTGATGTCGCAGCTTTTCTCAGTCACTCCATCCAACGCCACCCACTTCAAACCTGAGATCAAGTGCAAAAAAAAAAGAGGGTGGGGTCACCCCTGGGCTGGAGATGCCGCTAGCCGCAGCCTGCCTACACCGGGCCGAGCTCCTTGGAGAGGGAGGGACACCGGCTCTGGCTGGGGGGGCGCGGAGTGCCGTGGGGAAATCGGGCGGGTGGGGCGCGCCCAGGCGCGGTCGAGTTGCCCCGAAGGCCGCAGGTGAGGGAGGGCGTGGGAGGCGCCCCAGGAGCTGCCTCTAGCGAGTGCGGCACCACGTGTCCGGCCGGGGCGGGGTCGGGCGTGCCCTCGGAGCCCAGAGCAATCGGCGGCAGTGGCGGCGGCGGCGCGTTGGAGCCTCACCAAGAGCCGCCGCCCGCAGCCCGCGCCGGCTCAGCGCAGTCTCCTCGCTCCGTGCTCGCAGGTGCCTCCTCCTGGACGGCGGCAGCGGCGGCGCGAGGAGCCGGCGGGCAGCGGCGCGATGGGGCCCCTCCGCGAGAGCAAGGTAAGGAGCGCGGGGCAGTGCGGGCACTGGAGGGCGGGGAAGGCGGGCACTGCGGGGCGAGAAGCGGCGGGATGAGAGCTGGAGGGGTGACATTTAGAGTCTGGGGAAAGGTGGAAGGAGGTGGTGGTGGGGTCTGGAGAAGGCAGGAGGCATTGCTTAGGAGTTGAGATCCAGGAGATGGGGAGGTGGTACTGGAGGAATAGATTTTGGAGAATGACATGATTGGAGGGTTAATCCCACCTCCTGAAACTGGGACTGTGGGGTGTAGCTTTCAGTTGATATCCTGTGTGTGTGATGTGAATGAAAGGAATTTGATGCATCCGCGACTGGGAAAAGAGGACTCCCGCGTGTCAGTGACCCTGCCTTAGCTCAGGGTCTGCGGTGTGCCCGGCGGAGTGGCTGGCGCATGGTACCTGCTGGGCGGCAGATGTGCAGGGCGAATCCGAGGCTGCGTGCGGCTGGCGGCCCCCGGGTAGAGTGGATGCCTGAGGGCCCTCCGAAGTTCCCCATTGCTGAGGTTTACCCTTCAATTTATGCCATGTGCCGGCCTCCCAGAGGTGTTTATTTTGGCCGTGACCCTTCCTGGTAAGCCGGTGGAAGGAACAGTAGGTCATGTTTCGAAAGGGTGTTTGTTACCTAAGCCAAAGAGTCCCTTTCAGTGGCAGAGGTTGGAGGAAGCAGTGGAATTTTTGCAAAACGCTCCTCCTAGGAATCCATTTTCATAAGGCAGGGTGGTGGTGACCCTGCAAAGCACTGGATTTGAATTTCGTTCTACTTCTGGCATGGTGTGCAGAATTGCCTAAGCATCTCTACCCCATTTAGCCTGTTTCCTCATCTGAAAATAGGGACATTCATTGGTGTGCTCTCTATGTACAGTCTGGTGTGTAAAGATCAAATGAGAAAATGGTTGGAAAAGCACTTTATAAGTTGGAAAACATTGTGAAAATATTACTGTTACGCATTTTTAAAACCACGAAATGGCAGGGTACTTCATGCTGCGTTTTTAAGGAGAAAGAAAAATCTCTTCTTATGGATGTCCTGTAAGGAAAACAAAAATTAAAGATGATGTAAAAGGTGGAGCCATCTTCCCGAGTATCGGATTTGTGTTTGCTTTTCTGTTGGCAACAAGCCTTGTGTACCAGGATATTAACGAATAATTAAGATCCTGTCCAGAAGAGGAGGGATTTTAAAGATAATTGTGTGTGAGCTATCAGGAAATAACTGTTCCAGGTATAGGGTTCAACTTTGTGAGGAGACAAGAAAACAAGTCAGACTGTCACAGCTAATTTAGGGAAAGCAAAATGGAAGTCTGAAGGCTATCAAGTAAGCCAGAGTGTGGTGTTAATAAAGAGCCTTTGGGAGGCAGAAGCTTGAATGTGATAGAAGTCAGGGTGGGAAGGTGAGTCAGGACCAGCATAGGGAAGTAGGATGGCCTTCCAGCTAGTGAGTGGAGGTGTGTATATGTGTGTGTGTGTGTGTGTGTGTGTGCCACACAGACATGTGCTATTCAGTAGATTAGAAAGGTTAACTCATTGGAAGAGTTTTGAAGCTCATTTCAGCAACTGAGATAAGAAGGACTACTCTGTGAAGACTCAATACTCAGAAATGTGATTTCTTAGAAATTGATCCTTGAAGGAACCGACAGGAGTTAAGAGAGGGAAACGCGTTTCCTTTTGTTTTCTTTTTTGATGTCCAATTTTGAGAAGGAGCACAGAGTGCAGCATCATGACAAGGAGATTTCTCGAAGCCGAATTCCCCGGTTGATTCTTCGGCCCCATATGCCCCAACAACAGCACAAAGTGTCCCCAGCCTCTGAGTCTCCTTTCTCTGAGGAAGAGAGCAGAGAGTTCAACCCCAGCAGCTCTGGGCGCTCAGCGAGGACCGTTAGCAGCAACAGCTTCTGCTCAGGTACAGTACCCTCGGGAGGCCACCAGAGGCGTGAAGCGTGTGCACTGCAGGTGCATTGTGAATGGGCCCATACTGGGTCCCTTATAGCCTAGAACTACACTTCTACTATTAGGATGAATTGTAGAAGGTGGTACATTTCTGGCTGTTGTGACCTACAAACACAGCAGTTTCATATAGTTCAGTTTATTGGAATCTCACACCTGAATTTTCATATGTTATTCTAGCTTATAATTTCGAATGTAAAATCTAACTTCTTGTTTCTATGACTTTTTTCCTTTGTTTTATTATACTTTAATTTCTGGGATACACGTGCAGAACATGCAGGTTTGTTACATAAGTATACACATGCCATGGTGGTTTGCTGCACCCATCAACCCATCATCTACATTAGGTATTTCTCCTAATGCTATCCCTCTCCTAGCCCCCACCCCCTGACAGGCCCTGGTATGTGATGTTCCCCTCCCTGTGTCCATGTGTTCAACTTCCACTTATGAGTGAGAACATGCGGTATTTGGTTTTCTGTTCCTCTGTTTAGTTTGCTGAGAATGATGGTTTCCAGCTTCATCCATGTCCCTGCAAAGGACATGAATTCATCCTTTTCTGTGGCTGCATAGTATTCCTTGGTGTATATGTGCCACATTTTCTTTATCCAGTCTATCATTGATGGGCATTTGGGTTGGTTCCAAGTCTTTGCTATTGTGAACAGTGCTGCAATAAACATACGTGTCCATGTGTCTTTATAGTGGAATGATTTATAATTCTTTGGATACATACCCAGTAATGGGATTGCTAGGTCAAATGGTATTTCTGGTTCTAGATCCTTGAGGAATCGCCACACTGTCTTCCACAATGGTTGAACTAATTTACACTCCCACCAACAGTGTAAAAACGTTCCTATTTCTCCACATCCTCTCCAGCATCTGTCCATTCCTGATCTTTTAATTACTGCCATTCTATGACTGTTTTTAAAGATGCATTCCTTTGTTAAATGTAGAAAAAATATTGGATTGAATTTTATACTAGCAACTTCTAGAAGCCTGTGTACCTCTAATTATAAAATTCCCCAAAGATAAAGCAATTCCTAATAAATGAGGTCAAGATCAAGGAGAGTTATAGCCTAAGGCTGGCCTGGCCTTATGGTTTAGTAGGGAAGAGCCCAGGCTTTGTGATCTGTCAAGCCTGAAGGGCTGGAATCCCTGGCCCTTTCACCACTTACATACTGTGTGACCTTCAGCAAGTTGCTTAACCTCCTTAAGCCTTAGTTGTTACATCCATAAAATGAGATTATAATACTTGCCTTGTAGAGTGGCTGTGAAGTTGAATGAGACCAGTACCTAAATGTTCACCTTACACGGTACCTGGCTTACAGAAGTGCTTAATAAATGATGGTTCTTAATACAAGGAACTATGGATGTCTGTTTGGGCACGTGATTAAGAAAGTTTCCTTAAAGTTGTGAGCATGTTTGGTAAGGGCACAAATCTCTTGATAGTTCCTGAAGGTGCCACCATTATCATTTGACAGAGCTTTTTATTCCCATTGAAGCACATGACTTAGAAGGAGTTACTTGAGAAGTATTAGGAATTTGGGTAAAATTTAAAGGAGTGACTGTCTTATGACTAGTGAAGAATGTTTCACAGTGGATAATGTTTTAGAACTTATTTAGGGAACATGGAACTTGAAGATTAACACATGTATGAGAAGAAACACATGAATCAGGATGCTATGATTAATGCTCTAATTTAGCAGGACCTAACATTCCACTGCATTTAGGGCTCACAGCTACATTTTTCAAGGATTTTATAAATGCAGCTTTGGATTTATTACATACTTCCACAAAGTTATTCTGTCCTCTGCATAAGTTGTATGTTGGAAATTCTGCACTGCCTACTTTTTTTTTTTTTTTTTTTGCTAACTAATTTTTTGCTAACAATTTGCTAATCAAATTGTCTGCTTGATTCTGAAAAAAAAAACCCTATCAAAATATTATGTTTTAAAACTTATTTCTTTATATTTGAATCACATGAATCTAGTTTAAGATGGAAACCCACTGCTGCTTTGCCTACTATTCCCCCAAGAAGAAAACAAAAGGATAACTGAGAAGCTATCACAGTTAGTATTCCTAGAATCTAGAGTCATATTTGCAGAATGTAATGCTGTTTACTTTAACTCTGTTTTGGAGCCCAGAGCTCACCCTGGTGAGTGTGGATGAACTCTGGGCACGTCATTTCAAACTGACAGAGCTTTGTGTACATAACTCAGTTCCACATTTATTCCTGGTATTCTCTCCCTGTAATCAATTCCTCTGTGAGGGATTTCAGGGTGAGTAGTGTTATCAGAAAAAAAGAAAAAGTTGTTCAAAACAACAACAAAAAAAAGGAAAACCCCAAATATATTTTAGAATATATGAAGGCAAACCAATATGATTATTGATTTTGGTTATGAATCATTCTTCCCCGGACCCACTTCCTGAATCATCCTCCTTCCTAGGAGACCTGTCTCTGGCTAAGGCTATAATGCTGTACATGAAAATCGAAAGTAGATATTGATCTTTTTGCTATTAACTAGATGAAAATTGAGTGGCAGAAGCATATAATTATGGGTGTCTCTGAACAACCTTTCAATCTTGAGCCTTGCACCCTGCCTGCAGATAGGATTTCCTCCATTCCTGGGCCTCTCCCTCATCTCTCTTCATCTTCCTGTGCTGTCAGTTCCCCAAGGTTTGAGTCTAATGCCTTTCTCTTCCTTTCCTACAGAACTCTGATAAACCCCACAAAGGCTTTTGAGTGCTGTGTAGGCTAAAATTGACAGCAGCAAGGCCTTTGGGGGCATGTTAATGATGCTTTAGGAGGCCGGTTGGTGGGTGGAAAATAAATGGGTTTGGTACTACAGGGAGTGTTAACGCTGGAGGCAGTGAGATAGAGAATGTAAGACATGTCCAACCAGCAGGGGGAAATCGCTCGTTTTAATCCAGCCACTCCAACACTGAGGCCAGAAGGTGTGTTCGTTGTTTAATCACGGCAGTTAAGTCAGAGAACAAGGTGCATACAAATATTAAAAAATACCATCCTTTACTAGAACAAAGCTAAAATAATTTAAAGGGATCTATTGTCATCATAGCTTCGCAACCTTCCAGTAATCCTCCTGTATTAGCTTCTCTTCTTTATAAATCATCACATTCACTCATGTAAAAGGGGCCATGCCTAGTTAAGGGAATTCTTACAATCTGGTAATGAAATTATAGAGGAAGGTGTCACCTCAAATGCAATGAAATTTAATTTGAAAATTACATTTTCAGAACTGCAAACTGGAGACTCTTTCCTCAAATCTATATCAAAAGCATTAATTATGAAAAGCGTCATATGTTCTAAAATTTTTACTTTTTTAAAAAAGATAATGTAATGAGCTTCATAAACATTTATAAACATTTATTTAATACAAAGAATTATACTTTATTTTGAGAATCTGGCTTTTCTATCATTTGTAATGAAACAAAAATTCATGATAGTGGATGGTAGCTATACTTCAGCAAAACAAATGTCAACTCAATGTTGATGTTTTCTCTACTCCACCCTCAAGTTTTTCTTATAATTTTACCGGCCTGTGAAATGAAAAGAATAGAACTATTTCCAAAGTGATCTGTCCATTTTTACCCACTTTCTGTTTTCCCTCCGCACTCCACTGCCTCCCTCTTGCTTTCCCATGGGAGCTTTGGCAAGGAACATTTAATGACTTGATATTCTATATGCTAATTTGTATGTTGTCTCTGCCTCATTTCAGAGGGAAGAAGTTGTGTGTGACCTTTTGCAATTCATTTGGGGTGTGTCCCCAAAGAGCTTTGTTTTTTTTAATCGCTTCTTCTTAGCGAAATTTCTTTGAAGATCTGCATGTGTTTTGTGCATTTCATCAGCACATGAGTGTTTTTGTGCTTGGACATCATTCTAGTCTTCAAACAGTATTCCTCACAGTTTGTACTCAGTCTTGGTCGCTATGACCTTAGTTGGAGACAGTTAAGTTTATACAGTATTAGAGGTCAGGCCCTATTTTATGTGCACAGCAAGTAGAACATTGTACATTATTAATAAATATTAATTAATGCTTTATTTTAAAAATACGTAAGGAAGTACAGTTAATAGGAAGTTAATAGAAACAAAACACCTCCTTTCCTGTCCCCTTTTAAAAAAAAAGTTTTTTGTTTGTTTGTTTGTTTGTTTAAACCAGCGTTTTGGCATAAAGTCAACCTGTCTTTTCTCCCCCATGTTTCTTGTTTTTAACACAAGAAGTGATAAAGCCCACATTGTTGGTTTGTGTTCTGGGTTTGGCCCATTGAATGTAGCCTCTATCCATTTTTCTCCCCCTTTTCTGTAAGTAGTGAATTGTGTTTGTTACTGTACCATGACCCTAGCCACTGTTAGAAAAGCCGATGACCTAGGTGAGTGTGTCAGGCACATACATCAGTCACCTGACATGGTTAGCAGCATGCCGTGCATTCCTCTTTGCTTAGTTGAGGCAATAATTACCCCCTTAGAACTGAGAGGCAGATGGATTGCTGGCTTTTAAGCTAGTTCTCCTTGGGGCGCCTTGTAAACATGGCAGGTGGAACAAATTATGCAGATAGAAGACTAGTTGTTTTATGGGAGAACAGTAATTTATCTGAGTTATTTTCATGTTTCTAATGTGCACACACAGATACACAGGCAAGTGTGCGACTTAACGCATTAAATACATGTACCAGGTCAATTTTTTTAAATGGTCAAAATCTGAGATTCTTTGCAGTCTAATCCCAAGTAAGGTGTTTGCAGAAAGTATTTTGTTATTTACAGTAGCTGGGAAGAAATCTTTCTTTGAGTGCCAATGACCTAGAGGTAATCATTGTTGCTGTTTGTGGCACAAGCAATTAAGGCAAATTATAACCTGACTGGTGCCCTGTTGAGGCATGACAACGCCTCCAAAAATTTGCCAGGCCTTGCCAAACAGAAATATTTCTCCTGTGCTTTTGTACAGTTGGGGAAACTTGGCATCTGGATAGAGTGAAGCTTTGAACATAATGATTAGAACTGAGATGAACTGCTTAAAGTGAAGTGAGCTGCAATTCCAAATTATACTACAGTTGAATGACTGCTACCCTCCTGTGAATTTAAAAAAAAAGACCCTATCAATTTAGTATCACTTTAATGAGACCTAGGAAATGTAGTATAATAAATATTTCAAATGCTTAGCAGCCTCACCACAGAAGCATGTACCTAATGAAATAGATTATAAACGAAAGGCATATAGGCAGTATTTCTTTGAGAATGTGGTAACTGCAATTTGCCAAGAGCAAAATTTTTGCCATTTAATCAACAATTCTTAGCAGTAGGAATGGTGAAAAGTAAACATGATGGAATTGGACTATGTCTGAAAGCAAATTAAGGTACTTAACCTGAAAATCTTTCAGGTTCTAAAACACCTGTCTTTATGAGAATGTTTTCCAATTTTAGAGTATGGTGTTTGCCTGCTTTTGAATCCTCAGTAAAACTTGTTTAAAATTCAGATACAATGGCCTTACCCCAAAACTATTGTCTTGAAATGAAAGGGCTCAGGAATCTGCATTTTACAGGCTTTCCAGATAACTCTTGTGCACACTGAAGGCTGAGCCTCACTTCTTTGTGGTCTGTGTGTATTTGGGGATTTGGTATGAGGAGTATGAGGGGTATGCCCAAAGTAGCATCACAAGATGAATAAGGATCAAAGATGGTAGAAACGGTGGCCAGCCAGGCTGTTTAAACCAGTGACCATGGGGCAAGGTGGATGTGGAATGATGCCTCCACAGTCCCTGGAAATTGTAGTTGCTGACTCTATATTTACTGGTCCCATGTCATTAGTCTTAGCCATAATATTATTTATGTCTACATAATAGGTTTAACTTGTGTTCAGATGGTAGCAAAGTAAGGAGGAGGAGAAAGAATTTCCTTTTTTATTTTCCTATTTATCCTCTTTCTGAATTTACTATATCTATACTTTTTACTATTTTGCATATTCTTTTTGTGATATTGGGATGATTTGGGGTTACGCCAAAAGGGGATATACTGATACCAAGAGTATACCCTGAACATCCAGTAGATTCACTGAAGGAGGCAGAAAGAAAAGAAGCTGAGGCCTGGAAGTGATAGGACATTCAGCCTTTTGCAAGCCTTCGCCAAAACATGTTTATTCAGTAAGCATCTTTAAATGCCTACAAAGGATCAGGAATTGTGCTTAGGCTACAAAAATGAATGATACACAGGGATTAGAAAAATCAATTGTTTTACTGCCTTAACCCTGACACTGAAATAAATGGGGTAATAAATTATCCCATCTGGATGGGATTTCCACAGTACTACTTTTACTCACCTGTGTCCCAGTCCCTTTCATTCACACCCACCCCACATACACTCCTACCTTGTAATTTGAGTTTGTTGTTCCATGTCTTATTTGCATTGGCTTCTCACATTTCATAAGCCCAAGGAAGAAAAGAAGTAACATTAATTAGTGCGGTGTAGTAGATAAACATGAGCCTTGGCATCAGCAAATTTGAGTTAAAAGCATGAAATGAGACAGAAAGGCAGGCAGGTCAGGTTATGCAAGACTTCCTATGCCATGCTCAGAACTTCTTCCATGAGCTCAAGGGTCCATACAGGAACTAGGCAAGTAATGTAAAGAGTGAGACCACCTGGATAGAAGACAACAGAGGGAACTCTAGAACTGGATATGTGTGCCATCACGAAACATATTCTGAATTTTAAAAATTCAGCTTTTAAATTCTGTGGGACAAATAGCATGTGTACATAGGTGAATATGGATCATGGGCTACCATTTTGCAATTTCTAAAGATCTTGCAGAGCCAGTGGAGGGTTTTCAGCAAGGAAGTGTTATGATCAAATTTATAATTTAGAAAGTCTTCCTATTTCTGTGTTGGACAGGGAGGGGGCAGGAGTGACTGGAGTCTGCCTGCTTTGAAGGACACTGCTGCAGTCTAAGTGAAGAACTGATAAATGACATGTGTGAGATTTGGGGCTAGAACAGATGGGTCTAGACACCAACTATAAATGGAAGGTGAAGGGGAAGGATTGTGTCTAAATCTCCACTGAATGAATAATATGGAATAGCAGGATTGGGGAGAAGGGCAGGGGGTCAAGTTAATTAGTTCATTTTAAGCTTTGTTGAATTTTAGACAAAAGTCTGGAGCCCTAAAGAAAATTCTAAGATGGTGACCAGCAGAAGTGGAGGGTTTTGATAATATTACTAGTGGGGAGTGCATGGGGAAGAAAATTAGAGGACTAGGAGAAGGACTCTGAGGTATAGCAAGAGGAGGCAGGAAAAGGAAATGAAGACACCTGAGAATGAGCATTCAGGAATAAAGCATGAGACCCAGGTGTGACAATGTCTCCACTTCCAAAGGAAAAGAGTTTCAAGAAGTAGGTAGCCAAGAGGTTTAGGTATCACCGCAAGATTAAGTAAAATGTGCATTAAACAGTGCTCAAGGATCAGACCATTAGGTTATCAGTCATCTTCAGCAGAAACAGCTGCAGCAGAAACAATTGCAGCAAATTGGTGGTGAGCAAGAGATGGGATGTATCAACCTCTCATCAACTGGGACATGAGTGAGAGGTAACAAAGTATAGACAACTTTTTTAAAGGGTTTAACTGGGATGGGGAACAGATAATAGAATAAAAACAAATATTGCATTTACAGTGAAAATCAGGTGTTTATCAAGTGGCAGGTATTTGATAAAGTTTTTGAACTGAGAAGTAAACAGCAAAGAATAAAACAGAGAGACTGAGGGAGAGAAAGATAATAACAATAGTGCAGAAGTATTAACAAGACTGAGGTAGACCAAAAAAGATACATAAATTAGAAGAAAAGAAATAAGACTGGATGTGACTACAAATAAGTATATTTATAGATCAGAGTAAGAAGCTGAAGGATTAATTTCAATGTCCAGGTTAGGTGCCCCCATCTTTATGCTTTCCACATTATCTGGTTTTAAAATTTCTTGCTTGCTTTGGCCTCCCAAAGTGCTGGGATTACAGTCACGAGCCACCATGCCTAGCCTAGTTTTAAAATTTCTTATTTGGTTACCTGATTCCCCAAGACTGTAAACCCTATGAAGGCAGGAACAATATAGTCCCCTGCACTCCTAGCATTTGCTTAGTAAGCATTTGTTGGAATTTGGTAGAAATTATGAGAACAGAACAAGTGAATAATTCTCTCATTTATGAAATATATTGAGAGCATGGCACTATCTTAGTAGTTGGGGAAATAAAGCAACTAGAAAAGTACTCAGTACTCTATTAAATAGCTTGGTTAGATGAAGAAAACATTCCTGTCCTGAGGAGTTTAGCATCTCTAAATGTCAAAAAGAGTAAGCTCCACAATAGAACCATGACTCCAGTGTTGTGGGCATCTAGAAGAGAGATCTTTTTGCTAAGAAAACCAGAAAATGCCCCACTCAAGAGCTGGCACATAAGCAAGGTTTTGAAGGTTGTGTAGGAGTTTGAGAAGCAAAGCATAAAATGGCAAAAAGAGAGATCACTGTGGGTAAAAGCAGAGTCTTAAAAGCTCAGGGAATATTTAGGGAGCAGTGAGGAGTGCTGTCTTCTCTAATTGTTATTTTTCAGTCACAAAAACCATCATAAAAACGAGCAGCCTAGATTACAATCTAAAAGGTAATTATATCCAGTTGCAGTGGCTCACACCTGTAATCCCAGCACTTTGGGAAGCCGAGGCTGGCAGGTCACTTGAGGCCAGGAGTTAGAGATCACCCTGGCCAACATCATGAAACTCCATCTCTACAAAAAATGCAAAAATTAGCTGGGTGTGGTGGCACACACCTGTAATTCCAGCTACTTGGGAGGCTGAGGCATGAGAATCACTTGAGCCCGGGAGGTGGAGGCTGCAGTGAGCCAAGATTGCGCCACTGCACTCCAGCCTGGGTGACAGAGCAAGACTTTGTCTCAAAAATAATAATAATAATAAAAAAGATAATTAGTACAGGCCACATTTTCATGTTTCCCAGGAGTCTGATTTGACACTAGTCACCACCCTACCCCACCCTCCAGGTGGTTTTTATTCTGAGAAAGCCCCAGTCTCTTCCCACTGACTAGAGCAGAAAGTGCCTCCTAACCTGGTGCCCCGGCCACTGCTGGATACAGTCTTCATGCTCTGAAGCTTCCCTGCCAGCTGCTAGGCTCCTCTGGCTCCAGCAGGAGACCTGTTATTTCAGGTTGACTGTCCCCTCTTTTTAGGGAACCCAAACCAAGTTTTCAAATGTACAGCTATGCTATCGTTGAGATCACACAGCATTCACCCATCCCACTAGAAGTCATATCCTTCAACTTTTCCCTGCTCAGTGTGGATTTTCTCTGAGCTCTGCCTCTTTACCAGCTGGCTCAGCCTTTATTCTTTTTGTGTGTGGGTGACCAGGCAGTTAGGATCACGGTTAGAGACTGACGTGACTCTCAGAATTCTTAAGACCCTCTGGATCTTAGGCTACCCTTCTATTGATTCTGGAGTGTTTATGAGGATTATATTTTCTTTAATGCTAATTATATTTTTATTTTTAAATTCAGAAGTAACAAAAACTTATCTGTTATAAAATATACAAACACATATATCAGACCGGAGCTAATCACATTTATATGATGTATTTTGTTTTGCTTTTTGCCAAAGTGAAATCATGCTATATTGATCTGTGATCCTTTCTGTTCATGAAGCAAATATTTATTGAATACTTATTGTGTGCAAGGCAGTTTTCTAGTTGCTGAGCTAGAGCAATAAACACTACCGGCATGGCTATTCCTGCCCTCAAGGAATGCATATTCCAGGCAGTACCTGTACCTGTCATTGCTTGTCAGCACAAGGAAGTCCCCCTCATTCATGGTAATGACAGCGTGGCGTGTCACTCTACAGAGGACCATAATTTATTCAAACATTCTTCTGTGGATGGACATTTTGTCTATGAGACTAAATTTCATAATTTAGAATTTTGTATTATGAATGTCACTGGAATTAGACTATATTTTTTCTTTGACTCTATTTTCTTCTTTTGTTCTTTTTTTTAAAAAAGAAGTAAATTCCATGATATAAATGTTATCTAAAACAATTCCTTTTTTCAAAATAGAAAAAACTCAGATGTAACAATTACATAAACAGTATGATGAACATTGCTTTTTCTTTATTTTTTTCCATTTTTATCCCTTACTCTATCTTGACCATTACCATGTTCAGATTCTTATTGTGAAGAAAAATGGAAAGGAAAGGAAAAGATACATTGCTACAAGACAACTCACTTTAATTCAGATGTCCTTAAAGTGATTTGTAGTTATTTTATTATAAGTTTTTCAAGAGAATAAGAACTAGCTTCTTGGGGCTGGGCACGGTGGCTCATGCCTGTAATCCCAGCACTTTGGGAGGCCAAGGCGGGCAGGTCATCTGAGGTCAGGAGTTCGAGACCAGCCTGGCCAACAGGACAAAACCCCGACTTTACTAAAATTAACCAGGCATGGTGGCGGGCGCCTGTAATTCCAGCTATTCAGGAGGCTTAGGCAGGAGAATCGCTTGAACCCTGGAGGGAGAGGTTACAGTGAGCTGAGATCGTGCCACTGTTCTCCAGCCTGGGCGACAAGAGCGAAACTCTGTCTCAAAAAAATAAAAGAAATATCTTCTTGGGCTCTGTCTCTCTGTCTCTCCTCCTCTCTTCTTCCCTTCTTGTCTTTTTAGTTCTCTTTCTTCTCCCTTTCCTTTATCTTCTCCTACCAAAGAAACTTAAAAAAAAAAACTGAGCCTTTAAAAAGGCATGGCCTAGAAACTGCAAACAAACCCATAATGCTAAGGAGAGGGAAGGTCAGAAAGATTTGTAACATGCCTATTTTGGAAAGATCATAACCGTATGAAAGAAAAAATAAGATAAAGTTCTCTTGAAAGACAAATTCACCACCCCCGTGCCAGGGCTCACCTTTCTTCTGTCAGTGATAGAGTCAGCCTCTGTTTCCCAATTTCAACACCAACTCCTCCCTCGCCAAAACCTCTAGGTAGATTCATTACTCATTCTACATTAAATATTTGGACCAAATATTTTCTCCTCCAAATTCCTGCTTCAGGGGCTGCTAGTGCAAATCAAACAACTTGATGCTTGGTAGAAACCAAGTACTCGGCCCGTGTTCCAGAGAGAGAGCACGGAGTCTTCTGCAGAAATGGAGCTTACCTCACCTGGCCCTGCATCCTCCTTTACTGCCCAGGGCTTCGCCAGAGTGACTTTTATGGGAGCACTCGAAGCTCCAAAATAGCTCAGAAATCCTGGGAATGTTTATCCGTGAAGTGATTATTTTGTCTCCAAGAAACAAGGAAGGCACTCAGTAAATAATTACTCCACTCTCCACTTTGCTTTTGTAGATGTAAGTTACATGTCTTAGTGTGAGGTGTTCATTTCAGTCACTCTGACAAGCTAATTTTCATTAGCACATACTCACTCCCCATCTATAAAGAAAAAAGAGCTCCCTTCCTTCTTTACAACTACCTTCATTTGCAAAAGACCCCCCATTTCTTTGCAACTGCCATCCTGTTTCTCTGCTCCTCTTCATGGCAAAACCTCTCCAAAATCCTGGCTCCGTAATGCGTCCTGGCGAGCACATGAGTGACCACATTGGCAAATCTAATATTCCCCTTGTCTGCCTTCATTTTCCTTGACCTCTCAGCAGCATTCAACATAATTGAACAAGCCCCACTCCTAGGAAAGATTTTCCTCCGTGGCTTCTGTGAACCGCCCCGCTGAGCGTTCCTCCTGCCTTTCAAGTCACCTTGTTGGCCTCTTCTCCTGTCCTCCCCAAGGGCTTGTATCCAGGCCTGTGTCTTTCAATGTCTCACCTGTAGGGTGATGATGCTCCAGACATCCCCCCTGGGCCCCAGGCTCACTTATCCAAGTGCCTACTTGCTATCTCCAAGGTCATGTTTAATTTGTGTCTCAAATGTAGCATAGCAAAACCAGAATTCTTGATTTCACCCCCTACACAATCATAAACCCATTTTTCTCCAATTCAGAAATGAGTGCCATATACCCACTTGTTTAAGAAAAGAACTCAGAAGGCATTATTGATCCTTTCCCATTTTTCGTTACTGTAAATAAATGCTTTCAGTTATTTTTCCAAATTTATCTCAAATATATGTACTTTTCTTAATGTTCACTACTACCACTTGGGTCAAACCACTGTTACCTCTCATTTCTATTACGGTAGTGGCCTCCAAATGGGTTTATTTGCTTCTATCCTTTCATTCTTTTTTTTTTTATTATTATACTTCAAGTTTTAGGGTACATGTGCACATTGTGCAGGTTAGTTACATATGTATACATGTGCCATGCTGGTGCGCTGCACCCACTAACTCGTCATCTAGCATTAGGTATATCTCCCAATGCTATCCCTCCCCCCTCCCCCCACCCCACGACAGTCCCCAGAGTGTGATATTCCCCTTCCTGTGTCCATGTGATCTCATTGTTCAATTCCCACCTATGAGTGAGAATATGCGGTGTTTGGTTTTTTGTTCTTGCGATAGTTTCCAGAGAATGATGATTTCCAATTTCATCCATGTCCCTACAAAGGACATGAACTCATCATTTTTTATGGCTGCATAGTATTCCATGGTGTATATGTGCCACATTTTCTTAATCCAGTCTATCATTGTTGGACATTTGGGTTGGTTCAAGTTACAAGAAAAAAACAAACAACCCCATCAAAAAGTGGGCAAAGGACATGAACAGACACTTCTCAAAAGAAGACATTTATGCAGCCAAAAAACACATGAAAAAATGCTCATCATCACCGGCCATCAGAGAAATGCAAATCAAAACCACAGTGAGATACCATCTCACACCAGTTAGAATGGCAATCATTAAAAAGTCAGGAAACCACAGGTGCTGGAGAGGATGTGGAGAAATAGGAACACTTTTACACTGTTGGTGGGACTGTAAACTAGTTCAACCATTGTGGAAGTCAGTGTGGCGATTCCTCAGGGATCTAGAACTAGAAATACCATTTGACCCAGCCATCCCATTACTGGGTATATACCCAAAGGACTATAAATCATGCTGCTATAAAGACACATGCACACGTATGTTTATTGCGGCATTATTCACAATATCCTTTCATTCTTAAAGGAGCCATGCAACATAGTGGTTAACAAAGAGGCTCTGGTGTTAGCTTGTCTGGATTCATACTACACTCTGCCACTTACTGATTACAAGCTTGAACAGGTGGCGTAAACACTAGTGCCAGTTTTGTATGACCCCTGCCAATCAGGATGACAACAGTGCTTATCTCAGAGGGATATTAGATTAAGTTAGTTAAGATTTGTGTTTAAGAACAGTGTTTAGAAGTGAAGTGAAGTGTTTAGAACAGTGCTTGGTAGTTAATAGGCACTCAGTAAATATTAGCTAGATATATTATCACTGATTTGGTCTGTTCTCCATTATAAGCACAGGCTAAATTTTTGTTATCTCATGCATAGTGCACACTGCAGTTTCTGTTGCACTTCCAATAAACGTCAAGATTCCTGACCTAAAATTCTTCACTACTTGGGCTTCTGCATCCCTTTGCCCTCATCATCATTCTCTCCCCATCACCCTTCCTCTCTTTGGTTTCCATAATGCACCATATTCCTGCCTATCTCAGAGCTTTTTGTACTTATTTCTCTGTATCTGGAATTCTTTTCCTTGTTTTTCCTGCCTTTTGTGTGATTATTTCCTTCTCATTTTTTTTTGGTTTAGGGTCAAAAGACCTCTTCAGGAGCCTTCTATGACAATATATCTAATGAAGTAGCTTCCCACCTCCCACCTAGTCTACATAATATCATCGAGTATACTTCATTAACAGTAAATCCCAAATATCTTTTTTTTTTGAGACGGATGTCACTCTGTCACCCAGACTGGAGTGCAGTGGCACGACCTCAGCTCACTGCAGCCTTGACCTCCTGGGTGTGAGCAATCCTCCCACTTCAGGCTCCTGCATAGCCGGGACTATAGACATGACCAGCTAACTTTAAAAAAAAAAATCTTTTTGTAGATATGAGGGTCTCTGGCTGGGTGCAGCCGCTCATGCCTATTATCCCAGGACTTTGAAAGGCTGAGGTGGAAGGATCACTTGAGCCCAGGAGTTGGAGACCAGCCTGGGCAACATAGTGAGATCCTATTTACAAAAAAAGAAAAAGAAAAAGAAAAAATTAGCCAGCTGTTGTGGCACACATCTTTGGTCCCAGTTAAATGGGAGCCTGAGGTGGGAGAATCACCTGAGCCCAGGAGGTGGGGGCTGCAGTGATCCTGATTGCTACACTTCAGCCTGGGTGACAGAGTGAGACCCTGTCTCAAAAAAAAAAAAAAGAGATGTGGTTTCCCCACATTTCCCAGGCTGGTCTCAAACTCCTGTCCTCAAGCTATCCTCTCACCTTGGCCTCCCAAAAGTGCTGGGATTACATGAGCTGTCACTACCACACCTGGCCCCAAAACATCTTTTTATGTATTTTTTAACTTATTAACTGTTTCTCCTCATCACTAGAATGTGAACTTGTTAAGAACAAGGATCTTAGTGTCTCACTCATCATTACCTCCCTAATATCTAGAACAATACCTGACACATGTAGGAAATCAATAATTATTTGTAGAGAAAAATAAGTGGATGAATGGATGAGATTTATACACTTCAACATCAGCCACTGGTTAGTGACATATTGTATAATACTGAAGCATATTTTAGAGCTCTGTACATCTCTGAGTTCCCACTACAAAAAGATGCTAAAATTGGGTGAAGGAATAGAAATGCAAGGTTTGCTGTTGAAAACCTAGAATTCAAAATTATCAGAATGGCACACGTTTTATATGGCTACATGTGTTGAGGCAGGAATACTGGAAACAACTAGAAAGAGTTTCTTGCCTCCAATTTCTGTGGTCTGTTTATTATGGGATGGCTTCTTTCTAACAGCTTCCTTTGTCTGTTTTTAATTTGGGCATTCCCAGAATTGCTGATGTTTCCTCTTGGAACAAACATAACTTGAAAATTTTAGAAAACAGCTAGCTTATGGTGGTGAGTAAAACAGGCAGTTTGTCAGACAAACCTTACTTTGAATCCTGAGTCAATTGCCCAGCAGCTCTGTGCCCATGAAATTTTTAACCTCTCTGAGCCTCCATTTTCCCAACAGTAACATATTATTAAAATTATATGATAATAATTAATGTGTTTGCCACATGATAAGTACTTAATAAATGTTAGTTTTCTTGCCTTATAAATGCACCGAAAGGTATGTGGTAAGAATTTCACCTGGTTTATATTTATCATGAGTTTAAGCTGTGACACTTTATCTGTCTCCATTAAACTATCTTCAAAAATGCCAGTATCTGGAGCAATAAGCATAATAAGAGCTATATTAGTGTCTGACACATAGTAGATATTCAATAAATATTTGTTGAACAGATGAATAAGTAGTCAGTAAATGCTTCCATTGTTCATGAGAATCAACTAGATTTCCATATAGTTTAAAATAATGTTTCTTTAAACTAGCAATAACTTCCCCCCCACAAAAATTATACAACTGAACATCGAACAGAATCAAACCATAACTGAATGTTTCAAGACATTATGGCACAAAATCATATTTTCCTCCATTAATGTTTTTAAGTGTCTTCTGGAATTGTTTAGTTCAACATTTTTGAAAGCCAGTGGGCTCTGAGATCTAAATTCAAAAAGGAGCCAGCAGTTTTAGAGATGCTTCTTGGACTTTGAAGAAATATTTTATTAATGGTTGTAATTTTTAGAGCTTGGTGTTTTATTCTTACCTGTAATCGGTGTAAGAAGATTATTTTTGAGACAGGGTCTTATTCAGACACCCAGGCTGGAGTGCAGTGGTGCAATCGTGGCTCACTGCAACCTCCGCTGGGACTACAGGTATGCACTATCATGCCCAGCTAATTTTTGTAGTTTTTGTAGAGACTAGGTTTCACCATGTTTCCTAGGCTGGTCTCAAACTCCTGGGTTCAAGGGATCTGCCAGCCTCAGCTAGAAGATTTTAGTAGGGACTTGGTCATCATAATTGCCACCAAATTTGTTTGATGGCACTGGTTTTTAGGCATTTTTGTTTAATTATCAAGAAAGTTTATGATACGCACATGCACACTTTGGGCAATCTAATATTTTGAAATATATAAATGAATTATGCAAAAAGTATTTATTGCTTTCAAATTTTCATCATAAAAGCATTGCAAAGTAATGTGGTAGACTTCCTTAAAATTGCAATATTAATAATAAAGTTAGCATCTAACCCTCATGCCATATTTTAAAATGGATTCCAGATAGATTTAATTTAAATGAAAGTGAAACTATAAATATCTAGGAGAAAGTACAGGCAAATATTTAGTTGATCTTTGAATAATAAAAACATTCTAAGCATAAAAGTATTGGAAGAAATCACAAAGGAACGTATGGAGAGATTTGACAGAATAGAGCAAGGTTTGAATGTCAAAAACATTATCAAGTCAAAAGCAAACAAAAGGGTTGATGCTTTTAACATATAAAGAGTTCTTACAGATCAGTAAGAAAACCTGAACTTCCAAACAGAAAAATTATCAAGGACTTGAACAATTCATAGAATAAATTTAAAAGGTCAATGAACATACAAAGACATTGAGCTTCACAAACAATTAAATACATGTAAATTAAGACATCAAAATTTGTTTTTAATTAACTTTAAGAAATGTAAACCAAATAATATTTAGTACTGGCAGGTATTTAATAAGTGGAGTATGTTCATACAATAATAGGAATATAAGTTGTCTCAAACTTCTTGGAAGTTTTAGTAATTCCACTACACATACATTTTATGAGCTCATCAAAGATTTGACCAAGGATGTATCTATAAAATGTGTAGTAAAGCAATTTTAATAACAGTGAGAAAAATTAAAACAAACTAATTCTTCCTACAAGAAGGATTGGTCTTTAAAAATCCTATGTTTGGCTGGGCGCAGTGACTCACACCTGTAATCCCAGCATTTTGGGAGCCAAGGTGGGAGGACCACTTAAGTTCAGGAGTTTGAGACCAGCCTGGCCAACAAAGCAAGATTCTGTCCCTTAAAAAAAATTAAAAATAAGCTGAACACAGTGACCTAAGCCTGTAGTTCCAGCTGCTAGGGAGGCTGAGGTGGAATAATCACGTGAGCCAGGAGTTGGAGTCTGCAGTGAGGTATGATTGTTCCACTGTACTCCAGCCTGGGCAACAGAGCGAGACTCTGTCTGAAAATAAACAAACACATTTTAAAAGTGATGTTTATATCTATTTTAAATCAGCACTCCTTTAAAATAATGTTTTCAAGAAATCAAATAAAATACTTTGAAACTTTTAAAAAGCATACTCAAAAACAGAGAATAGTGCAGTGAACTCTCATGTGCTTATTACCCACTTATCTAGATTAAATGATAGCAGGATATTCCTGTATTTGTTATGTCTCTTTTCTTTGTGGAAACATTTTAAAGCAAATCTCCAGACATCATGTCATTTCTTGTCTACCAACATACCTCAGCATGCATAACTTTTTTTTTTAAAAAAAGCACATTTTCTTACGTAATCACAGTGCCCTTTTCATTTCTAACATGATTAACATAATTCCTTGGTATGACAGAGAATGATGAAATATCCCAGATTTTCTCAAAAGTGCCTATTTGCTTCCCTGGTATCATTTAACCCAGAAATCAACAAACTTTTTCTATAAAGCGCCAGATAGCAAATATTTTTTATTTCATTGGCTAGATGGCCACTGATGCAATTACTCAACTCTCTGCCATTGTAGCCTTGAAAGCCACCATAGACAATATATAAAGGATTGGGCATGGCTGTGTTCCAATAACAATTTATTTACAAAAAACAGTGGACCAAATTTGCCCTGCAGGCTGCAGTTTGCCAATCTCTAATTTAACTCATTATTCTATTTTCTATATATTTCATAAGGTGAACATTAGCTTTAAAGCCTTGATTGGATTTGGGGGCAATTGTGTGTTTGTGTGTGGCAAGAATTCTTCATAGGGAGTGCTGCATGCCTCATATCACATCCCATCAGAGGGGTTTTCCCACTGTTGGCGATGGGAAGAAGACTCGATGGGTGCATTTGGGTAAGGCCTGATCCCTCCACTGTAAACTCTCCATTAGACTTTGTCTAGTGGTTTTATCTATTACATTTGCTGCCTAAATCAATTATTTCATTCGAGGTTGCAAAATAGCAATTTTCTATTTCTGTTATTCCATCTGTTTTCATTAACCAGAATGCTTTTGTAAGGACAAACTTTCCAATAACAATGAGGGATTTCAGTTACACTGAGATACAGTTTATATAGGAACACTTTTTACAATAAAAATATATGCTAATTCTTTCCTTTTAATTGCCAATTTTCAATATAAAGAATTGTTCGTGGATAATTTCCAGTGATTTCCAGGGAGTTGGGCATTTTGGGGGTGAAAGGGGCCTTTCTCTATCTCTGTAATGTGTTTTTTTATATGACCATGAACTCAGTTTTTTTTATATATCCAGTGATTATCAGTCACTTGCATTTATTATTCTTTTTGGTACTCAAATTATTTCATTGTTGACCAATGGGGCCTCCTTTGTGTTGGTTCCCATTAGTCTTTAATAGCTTCTTTCTTTCTAGCCTAGCAAGTTCCAGGGAGAAATTTTCAATGACAGATAATGAAACTGTCTAAAATATATGTTGAAAATTTGATAAAACAAAAAGCAAACAGGCAAGCAAACTGTATTCACAAAATATTTTTCTGGGTAACACAATTATAGGAGAATAGTATGTCTTTATTTTATTCTTTACTTCTTTATACTCTTCTGTATTTCAGATTTCACACAATAAGAATTATGGGTTTATAATTAAAAAGTTAAGCTAAAATTTTAACAACCTCAACAGATTTAATTTAATTTAGCAAGTACATTTAAAATGAGATTCAAAGTATTTTTAAAGAACTTAGGCACATATTTTTCAGAATTATAAGTAATTACATAATTATTAACTATATCCTATATTTCAAAGACCTTATAATGTAAAGAGAGAGGAAATATAGATTTTTAAAATCATTTTTTAACAACATTTAGGCTACAAAATTGTAATAGTTGCTGGTTTTTCGCATCTGTCTTTATAGACCTTAGCATGTTTTTTATTTTCTTGATGACAATCTGGAAACTATTCCATTCCATAGACATATATTTTTAACAGTACTTTAGATAGCCCACAACCTCTGAGGTTCCTGGATCTGTGAGTATTCTTTCTACTACCCTTAATCCTGTGTGTTCACCAATTTTAAGCAAATGAACAAGAACAACAACAAAAGAACTGATTTCTAATAAAATCAAGGAGGACATGTAAATTAGTCTCCTTCACTTAGAAGGTGATCATTTAGATGTGGCCTTGAGGAGGGTAATGTTTACCTGAGTTCCACCAGAGGCTATCTTGGACCCGTCTAAGGAGGATTTAAAATAGCAGCCCCTGGAAGGAAATTGTCCCATATTTTCAAGTGGATCACACTGTATAAAGCATGTAAAGTGATCCCATGTTTTTTAGGTAAAGTTATACCTACTTTGAATAATGAAGAAAGAAATGTAAAAACTCAACTATGTAAGAGGGGTGTGCGTTTGTGTGTGTGTGTGTGTGCGCGCGCGCACGCTCCTGTGATGTAAATTCCTCTCTCTGTAATGGACCAACAGTCTTCTACATCTTCTTCCCTAAAACCTTGGCGCAAAGCTTCCCTGTGGCAAAACCAGACTAAAATGTTCATAGTTTTGTCAGGCCTTCTTCTGGAAATGTGGAACATCCCACACTTTGGGGGCACATTATTCAGTATTTCTGCAATTTCGTGCCCAGAAACAGTTTTCTCATATTAGAAATCTTTGTCATTGATAATTTCTTTATATTAACATAACTTATAAAAGCTAAAAATATATAAATCTATAGATTGTACAGGAAAATTCAGCAGTCAGGTAGCAGAAGAAAACAGAAGGCACATTCCCATAGTTTAACTGAAGCAGGTTTAATAAATAAATCTCTTTAATATGTGCTTGGTCCACATGTAGTTTAGTATGGTAAGATTAGATATAAACAACCAAAGAACATCAGCTTGGCTTTACTATTCTCAGAATCTCAGAGTAAATGTGGCCAGGCACGCTGGCTCATACCTATAATCCCAGCACTTTGAGAGGCTGAGGCAGGCAGATCACTTGAGGCCAGGAGTTCAAGGCGAGCCTGGCCAACATGGAGAAACCCCATCTCTACTAAAAATACAAAAATTAGCTGAGTTTGGGTGGTACATGCTTGTAATCCCAGCTACTCAGGAGGCTGAGGCAGGAGAATCACTTGAACCCAGGAGGTGGCATCTGCAGTGAGCCAAGATCACACCACTGCACTGCAGCCTAGGCGACAGAGCGAGACTCTGTCTTAAAAAGATAGATAGATAGATAGATGATAGATAGATAGATAGATAGATAGATAGATAGATAGATAGATACTCATATTATTTTATTGTTTAATGAAGCAGAAGTCATTTAAGTCTTGAAAAAAAAAGAATCTCAGATAAATGGGAACTAAGAATATTTTTCATAGAATTTTGAAAAGGAGTGTTATCTTCATTTGAACTGGTGGTCAGCTTCCAACCGGCCATGAAGAGGAAGAAAGGAGGAGGGAGAGCAGAGAAGGAGCCCTAAATAAGACTTGTAAAGATAACTTCTTCTTCAGTGCTGCACAAAGAAAAATACCTCAGGTTACTCCCTAGCACATGAAGCTCTGTGCCTTTGCTGGGGTCTTACTTTGCATAGATAAAGTGTGCCCTCTGTAGTAGGAAAATTCATGGCCCTGCCCTTTCTAGATTCCTTTGTTAGTGTCGGGTGCATTAGACAAAACAGGCAAATGCCCCAGGCTTCTTCCATAACCCACAGATTTTCTTGGATATGGATTAACTTTATCAGACTTGCCAGTTTACAATAACTATGCATTGTAAGTGACATATACCCAGATCCTTTTGGCTTATTTATAAACTCCACCAGGGTGGGGCCTGGGTACAATGCCTGTGGGCTGGTTCAGTGCCAGGACTTGATACATATTCATTTAACCAATGAAAGACCATGTCTTATATTCCTAGTATTGCCCCCCCAACACACACCATATGAAGCACAAGAGTAGAGAGTTAAGAGATCTTTTTGTAGTGGTTTAAATCCTGTAAGATGGATCCAAAGTTCAGGATGTATTTAGGTTTGAATTTTCTCATTCCCTGCTTCTGGAGATCCTGGCTGTAAATACTGATGACAGGTGAGGCATCACACTCCAGGTTAAAAATTGCTACTGCCTCTTACACACTGCCACCACTCTAAATAATTTCAGTTCTCAAATTTTAACCAGACCCCAGCACTTAATCCTTGAAAGGACTAGCACTGAAAACATGGTGTGCACACATTCTTTCTCATTTAACTTCAGAAAAATGTAATAGAACCCAAGGTATGATTTTGATAGCATTTCTCAATGCTGGAAATTGTTTAATTTTATCCCTGTGAGTCTGAGAGTTTTCAGGAAAACTGAGTTTTTTAGGTTAGACACTCTGAAGCACAGATTTTTATTTTGTGGGGACATCTCTCTTTCAAAAGAAGTGATTTATGGAACTGACTCATAAGGAAATAATGTTAAAGACAGCATGGAATGTTGAATGATTAGATTTCATTCATTTATCTGCTTTGGGATAGGAATTAAGAGAGGCTCTCTTGAGGCATTGTGCAGACCTGTTGTGCCTTGTAAAATTGCTGGAATCTGTGTCTGAGTAATTAGCAACTTTACACCTTTAAAAAGGAGCTCAAATATCTTTGGGTTGAAGCCTGGGGTGTGTAAGTGTAAGGGAAAGGCAAGGGCAGTGAATGATGAAAGAGCTGAGCAACAGCCACCAAGAAGGGTTCTCATCACCCTGTTATTCAGGGCCAGAGTTTCTTCAGGAGTTCAGGAAGAACGCAACGTATTTAAAAGAGCCCGAAGACTGCAGGCATGAGCAGCACCCTAAAAACCATTCACTTCCAGAAACAGACCACAGAGGTCCTGCGTATGCTGATAGACCAAAAAGTCAAAACACGATTATCAAGAGAAATAAGTCATTTTATTAGTGCCAAGTTCACTCTGTTCCAGGAATTGAGATATTTTGTAATTGAAAAATGAAATAAAGGCCAAAAAATGAAGCAATGGTAATTCTTTCTTTAGATGGATTCTAGCAATCAGCATGTTTTATTCAGGCTTAGTTCTGTTTCTATCTTTATTCAAGCTGTAGAGTTTTAAGATAGCCTTTGGTAGATGGCACATTATTTTAGTTCCCGTAATATTCACAAGATGTCTGAAAAGTTATTAGTACTGAATGTCTTTATTTGTTCTTTGTCTAATGAGTTACTAAAGTAACTCTGGCATCAAAACATCTTCATATAATAAAGATTATTTAGTAAAGTAAATTTACCACTAACTGATCAGTTTGAGTAGATGTACTTTTAAGTAATACTGATTTGGCTTTGAGGTCCAATACAGTTCTGCTCATCAAAATATAAATAAATTAACCAACTATCCTAAGTACTTTAATAAATGTGGAACGCATTTATAGGAGTCAGCAGTATGACTTTCCTGTTTCCATAATAAGCATCTATGTAGGTCACTTCATATCGTGCATATTAACTTAATATAATCACCCTGGTAATAATCTGTTATTTGAAAGTTAAAGGAACATTTCTAGTCTAAAAATCATTTTCATCTTACCAGTTTACTCCAGATAGCAATATATCTGATTTATGTATTTTTGGTTGTGTGTGTATGATAAAACAGGATCACTTCACACTGCTTCTTTGAACCCTAAAGTCGGATGACTTATCTTTCAAACTCTGTTAACCAATTGATGGGTCAAGTGATCCAAAACTGGATGTGGTCAATAATATTCAAGTAATTTTATTTTCCAGATGTAAACTCTGAAGAGTTCACCCTAAAGATCCTGAATTGTTCTGGTGAACTTCTTATTACTAAACACATCCAAAAATCTATGGACACATATGACCCAAAAATACACTATATAAAGTGTTGAAACAGACATGTCTTTATGTTTTGACAAAATGAGTGTTACAGAAATATTTGTGTCAAAAAGCTTACAAGGGGCCGGGCATGGTAGCTCATGATTGTAATCCCAGCACTTTGGGAGGCTGAGGCAGATGGATCGCTTGAGGCCAGGAGTTTGAGACCAGCCTGGCCAACATGGTGAAACCCTGTCTGTACTAAAATACACACAAAAAATACCCGGGCCTGGTGGCATACGTCTGTAATCCCAGCTACTTGGGAGGCTGAGGCACGAGAATTGCTTGAACCTGGGATGTGGAGGTTGCAATGAACTGAGATCACGCCGCTGCACTTCAGCCTGGGTGACACAGTGAGACTGTCTCAAAAAAAAAAAAAGGTTTTGCATTAAAATATGGAAAAATGAAAGGAGCGTCATGAGAGGAGAGTCCACAGCAGTTAACCTGGGCTTCATAAGCAGAGTGTACGTGTGCGAGTGCACGTGTGCGTGTGTGTGGTGCACCGCATGGCTTCTCACCATCATTGATTTCCTCCTCATCATTAAACACTTATTGATTCCTGTCTTCTAGATGACACAGGCTGTCCTAGCAGCCAGTCAGTGTCTCCTGTGAAGACACCCTCAGATGCTGGAAACAGCCCCATTGGCTTTTGCCCTGGAAGTGATGAAGGCTTCACCAGAAAGAAATGCACGATTGGAATGGTTGGTGAAGGAAGCATTCAGTCCTCTCGATATAAGAAGGAATCAAAGTCAGGCCTTGTGAAACCAGGTCAGTGAACTTACTCGTCATGTTTTCATCAGAACAATGTGATGGGAGTAGTTTCATGTTTAAAACTAAACACCTGTATATCGAGTCGGGGATCACAAATACCGTACCCAGCATCTAAAGCATCATTTTTAAAGGAGGCAGGGTGGAAAGTGGACTATTTTCTGAAATGGTTTTTAATAACTGAGTAACTATAGTGACCTATAGTGACATGTGTATTCATTATAAAGAGCTTTTTTTAAAAAAGAGACAAAAGTGAAGAAATATAAGCCAGATGTTTTAACAAGCATTTAAACTATATGAGTAATTCTAGATTCAATTATACTAAGCAATTAGTTAGTACTATCATAAGTGACCACAAACCGTGAAGAGAACAGGTTATCTCAATGCAAATCTCTGTAGAGCTGGGAGTTATCTTGATGCAAATATGTAGAGCTGGGCATACTTGCTAACTTAGTTATAGTCTTTTAGAGATTTAAATATGAATATGATATGTATAAACACATGTAAATGTTCAATAATTACAAAATATTAGAAGCTATAAGATGAAATGGAGGTCATCACTGCAGTGAATGAAATGCCAGCAGCATCAGAAAAGGTCAATTCTCAGAATCTGCACTATGTAAATGAATATTTTGTATCTCAGAAATACACATGCAGTATATTTACTTTAAAGTAAAAGGATGTGTTCATCGTCATTGGGAGGTATCCTCTAACATTGCATTATTCTCTTTAACATTCACAGTTATGCTATCCATATTTATGAGCTGAAAAGACAGATTACTGGCTTGCATGAGTCCTTGTTTCTTACATTTGTCTTCTAAGTTTTGTTTGGTGATGACATTATTGTGCAAGGAGCTACAGATGGTTTTATTTTGATGGGGCCAAGGCCTAGCCCTGTGTCCTCTTCCATAGGATGCTAACATTTCTTTCTGCTTTTGTTCTTCCTGAGTCACTGATGTACACAATACATCATAATGGATTATTCTTCATCTTGCTCTTGTCAACCAAAGATTAGGTCATTTTGTCACCAAGGAAAACTTAAACTGTGAAAAAGAAATCCTCTATTTCCTAGTGGTGCCTGATAAATGTTAGTCATAATGAATTCGTTAATAGTCTCCCACTTTGGAATAATATGTAAAAGAAAAGGAATGCTACACAATGAAGAAGGAAAGACAGCCTATAAATGAGAAAGATGGGGATGATACAAAGGGTGTTGAGCACCCTTGATATTTAAGAAAGAGACAATGAGTTAAAGAATGTCATGAAATTTTAGCCAAGAAATAAAACAATTACCTTGTGTACCCAAGGGCTAGGACTGTCTCCCTTAGCTCAACTGCCTTTTTGAAAAATTGAGATATGATTCATATACCATAAAATTCACCCTATAAAGTGTTCAATTCAATAGTTTTTAGCCTATTCAAACTGTTGTGCAAACATCACCATTTACTAATTCCAAAAAGTTTGTATCACTCCCAAAAAGAAACCCCAAGTCCATCAGCACTCTGTTCCCCCTTTCCCCAGTCCCTGAAAAGCACTAACCTACTCTCTGCCTCTATTTGCCTATTGTCGACACCTCAAACAAATGGAATTATACAGTATGTGGGCTTTTGTACATGGCTTCTTTCCCTTAGAATAATGTTTACAATGTTCACCCATGTGGTGTACATCAGTACTTCATACGTTTTTATTTTATTGTATTTTTTTTTTTGAGACAGATTCTCACTGTCGCCCAGACTGGAGTGCAGTGGTGCGATCTTGGCTCACTGCAACCTCCACCTCCAAGGTTCAATGGATTCTCCAGCCTCACCCTCCCAAGTAGCTGGGACTACAGGCAAGCGCCACCATGCCCGGCTACTTTTTTTTTTAGTAGAAATGGGGTTTCACCATGTTGGTCAGGCTGGTCTCAAACTCCTGACCTCAAATGATCTGCCTGCCTCAGCCTCCCAAAGTGCTGGGATTACAGGCATGAGCCACTGTGCTGGCCCTACCATCCTCTTTTTGCATTCCCAGAACACAGGCTCTAGTGCACATTAGAGACTCAGTCAACATTTGTTGACCTCAACAGCAAAGGTAGGCTATGGGATTCAGAAGATAAAATGATGTAGGAAAGAATGTCAGCTTCATAGATTGAAAAAAAAAAAAAAAGTATGTTTCATCATGAAGCTATTGTAGGGTTTTAACATAACCTGTAATGATTTTATTTTTGTTATCCTCAGCCCACCCCCACCACCTCATTCCCAAAACATTTTATGGTGATGGCAATACAAGGAAACAGTGAAACAGTAGACAAGTATGGCACAGTAAGAACAAACTAAGTTTATATGAGCGTTAATATTATCATGGCCCTTCCTTGTTTCAATAATCATAATAATTATATGTTAACAAAATACTTAAAACTCTGTGTATATATACAGAATTCACACTGAGCAATTCCCTAATCCTGTAGAAAATACTCATTTGCTAAAGAGCAGCCACTCATCTTGATGAGAAGTATTATGGCTCTCCATCTTCATGAGGAAATCACAGGGAATAGGCCGGGCGTGGTGGCTCATGCCTGTAATCCCAGTACTTTGGGAGGCTGAGGCGGGTGGATCACGAGGTCAGGAGTTCAAGACCAGCTTGGCCAACATGGTGAAACCCCGTCTCTACTAAAAATACAAAAATTAGCCAGGCGTGGTGGTGTGTACCTGTAATCCCAGCTACTCAGGAGGCTGAGGCAGGAGAATTGCTTGAACCCTGGAGGCGGAGGTTGCAATGAGCCGAGATCATGCCACTGCACTCCAGCCTGGGTGACAGAGCGAGACTCTGTCTCAAAAAAAAAAAAAAAAAAAAAAAGAAAGAAAAGAAAAGAAAAGAAATTACAGGGAATAAAGGAAGGATAAAAGGATGGAAGGAAGGAAGGAAAACAAAAACAGTTTTTCTTAATGCTATTTTGATTCATGGATCCTTGAGAATCATTAAAACTATGGACCCATACTCCAGAAGAGTGTCCATATGCACAAAATATCACATACCATTTCAGGGGTTTCATGGATCTCATTTGTTAGCATTTATGAATCCTAGTTCAATGACCCTTCCCCAAAGCCAAAGCCTCAAACAACCGCTTTTGTTAACTTTGTCAACTGCTTCTAATGTAATTGCTCAGAGGCATAAATATCACCTGAGCAGTTTTTAGCTGGTGATCTTTTTATTTATTCATATTTAACCAAGGTAAAGGGGTCCCTAAAGCTTATTTTTTTAGTTGCCTAAAATTTCTAATGTCATCACTGGAAACGTTGCTACAGCTTTTTTGAGTGCGACCTAATTCTGTACGGTAAGTTCTTTGACAAAAATCTGCACCGTGACCTATAGTTCTCTGAACTTTTAGCAGAAAAAACCTGTCAGTCTCATAAATATGAAGAGAGGAAATCCTGGAAGCGAGGCCCCTGGATGACTCTAAAATTTATAGAATCCAGAGACATAATCTGTTAAAACACAAGAGGATACTGCTCTCAGGTCAAAATGTCCTGCCTCCTCCATAGCCCCAAGCGACCATCTCCTCTCAGCCAAAATGGATCTTCAACTCTTGATGCATGCTCTACTTTTTTAAAAATAAGTCAACTCATTAATAACAATACCAATTTATTAAAATAGCAAGCAATTAGTGGCTCTTATACGGAGGCTCAGGGACTCTTTAATATTAAGTAACCTAAGCCCATTTAATTTTAGGTCTCTTGCTCTAGATTCTGGAACACTGCTGTTCACCTCAGGAAGGAGTTATTAAAATGCCCCTTTGGTCATTAAGATAAAGAGCTAATAATGTTCCCTGAGTGTATGATGCAGAAGAAGAAGGGAAATATGTCACAGGACCTCGGGGAAGGGCTTGGAAAGGTGAGCCGAGCAAGCCTGTACCTTGCCAACAGGGCCCGGCAGCACACGCAGCAGGAAAGCCCTTCCTGTTTCCAGGCAGGAACTGGTTCTGGAAACTTCTTGGAGGCGGTGAGCCTTCTGTCATTTTGGCTTCTATCACTTAATGCCTATGCAGATTTAATTAAAAATTGCCACCAAGGAGCAAAAGAAAACAGTACTACAGTCCAGTTGGATGGTGGCTTTGTGTTTTCATGTTTCTCTTTTATCTACAACTCTGCAAAACACGCAAGGCTGAATCTGCAGAGCCTAATTTGTGTCTGTCATAAAGTATTAAAGCTGTCCAATAAATACTTAAATGAGAAGTAGAGCTTATACTTTGTGCAAGAGATTATGTTTTGTGTGGGAGGAGCGTGGGGAAGTTGTGACAAAGAACCTCCTCCACAGCATCCCTGCTTTTAGGGAGCTTGTAATTTAAGGCAGAATACTGTATGATAAGTTTGGACTGTGGTACAGATTAGAAGAAAATAAATGAAGGCTTTACAACTGGGAAATGTTTTAGGAATCTGAGGTGTTCCTGCTCCCAGGTGCTCCTCCCGTATTTAGTTTGCAGTCAGTTTCCTGATGAAACTGTTTCTACCCAGAAATGAAAGACCTACCTAATTGGATTACTTCCTTAGAACATTAAATGACAGTGCTGGGCCTCATTTAAGGCTTGACTTCCTACTTGGGGAATATCTTAAAGCAAGGAAGAAAAAGATCTAATGTCATTGTTTTACAAAGGGAAGTACTAAATCTTTTTGTCCACAAGGTTAGAGAGATGGGAAAACCATTACACAATTTAAACAAATAAGTAGAAAGTGAGAAAGGAGAAAAGCACTGGAGGCTATTAAGGAGACTGGTAAAGAGCAAATGGTTAGGGTCACTAAAATTTACAAGAATCCACATTTAGAAACTGAAATGTTAAAATCTGCATGTGAAAGATGTCACTGTATCTCCTTAGCATTCAAACTAAGTTAGTATCCCCTTGTCATCAGACACTACCCCTGCTACTGAAATTGGAGACCTAGCTAAGCTGAACTCTAATAACCTTACGACAATAGCAGAGGATTGGTTACTTTAGAAAACCTTATTTCCCACATTCAGAAGCATTTGCTAGAAAACTCAAAAGGCACCAACAAGGTTAGTGGTTAATCAACACTGATTCCCTTAATAGAGGTTCATGCACACACAGTGAAGCTGACAGATGTTTCTGTTCTTACCATGAGCATCACTTTCACTTCAAAGTTAGTTCTGTGAAATAAAACAGCTAGACAACTTACCTAGAGTAGGCCATTCTTGTAATAACTTGAACAACCTAGAGGGGAGTTGAGAGTGTAGATTTACACAGCCTCTCCCCAGGTTACCTAACTTGTCCTATCTTGGGGGAAAAAAAGTACTTTTGTGTTATTGGGTGGGGGGGAGGAGAACTTTCTAACCACTAGGCTCTAGAGTCCAGCATACTAGGTTCAAGTCTTTATACCACTATTTTGTAGCTGTGTGATCTCTAGCTACTTGTTGTCTTCTTGAGACTCTGTGTTCTGCATCTGTAAAATAGGTTATGGAAAATATGAAATAGGTGAAATTAATGAATATCAAGTGCTCTGTGTTGGACCTGGCAGAAAGTAATTCCTCACTAAATGTTACTGATGGTCATTTGTAGCTCTTAAAATAGATGCCACACATTCTGTGCACTTCATGTACAGGAAAACTCCTAAAAACTCTCACACACAATTTGCATGTACTTGGAACAAAAATCTAGCAGGTTATGTTATCCCATGTCACATAAAAGGAGAGGAATAGTTGCTCTAGGAGGACAGACAGGAGTATGAGTTTACAGCTGATGGCTGACAATGAACAGAGATGGGAAAATATAAAAATATAAGTGAGCAGACAGAGACCACTAAAAAGCTAGGTGGTGCTTTTTTTCCTTTCTTTTTTTTTTCTTTTCTTCTTCTTCTTTTTTTTTTTTTTTTTTTAACAGAGTCTTTCTCTGTCACCCAGGCTGGAGTGCAGTGGCGCAGTCTCAGCTCACTGCAACCTCCGCCTCCCAGGTTCAAGCAATTCTCCCTTCTCAGCCTCCCAAGTAGCTGGGATTACAGGTGCCTGCCACCACGCCTGGCTAATTTTTGTGTTTTTAGTAGAGACGGGGTTTCACCATGTTGGTCAGGCTGGTCTCAAACTCCAGACCTCAGGTGATCTGCCCGCCTTGGCCTCCCAGAGTACTGGGATTACAGGCGTGAGCCACCGCACTCCGCCTGGGTGGCCTTTTAAGTGTTTTAGGCCATTGACAGCTTTTATCACTTGTAGCGCTTAGTGCAGTAATTGATGTAAAAGCAGATTGAATCAATGTGATGGTGAAGTTGGAAAACACAATGTATATGAAGGCAGAAAAATGTGCCAAGCATTTTAACAGTGTCTCCATAGAGTGGAAAAAAATTAAAATTTTAGTGCTAACGGGAAGATTTTGGTTATATGAAAACATTCTGCATACTTTGGCAAGGCATAATTTTTCTAATAGCTTGCCAGTTATAAGCTAAGGTCTTCCGGCAGCAAACCCGAGCCTCAAATACAGGCTGTAAGCTATTTCAGATACTATGAGCCTTATGAAAATATTTGGAAGGATACATTAGATGTAACTGTGGGCTTGAATAACACTCTGAAATTTGATTAGTTTTTTTAAACGAATAGTTATCAAGCACTGCCTGTCCCAAGCAAAATTCCAAGCACTTAACTCATTTCATCCTAATATCAATGCAAGAAAGGGATATCATTATCCTTCATTTTACAGATAGGAAAACTGGGGTACAAGGAGGTTAAGTGACTCATCCAAGGTCACACAGCTTGTAAATGGATTTTAAACAGGGTAGCCTTGCTCCTAACTCTTAACCGCGGCCATAGTAGTAAAGTCCACCTTCAAAGGAGTAATTTTAATTGCACTAGGAGAGTGTTAAAATTAAGAAAGACGTGTTGATATAAAACACAATTTTTTAAAATGTTGGTAGAGCCCTAAAAATTCCTACTAATTTTTATAAATTAGCTGATACAGTCCATATGTACATTATGTTGACAGTTGCCAGTAACAAAATCAGTGAGCCTCAATGTAACTGCAATGAAGTACAGAAAGTTGGACATACAAGGCCATTTGGATGCAAATCAGTAAAAATAAACCATAAAGATATGAATAGCAAAAAATGTTAAGGTCGTCAGTGTTTTCTACTTAATCATGAGCTAGTCCTTTCTTCACATGTCAAAATGTCTTATGTGCTACCCTGCATATCATGAATATTTTCTTAAATGAAAATCATTAGAGTTTGTCAGCTTAAGCAAGAGCTTTTGTATTTATACTGAAATAGATCTCTAAAACTTTCTTTCACCCTGAGAGAAAGAATGCTCCCCTAGGATACAGCAGATCATGTTTTATGGCAGGCCATTTTATAGTTTATCACATCTCCCCAGCAGGGACCAAACCAGTAAAATAAAGCTTAAATGTGATAAGTGGACTTAGTGTTTATCTTTATGGCAGGGTTACATATTTTCTCTCATGCCTTTCTCCCATCTGTGTTTTCGATGATGCACCCAATTGATGTAATGGTGCCAAATGGCCCTTTAATGGTTTTTCCCTAAGAATTAGTGAATTATAATCCTCTTCTTTCCAAAGGTAATTGCCATCCAAATCCTGGGTCTACTGGGATTTATTGCATGCACAGTGTTCTTAGCCACTGATTTGGGGGCCTGCCAAATGCTTACTCAGTACTCTAATGTGTTGAGAAGGAAGCGTTATAGGTCTCTCAAAAGTAGTGGAAGCTCCAGCAGACCAGATACCCACCATTCAACGTATTTATCAACTGTCAGCATAACAGAAATAAACCTGGAAACTTCTTTTACACACAGACTTCTAAACCAAGCATTGTAGATCATGCAGATATATGCTTTAGGTTGGGCTTTCCCCACCTCCCTAATTGAGGAGCATTTATTGAAGAGACTGACTGCAAAGGTATGTGCATGATTAAGGGGATTCGATAAAGTATGGTAAAATACTGGGTGCTGGCAACAGCTTGGGGCCATTCCTGCATCCTGAAGGAGCAAGAGGAGGGTAGAGTTACCAACCTAGAGAGAGAACTTCAAGGCCACCTGTGAAGGAACTATGGACTTTAGCAGAGGAATGCAGCCACCAGCAGAAAAGGGGCCAGAGGGATAAATACCTGGACCTCACTGTCTGCTGGTACAATCTGTTGCATGGCATTTTGGTGAACTGTAGGATTATTTACAGAAAGTTACCTGTTGAACAGCATAGTATGTTCACTTGGGCAATTCGATGGGTTAATTTCTTCCACCACCTAAGCCTGTATCTAAGAGCAGCCAAGTAAGCTATATGAATGCCGACTGCGGTCAAGTGGAGTAATGCTTCAGCAGCACAGCTGCAATAGGCTTGTATTCCAACATACACGGACTGGCATATTTGTAACATTGCAAGAAGGTGACGCTCTGAAGGAGTCTAAAGGAAAGGGAACCCTCATTTCACCACGTAATCAAGAAGAGGTTTCTGCTAAACATAGGTTTGACTCCTGGCTGTACATTTACTAGCTTTCATTCATTCATTTGATGAATATTTATTAAGTGTTTGCTCTATGCTGACACCATTGTTCCAGGCATTAAGGATAGAGGAGTGAAAAAACAAGATGCCTACCTTTAACGTGGGGGAGATGGCTGATGCTTGCACACAAACAAGATAAGTTCAGATGGTGACAAGTAAAACAAGGTAACTGGAGAGTGATGGGGGATAGTCAGGGGAGTGTCTGGGGTGGTGACATTTGAGCTGAGACTTTAACCTTATTGTTCCGTGCTTAAGGAGGGTTGGGGATGGGGTGGCAGGTGGTGGGCAGAGCGGTGAGTTAGGAAAGGAGAAGAGTGGTAGCAGCTGAAGTCTATATCCTTAGAGTAATGTGAAGACATTGGAGGGTTTTAAGAAGGGAGAAATGATTTGATTTACATGTTTGGGATCCCTCTGACGACTCTGTAGAGCTTGGATTATCATGAGGTGAAACTGGAAGCAAGACACTAAATTTGGATGGCTTAGCCTAGGATGGAGGTGGTGGAAATACAGAAAAGCATAGGGAGACAGTAAATATATAAGATCCCCTAATTTTCCTAATGAGATTTTTAGGTGTTTTAATTATTTATTATTTTAGAGAGACAGTGTCTTGCTCTGTCCCCCAGGCTGGAGTTCAGTGGTGTGATCATAGCTCAATGTAGCCTTGAACTCCATGGCACATGTCATTTCCAGTTATAGCCAGGACATCAGAGTCAAATGGGTGCTTATTATGGAAAAGGAGAATAGAGAAGGACATTAGTGTACAACTAGCAAGCAGGTTGTCACTGGATAGCATGGGACAGCTGGTTTTTCTGTATATTCATATATTCTTGTATACATATATGAGTATCCTTCATTATCGAAAGCTATTCAGTCACTGAATTGAGAGAGCAAAAAGGAATATAGGTTTTTGTGATTGCTACAACTTAGCCACTGACAGTATTTCTATTTAAAGTGATCATTAAAAGGCTGAAGGAGTCATACCATAGGAATAATTACAAAATCTGTTTGTGAATTTCTTTGTCTCTTCCATTTTAAACAATTCCATCAGTTGACTCTCCAAAGGGAAGCAAAATTAGCACTGATTGCAGCCAATTCAGAAGGATATGTCTTTTGCAAATGGCACTTTTTGTTCAAAGAAGGTAATTAGGAGAGAGCCCTGTAATAAGAGGCTTTGGAAGGACTCTAATGTAAGGGGATTTCTTCTTTTCTGAGAGGTAATTGCAGGAGGAGGGGTTCTTCACCTTATATTTAGACATTGAGGTAGAGTGGACCAGGTCACCTGCAGAGCAGCACGGGTCGGGGGAGTTTATTTGGTAACATAAGGAAATATTCTCTCTTTTTCTTTAACTGTAATATGAGGGGATAATTAATATGTAGCTTCTTTGCATTATTGTGAAAATCATGAAAGGTGTTAGATATGTAGCAGAATGTATGCATTACCTAAATACTACACAACACTGAGGGGTAAACATGCACATCCTCTATCTTAGCAAAAATCGGTGTTGGCATTTGACAGTGAGCTGTGTTTGTAGTGACAATATTTGCCTGGCATACAGTATGTGCTCAATAAATGATCACTTTTATTATTATTATAAAATGGGAAATAAGAAAAGTTTACGAATAGCACAACTTTAAGGCATTTGAATGTCCACTCAGCATCTCATCTGCATTAGTCTTATTCTGTCACAGATGCCTTCTTAGTAAGACTTATTCTGAAATAATGGAGAGCTTTGGTGGAAGCTTACTAAACATTTTTTCTGAGCAAACTTCTATTTAGAGGGAATCTGCCTTAAATTGTTCCAGAGAGCTCTGTATTCCATTTTCTGTCCTCAGAATAATCAGGCTCCCCTATTCCTTTCTTCTGGGCAGTGTTGTGAATTGTCATGCATATTTAAATAGCTGGAATTCATGGAGTACACCAAGAATTTTTCTCAAAGTGCTTGGTGTTTGCCATAAAATTTGTGTTTGCCATAAAATTTAGGGCTGTGTGGGGTTTGATATAATTTCTTGCTTGCCCATTGGGATATTATAATCAATGTGGAAAGATTCTATACGTTTTGGTCCAATATTGTCCGAGGATTCATCTTGACTGTTGTGTAGGCATTTACTTCTATTTGACAATTTGGTATTTCTTCAAATCCTTTGTGTCCATTCATGAGGGCGATGGTTTCATTGGAACACTGCAGTCACCAGGGAGAAGGCCCTGTGCTCTTCCCTGATAGGCTGGCTTTCCCTCTGCCTCCTGTTGCTATGGTGCCAGCAGAGTAACTTCCTTGCCCTGCACATGCAGAAGGCTCAGTCTCCATGGATACCCCACTCTGAGACTGTACTCTACTGAGATATGAGCTGCACACACTGTATTTCTGCAAAAGACATACCCCAGCCTGTGCTGGGAGGCTGTTTGCAGAGGCAATGTTTGCCATGAAAGTCTATGGAGCTTACCTTCTAAGTAAGTAGTATTAGTCACAGTAAGTAAATAATTATATTGGATCACAGAGGCTAGACTGTGTGTGTGTGTGTGTGTGTGTGTGTGTGTGTGTGTGTGTGTGTGAGTTAGTTGTGGTAGGCCAAAATGGAGCCTAAAACAAGTTTTCATCTTCACCTCTCAGATACTCTGAATGCATGGTCTTATAACTAAACTTTTAAAAATATACACATGTGTTATTTTAAATACTCTTTGTCATTTGTAAGTCTATTTGTGCAATTGTAAGTCAATTTGATGCCAAAATGAAAAAGACTGACCATTGGCAATTATATTTAGAATGCTCTTCCAACCATGAGCATTGCATGTTGCATTTGTAAATGAAAAGCCTGGCCTTACCAGTGGTGTGGTAAGGGAATAGATGAACACAGCCACAATTAACGCTAATTGGCACTGCACATAGTTTGAAGTGGGCCTCTGTGTAGGCTGAAACACGATGTATTTATTATCAAGAGAGAGCCTGTTCGTGTGATTAGGAAAGGGAATACCCATGTCTGCCTGATTACCATGAAAATTACTCAGAACACATCTCTCTGGCCAGTTTTAATTTACTTTTCTCACATGGCATCCAGTAGAAATTCTGAAACAGTTAATGTTCATGGAATTGGGATGTGGAACATTTTTATTTTTATTAACTAATTTGACCTAACACTTCCTCTTTACTGTACATTCCAAGAGCATAAAGGTTGGGTTTGTAGTGTTGTAAAACACATGAGTCATCTTAAAGTACTTTTCATCTGCTGGGCAAATGATTAATGCCTGTGGTGGTAAAATTAATTAGTAGAAACAAAAGAAATACTATGTTTATGGTAACTCCAACTTTAGTTCGGTAACTTTAAAATTGTGTAAAATTAAGATATTTAGATTGTTCACATATATAGCTGACATCTGGCAGCTCTAAACAAAAAGCAAAACATATACTATATTAGTATAAGAGAAATTCATCTTTAATCATATAAAAAAGTGAACACAGCATTATGCTAGATTGTTAACTTTGTTTACTTTTTTATGCTCATGACTACTTAGGCAAAGGGCACACTGTTTTTATGTCATCTTTTCCAACGGTTAGTCATGGCTCAATTTTAATTGCCCAGAACAGTGAAAAGATACCACCCTTTGAGAATGTGAATGTACCAAGGACTACTCTGTCCCTGGCTTTGTCACTGGGGTCAAACTTTAGGTGATTAACTTAATATTTCATAAGTATAATTTCTAACAGTAGATGGAATAGCAGACAAACATGGGTGTGTGAGAAATTCTATAGAGATCATGATTTTGGAGCCCTGGAAACCATGTGGATGACACTTTCTCCAAATTTTTACTGCACTAACAGTATAAAGCCCCATATCCCTTTCTCAGTGGATCTGCAATGAAGTCCCCTGCCCACCTCTAAAAACCAGCATAGTATGGGATTTATTTTTAACCTCAAAATATCTGACTCTTTTCTCTAAAACTTTTCTTTCCTCTATGTAGTGGAGATAGTAAGAGTACCCCTCACATAAGGCTGCTTTGAAAATTCAGTGAAATAATCAATGGCATATGGCATACAAAAAAATTAACTTCTATTGTATTGTGATTACTATAAACGTTATCATCATTTTTACAATGCCTGGTAGTCAAGGGAGGCATTAGCTAATAGCTTGAACAATTCTTTGTTTCAATTTGATTCAGCCTATCAAATTTCTTATCAAGTACTTACTAAGAATCTACTATGTGCTTAACATTTTGATGGGAATTGTGGGATTTTATGTACATGAGAATGTACCTAACAAAAAGTGAAATATACAGTAGTGGTTTTTGTTTCCTTTTCAAATGTGTGACTTTGTTGTTTTGCTAAATAGCTATATATATGTGTATGTATGTATATATATGAAATTGTTTTGCTATTAACAAAATGGGTAAGATACCACAGTCTGAGCCATAGCATAAGTCTAGTTAATATTTACAACTTGAATTTAAAATGTGATGATTAAAATCTAGGTTCAAATATTAAGTTCTTTTTTTTCCTGAAAGGATTTCCATGATGTAGTTTGAAAAAAAGCAATTTCATTTTTCATTAGATTCAAAGTTTGGGGAATGATGGGAGAGGAGGAGATGGGATATGATTGATTAATCTGTATAAAAATAGGCCCCATGCTGGGATTTTTCCTTTTGCACTAATTCTGTGTGACATCTGAGCCAAAAAAATACATAAAACCAATGCCATATGTGCTGAGCCTGCTGGTGCTTATTTTAAAACGCATGAAGAGTTGACCCAGATTATATTTTGCAGCTTTATATTTATTTTAATGCCACTTTAATTTCCACTTCTTCTGGCATATTCTCTTCTTTCCTTCTGTTTTCCCTGGAAAGAACGTGGCATGTGCACCAAGGACTATACCAAGTCACTTGAATGAAAAAAAGGAGCAGGGGGGTAGCATTTGTAGGATGTGGTTTAAAATGAGGTCTTGAGAGGCTGGGAACTTGGAATCAATGTATGTTCATACATGCTGAATATGTTTAGCTAAACATAATTTCAGATGCAATATCACTCAGATGGCCTAGCTAGAATAAGCCTTCTATTTTAAAGTTGCAATGGAACAATTAAATCCTTAGCAATATCCCCACTAGCATGGTGACTTTTACTTATATTCTGCTAGTCTGTGAACAAAATAATGCCCCACTTTCTATTCCATTGTTATTAGTCACACATGCACATGCTCTGATGGTGCACAGTTCGTCAGTTGCTTGCTGGTACCTGGTGCTTCTGTCATGATATTCGGGTCATATCTGGGGAGCTTTCTGAGGTCTCAGCTGACGTTTCTATTTGTTGCATCCTTTTCCATCAGGAGAGTTTGTGGCACTTTCAGAGTAAGGGATGCTTCCTTGTCTTACATGGCAGCAACATTATTCAGGGAAACTGGATCTTCCTGAGTGTTTGGCTTCTTGTACTCACCTCTGAGGTTGAGATAGGCAGGCTCTGTGAGCCTCTGCCAGGAAGATCTGATTTCTGCCGAGACTACTGGCGGGCCTGACTGTTCTTGAAAGATGAAGGCTATGCCTGTATCCGATACTGGGTTACTGCCTGACATCCAATGCCCTTTCCCTCATCGTTAGAGGAAGAAGTGAAAGACCCAAGCCACGAGCTTAGAAGCACTAGTGCACAGAGGGCAATGGTTTAGAATCTGCAGATTGCTCCATAGCCTCCTATACTGCCCAGCCCAGAGAACCAGGGACAGTAAAGGGATTTTTCCCATGCAACACTGGGTCATTCTCAAGTTTTGGATAAGATTCTCCAACTCAGCATTTCCACCCTTCCTTTTCTTCTCAGTCTCAGCTACCATTTAAAAGAACTGAACCTGGTAATGCTACTCATTTGTTTTTTTAAACGAATGTTTATTAATGTGCTAGGCAGTGACCAGGCACTGGGTACAACAATAAACTAGGGGATCCCTGTATGTTGTGATATGTTTCAGGAGGAAGCGTAGTGTCCAGTGGGAGCCCAGAGGATGACCATGTTACCTAGACTCTGGGGTCTGGGAAGGGTCCCAGGAAAAGTAATGCAATATTGATACTTATAAAGGGTAAAACTGTATTTTTAAGGCAAAGACACTTAGGGATTTGAACTTCACATGCAATCGTTGTTAACTTAAATACTATGTATGCCCTTAGAGGCAGTGTTTTTTTTTAAATTCTATTGTTATGGTAACCATGTTATATTTAATAATAATTTTTTAGATGGCTCCTTTCTCTACTAGAATGTGAACCTGTCTAGGAATAAGATCACGTTTTCTTTTTTCTTTCTTTTCTTCTTTCTCTCCTCTCTTTCTTTATTTCTCTCTGATAAGCATTTGTTTTAAATTCAGTTTTGCTGCTTCCCTTATTTCTTTATAAATACTACATATAATGTGATGCATAAAGAGAATGTATGTGACATATGCGTGAGCTGGGTAGAATAATAATAAAGCAAAACTTGTGATTTCACCTTCCACTTTAAGATTTACCACCAGGGAAGCTGCCTGCACACTCCTCCCAGATCCTATTCTCTGACTACCCCAGGGGTAACCACTGTACTGAAATGTGTGTTTTAACATTTCCTTGCACTTTAAAAATAATGTTACCAGCTTAGATATGTGCCCTTTACAATATGTTGGGGGGTATTTTCAAAACTACTGTTTCCAAAGCCTGCTTATTCCCTTGTTTTTACTGCCATGCAAACACTCTTTGATGGTCCTAAAAAGAGTGGCCTTGATTTATTTTTCGTAATACTCTGCTTTGCTTTTCCATTTTATTTTGGTTTTTCACAGAACATTGTGGGCTGGAGAGGGAAGGGGTGGAGAAAGTAGAGAACACTGAGTACACTTGAATTTAAAAGTTAACTTGTGTAGGGGGGTGGGGCAGAGTAGCTGGGCAAGCAAAGGGTTGGCCTGGGAACATGTGCTTTGTGCCAGATGTCACTGAGAGTGAGATCCTGGGGAAGGTTCCACTAAAGGAGTCCAAGGAAATGCAGAGCATAATTTGTGAGCAGAGCAAAATCCAATTGTGAGTATGCTTCATTCATTTTAAGTGCTATAAACCACACCAGGATTTGTAGAAAATGTTTTTGGAAGGATGAGTGGGAGTTCAAAAACATTTTGTTCAGAAGCTTGAGAGTTAGAATAATTTTCAATTGATAGACAATGGTATGAGGTGAAATGTTGTTGCTTGCTGCTGGAGACAGAGCTCTTTGCCTCTTGTCGGCTTCCGCCCCAGCTCGAGAAGGAAGACAGAAGTAGGAGCGAGGCATCCCAGTGCATGTCCCCTCCTGGGGCGGACACTGGGCTCTGTGGTCCTTGCACAGGTGTCCCAAGGCAGGCGTGCAGGAACTGTTCCGCCTGCTTTCCACCTGCTTTCCTGTGACCACATCACCTGATCCAGGCATTTCTCTGTTGTGCTGCCAGGACTTATCTTGGAAATATTTTCTTGTGACTTCATTATTCTGTTTCTCCCTTTCTCATTTGAGTTCCTTGAACACATGTCAGGGTTAAAAACAACCCCAACGCCACTAAGCCTTCCATTTCTCCATTTGCTTTTGTTCTCACACTCCCTACAGATGCCAGAAATTGCCAGAATTTACCCAGCTTATTTGTTTTATTGTATTGACGTTTGTGCTTGCAAACGAAATTTACATGAAAGATTACACAGACACCTGTAATCCCAGCACTTTGGGAGGCCAAAGTGGGTGGATCGCTTGAGGTCAGGAGTTCGAGACCAGCCTGGTCAACATGATGAAACCTGTCTCTACCAAAAATGCAAAAATTAACCGGGTGTGGTGGCATGCTCCTGTAATCACAATTACTCAGGAGGCTGAGGCAGAAGGATCACCTGAGCCCAGGAGGCAGAGGTTGTAGAGAGCCGAGTTTATGCCACTACACTCCAGCCTGGACGATGGGAGTGAAACCCTGTCTCAAAAAAAAAAAAAAAAAAAAATTACACAGAGGTTAAATCTAGTATTGATCTTGGAGTACCTCAATCCATTCTTATCAGATTATCCAATTCTTCACAAATTCTTCAGGCAATATATAAGAGACATTGTTCTTTTCATTTGATTGAGATATTTCCCATTTTGTTTGCTTTTCCAAACATACGTATCTCCACTCAATTGTTCTTTTATGTGGGTAGCACTGCAGTCAAGCATATGGCATAAGATAAAGGTGTTTTTTAATGTTTAACTTGACTTTATCCTTTTTCTATTTTTAATCATTTTGTCCATCTGGAGTGTCAAATGATTTTGAACCCATACAGTTAATTTTGTGGAACCTAAGAGCTACCTGGAAAGGGTCTCCTTTTTCAGCATTCCTTTTCCCTTACCTTATGACCCATCTCCAAACTGTAACAGTCACCTGAATTCCCCACCAGCCTCCAGTCTCTCCTTCAGATATTGCTGTCATGTTGTCTTCATAAAGCATCACTGTTCATGTTACCACCCCAAACAAAACTCATTATGGTTCTCTCTTGCCTTCAGTATGTCATAGTTCCCTCTTGCCCATAGCATAATTTTTACATTTTTCAACTCTCTGGTTACAACTCACCTTTTTGGCTGCATTTTCTCATATGATCACTATATTCTAGCCATACAAGGGACTCCATATATGTACTAAACATGCCCTGTGTTTTTCTTCCTCTGTGTTTTAGTTCATGTGATCTCTTTCACCCAAGGTCAACTCCTGTCCATGCCCCCAACACTATATTCTTCCTGGTGTATCAGGGCCATCTCAAGTGTCATCTCTCCCATGACATATTCCCCTGCCCTCATCCCTTCACCCTAGCTAAGAAGATTTCTTCCTCCTCTGTGTTTTCTGGGTGCCCGCCCTCTCTGTTTGCACTCATTGTATTCTGCCTTATATCCTGGTTGTTTGTCTGTATAGTCTAACTCCTCCTAGGAAACCCTTGAGCATTGGAACTGTTTCTCCATGCCTCCCCCATCCAGTGCCTTAGCCTAGGAAGTGTTTAACGCATAGTTGAGATGGACTAGATTGAACATTGTTGTCTTGGTTTCCTGATCTTAGATCTTTGTGAATTCTGATCACAAGGATCAAGCAGAGTGATGTCAGACAAGCCAGCTCTGCTGCTTAGTAGCTCTGTGATTTGGGGTGAGTCTCAGCATCACTCAGAACTTTGGTTTCCTGGTCTTTACTTGTATGTCTTTGGGAGGAAGGATTAAAGGAAATAGCAGCTGTAGAGTTCTTGGCAGAGTAGGCTCTGAGTCCACAGTGGCTAGTGGCATTATTATCTGATGCTGTCATCCGATGCATTAGTTATCCCTTCAAGGTTTTGTGTAATCAGGAGTCTGCCGCCAACACCACACCATCCATGATTTCATTCATGTCATTAATAAAGCATGTTAAATAGGATATGGACAACACCAGGGCCAGGTGATGTGTTACTAGAGATTTCCCTAGAGGTTGACAGACAGTCCATTTGTCAACATCCCGTGGGTACTGGACTGTGCTATCACCCAATGCACACATGTCGACCTTGTTCATAAGAGTATCCTAAGTGTTTGCATTAAACGTCTGCTGAACTCCAAATATGTGATGTATGTGGCCATGTTAACTCCTTCAGAAAAGGATGTGCAGATTGTTTTTCACATCTGAGCCAGTGAACTCCTGCTGGCTCCTTCTTGCCTTATTAAAGGACTTTCTCTACAATTTTACTGGAAATCAACACCAAACAGCAGTTTGTGATTTTCAGAATTTATCTTTTCTCTATGTTCATGACCTGCAGAGTTTTTGCCCATTTCCAATCTTCTACCTCCCATCCTTTCCAGTTTCTCAAAGTTAATGATACCATTTCTGCAATCATATATGTAAGTTCTTTTGGTACCTTTCTTCCCTCATTCATTAAATATTCTTCTGAGTCTCCTATAAGCCAGGCTCTGTGCTCTTGGCTCTGGGGATGCAGTGATGAACAAGACAGAGGTCTTTGCAGTTAGCGTGGTTTTTGCATGCTGGTATCCTGGGCTGAAAACTTGACTTTTAAGAGGTTTGGGCATACAGGCTGGAAGTAGGAGTGGAAGGGAGTATTTTTGTCCTAATTGGAAATAACATCAGTCTGTCAATCCAACCTAAAGGGCAAAATAGGAGAAAGAGGAGCTATCCCTAAATGCCAATGGTGGAGAAACTTTTAATGCTGTGAAATAACATTTCAAAACAACAGCACCTACTCTGTGCTAAACCCTGTGTGACACATGGGGATACAAAAGAACACGCCCTCAAGGAGCTGACAAGCATACTGGAAAATATGTTAAAGCAAACAGGCAATTGCAGTGCAATGTGATAAATACTTGTTAAATTCTTGGTGGGGTCAGATAAAGGAGGGCCACCTAATCCCCTTCCTGAAGGAAGTAAAGCTCAAGGCTAAACTGAGACCTGAAGAACAGGTAGTAGTTAGCCAAGCCCAGAGGGATGGGAAAATAATCCAGCTAGAGGGAACAGCATGTGTGAAAGCTGGGAGTCTAGAGGCTATCGTGCCTCCTTCAGGAAACTGTGAATGGTTCCATTGGCAGTGGTTATGGTATGACAGTCTGAAGAGATTATGGAGGGTTTGTAAATCGTGCTAAAGAGTTTGGACTTCATGGACACAGGGTGCCATTGAGGAGTTTCAACAAGGGAATTGCCTAATGAGGTTTCTTCTCTGGAGTAGTGTGGAAGACAAACTGCTCAGGGCCACAAGGAGCAGCTGGGCACAGTGTGATGCTGTTTCAGTAATTCTGGGTGAGAAATGATGATGGCCTCAGGTGGAGAATTCAGGATGGGAAAGAGCAGACAGATGACACAGTTACTAAACAGACAGATTTGAAAACAAGAAGCATTTGTTGTAGTGATTTCTCAACATTACTGTGCGTAGAAGATCACCTGGGCAATTTGTGAAAATGGATTATGAGGCTGACTTAAAGAAATTTCAATCAGCAGATCTGGAGTATGAGTCAAGAATCTGTATTTTTAACAAAGAGGCCAGGTGATACTGATGCAGGTGGTCCTCAGACTGTACCATAAAAAACCCTATCTATTTGATGTTTCAAATGGCAACACTTCTTTAAAATGTATTTCTGTTATGTTAACTTTTTGCTTAAGAATGAAGATTCAATCCTATTATCTTTGTCGAAAGTAGATGAATGACACAGCCCCAGGGTTTACTGTGCAAGGGCAGTCTCCTTGCTAGTATAGTCTGTGTTCACTAATTGTTTGCTCTCTGGTGGGGGATACAGAATAGAGTAGTGATGATTTCGTTAAGACTTTTTATTGCAGATTGTTTGTAAATGTGTTTTCAAAGGTTTCAGTGCAAGCAAACACTTTGGGTGGGATGGGGGGTGAGGGTGGCAAAATTGCCCCAAGTCTTGAAGTTCCACGCAGGTATACTTTCCTGGTGTTTAAGGCACATTTTGAATCTTATTGTGATGTTTCAGATCCCCACATAAGGGCTGTGTGACCTTCAGCAACTTACCTGTTGTCTACTTTCCTCACCTGTAAAATAGGAATAATAATTGTACCTCTTTCATATGCTTGATATGAAGATTCAATGAGAATGCCTGTAAGGCACTTTGAACAGGGTGTGAACATAACAAGCCATTTCTAACTATTCCCGAGAGAAACTAGGTCATCTACAACTTATCACTTGTATTTAGAGTTTAGTCACTTAATAAATACCTTTCCTTCTTAAATCACATTACTTAGATAGTCTACAGTGCCCATATGGAAGAATTATTAGAAAAATTTAGTGTTTAGCAGCACACATACCAAACACGTGGATAAGTAGGCTAATGATGATGATGATGATGAGTATTTACTGTGCACTTACAGTAGTTCATATTATGGCGTTTAATTCTCACAAAAATTCCATATGATAGGTACTCTTTTAGTCCCTTTTTACAGTGAGTAAACTTAGGCATAGAGAGGTTAAGTGATTGCCTGAGGTCACACTGTCATTAATGAAAGAGTGGATATTTGAGCCCTGAATCTGCTGATGCTAGCACCTGCTCTTAACCACAGCTGTTAAAAACATATTGTCAATTACATGCAGCATGGTTAGTACCACTCAGTATTATGCCAAGTAAATTAAGCAGTTCACTCATTTTGGATGTGAAATATGTAAAAATGTTCCCAAAATATATACTACAGTGTGTATCTGTATGTCAAATTACAGTCAAGCCGGCTGCTCTCACTTTGTCAGAGGCAGCCATTCAGGAAGCTGCTGGGGGATCTCAGGCATAGGCCTGTCTTAGGGCAGTGGTCCTCAAACTTTAGCATCTATATTCCTGGAGGGCTTATTAAAACATATATTACTGGGTCTCACCTCTACCCATAAGTTATTTAATCTTACAGAATGTCACCTCTGCTCCTAAATTAGTCATCTTCTCATTCTTCTGAAACAGTGACTCTCAAAGAGTGGCTCCAAACCAGCAGCATCAGCACCACCTGGGAAACATGTTTCTGACTCACTGAGGATGGTTTAAAATCTATCCCATAATTGCCTGACTCGCTCAACAGACATTTAACTTCACAAAGACATTTTGAAGTGACAAGTCATCAGCTCTAACACATAGATGCTTAGATAAAAATCAAAAGATAGAAATTTTTACTTTGCCTGTAACATCTAAAAAGCATAGCAGTTACTTCCTCATATAGACTCAAAAAACTTTTTTTTGAGACAGGGCCTTACTCTGTCACCCAGGCTGGAGTGCAGTGGCATGCTCATGGCTCACTGCAGCCTCAACCTCCGGGGCTCAATTGATCTTCCCACCTCAGTCACCTGAGTAGTGGGACTATAAGCGCATGCCACCATGCCTGGCTAATTTTTTTTTTTTCAGAGATGGGGTTTTACCATTTTACCCAGGCTGGTCTCGAACCCCTGGGCTCAATTGATCTGCCTATCTCAGCCTCCCAAAGTGCTGGGATTACAGACGGGAGCCACTGCACCCAGCTTTAATATAGAGACTTAACTGGTGGCTTCTCCTTCTCCAAAACAGTGGGGCTTGCCTTAAAATGATGATCTTTTCTTCGCTTGCAACTTGGAATTAGGCCTTGGAATTAGGAACAAGTTCTGGGCTGCATTAAACACCAGCACATACCGTCAGGGAAGCTTTCCCCCATCACTCTTCCTCCCCACTTTGGGACAAGAGGTTTCTCCCTCGATGAGGTTGTATGCATAATCCAGCAACTCTGGGTCAGCTTCTCATGTTCATGGGCCCATCTCCTTGCCAAGTCTTAAGTACAGGGTTGTGAAGTGACCTAAGCCAAACTCAACAGGGCATCACGTAATTCCTGATCTTTGAGGGCTATTCAGGGTCAGAGCTACCATGAGACAATGGGTCACCTTAGGCATATTGGACCCTAAAATTGGAATAAGGTAAAACAGAGATTCTAGTTTTACTTTTACTCTTCATAACTACTTTTAATTATTCATAATGATAGGAAGAAGGGTAAATAAAAGTACAAATCTGTAAGGACAGGTGATCCACAGAGCATTTCTTTTTGCCTATGGAATACATTATTAAGAGTAGATTTCCTCTTGATTTTTCTTCTTAGACTCTGGAAATGCAAATACATGTTTATCAGAATGGAAAATCTAGCTAAATGAGTAACTGGAATAAAGTCAACTCATTTTCTCATTATCGGGAGAATGAAGTATAAATTATGGATAAAAATCACACACTCTAATATTATGTAGCAGTCAAATGAACACACTACAACTATATGGAGAATTTTCGCAATATAATATTGAATGAAAATTGTCCCAAAAGATTGTATATACATCATGATAACCTGTTTTATTTTAAAAAGTTAAAAACAAATAAAACAAAAATCCTCAAATTCTACCTTTTAAAAATACATAGATGTGATCATTCTTTGTAAAAGTGAACGCAAGGAAATGGTGAACAGGGGATAAGATAAAGGAAGACCACATAAATGCATGTAAGTTAGTGTCACTGTTCTAGTTTTTGTGATGGATTGGTGGTTTCTTCATTTATTATATTAAACATAAACAAAACATAAATACCTAAACAGAGCAGTCAGTAAATAAATAAATTAAAGATAGCCTTGCATGGGCCAATGATGACAGAATGTCAAAAACCAAGAATTATGATTAATCCAGTTCTTTGTATCTGAGACTCTTTTAAAAAATACATTGAGAGAACAACTTTCTAGGTCATAGAGAAAATAATGAAATGTCATTCACGTATAGAAAAATAGTTCCATGCTTAGTTTCGTATGGCACTCTCTGACCTGCCACTTCCTCACCTCACACGTCAGCAGGTTCAGCCTCTAAATGGAGATCAAGAAGGGCACGGATCAGTAGACCATTAAGGGTTGTCAGTGGAATCACTTCAGACAGAATTGTGGCTGTAGGATCCCTAGAATAGGAAAAATATGTGCTTCCTTTTCTTTCATTTTCACCTCTCTGAGTAAGGTAATATGTTTGCATATTTTATTAGAGAAGTGAAAGTGGGAATTTTAGAAAATGAAAAAGACCTGTGTGTCAAATATGAGCAACTCTTAACCTGACCAGTGGCAACCACTGGGACCTGTGTCTAAGGAAGGTTTTAAATTCGCCTGCCTCCAAGTTCCCTTTATTGCCTCATTCCCTGCTGTTGCTTCTAATTCTTTCAGCATTACCATCTCTGTGTGCTGTTCCCTTCACACTGTGCTGTCTCCACAGCTCTGCATGCTACAGTCCTGAATTGTTGTAAATGGCTTCAAAACCTGGCTAGTTCAGTGTGCCTCCTCCATGAAGTCTTCATGCTTCCAGCAGGAAACAGTCTTTCCCATTGTTGACCTCTCTTAGCACCTAACTTGAGTCCCTCCTAAGACATTTGCCTCTCTCTGAAGGCAGGACTATGGTCTCAGCCCACGTGTGCTAGCAAAAAGCTGGAGAACACACAAATATGAACTGATGTGGAGATAACAGCTCTCACCATGTGTTATTCGTGAGCCACAGACCCTATAAGAAGGGTTGGGTCATTAGCTCCCTGTTGTTTAGTGTGCTGCAGGCCTTCCTGTGAAATTGGGATATTCAGTCAATACAGCTAAGGAGGATTTACTCACTGACTTATAATCTAAAAGAAGAATTTTTACCATCCTCTGCCAGGACCATCTTTTATTTTTTTTATTTTCATGCTTGTTTTGAATCCTTTCTTGCCACTCACACTACACAACAGCCTCGCCTCATTCCTTGTCACTGTTCTAAGTTCTTCCAGATTTTGGCCTCACATGTTTTGGGACCTTGATATGGTTCAAAGAGGGTAATCATAAGAAGAAAAGTAAAAATAATAGTGAAATTTTAAAGTGCTTACTGAGTGCCAGCACTATTTTTACATGTTTTACATATATTATCTTACATCATCCTTACAACAACTCTATGAAATAGATACTATTATTATTCTCCTTTCATAGAAAAAAATGAAGCTCAGAGAGCTTGTCTTTCCCAAGGTCACACAGCTAGCAACTGAAACTACTAAACCATATTATTTTTAAAAAGGCAGAGAAATAACTTCATAGAGACTGAAAGTACAAGTGAGAAAGAGAGAGGAGGGTGAAAGCATGTCAAGATATTGGAAGGGGAGCATGGTTGAGTCCAGTGTCAGAACTCTGCTCTGTTTAAATGCAGTGGAGGTGGAGGTCAGTGCTACTGAGAAAATCCAGGGAGTGAGCCACGTGCGAGACATATGCAACCTTCCTGACACTCTGAGTGCCACTGCCAAGGGAAGAAAGGAACCTGTGGGTTGAGAAGATAGTGTGCCCTGGAAGTTGTCACACAGTGAGGATGAAGATGGGGGTTGAATGGTCAAGGTTGTTAGGTCTTAGAGTCAATTAAGAAAAGCCATGTTTAAGTACAGAAGTGAGTTTTTTAAAAAAAATTATTTTAGGGCCCCATTGGATGTCTTGGCAACGAGTTGTGAATTATGTCATCTGTTTCCCAGTAAGTGGGTGTTTTATTCCATTTGTGGTCTAGAATTGCAAGCAGACAGCACCACCTCACTGAGATGAAGAAGAGTGGAGAATGAGGTGACTCCAAAACATTCTCATCTTTTCCTTCTCCCTTATATTCTGGACTGAGTCATAGACTTAAATCCTAGCCCTGTCCTGACCTTCTGTCTTTCCTGGTGTCTCACTCCCCATTTTTCTCTCCCAGTCCTTCATCACCTCCTTCCTCCCCTATGAATGCCTCCTGCAATGACACCCCTGCTCCGCACCCAGCACCACCATTAGTGCTGCTCTTCCTGATGTAGGTTTTCCTGCCAGACAGGAGGGCAGGCATCTCATTTTGGTAAACACTGGATAAATGCTTCTCCTTAAATAGAAGCAGCAGGCTTTCCAGCTAGTTCTTTTAAGGGGGTAGAAATTCAGTTCACTTCAGTAAATTTGACAAGAAATCAAAGATAAGTCCCATGTACAAGTCTGTAAAATACTTCAGGGAGGATTTGCTCTGTTATTACTTGGTCCCCAACATAATGAGCTAGGATGACATTTATGACCACGGTGGATGTAACCTTTCCCAGACCTGTTGGGTGAAAGGCAGTGGGGGAAGGGCTGCCCGTTGGACATGCCTGCCACTGGAGTGGTTCCTGAGCTGAGTCAGTGTGGGAGATGATGAATGCCTGTGTGTAGTTCCTTTGATGCTGTGAAGCATGTCTGCCATGGAAAATTCAGGTTGGCACTGATGGAATAACCCCAGTGCAGGGTATGCTGGATTGTGAAATGTTATTTCTCTGCTGAATGGCATTTGACACGTTCAACAGCACACTGGTTGGACCCTTCTCTTTTACAACAGGATTATGAGGACTTTGAACCATGAACCAACTGTTAAGTGTCCTACTAGCTTTGCAAACCAACATTTGTGTACATGAGTTTGGCTGGAACTGGCCCAGTTTCAAACAACCTGTGCCTTATGTACATTCTGTCTTTCCCTCCAGTCCTCTGATAATGTATTCACTCCAGGCAAGTGTTTCTGGAGAGCCGTGGGGGTACAGATCATTCTGTAGATTAAATTCTTCTCTCAGAGTGCACTTTGCCCGTGAATTTCTTCCTCTTCCTTTTGCTGGCCTGTCTGTCTTCATTTCTGCTCACTCATTGTTCACATCGCACTGAAGAGAGCTCTTGCAATTTGACAGAACTTGGAGAGAAAGTCCAGGCACTTTTTTACCTTTGGAGCTCTCTTCCTCATAATATGGTTCATGGACCACCTGCTGCACAATCAGCTATAGTAATTATCAAAAATGCAGATGCCTGGGCCACCCTCCTCCCAGATCTTCTGAACTGGAATTTTTGTGAGAGTTTCCCAGAAATCTGCACTATTATTAAACTTCCCAGATAAATCTTCATGCACAGTTAGGTTTAGGAACCACTGCATTATTAATAATAATTTTAAGATTCGTATTTATGAGTGTGTCAAGCACTTTCTATGCATTAACTCAATTCATTTTCACAGCAACCCAATGGGATGGGAATCATTATCTTTGCACTTAAAACAGGATTTGACACATGGCAGGTGCTCAATAACTTTTTGCTAAATAAATAATAAATTAACCTTTTAAAATGTGTGTGTATACATATATAAGTAAGGCTTAGATAAGTTAAAAAAAACTTGGTCAAGATACACAACTAGTGACAGGTGGAGCTGGGCTTTATAGCTACTTCTGGTCAGAAACTTTCACTTCTCCTTGTTTATTGAAGTTTCTTTACACCCTCTTTGCTTATCATTTCTCTGATTCACTCTTCTTGTTCAGCAGATGGGTCACCTGTATTTCTGCTTAGACAGGTAGCTGAGCCAGCCCAAGGTACAGGAGTGAACTGGGTGGTGTTGCCTCTGACCCTCTTGGCCTCCTTAAGGCCTCCTCCCTTTCTCAGACCTTCCAAGCTACCTAGCTCAGGAGACTGGGCCCTGCAAAGATGAGAGCTGCAGTAAACCTACTAGTATTTCCCCTGGGACTTTCAGAAGGCAGAGTTCTAAACCACAAGAGACTCTAGAACTTTTTGGAGGCGTCCATGGGGAGTCTCTTTTAGAATCAGGATCTTTGGAAACATCTTATTGTACACACACACACACAGAAAGAGAATTAAAAAACAGAAACATGCTCTTTGCTGAACAATGGCAAAAGGAAAACCACCTTTTGTAAAGAGTAATTATAAAAATGTATGAGTAGAAAAAAGCATTTCCTATTATAGGTCTTTTTAAGGGATAGATGTAATCAAGACCTTTTTTGAGAAGCCATCTTCTGGCCTTTGGGCCACTGTACCAGTAGTTTCAGCTAAACTGGTACTATTAAGGGCTTGCTGTATGCCAGGCATTGTTCTAATTTCTTTGCATGTTTCACCTGAATTTCCATAATCTTTTAGCAATTCTTAATATTAATAACCTCATCCCTATTTTATGGATGAGGATACTAAGGCAGAGAGAGGGTAAATTCATTCCTCAAGGCACCACAGAGAGCAAGTAGAGGAGCCAAGATTCAAACCCAGGTGTCTTAACTCCAGAACTCTTTTAATACTACATAATATGGTGTGACTACTCTTATTATAAAAAATTTCCCTTAAAAATTTACATTTTTGGCCGGGCGCGGTGGCTCACGCTTGTAATCCCAGCACTTTGGGAGGCCGAGGCGGGCGGATCACGAGGTCAGGAGATCGAGACCATCCTGGCTAACACGGTGAAACCCCGTCTCTACTAAAAATACAAAAAAATTAGCCGGGCGTGGTGGCGGGCGCCTGTAGTCCCAGCTACTCGGGAGGCTGAGGCAGGAGAATGGCGTGAACCTGGGAGGCGGAGCTTGCAGTGAGCCGAGATTGCGCCACTGCACTCCCACCTGGGCCACAGAGCGAGACTCCGTCTCAAAAAAAAAAAAAAAAAAAAAAATTTACATTTTTTTAAAAGGAAAAAATGGATTGTTCATACATCAGTGCACTCCTATATATAATTTATAATACGAATAATGTGCACATGGTTAGAGAAGCCAAATTGCTCAGAAAGATAATAAAATGAAAATAAGAGTCTCTTTATATCCACACTTTCCTGTTCCCAAGAGACACCGCTATTAACAGATCATTTTATCCCTCAAGAAAAATGTTCTGTGCATATGGCAGGTTACATATTATCTAAAGATTTATTCACAAAAAAAGCAGACTTGCCATACCCACTTTTCTGCATCTTGTTTTTCTCATCTAGTAACAGGTGTTTGATATCTTTTCACTTCGACACACCCAGGATCATGTCACTCCTTTTCACGATGGCGGAGTATTCTCTTAGGCTGCTGCTATACCACCTGATTTAACCAGTCACTGTCGATGGACAACTAGGTTGTCTTTTTGGATCCTTATGTGCAGAATAAATTCCTAGCAGTACAGTTTTCTTTTTTATGCATGTAGCATAATTCACACTCTTACTAACTCTGTTTTCACAAACCCTTAATGGAGCTGGTATTATCAGACTCTTTTGCCTATCAGATAGATGAAAACAGTCTCCTTACCTTCATTTATATTTTTAGTGGTGTTGATAAATTATATGGCTTTTCATGAGTATCAGCCATTTGTTTTTCTTTTTCTTTCATCTGCCTAATATGTCCTTGGCCCATTTTTCTGTTAGTTTTTTTTTTTTTCTAATTTTATGAGCTTCTGGTAAATTAAGGAGATTAACCTTTTATCATGTGTTAGAAATATTTTTTCAGTGTATCTATTTGTCTTTGACCTTGCTATTTTCCCATAAGCAGTTTCATTTCATATAGTTGGATTTATCAATACAAATTATTCACTTCTAAATACTTTAAGTTTGAACTTCTCTTCTTTTGTGTTTAGCTGTTTATGTGTGTGTGTGTGTTATTTTAAGTATATGGCAGCTCCGTCAATTAAACATCAATCAGAATGAAGAAAACTATTTTCTGAAACTATAATATAAATGGAAATTACATTTACAATTTTTCAAGAATACTTTTATTCTCAAAATGCAAAAAAAAAAACACCTGTATATGTATCTTATCAATGTATGGCTCATTTAACCAAATATTCCCTTTCTGAGATAAATACCTATACGGGGTTCAGGAAAGTAATTTGCAAAAACTAAAACAAAAACCCTTTTTAGGCTGTGAAGCGTTTCTTGGATACCTTGGCTGGGCCCCCCAAGCCTTAGCAGTTAAGAGTCCATTCTACTGAATGTACTTTAGAGCAGCTTCTTTTAATAGTGTCTTCTATAATTGCGTGTGTCCGTTGCTCCTGCTGCTCCTTAATAGCTGTGCTTAGCTTCAGTGAAAATGGTTCCTCTCTCCTCCCTGGAGACCTGTACATTTAAAAATATGTGTATTTTGGGGGGATGGGTGGAGAAGGAGGATGGGAGAGAAGGGTGGGAACTAGGTGGGTTTTTTTTTTTAATTTACTGCCTCTATTTGAGGTGGTCCAACCTGAATTAATTTGATAGCTTTGCAGTGATAAAAGATAAGAGAGGGCTTGGGGTTACTTAAATCAGTGTTTTAGAATGGCTTAATACTGCTTAGTAGATCTCAGGATTGTTCTATACTGTGATGTTCTGATGTATGAGGACTGCTCCATATCTTGAAAACAGGCAAAATTAATAATGTCCTAAGAGACCAGATTACAGGCAGTGCTTTAAAAATAAGTCTAGTTAGTTATCAGTTTGGGCACGTATTCTTTTTGTTTTCATTTTTCCTTCCTTTTCTAATTCCCTGGCGTTAGCATACATGCACAGAACGCTTATTATCCTAACGTTATAAATAAAAGGAATATCTCTCAAAAGAGTTCAGCAGTGCTATGAAAACAAAAAACTGCCAGAACTTCTGGAGGCCACTGGGCATAGGTTCTTGAGAGTTGGAAAAGTGCCTTCTGCAGCAGGATGCTTAGTCACCAAGCGTTTGGCATCAGAGCATTATCTTAAAGGTCATCAAATTCATCCTGTCTGTTCAGTCCTGGGATAACACTCCACTAACCTGGCAGCTGATCGAAAACAATATTGATGAGGAACAAAGACTGTTGATGAGGATGACATTCATTCTTTACAAGCAACCCATGAAGCAGGTGCTATGAGTATCATCTTTATTTAACCAATTAGGAAACTGGGACACAGAGAAGTGAAGTAACTTGGCTAAAACTTTCCACCTAATATGGGTTAGGAGCAGGCTTTGAATCCAGGCTGTCTAGCTGAGGTCCTACGTTTTTTCTTTTTGTTTGTTTTGTTTTTTGTTTTAGTTTTATTTTTTGAGATGGAGTCTTGCTCTGTCACCCAGGCTGGAGTGCAGTGGCATGATCTTGGCTCACTGCAACCTCCAACTCCCTGGTTCAAGCAATTCTCCTGCCTCAGCTTCCCAAGTAGCTAGGATTACAGGCGCTCACCACCACACCCAGCTAATTTTTGTATTTTTAGTAGAGACAGGGTTTTGCCATGTTGGCCAGGCTGGTTTCGAACTCCTGACCTCAGGTGATCCACTCACCTTGGCCTCCCAAAGTGCTGGGATTACAAGCGTGAGCCACCATGCCCAGCCGAGTTTCTATGTTTTTAGGTTAGGTACTCTGTGCGTGATTTTAATAACCCCAAAGAGCACTGAAAACAATACCTTAGTTGCATACACTGTTTAAAGGAAATGAATAAAGAATGCCTCTCCTTCCTTGTATCTTTGTTGCCAACTAATAGATAAATGGCGGCGGGGGCGGGGGGTGTGATTAGGTCTCCAGCTTTTCTCTTAGTTATTTTGCTTAGTACATGAAGAAAGTATATCAGATGATGTATTACATTTAGCTTTCCTGTGTATCCCTTAAAAAGAGTTCACTGATTTTTACACTGCATTAACCAGGTTACGTTCTTTAAATTCATGAACTGAAATAGTTGTGAAGTAGTATATACATTTTTCACTATCGTACTATTCAAATAGGCCTGAATGCAGCTGCAGGGACCCGAATGTGCCTTCTAATCTCTTTCAGATGTACAGAAGGTAAGAGAGGAAAGTGCTGAAACAAAGTGACCTTAGGCCCTGCAAATACATAAAAGTCAGTATATTGAGTTCCAGTAGCAATAAAATATAGAACAAAGTTGTCCTTTCAGTTCAGAGAACATAATTACCACAGATCAGAAGCACCGTGGGGTAACAATGGATTTTCCGCAATTATCTGTTCCTGTTCTAGAATTTCTGCTTTTAGGCAAGCAGTTCAATTATAATCGATGGGCTTTTGTGAAAGGAATGAAAGCTGAGTGTTTTTCAGAGTAATAATTTCACATTAGAAAATAGTATCTTAAACCTGATGGCTGTAACTGAAGGATCTATTTTTGAAAATCACCTACCTTTATCATTTAATAACCAACCTGATAATTTACTAGCAAACAAAGCTGGTTGAGTTAGGCCGTCAGGAATCTCATGCTGCTGGACTGCATTACCAATCATGAATCCTTCAGATTGTAAACTACTACAGTTTAACCAGTGTATTCCTTAGAGTCAACTGATTAAGTTTGGGGAGCTTCTAGGAGCTCATTACATCATTAGACAAAGTCTCTGCAATCCAGAAGGAATAGCTGGTCTCAGTTCTGATAAACTACCTTGCTAATCTTCCCAGAATTCTACTGGGAGCCAGGAGTCACTGCTGTCATTTGGCTAATGGGTCATTCTTGGTCTCTTTCCTAGAGACCTGGACTTGCTAGAGGCTGGAGTTCCTGAGAGCTCCTGGAAACCAGGGAAAGGATTTTTTCTTCTCTCTGCCTTGTGATTACCTACCTTCCTCTCTAGCAAAACTAACAGAGGCCATCAGAAAGAGAAATCTGTTCCCTAGTAGGCCAGAGTCTGGCCACATCTTGTACCTATGGTTCATGTTGACCTTTTAGGGAGATGGTAATGTATAGTTTCTTTAAGAACTTCTCCTGTTCCCCTGCTTCTTCCTACTGCCTTTCTGAGGGCAAAGCATAGTATGGGAGAAGTAGCATGAAGATTTGGTCCTGGACAGGATTTATCACCTATAAGCTTCAGACAAACAGCTTCAGTTTTCTCAATAGTAAAATAGTGAGATTAATGTCTATTTTACAAAGATGTCAATATTAAATAATATATAGCATAGAAAGTATCGTGAACAGGGCCTGGGACCTAGTAAACACTCAATAAATAGCCATTGTTATGATAATTATTGTTCACTGCTTGTTAGAAAATCAAGGATTAGGCTATTCATATTTTCTTTAGCTCAGAAATGTGAGCTGGCTCTGGGTTCTAGACCAGAAAAGGCACAAATTATGTGGTAGGAGTTGAGCAACAAGGTCAAATTAAACTGTATACCTAGACTTATTTTTCAGAAGCACATGGTACTTCACGTTTTTAAAAAATTCTTTTTCTTCTTCTCATTGTCTAGCTTGCCTCTTCCACCTCCCCTTACTTCCCCAGGCAGTGTATGGGAATGTTTCCATTATTACTCTTTCAGAACTACATATTTTTGTTAGAATGAATTTATATAAATTATTTTACTGCACAGCATATTTATATTATAATTACACACCCACCTGTTGTCTGTACTCAAAGTATCATGTGATCTTTGCAAACTAATGAACATCCCTACCTGTAATCCCACCCTGAAGCTAAAATTCCAAATTTCAGTGTAATTTACAGGTTCTATCACTGTTAAATTTCTGCTTTTCTGTTAAGGATCTATTCTTTAAAGAAAAACCAAAACTGCAGTCAGAGAAAGTCACCTCAGATAGTGCCAGTGCAGCAGTCTGGGAGCCCAGGCTTTGCTCTTTCCTGACTGCCTCTCATTGGTTAACTGTCTCCAAACCTAACTTGCCAAATTGAAGTATGAGTAGCTGACTACAGAAGCCCAAAGATAAACTCTCTTGGAAAAACTACTCTTGGACTGATAAGTATTTTATTTTTCTTTTGCTTGAAATAGGGTGAGCCCGTTGTTGTGGAGTGAGAGCCTCACATACGGGAGAACAGTGCATTTCTTGATGCACTTGGGTCACTGTTGACAGTGTCTGCAGGAAGACTGGCCTCTTTATGAAACCAGCCTTACTGTGCATCTTAGCTGTGTTTATGAAATGATGTTCTTGTACTGGGCCTTCTCTTGACTGCTTTGAGGAAAATGCTGTGAGCCTGGAAGCCCTGGAATCTTGGCACTTGCCAATAGTGTGCAAACGCAGGGAGCAGGGACCTGGAAGGCAGGGAACTGGCCAATGTGTTCTCTAGTTTCCTTTCCCTCACGCTTCTCTCTCCCCTGTTGTTTTTCAGGTAGTGAAGCTGATTTTAGCTCCTCGAGCAGCACAGGCAGCATTTCCGCTCCTGAGGTCCATATGTCGACTGCGGGAAGCAAGCGGTCTTCTTCTTCACGCAAGTAGGCACCATCTCCTGCTCTGTAATTAAGACGCTTTACACAGGTGACTCACCTGCACCTGTGCATCTGTAGAACCACCCGGATTACTGTCCGTTCATATTTTATTATTCAGTGAGGCTTTTTGTTTTGTTTTTTTACAGTGATTTTAAATTGGTAGTTTTTCCTGTCTTGCCAACTGTGGTCACATGGCTCACCTGTGTTTGTACATCCATGGCTGTCTCCCATCCAACCCTTGACTCTATGCCCACTCCTCCTGTCCCTTCTCTCTTTCCCTTACTCACCTGTGTACTCATCTGCATAGGAAGCTAGTGGTCTCCCACTTCCCTCCTACCTCCCCTCTGTGAAGCTATGAGTCTCTTAGCTGTGAAGCCTCTGACTTCACCCTTTTTTTCTTCTAGCTGGACTTCCATTTTTAACCTCTGTGAAGGAAGCAGCTACTCCCTGACCACTCCCAGCATTTACCTGGGGAAGGAGTGAAGAAAGTGTAGTAACGTTCATAGGCATGGTGGCCACCCCATAGAGCACACCAGCTGGGTGTGTGGGCTCTGAAACCAGGCTGCCTTGGCTCAAATGCCAGCACCACCAACTCCAGGCTGTGTGGCTCTGAGCAAGTTGTTTAACCACTCCATGCCTTGTTTACCTTATCTGTGAAATAGACCCAGCCACCTCAGAGGGTTTATTGTTAGGATTAAACAAGTTAATAAAAGTAAAATGCTGAGTCAGAGCATGGAGCATAGCAAGCATCAACCAATTCTCTCCATTGATGTTATTTGAATTGGTGGAGAGGACTATGAGACATGGGAGCCACTATGCACATTCAGTGGGAGGGACTGTAAGCCCCAGGATTCTGTGCTTGCCACCAGTGGCTTTGTTTATTCATTTAACAAGTATTTATTGAGCATCTACTATGAGGAAACAAAACTCCACAAAATTATATTCATTGTAGTAGGACAAGAAGGACAATAAATTGAAAAATAATATAATTATTTTTAAAAACACTCAGGGGAAGGAGATAGAGAGTAATGTGGTTTGTGGTATATTTTAGCTTGGTGGGTCCTAGGATACCTCAGTGGTGAACTGAGCTCTGAGCAGAGACTTAAAGAAAGCTATGGAGGGAGCCACAGAACGTGAGGGGACCTGGCTTCTGACTTTGTCACGTCACTTGATTCCCCTGGGCCACGGTATCCAAAAGACAGTTGTACTGTGTGACTTTTTAAGGTCTCTTCCTGGAGAAAATCTATTTAGTTTCCAAAAGCCTGCCTTTCCAGGACTCAGCAAGCAAATATTTTCTATTTCTCTTGGGTGAGCTGAAGATTTAGCAGATGTTTATAAGGCGACCTGAGACCCCCAGGGCACAGTTTTATCATTAAAAATACAGCTGAAGCCAGACAAACCTGTAACAAAAGAGTGAAGTCCGCAGTAATAAAGCACAATTGCTCTATCCCCAGCCCCCACCCACCACCACCATTTTGGCAATAAAGTGCCTCTGGGATTATAGGACATGAATGTAAACATTCTGTGTAAATCAGATGTGGCTTGCTCTAAGAATAAACCATTTATATAACCCACTCAAGAAATTATGACATACACATGGAACAAAGTATCAAACAATATAGAAAGGCAAAAAGATAAAAAAGGAAGGCCTGTAGATGAAGCCAACTTAAATATTTCAAAGGAATCAGTGTTTGTGGTTAAATTCCAAGGTTGTGTCAATAATACAGAGTGACTAAGAGAAAATATTCTAGTCTAGAATTCATGGTCAAAATTTGACATATTAAACATAAAATAGCCAAATATAATTATATGCAAATCAGATGAATGCTTCTGTTAGTATCTGTTATAGCCAAGCAATAATAGACTTCAAAGGTTTAACAAAAATTAATAGATGGAAAATTGAAAATGGCAGTGTTCTATCCATTATCCTCAGTTTTTAAAAATCTCAGCCATGCACAGTGGCTCATGCCTATAATCCCAGCACTTTTAGGAGGCCAAGGCGGATGGATCAACTGAGTTCAGGAGTTCAAGACCAGCCTGGCTAATATGGTGAAACCCCGTGTCTACTAAAAATACAAAAAAAAAAAAAATTAGCCGGGCATGTAGGTGGGTGCCTGTTATCCCAGCTACTCGTAAAGTTGAGGCAGGAGAATTGCTTGAACCTGAGAGGCGGAGGTTGCAGTGAGTCAAGATTGCACCACTGCACTCCAGTCCTGGGCAACAGAACAAGACTGTTTCAAATAAGTAAATAAATAAATAAAAGAATCTCACCCAGGCACAGAGTACCATCAGTAGATTTTGGTCATGGACTATCTCAGCAATGTCACATAAATTTTGTGTTCTGGAGGGCCACGCATGGGGGGGCAGCTCCTCTAGAGTAGCTGGGTATCTCTGCCAAACTCTGTAGTAGTTTGTGATCCTTTCAATTGGCTGCTTCCCCATGTAGTGAATGAATTTTCTCTGTGGAGAATTAGCTCCCTGAAGGAAGGCTAACAGGAAGATTGGTCAATCAGTGGGACATGTGAGGAACAGGTGGAGCTGGTGAGAATATTTTTGACGAGTTATTTTTAAAACAAAAACTTTAAAGGCTTACAGAGTATCTTGTCTCATAGAAGGGCAACTCTGCTGATATTTCTAAGGAATTATCTTTCTTAAACTAAAACATGAATCTGTTTGGAAGATAAAAATCAGACAGAAAAAGAAAAACCTTGGGATTTGGAGTCAGACAGACCTGGGATTGAGGTTAGCCTCCATTATTTATCAGGTGTATGACCCCAAGCCTCAGTCTCCTGTTTTGGGATATGGGATAATAATAGCATCTTACCTCACTGAGTTAAATGAGATGATATGTGTGAGTGCTTGACATGATGCCCAGAACTTAGTGAAAGCGTTGGTAAAAGGTGGTTTTTGTCAGTAGGGGTGAAAGTAGTACTAGGAGACATGGTACTGTTGCTGTTGCTGCTGCTGCTGCTGGTGGTGGTTATGATGGTAATCATGGTGGTAGTGATTATATTAGTCTGCTAGGGCTGCATAACCCAGTACCATAGACTGGATGGCCTAAACAACAGAAATGTATTTACTCACAGTTCTGGAAAAGGGAAGTCTGATACCAAGATGTCTGCAGGGTTGGCTTCTTCTGAGGCTCCTCTCCTTGGCTTGTAGTGGCCATCTTCTCCCTGTGTCTCTACAGCATCTTCCTTCTGTTTATGTCTGCTCAAATTCCTTCTTTGTATAAGGACACCAGTTAAACTGGATTAGGGCCCACCCTAACTGCCTCATTTTAACTTAATCACTTTTTAAAGCCCCATTATTCTGTGGTACTGGGAGTTAGGGCTTCAACATATCAATTTGCAGGGGGTGACACAGTTCAACCCTAGATCATGGTGATGATGGTGATGATGATGATGACGATGATGATGATATTACCTGAAGTCCAGAGCCATGGTCAGGGAATCGAAATTCACCTGAGTCACTCATGAGGTGTCATCTTCACTCCTCTGTCTATGACCTTCTAGTTACGTATTCAGGTTTGTAGAAGGGTTCAGGGTCAGCAGAATTTTCTTTCCTCTTTGTGGACTGCGTTTTTCTTGTCCACCAGACTGAAGGATCTGGGATGGGCTGAAGAGGACAGCATTGGGTTTCACAGTTCATGGCCATGACAAACATGGAATCTCAGTGTCTCCTTTGAAAATGTTTCCTATCAATGCCTATAATGAGTTTGCACCTATACATGTTAGCATTTGAACTACTAAATGAAGAGAACTGATATTTTTAAGCATGTTGCTTCTTTTTAAAAAGTTAGCTCTTACAAACTGTCTGATAATTTATTTCCTGATCAATATTCAGAAAGCACCTGAAACAGCGCCAGGGTCACAGAAGGTCCTCAGTGGAAGTTAACTCGTAATAAAATTCCCCAGGTCAAAATATGGGATAGCTCTTTACATTCCTGCCTAAGGTGTAATAGCTAATCTTCCATATTTCTCATAATCAGATTAAGAAATAGTCTGGTTGATGCCAGACTTAGAAGTGAAGCATGGAAAAGAAAATGCACACCAGGGTACATGTTCCTTTCAGCTACTCATGAAGTTCTTTCTACCATGGGCTGCTGAAGTTGGTTTTGTCACAAAGCCATCAGCCCATCTGTTCCGTATAAAGTGTCCTCTTCTCACGAAGAGAAGAGCGGCGTTCATTTGAATGATTTCAAAAGGAAATAACTTTAACTTTAGAACTTGGTTACGTTTTATTTATGTCTGATTTGCAAGGTTGACAGCCAGTTGAAATTATATTTGATTGTAAATAAGTGATCATGGTTTTGAAGCCAAGTGTACCCACATGCACACTTGCATTCACATTTACACACATTTCTCATTAAGATGTCAGTTGGATACAGCTGTAATTAAAATTGCAAAGAAAGGTTTGTCAGAAAGCAGTACTACTATATGAAAGCTATCTTGTTTTCTCTTTTTTTGCCATCAAGTAATATTCCTGACATAGAACTTTATCCTGTTTAAGTAATTTCAACATTCTCAAGATGCTTCCTTACACTACTGGGTGTCAAATCTCTGTCAGGATTAATGGTGAAGTTTGAACAAGTTTATCCTCTAATAATACTCTACAGTTGAGTTACCCTTAATAGCTTGTGGAATGTACTCACATGCATTCTTTGATTTGATTTTCACATCAATTCTGTGAGGAAGGTAGGAAAGGGGTGGGTGTGTGTGTGCATGTGTGTGTGTTTTGATCCCCATGTTAAGTGGCTCACTTGCCTAAGTTCCTACTAAGTGGCAGTGCCAATGACTCACACCTGGTTTATTTATTCAGCAGTCCTTTAGGGAACACTTACCATGTATCAAAAGTAGGAGGATAGAAAGAACAAGCTGTTTCTGCCCTCAAGGTTGCCCTAGCCTAGCAGGAAGGACAAATAAGTATGCAGTTGTGACGCCATGTGATAAGTCCAATGGTAGAAGTTTGCACAGAGTTTTAGGGAGCATTAAGGAGTGTGCCTACACTGGCCTAGGGAAGGAAGAATATAGAGAAGGCTCTTTAGAGTACGTTCCCATCAGTCTCAAAGTAGGAAGTATCCTGGTATCCAGGGGCTTAGAGAAGGGAGCAGGTGAACATTCTAATTAGAGGAGATTATGAGTTCAAAAACCTAAGGATGGTCAAGCATGGATCCTTCAGGAAACTGTAAGTGATTTGGAATGCTGTAGTACAGAGGGAGGAGGGAGGAGTGAGGAGTGGTGGAGGATGGGGTTGGATGGAGTAGTGGGATTGGACCTTGTGAGCCATCTTAAGGAGGCTGGCCTTTGTTCTGGAGGCAGTGGGGGACCATCGCAAGGCTTTGAGGAGGATAGTGAATCAGATTCCATTTTGAAAGGCCACTCCAGCCACAAGCCAACCTTCTACTGGAGGGAGCAAGGCAAGAGGCAGGAGAACCAAGATGGGGCTGTTACAGTATTTCAGCAGTTAAATGACAAAGGTTGTCTTAAGTCACTGGGGCTAGAAGAAAATGAAACAAAAATTTTAAGTAATCAAAATTACCAATGATGCATTTATGTGTGCTCTGTTTATCTTGCCCTGTTTTCTCCTCCTCCTGTATGGGGTACCACCTTCCCCCATCCTCCAAATGAACCGCATTAATTTTCTTACCCTGACATGAACCAAATGCAAATATTTCTAAACTGAAACAGGTGGACTAGAACAAAAACCATATCTTGAAAACAGCCTCCAAAATAAACAGCCTCCAAAATAAACCTGAGCTAAATCAATATTCTACATTGTGTATGTTCTTAGCAGGCTATTGGGTGTTATCCAAAAAAAGCTTTATGGTCAGAAACTATTTGAAAGAACAACAGAGGGAGAGGTTGCTTGTGCTGATGTCACAAGGAGAGAAAATACCAGGCAGGTGGGAAGAAGGCCGCTCCTAAGGACAGTCTACACGAATAATTGTATTGCGCCTTTCAACTCTATAAATTGGATTTCCTTAGATTTAAGGAGTAAGACATTAGCCCTTGGGCATCTGTAGCCCCAAGAATTTTAACATTTTTCATTCTTTTCTCCCAGTCGAGGTCCTCATGGGCGGAGTAATGGAGCTTCGTCACACAAGCCTGGCAGCAGCCCATCATCCCCGCGGGAAAAGGACCTTCTGTCCATGCTGTGCAGGAATCAGCTGAGCCCTGTCAATATCCATCCCAGTTATGCACCTTCTTCCCCAAGCAGTAGCAACTCAGGCTCCTACAAAGGAAGCGACTGTAGCCCCATCATGAGGTGAGTCCTGCTCACCTAATTCATGCATCTTAGTTTGTCCTACTTGGTAAGCTTTTCTTTAAAAAAGAAAAAAAAAAGTTATACAACTCTTGATCCCTTGCCTGATTCTACAAGACACTGCATTTTTCTTTCCCACATTCGGCTCATTCCTCAAGGGCTGCTGCAGAAAGAGCGCAAGCCACAATTTCTAACAAGGCACAGCAATCTAAGCAGTTCCTGAATAGGGAGAGAAAATGCCACAGAGGCAGCAGGAGGCTGAGGCAGGAGAATTGCTTGAACCTGGGAGGCAGAGGTTCCAGTGAACCGAGATCACGCCACTGAACTCCAGCCTGGGCAACAGAGCAAGACTCCATCTCAAACAAACAAACAAACAAAAACAACTTAAGATGATTCTGTAGGCACCTGTTGCTACAGGGGTGTGTGAAAGGTGGGGAGGGTGTCCAACGCAGTCTGGAGCGATCAGGGGTGGCCTCCCTGAGAAAGTGAAATGGAATTGAGGTCTGAAGAGCAAGCAACAAGTTAATTCATATGAGATTGTAGGGAGTGTGGAGCAGAAAGAAGGAACTGCATTTCCAAAGAGGCCACGACAGGAGGACTGGATGGTGGGCATGGACACAGGTCATCTTGGAGGCAGGCAGGTGCTCAGGGAGCTGGCAGCATAGTGGCTGGGACTGGGTCCAGAGTCAGGGAAGGAGCTGGCTGCCCTCCTCCTTCGGCCTTCTTCCTGCTGGGCATCCCTATTCTCGTCAGTCAGCTCTCTTACAGCAGGGATTCCCAGCTCCCAGCCAGGCCTGAGAGGGGCCAAGATTCCAGCAAGGGCTGTTTTGTAAAACATTGAGCCTGTCTTACAAAACACACTGGGGAGAGTTAAGTAGAGGAAGAAACTTCTTCCCTTCAGAAGAAGGATCTTTCCATTTCCTCCAAACTGGCATACTCACAGCAGGGATTGATTTTAGAACAACTTGCATTCAGCAAATAGCCATCAGGATCTTTAGGCAGTGGCACACTGTGCAGAAAGTTAGGTCCTCTGGCTGGCTTCCTTCTCTTCTGCCCGGGCCCATCCCCTGACCCTCACCCACTGTGCTGCATGTTACTCTGAACTGACAGCTCAGGCACCTGGACAATGGTGCATTATTTTGTATGAGAACATTCCTAAGCCATAGAGAATTCTCCTCCTCCACGGTCCCTATTCTCTCCATAAATACACCAATACCCCCTTCAATCTTCAAAGTAATTAACAGTCCTAAGATCGGCAATTCTATTACAGCTCACCTTCTGAAGTGAGGTCACCCATTATTGAGGTTTAAGACCCCAGCACACAGCTACCATTCCTTCTCAAGCTGTTAGCTGTGTCTGGGTCAATGTGGGTGGCTATAACAAAGTACTCTAGATGTTGGTCCAAATCTTTCGAGAACCATGGGCTACATACTGTAGGTTTAGGTCTGAGATCAGGGTGCCAGCAAGGTCTGGTTCTGGGAAGGGCTGTCTTCTGGGCTGCAGACTGCTGACCTCTTAATGTATCCTCACAGGGTGGAAAAAGAAAGCTAGAAAGCTCTCTGGGGTTCCTTTTATAAGAGCATTAATCCCATTTATGAAGGCTTCACCCTTATGGGCTAATTCCCAAAGTCGTCACCACCTAATACCGTCATATTGGGGTAAGAAGTTCAACATATGAATTCTGGAGGGACACAGACATTCAGTTGATAACACTCTGTGTTACTCTTCTTTTTATAGAAAAGGAAACGGCAAAAAGTAACATTTCATTACTTGGATTGTTTCAGGCGTTCTGGAAGGTACATGTCTTGCGGTGAAAATCATGGTGTCAGACCCCCAAACCCAGAGCAGTATTTGACTCCACTGCAGCAGAAAGAGGTGACAGTGAGACACCTCAAAACCAAGCTGAAGGAATCTGAGCGCCGACTCCATGAAAGGTGAATCTGCCTTCCTTGAACGGTGGGGTGTAGGACAACTTCTTTCTCCATAAAATGAAATATGAACCCAAACTATAGAAAGATAGAAAAGAAAAAATGATTGTATTCAATTTTGGTCAAATTTTTAAAGTCAGCCTCTGAAAAGAGTCATTTCATAACTCTGTGTGATATGGCTGTTTCAGGAGTTCAGGGAGGCCCGTAGGTTAGAGGGGAACCTTTGTTTTTCGTTGTTGTTGTCGTTTTTTGTTGTTGTTGTTTTGCAGTGTATACAGCTTTGATGTGAAATAATCAGGTGTGTGCATGACTATTTTTAAATGGCAAAAACACGTGCGGGAACAATCCCATACTTCCAGCAGAATGGGTCACAACCGTGGACCAATTAAGCCGTGTTTATATCCGTGCATGAATGGATATCTGTGTGCATTGTGATTCCTGCATGCTATTTCTGTGCCGAAGGAAGGGGCTCATTGTTCTTGGCCAAGTGTTAAGGCTGAAAAAAAAAAAAAGCCCATGCTTAAGAGATCTTATCTGAGGGAGAAGACTTTTGACATCTGGGCAGCAGGCCAGTTTTTCTGCTTGATCATTTTCCCCTGGAACATTTTGGAACAGACCAGGAAAGCTCTGACCAGGGTAGCTGTGAGCTCAGGGTGAGGGTGGCATGTGCATTCTCTAAGAGTCTGGGCTACCTGATCAGCCCAAACCTCCTCTTCTGCTGCCACAAAGATATAAAGAAAACTCAATACCTTGGTTGCTAAAACTGTGGGCAGGTAAGGGTGCAGACTGCGAGGAAGGGAAATTTTTCATCTTCCGAATTAATCTGGCTCATCATCTGTCTGAAATAGACTTGAGACCCAAACTCCCCTCTGGGGTGAGTCAGACCTTATGTCTGGAAGTGTTTGGTCTGTGATTTGCAGAGTCCATGGGAGGATTGGAGCACTCGAGGAAGGAATGGGAATGCAGCAAAACTTGGGAAAATATTCTAGCCTAAACTTAAATGAGCAATATTGATGTCTCTTCATATATATGAGGATCCTGACTACCCTATCTTCATATCCACTGAGAATGTAAGGACTGAATATGAAAAAATTATATATAAGAAAGAATTTATATACAAAGATCTTGAAATAGGGTTGTCCTGTGAAGGATCTGAAAAATAGGATAGATTCTCCTTAGTGTAGGATGAATTCAATATTATCCTACCTGAGAGGAGACAGAATAAGCAGCTTGTCATCATGTAAAGTCCCTGCCACGTGTAGCATTTTATTATTTCAAAAATGTTTATCATTGGAATACCATATGAACAATTTAGCAAGGCTAAAACTTATCAGTCTACCTTCTGTCTTAGGTAATTAAAAGTGAACTGGCCTTCCACAAACTATAGACATTTGGAAAGGGTAGGATATGGAGATAAAAACAGGCTAACAGATGCTAAGATGTTCTAATAATAAAGTTTCAAATATTAAGGATTGAGTAGAAGATAAGACTTGTAACACAGTGCAATATCCGACCCATAATGAGTACTCAAAAAAAATTGTGGTAGCTATTTTGATTCTGATTCTGATTACTATTATTACTTTAGCCATTTTACAAGTAAAGAGAAAGTTCACAGCTAATCTCCGCCAAAGAGAAAATGTACTGCTTCTTTCAGTTTAGGCTGGAGTGTTTTCTCAAGTTTTTCTGTGTTCTCTTGAGTTCCCTGCATTGAAAACTGATTTCACATCTGTATTTCAAGTGGAAGAGTATGAGCTCTTGGCTCTGTGCCAGAACTGCCTGAACTGCCTGTTGCCCAGTTGAAAGTTTTTTTTTTTTTTTTTTTTTTTTTTTTAATTAACCATGCTTGTCTTGGCACTCTAGGGAAAGTGAAATCGTGGAGCTTAAGTCCCAGCTGGCCCGCATGCGAGAGGACTGGATTGAGGAGGAGTGTCACCGGGTAGAGGCCCAGTTGGCACTCAAAGAAGCCAGGAAAGAGATTAAACAGCTCAAACAGGTCATCGAAACCATGCGGAGCAGCTTGGCTGATAAAGATAAAGGCATTCAGAAATATTTTGTGGACATAAACATCCAAAACAAGAAGCTGGAGTCTCTCCTTCAGAGCATGGAGATGGCACACAGTGGCTCTCTGAGGGACGAACTGTGCCTAGACTTTCCATGTGATTCCCCAGAGAAGAGCTTAACCCTCAACCCCCCTCTTGACACAATGGCAGATGGGTTATCTCTGGAAGAGCAGGTCACGGGGGAAGGGGCTGACAGGGAGCTACTGGTAGGAGATAGCATAGCCAACAGCACAGATTTGTTCGATGAGATAGTGACAGCCACCACCACAGAATCTGGTGACCTGGAGCTTGTGCATTCCACCCCTGGGGCTAACGTCCTGGAGCTGCTGCCCATAGTCATGGGTCAGGAGGAGGGCAGTGTGGTGGTGGAGCGAGCCGTTCAGACCGACGTGGTGCCCTACAGCCCAGCCATCTCAGAGCTCATTCAGAGTGTGCTGCAGAAGCTCCAGGACCCCTGTCCCTCGAGCTTGGCGTCCCCTGATGAGTCTGAACCAGACTCGATGGAGAGCTTCCCAGAGTCCCTCTCTGCCTTAGTGGTTGATTTAACTCCAAGAAATCCAAACTCAGCCATCCTTTTGTCTCCCGTGGAGACCCCCTACGCCAATGTGGATGCAGAAGTTCATGCAAACCGCCTCATGAGAGAGCTGGATTTTGCAGCCTGCGTGGAAGAGAGGTTGGATGGTGTCATCCCACTGGCTCGCGGGGGCGTCGTGAGGCAGTACTGGAGCAGCAGCTTCCTGGTGGATCTCCTGGCTGTGGCTGCCCCCGTGGTCCCCACGGTTCTGTGGGCATTCAGTACTCAGAGAGGGGGAACGGATCCTGTGTATAACATCGGGGCCTTGCTCAGGGGCTGTTGCGTGGTTGCCCTGCATTCGCTCCGCCGCACCGCCTTCCGTATCAAAACCTAAATAGAAGTTGTTGTTACCGTGTGCCAATGTGTCCCATGTGGGTTGTGCCAGGTAGAGAAACAGGAAGTCAATCATCTGTGACAGTCTCTATTCTGTCGTTTTGCTCCTTGGTATTTGATTTGCACTATATTTAGTTGAAGCCTGTTCACTGTTTAAAACCGGAGGTATCTTCAAAGGCATGGAGACCTGGTTCCAGTAAATGTCCCACCAGTGGGGTATAGAAAGCATGCTCATGACCCTGCCGTGTCGTCTGAGGTACCCGTTCTTATCCTAGTGGTTCAGGAAGAGAAAACGCAGTTTGCACTTTCAAGACAGCTTCTCTAAGGCTGGCATGTTATCTCCTTGCTTTGCTTTTTGCCGTTTTAAAATGTGTAATTGTTCCAGCATTCCAATGGTCTTGTGCATAGCAGGGGACTGTAACCAAAAATAAACATGTATTTGTGTAATTGGTTTGAAGAAGTCTTGAATAGCTCTTTACTGTCTTACTTGGGGTTGATAAGATTTGAGTGTTTGCAATTTTTTACTAAATGTAGCTCCAAAGTCTTAAATGGCTTGTTTGTTCTTAAACTGTTAATTGATGAAACTGTGCATAAGTTTACAATGTACTAACTTATTTTGCTTATTATATATAGTGTTTTATTGGAAATTGTAACCACACACTTCAGCATGATGAAAATAAAGATTAGTGTTTCCATTTAAATAAATGTTTTATCCTCCCATAAAATAATAATTATTTCTGTGATTTTACTTCTATGTATAAGAAAGACAATGAATAGCAGATCTTACATCTTTATCAATAGGGGGTCTGTAAAAATTGAATTAAATTAGGAAGAGGGAAAAAGAGTTAGTTATTAAAGAAAATGAAGATTTCCTACCCTTACTTAAAAAGCATCATTTCTGAATAAAAGTAGATTTGTTTACTTTTAAATTGCCCATACACTATTTTGTCCATATGTTTATGCAGTAAGTACATCTTGAGTGTTTTCAGGAACATTGGGTTGATCTAAGCATGCTAGGTGTTCAGGAGAGGGAGAATATGGTAGTGCCATATAGCTTCCTTCCCCAGAATGATAGGATGAGGGTGGGTGGCTGGGAAGGGATGAGAAGGTATTTGATCTATGTTCATCTAGTGCTTACACCAAAATTTTGAGATTAGTATTTTACACATATCTTTGAGGGAACTAAGCCTCAAAGAGGAAAAATGTTCAGGATCTCAGAGCTCATCTCCAGAAGCCACGATTTCAAGTGTTTGCAAAAGCAAATGCCTTTTCTACTTTGCCACACAAAGGGAGGATAAAGAGGCTGGATAATACCCCAAGTTCTCATCCAGAAACTCTTCTTCCATAGCACTTAACACCTTTAAATATACCACCCTTTTACTTACAATGCCTTGGTTATTACCCATCTTTCCCACTGAGATATTAGCTCCATGAGGGCAGGGATCTTTGTTCTGTTTTGTTCACAGCTGTATGTCAAGAACCTAGAACAAATGAAAGAATAAGACTTAGAATTTGATAGCACAACAGGGAACCTATAATCAATAATAATTTAATTGCATATATTAAAATAATTAAAATAATATAATTGGATCGTTTCAACACAAAGGATGCTTGAGGGGATGGATACCCCATCTTCCATGATGTGACTATTGCATACACATTGCATGCCTGTACCAAAATAGCTCATGAGCCCTATATAGACACCTACTGGGTACCCACAAAATATTTTTAAAATATTTTAATTTTCTACAAATAAATTAAAATTTAACAATAACTTAGTACAGCACCTGGCACATAGTGGGAAGTCTAAAAATTGCTGTTGAATGAATTAATTAATCCAGCAAATATTTACCAGGTACTCCGATGCTAACTGGGCACTTTCCAGGATGGGTCTTAAAAAGTGAAGGAGACAGAAAAGGTTTCTGTCCTCAGGAAGCTTATGTTCTGTGTCTGTGAGGGACACAACATGCCATCAAATAAACAAAAGATGGTTTCAGATAGTGGTAAATGCCTCAAAGGAAATAAGGTATTTTGACCAAGTGTGGCAGAGGTGAAAGTAAGGAACACATCTCTGAAGAAATAACATTGGTGGGAATGGATGAAAAAGAGTCAATCATGCAAAAATATGGGACAAAATCTTGTTGCAAGAGGAACAAATGCAAAGGCCGTCAGACAGAAAGGACTCAGAGTGTGACAGGAGCATCCTGGAGGTCAGTGTGGCTGGAGCAGAGTGAGAAGGAAGGAGAAAGTTGGAGTAGACAAGAAGCTGCTTCATATGGGGCCACACAAACCATGGTAGAGGTTTCAGTTTATTCAAGAACGCCATTTAGGGGTCTATTGTAATGTCCAGATGAGAGATGATGCCAATTTGGAGGTGGAAGTAGATACAGAGTTTAAGTTGAAAAATTACAGATATAGCTTGAAGATAGAACTAATGTGATTTGCTGATGGATTAAATGTGGAGTAAGGAAAAGAAAAAAAATAAGGGTGACTCAGGTTTTTGGCTTGAGCAATTGGATCAATGGCGGCCATATTTGCTCAGAATGGGAAGAGTTCAAGAGAAACAAGTTTGGGAAAAATAAAACTGAGATGTCTATTAAAACATCTATGTGAAGATATCAAGAGTAACTGCATATATAAATGTGAAAATCAAGGGAGCTGTCAGGACTAGACTTATAACATTGAACCTTTCTGGCATTTGTGTGGTAATTAAAACCATGGGAACAAGTGAGGTCATCCAGGAAGAGTGTAGAGAAGGAAAAAAGGTCAAAAATGGATTTCTGAGGTACTTCTATATTTAGATAGAGGTGGAGGATGAAGAACCAACAAAACAGCCAGAGAAATGACAGCCCAAAATGTAGGAGCAAAACTAGGTGATTAGTAGTATAAAAACCAAGAGAAGAGAGTAATTCAAGAAGAATGGAGCAGTCAATTGTGTTGAAGTCCCACCAAGAGATTAATATGAGAATAGTTACATATTCACCGGCTTTGACAGCAAGGTCTTAATGACTGTGTCAACATCATTCCTTGGAGAAATGGGGATGGGAGGCCAATTGGAGCAGGTTGAAGAGTGAATGGAAGCGAGAAAGTGAAATATGTGCTGCTGAATTTTTTTGTTTTATTAAGTTTTACAATTAAGGAGAATAGGAAATTGAGTGGTAGTTAAAAGGAGACATAAGGTCAAAGGTTAATTTTTCAATATTGAGAAGAGACAGAACATGTTTGTATGCTTTTGTTATTAGGCCAATGAAGAAAAACAAATTAACGACTTAGCAGGGAAAAAATAAGAAAAAATTATAAATTAATTGAAGAAGGAGAGCCTTTGAAAAGAAGGGATAGGATCCAGGGCATGGGAATGTGTGTGTGAGGAGAGATGGTTTGTCTCTGATAGGACATTCCTATTGGAATACACACGTGTCTCAAGCACACACATTTGTATTTACATGTCTTGCAGCTCTAGTCAGCAGTAGAAGGATTTGTTTGAAATGGAAGGGAAACTATTTCTGAATAATCGGAAGTGTCCTGAAATAATGAGCCATGCTGACTCAGGTCCCTTCCTGTAGTCCAGCCCAGATCAATACTTAGATACTGGTATCTTCCTTAAAGTCCCTCCTTGTGCTTATTTGCAGTCATTGCTAAAAGCATTTTTACTTTAAAAAGATTATAAGCCTGTTTTGAGTATCTGCTTGTTTCCATAGAAACAAATATAACTACACAAACTCAGCATTGTTCTCCATCAATTCAAGTTGGAGGGAAAGGATAGGCTCTGGTTAGAAAGAATTCTCCACAAACCACAAATATTTATTAATTGTCAGATTGGATGTAGCTGATCACCAATAGCAAATAGTTTTATTGTCTTAATGTCCTATATCCTCCTTTACATAAACCAAAAGATTCAAACAACCCATTGGAGACACTGGACACCCCCTCACCCTCCCTCTCCTGCTTCTTTAGGGTTTCAGCTGTATAGTCTGTGGAAAATTACTGCTTTTATTCAGAACAGTCTCTCACAAATGAGTCCCTTGGAGTAAATAAAAGATGGAACATGTTTGCCTTTTGGAAGCCCAAGGCATTGGCTGGTTTTGTGGACAGGATGATCTGATCCCATAGAAAGAAGTGCCTCGAAGTTGCTTTCAGTAATTTGAGTGCCTATGGTGTACAAACAGGCAGGAAAATGAAAAAAAAACGAGAACAATTCCACTCTATTGAACAAATTGCTGTCCCATCAAAGCAAATGTTAAACATTTCCTACAGTTATGTGTGCAAACATTCCAATTTATAAGAAAAGATTTTTCCCAAAGGGATATGTTGACCTTTCCAAGTTGAGCTGTTCAGAAAAGAGGGGAAAAAATGCCATGCACTCAGATGCCAAGCGTTTCTGACATTTGTGGCAGAAGAAAAAGGAAGACTGTGATTTGCATTAATCTTTGGCCCTGCCTAAGTAGTGGTTGGGTCTGATATGTTTTCCTCTTGAGGGTTTTTCATTTTAAAAGATTTGGGGTAGTTTCCCATTTCCATTTTGGGTCAGTGAGCACTTGAAAAAATATTATTTCCTTCCAATCTTGCCGGCAAAATGTGCACAATGAGGCAGTAGCCTAGGAAATTAATAGTTTATAACAAATCTTGAAAGAATGTCAACAAACTCTCAATTGTCCTGAACAAAAACAATTAGAAAGTCCAAATAGAATAAAACAGGCTTATATCAGGTAATTATTTTAAACCCACTGGATGCACTGCTGTGACCACTGATTTTCCCACAATCATAATGATTGTTATAACTAATGGTTACAATAATAACTTCAAAGAATTTTAAAATTTAAAAAAGGTTTAAGTTCTACTTAGAAGACCTTTTGTTAGAAGGTTGAAATATTTTTAGTAAGCATTCAAGTTTGTTAAAAGATGTACAACTTTAATAAGTATTTTAAACACTCCAATATATAAAACACATACAAATGACTGCACAGGCGGGAAGCCCTGCCATTGGCCTCCCCCTGGCCCCCTGCGGGGGTCCTGGTATTACTTCTGAGAAGAGCTTGCATGTCATTTCCCTATATACCAGGTTCTTTGAAAACTTCCAGTTCATGTAAGATCTCACGTATGAAAACTGTTACTTGAAATACTGCTCTGGTTAATGCTGAAGATATGTTTCTCTGTTGCCCTAAATAAGGAATGCTTAACAAAATTGTTTTCTAAACCTTTGTTACAAAATTTTGTCTGCCAGTGCTTTGTTGGTCTAACTATGAAGAGGACTCATTCTCTCTCCCTCAGATTATAGAAGCCACGTAAGTATCTGGGACTATCATGATACATATAAGATGACAATGTATTATAAAATCAAGTCTGACTCCCCTTGTGAATATTAAAGGTAGGTATCATGGCTTCTCTAATTTGATGGTGCAGTTAAGACCCTCTCTCCCCTTCCTCGCAATTAAAGTAGCTCACAATGTTTGAAATGGTTTGCCAGCCTCACTTTCTACAGTAAACAATAGGTGCTGGCATTTAAAACTGACCTTTAATTCTTCTGAACCAGCACATTATTTCTAGCTTGTTGGTTGTATACAGAAAATGAAAAATGAAAGCTGACAATAATTTTTACATCTCCCACTGGAAGCTGTACATGGACAAGTTTTAAAAATGATCGCCCGTGCACTGTCTCACTCCATAAGGGCTCCTTCTAATCAAGACAGATTAGGTAATTACGAGGTTCAGATGCACTGCAGAGCCTCACAAAGCAAAAAAAGCACTTGTATTTTCACATTTTAAACTTAAATGTGACAAGCTAAATATATCTATATTCTTATGCACATCTTCACTTAGCACTGCAATAAAATGCTGAGTTAATTTCAGAGGCCACTATATCTGACGATGGTGTTTTCTCCATAAAATAGGTAAGCACTGCGTTTATTCAGGAATAGTCAACAGGTTTGGAAATGGCATTGCTGTATAAGAATTCAAATTAAGGTTTGAATATTTTAACAAATAAAACTAATTATGGGCAGTAGTTAATATCTTATAAAGAGCCAAAATTGCTCCAAGAATAAGTCAACATACTGATCAGAGTATGTCCTTTGAATTTTCTATACAAGGAGATGTTTTCTTCTGTGCCATTCATTCTCTCAACTAAATCCTAGACACTCACTAATAACTGACAAGGTCAGGGACAGTTTGTAGCAGGAAGGACTCTACGTACGATACTGATCTGCACATGCATAGAACCTGTGGCCTTGACCTCATTATAATTATGACCCAATCAAGTGAGCTAATTGGCTTATTTCTGCAGTTGTGTGAATATAAATCAATTTCATTTTGCCTTATCTGACCCAAATAAACTGCAAATATGAAATTATATGGCACTGATATTCAACTACAGTTGTCATTTATATGAAAATAAAAACCAAGCTAATTTTCTTCATATTTATTAAATTATTAGAAAACACAAATGGGTATTATCTACTATAATTTGTAATGCTATCTTCATTAAGAACTAGGAGAAACTTTAAAAGGCATTTTGGCGGCTCATAGTTCCGTCAAGAGAGGCCTTAGAAATCATAGTCTACATAGACTGTTGATTAACCACTATTATAACCTCCTCTCTAAGGTTGCTATTTTCCATTCCATTAATCAAGTACACAATTTATTTTCTAGGCCTTGGTTTCCTTATATGTGAAATAAGGGTAGTATCTCTTACAGGATTGCTAAGAGTCACTGATATAATTAGTCAAAGACTCAGACTTACAATAAATGTTTTCTTTCTTGCTAAATTTCAAGTTCAATTTAAAGGTGTATAAAATACTGCAAGATTAGGCAACTTCTCCCACTCTTTGCAGGGAAGGGGCTGCCAATACCACTGCATGGTGAGATGTGGGAAGTATATAGGGCCTCATACCAACTTCCAATTATTGAGTGCTTATACTGAACACTTATGTACAGTCTCAATCCTTACAACCACCATTTCCATTTAAAAGATTTGCAAACTCTGGCAATTTGTTTAATGCTGTACTACCTCTACAGAAGCTCTGAGAACTCTGGGAACCTCTCAGAGCCGGGGTGATCTGATCAATGTATATAAGGAAAGCATCTACAGAAAGATCCCCTGAAAAGAAGTCCCCTGAAAGGGAAGGCTGGGATTATCTTGGACTGGCCGCAGACTTTCAGTGAGCTTCTCTGCAAAAGTTTCCACTGGTGAACTAGCAGTGTCAGCAGGAGGTATGAAAGGATAGAAACAAATCTGTTGTTGAAGGTAAAAGATGGTCAAGGAGGTCCCTAGAATAGAGTGTTTCTTTCAAGCTATAGAAGATCGAAGGTGTCTGGTGAAAAAGCATTTTACTAGCTCTCAAAACCTACTCTGGTTATTGAGTATGCCCAATGGTCATGACCAAGAGGGATGGAAGATAAAAAGCAGAAGGCAATGTAAAAAAAACAAAAAACAGTTGAGTATAAAAAGAGTACCTAGCTGTTGCTGTAAGCTTGGGATAGTTTTGGTTAAAGAAAAGTGAAAGGAATTACACAAAGAAAAAAATAAATCTCTTCGTATTGTATTAGGACAGAGCAGTTCAAATTTAAAAAAAAAACTATGCAAATGACAAAAACAAGTTTAAGTTATTAGCTACTAAATATGCTCTTCATGAACCCACTATCTTCTTCAGCCCTCCAGTTCACCTGAGAGGGTATTAGCTCCTTCCCTGGAACAATCTGTAGGCTCTAGCCCACTCCCAACCTCCCAGCAGGGATCCATTCGGAACCCTGTCATGTTTGCTTACATGCCTGAAGATTTCCTTTGAGCAAGGGGTTTAAGGAGTATGAAAACCATCGTTGGTTATTCCAAATCTGAACTTCATAGGATCAAACAAGATGAGTATGTTAGCTCTGTCTGGCTCAAACCATCCTTTAGTAAACATACCATTCTCAACAAAATTCAGGCTTTTTGGAACACTGACTATGGTTAGGTTTACGCCATGGTGGTAGCTTGTAGAGTGGTGTTGGAAGCTCGATCCAGATGCTGGTTTCTGTAGGTACCTTCTGCCCAATCACCAATCTTCATGTAGAAACAACCTAGAAATAATCACCCAGAGGCAAGTGCATGTCAAAACTGAGAAATTCGGATGCAGAATTTCAAATTTTCAGTTCTAAAATGTCAACTCAATTAAACATGCTATACTAAAAGAAGAGCCAAGTAGAGAATATCCCTAGGTAAAGCTTAAGAAGAGGAAATGGCTAGAAACCATGAAATTACTACATAAAAAACAAAACAAAACAAAAAAAAACACAAGGTAAGTTTCCCATGTCTTTGATTACTTGTTATCTCAGTACATGAAATGCACGATTTTGCTAATGGTTAAAACTTCACTAATTCTATCTATGCCTACCAGTATTTCTTATTATTTCTAATAAGCATCTAAAACTGACAATTCTTTATTGAAATCAAGAAAACAAAAAATAGAAACCATAAATTTAGTAGCTAAAAGAGACAGTATGCTACCATGAATTGTTTGTCATATGCATTTAACTCAGTGACTACTTTTGGGACCAAAATATACCCAAGTTAATACAGGAATTTAGTTTACACATCAATAGAGATAAAATAAATTCCAGAATTGTTATCTATTCTTTCCACAAGAAAAATCTATTTCTTCCTAATCATACTAACTATAATTGCTAATGTCTTTATTTTTAAATAATCAAAAACCAAAAAGCCAAACAACAACAACAAAAACCTCAAACACATGAAAATCATGACCAAACCAAACTTAAATACTTTTCAGCTACTAGGGAAAAGCAATACAAGTAATTGAGCTAAAGGAAGTTATCCTTTATGAATTCCAAATTTAGAGAAGATATGTTGTATTCCCATAATAACTAACTATAAATACAAAGAAGGAAGAGAATACATTATTAAAACTTTGAGCCCAATTCTATTTAAGTTGGGAGTTTATTAGCAGAAATTCTAATGAATATAATAACTGGAAATATAATTTGGGGCTATAAAAAGCTCTGTACCAAAGTTAACTTTCATCTTATTCTATAATCACATTTAGTCTGAAAGCTTAGGCTAAGGGCTTAAAGGGTTCTCATTGTATAACTTATGATTTTTCTATAAAATATCACTTTAAGTAAAATAAATTAGTAAGGTTTGGCCTGTACAGTATCTATGACATTTCAAAATCTCACCGAATGTTGATTCTAGGCAGTAACTTAAGAAAGTAAAAATCCTTAAAAATTCCAAAATGATAGGAAAATCAGGCTGGATGCATTTCAACTGCGGTGAAAAGGTTAATGGGATTTTAAACTATGAAGTCTACTTTTCCCCTACAGACCCAGTATTTATTTCCTTAAGACTATTTTGGAGCCAATCAACATCATAAATAAAAGATTATTATTCCCACCTTTATGATTTAATGAATCAATAATGTTTTCCTAGCCAAGAACACAGGTAACCTACATAACGTCAGACATCTAAAGCTAGTACAGAAATCATCTAAAGGCTTTGAAATATTTGACCTGATGGCTTTAAGCATTTGTAAATTAATGGCTTTTGGGAGGAAGGAAGAACTAAGGCACTCAAAGATACCACAACATCTTACAATCTATAATGAAAGGAAAAAACTACTAATACTAGTTCTTGAAACTCACAAGTTATAATGTAGAACAAATGTCATTTTAGTTGATTTTCAATGTTTATACATGTGATATAAATTACATGTATGACAACACTAATCCAAAAGAAAATAATGATGTACAAAATGTTTATGATAAGTAAAATTATTGCATTTAATGTCATTTTCATGAAATGAAAATCATCAAATTCCTTAATGTTGTATCAAACGTAAACAATACCAGTTCAAATTAGAGGGAATGTATGTCAACACCAACTTTTGACAAAAATAAGAAAGCTAAAGCCCTACAATTTATCTAATTTAGGTCAGGTAACCATGGAAACAAAAGAATATTAAAATTATTTATTTTATCATTATGCACATTGAAGGAAATCATAACAGACAGTACAGTTCTTTTCCACCATAAAATTATATACACCCATTTATTTAGCTAGAAACACTAGCTTGAGAGGTACTGATATATTCCATTTGTGATACTTTCTGTACAGCAAACAAATGTCTTATATTTGGAGCATGTTGAAGAAAACATTGTCTCAAGTCTTTTTTGTTTTTTTGAGTCTCAATCACTAAGAGTTCAAGGTACTTTGGGAGAATCGTGGTGTCCTGGATGGCCTGATCAATGTATTAAAATCAAGCAGTATGTCTTCTTAAAATACTCTTAAATCCATACAAATGTTGCTTGGGTTGTGGAGCTGAGATTTCTCCTACTGGCATGATAAAATTTGAACATGTGTTATGAAAGTTTCACACCAATTTTGTTTTGTTCCTTCTTCATTAGCCGTTGTGCTTCCTTTTCCATTTTCTTCCTTTGTTGTTCGGCTGCTCTCTTTTCTCTGTCTGCTAGTTTCTGCTGTCTGAAAAGAAACATACTTTTACTTTTAGAAAATACCAAACAGGTAAAATGGCAAATAAATTCTAGAAAGAAATAGCAGTGCCTTTTTATTATCACCAAATAAAATGTTGAAAGTCTTAAAATTTTCTCACTAATTTGAAAATTCCAAATATTTTCAAAAACAGGATTTCTCTTAGTCCTTAGAACGTGACTTGTGAAATAGAAGAAATATTATCTCTATTTTACAAATAAGTAAAATGAGGCATAAAGGCTAAGTGACTTGCCCGAAGTCATAGGATTAAGTACAGGGATAAGAACTCACATCTTCTGACACTTCTTATTTAGATTATCTCCATTTTGTAAAACAATACTTCCATTGAACCACATCTTTTTCTGGGGATACCATTCAGAAAAGCTTGATATTGAGCTTGATAATCTCCTGTTATTATAGTAGTTACAAACAGCCAGTTTTTAAAGTGCATGATGAACACAGCTGAACAGAACACACGCTCCAAAAAGAAAATGGAAACTTAAGATACACCTTCCACCAAGTAAATTTCAGGATTAACATGTGACTAACTCTACCAAAGAGAAGAGTGGTGGGTATTTAATCAAATACTGCATGTTCTCACTTATAAGTGGGCGCTAAATGATGAGAACACATGAACACATAGAGGAGAACAATGCATACTGGGGCCTACCGGAAAGGCTGAGGTTAGACGGAGGGAGAGGATCAGGAAAAATAACTAATGGATACTAGGTTTAATACCTGGCTGATGAAATATCTGTACGACAAACCCCCTTGACACATGTTTACCTGTGTAACAAACCTGCACATCCTGCACATGTCCCCCTGAACTTAAGTTTAAAAAAAAAAAAAAAAGAGTGGTAGGTATTTACTAATCATACTTTGTGAAATACATACCTGTTCCTTACTCTTTCCGTAACTCCACTGACCCAGACTCACTCTCTCTATCTTTACTGATTGGTTAATGTAGGGAGTGGAGGTAGGAGTGGGATGATGAAACAGGAGAGAGCAGAGTAAACATACATTGGTCCTGGATCTGAAGGGTTAGGGTGTGAGAAAATCATTCAAGTATGCAACGTTGAGGAAGGAAGCTACAGGTCACAATTGGGCATGGAATAGGCAACATTAGGTTATATGCAGAAAAATCCAAAGTGGATTATCTATGTCTGGGGGAGCTCAATATTAACTACAGTGAGTGAAATGTATGTACAGTTCTCAGTCATAAACAGGAGTAGGCAGAGTTATGGATGACCAAAATTCAAGAAAGTAAAGAAACTATTTTTGGCAACATTTTGACTTTTGCTATCAATTTCTGAAGAATAGTTTTAAAAAATCTGTTTTTCATCACTCTGCTGATGTTCAATAAAAACTAATAATCTGAACTAAAAATGTCAAACCAGAAGAAAAAAGGGAGGTAGAGAAAAAATTATAAAGGGCTGGCTAGGTTATAAACAAGTAAGATAACGAAGTTTTGACCTGGTTACTAGCTGAAATAATATAAGGGCTGAGCATCCCAAATACAAAAATCCGAAATCTGAAATGCTCCAAAATCTGAAACTTTCTGAGGGCCTACCTGATGCTCAAAGGAAATTCTCATTGGAGCATTTCAGATTTTAGATTTTCATATTTGGGATGATGAACTAGCAGCAGAACACAAATATTCTAAACTCTCAAAAATTTCAAAATCTGAAACACTTCTGGTCCCAAGCATTTTGGAAAGGGATACCCAATCTGTATCAAAAACTAAAGTATAAAAGAGACAACTTACGAGATAGCTGCAGACAAAAATACATTTTACCTATCCAGATTCATGCTGGGAATTATTAAAGTACCAGAATCTTCATTCTTAGCAATACTGATCACAGTACTGGCATTATTTATAGTGGCAACAGGAAAAAAGCTCAGAGTTAGACAATACGGAATGTGGATACACTTTTAAAATGCTCAATGTCTATTCAGGGGCAGTAACAATGTACTGACACCTCCATTTCTCTTTGGCTCTACCTATGTACTTGCGGCATGAAGCATGTCTATTACGGATTAACAATCTCACTCTCCCAAGCTGTCCTTAAAGGGTAAAACATTAAGTTTTTAAGTACATTTTTTCATTTGTTTTGCTTAGGGGTTAAGAGGCTAGAATGAAAAAGAAAAGGTTTTTGTACAATATTAAGATACTTGTGAACTCATGGCTTGAACTCTACAGTGAGATTACTGTATTTAAAAAGGACAGACCCCTTCCTTTGTCTTTGTGGTTAATGGCACTAATAATTACTAGAATCCCCAAAATGTCTTAAAATACTCAGACATCTGTATCTATTATTTGTTTTTTAAAATAACACAGAATTTTAAAGAGATGATTTATCTTTTTTGATGATCCATGCAATATCCTAAGTGTTATAGTTCACAATTTAAAAAATATTCCCTTTATAAAAGATAAGCTATACTGATTAAATAAGAACTAAATTTTAAAAACTCTCACAATTTTACTGACTGAATTTTGAAATGTGACGTCCCCTAACCTGCAAAAAAAAAAAAAAAAAAAGGGCTTGATATATTTCAAAGGAAAAAAACAAAAACTTCAAACAAAATTCCCAGTTATTTAGCTGCACCCTCTGCTGGTTGTTCACAGTAACTGTAATTTATTGACAAAGCCAAGAAAGGAAAATACAAAAATGAAATCAGTTTTTTTGTTGAGTCAGATAAAGAATAATTTGTCTGCTATTCCTATGGTAAAAACAATCTCAATTTTAAAATAAAAAAATTTATATTGCTGTATCTTACTACACAATTTAAAAAATGTATGAATTCTTTAGATGCATTTAAATATCTGACTTTTAAAAAGCAGTAATCAGTCACTAGCTCTCCCTTAAGATAAATTTTCTCTTTACTCTTTGACCTAATGTAGCAGTACTAAGAAATATGTTTGCTGCTCACACACAAAAAAGAACAACCAATAAAAATGAACTTTAAAACTTCCAGAATAGTATTTTTTTGCAGAATGGGTAGTTCATCTAACACATAGGGCTTTCATGGACATCATTTAAGATATATGTACAAATGTAGAGTGTCACATAAGTTATTTTCACTCAAATGAGCAGTACTGGGCACTATGCTAGATCATGAGGAAATGGAAATAAAGTTGTAACTTCTGACCTAGAGGAATATCAAGCTTGTAATATGGTATGTATATGCATATAACCTTATATATATATATATAAAACATATATATAAAACCTTTTATATACATGTATATATAACACTCCATTTGCCATTAATAAAGTTATTTTGTTCCTATAGAGCTTAAAATTCTTGGTTTCTGTGAGGTTTTAATCATATAAAATAGTATCTGCAGTCTGAAATACAAAAAAAAAAGTCCTTATTATCTAAGGATCAAATGAAGAAAAATATAATATTTGGCAAAATAGGCTCCCTTGACTTGAAACACAGCAGGGAAGAAATCTAGTTCTTCTACTCAGGTTGCAATATAAATGCCACTCAAATACCTCAGAACTTCTTCTGCTTGCCAGGCTGCATCTTCTTCTTCTTCCCATGCATTGGTATTTTCCTGCCAGGTATCTAAGTCACCTAATTCAGACTACAATGAAAAGTAAAACAAAATTAAGAGAGTAAAAGCCATCCTTTCTCCACATAGCCGTTAAAAAGAGTATCTTTTAACACATAACTCAGAACCTGTCATTCTCCTATGTCTTCTCAGCTTCCTTACCCTGTCCTATACAAGGCACAGATGATTTTGCTTTTGGCTTGCCTAGAACTGATGTATGACTTTCAGTGTTCAACAGTCCTAGGCAAGGCCAGCTTTCTTCTTTATGTTTCATGGGATACTCTCTTAAATTCTCTTCTTTGCTGTACTTTATTTTGGAAGGAACAAGAACAGAACATGTCTTTTGTTTCTTTCTCTCCTCAGTAAGATGAGGGAGCTGGGGATAGAGTGACAAGAAACTGACTGATCCCAGACTGAATTAGAAATCCTTGACTGGACTAATCTGTGCTGAGAAGAACTGCGAGCTGAAGTTCAAAAACTAGCACAGTCATTCTTCATTTAAGCATATGTAACTTACTGGAGATTTTTTATTGGCACTTACTGTCTCAATCCTAGGCAAAAATGACAAATCATGCAAAATTTATCTTTAATGAAATACTTCTAGGTCATGCTTCCTTTTCCCAGTCTTTCTTACCTGGTATCATCTACTGGTCCCTACCTCTATTTCCCAAGCCAGACCTCTAAAAGTTCACTGTTTTCTTTCAATAACCAATGAAAATGGTCATGCTGGACTGTTTAGGTAGGTGTGGAAGTGACTGTGTGTAAAATAACTGGTACCAATCTGTGAACACATTTATTTAATATCATATTGTTTTAAATACTTACCCCTAAAAATGAAATAGAATGTTTTGAGTTTTCTTCTCCTGAGAATATATGTAATACCATACTCTGTTAAAAATTCTTAAAATATTTCTAATTATTTAATATACATTTCTGAAAGGAGGATTTTTAAAGCTACTGAAACAAAGTGCAAATGACAGCCTTGAAAAGTACCAAGTTATCCTCTTGACCGCAGTAGGTAGAAATCCTGCCTTTTCTTCTCCCTTTTTTTTTTTAGGAATCAGCGTTTCACTTTGTTGCCCAGGCTGGAGTGCATGGTGTGATCATGGTTCACTGCAGCTTCAAACTCCCGGGCTCAAGGGATCCTCCCACCTCGGCTGCCCTAGTAGCTGGGACTATAGGCACATGCCACCACACCTGGCTGATTGTTTTTTACATTTTTTTAGAGATGAGGTCTAGCTATGTTGCTCAGGTTGGTCTTGAACTCCTGAACTCAAGTGATCCTCCTGCCTCAATTTCCCAAATTGCTGGGATTACAAGTGTGAGCCACTGCACTCGGCTGGCTTTCTTTTCTATCTTTACTAATTTGACAAGATTTAAAATTGTATCTTGTTATTTTACTTTGTTTTGTTTGAGACAAGGTCTCACTCTGTCACCTAGGCTGGAGTGTAGTGGTGTGATCACAGCTCACGGCAGCCTCGACCTCTTGGGTTCAAGCAATCCTCTTACCCCAGTCCCTCCCAAGTAGCGAGGACTACAGGCACGCACCACCACACCCAGCTAACTTTTTAATTTTTGTAGAGGGGGGATTTCGCCATGTTGCCTAGGCTGGTCTCGAATTCCTGAGCTCAAGTGACCTGCCCGCCTTGGCCTCCCAAAGTGCTGAGATTACAGGCATGTAACACCTCACTGGGCCTACTTTGAGCACTAATAAGATCAAGCTTTTCTTCAAATTAGGTTATGTCTATTTCTTATTTGTAAATTTCCCATTCATATTATCTATTCTTCCACTAAAGTATTTGACTGTTAGAGTACATAAAATATTTAGATTTTTTTTAAAAAGTAAAACTATAGAGACCATTAAAAAGGGTGGTATCTGATCCTTTAGTAGAGATGGCCTTAGTAAAAAGGAAAAGGGGGAAACCATTGATAGATTTGTCTACATAAAAACTAAATACACCTGCCCAACAAAAATATCCAAACCAATTAACAAACTAAAAAAGTATAAAACATGACATTTATCTTTGGTATAAAAGAACTCTCACAACAATACGAATGATGAATTCTAGAAAAGAATAAAATGTGTAGTTTAAAAGAAGAATCTAATTTGTAGAATGAATGGTAAGATATTTTTGGTATAGAAAACAAAGTCCAATAGGTTACCATCCTCTCCTATGCAATGCCCCTTTATTCTGTCTGCTTGGGAGGAAAATACGTGGAAATAGCAGTGGAGACATTCTCCATCTACCCTATTTACCCCTTCTCAACTCTGTAAGTAGTTGTATATTTAAAACTTTACAATGAGCTATGATAGTATTATAATTATATTTAGGTGGCAAATATTGCTAATTCAGTGGGTGGGATTAAAGCATTTCACCAATATGGATCAAACATTTATGAATAAAATTTAATTTTGAGATATATAAAATAAAAAACATTATAATGCTATGTTATTCAGCTAAGTATTTATGGTGTTATGTGTTCATAGCATCGTGTAACTGCATAGGAATTATCAAAGTTTGTAATTATATTGACGTGTGTGATCATTCATTTAATATCATGTCTCCCCTACTAGAATGCATTTTTCTGAGGCAAAGACCCTTTAATGCCACAGGGCCTGGCTTTAGTAAAAACAGTGTTTTTACTCAATGAATTAAAAACATACATATACATGGGTCCCCTGGGAAGAGGGACCTCAGAAGCAACTGTGCAGTTTAAACAAACAAATAAAATACATAGATTGACAGACAGATGTAATTTAAAAATATGTCCACAAATTCTTTGACATTCCTTCCTTCAAGAGGTGGAGGCTTGCATGTGGGCTGGATTTAGTGGCTTCTAATGAAATAACATGGAAGTGACAGTGTATCACTTATAAAACCACATCACAAAAAGGCATTGTGGTGTCACCCTCACCCATGAGCAAGTGCTCTCACCGTCTTATAACTTACTGGGAAAATCAGGAGTTACATCATAAAGAAATTCAAGCAGCTCCTTGGAGAGGTGCACAGCAAGGAACTGAGGCTTTGTGCAAACAAATAGCATTAATTTGTCAGGTGTAGAAGTGAGCTGTCTTTGAAATGAATCCTTCGACCACAATCAAGCCTTCAGATGATTGTAGCCCCAACCCAATGACTTGTCTGCAAACTCATGAGAAATTCTGAGTTAGAACCACCCAGTTTAGTCACCTGGATTCCCAATCCACAGAAACTGTGTTACATTAATATTTGTAATTATTTTAAGTCACTGAATTTGGAGTTGTTACACAACAACAGATAATATAATCAATCAATCAAAGCATGCTTAAAGCTTAGGTAGGGAGGGGTCTGGACATTTGTGCTTTTAAAAAACCTCCAAAGCTGATTCTGATATGCTCCCAAGGTTGAGAACCTCAGCTGTCTACTTGTTTCATAAATTTTTCCTTTAAAAAGTTTCATTTAAGTCAAACCGTTTAAAATTAAGTCATACTTTGAATGAAAATACACTCTATGAAGAAAACAATTCATAACTCACTTTAAAATAATCTACCATTAGGGTTAATCTCTCATTTTAATGGTAATCTCTCTGATGTTTATATTTTTAAATAACATTGTATCTCTATCTTTCATGTGTACAATGAGACCTTGATCTTAGTATCTAAGGTAATTTACAATCTCATAAAAGGTTAGGATTGGTAAAACTCCAGATTAACTTCTATCAAACTGCTAAACCTGTTTCAAAGTTACAAAAATATAAATACTATGTTAAACTCATTTAGATTTTATTCCTCTGCTTTAAAGAAAACAGAAATACAACAAAACCCTTCCCTAGAACCATTAACATACTTACAGACTGATGAATAAAAGGCAGATCTTGTGTAGCTGCTAATCTACTAGAGAAACCTGTGCTCCCATCTGGGATGCCAAAATTCAATGGTTCTCTCTTCTTAATAACAATCTGAAAGATTAATTGAAAAAGAATTATAGGGATCTTTTACAAATCACTACATAAAAATAGACAACCAAAACATTTTCTAATTACTTAAAATATTTCTTCTTAAAATTTATAATGTAAAAACTAAAAAAAAAGTCTGTAAATACCAATTTCCCAGGGAATTGTTGTACAAATCAGTTACATACTAAGAAAAATTGTATTTCACTTTTAAAAATTAATACAGGCCCATTTTCTTTCTTTCTATCCTACTTTCCCCAGACCTCAAAATATAATCAATCACTTTTAGTTACTGTATTAAATAACAACAGGTATCATATCCTGCCAATAGTATTAACAACTCTCTCAGCATGTGAGATACCTATGAATACATTAACTCATTCAGGCCAGTAGCATCAAAATACACTTATATGATATGTTGGTAGCCTCATTTAAAGCATTTCCATTCTAACTAATTTAATAAGGCACTATAGCAATATACTAGGTTCCTACTGAGAGCAGCAGTATACTTCCACAATGCAAGGTATTCATCTATTAAGAAACTCACTTAAAGGATCCTTTAAAAATACACAATTTAATGTGTTTTAGCATTGAGACATTTGGACAACTCAACAACAAAGAATGTAAATGTTATCAACCTAGACAATGTAAATATAAATGTATAGCTGAAATCAGCTGAGAGAAAGAAGGTGAGGAACAACTGTATTAGAAAATGTGAAATAATGTCCTAATTTTTATGAAGTGTGTATGTGTGTGTGTTTATATATATATATGATAAAAATATTTTCTATGTTTGAATAAGAAAGTGAACTTTAAGTGTGTTTTTCTGATATAGCAGAGTGATTAGTGAGGTAGACTGGAATAAAGGAGAGGGAATGGTAGTAAGAAATAAATCTTCATTTACCATAGTATGAATGTCAGTGGACAATGTCTGTTACTGGTAAACAAGAAATGGCAATATAACCATATAGATAGATACGATGACAAACACTTGAAGAAATCCAAACAGAAAATTATTGAGTGGCTGTTTCTTGGAAGAACTGGCTAAGAGTGATGGGTCAGAAGTCTCACTTTTCATTATAAGTTCTTCTACAGTTTTTGATTTAAAAAAAGTACATGTACTATTTTGATAAATAAAAACGAAAATACTCAAGCATTCTGTTTTTTCCAGTAATTCCCTGCATCTCTAAATGATCTTCCATATTCAATTCAAAAGGGATTAAATAATGTATGGATGACTAACACAAACTCACAATTACTCTTAAGTTCTTAGAGTCCTGCATCAGTTTTATAATGGTTACAAACAATAAACTCTACCTATCAGTTTGTAGATATTACTGAAGTACAAACTTGTTAGAACTCTTATCCAATTCACCTTAGTCTCCATGGCAGAGACTGGAGTCTAGAATCTGACATATAGTAGGATTTCGATACATATATAAATATAATTTTAAAAGACTTGGGGTACAACTTACTAGAACTATGTCTAGGTCATTTGAACATATAAAATTCTTACTTAACATGACAGAAAACAAACAACTGATAATTAGAAATATGCTGATAGACTGGATTAAGAAAATGTGGCACATATACACCATAGAATACTATGCAGCCATAAAAAAGGATGAGTTCATGTCCTCCATAGGGACATGGATGAAGATGGAAACCATCATTCTCAGCAAACTATCGCAAGGACAAAAAACCAAACACTGCATGTTGTCACTCATAGGTGGGAACTGAACAATGAGAACACATGGACATAGGAAGGGGAACATCATACACTGGGGCCTGTTGTGGGGTTGGGGGAGAGGGGAGGGATAGCATTAGGGACATACCTAATGTTAAATGACGAGTTGATGGGTGCAGCACACCAACATGGCACATGTATACATATGTAACTAACCTGCATGTTGTGCACATGTACCCTAAAACTTAAAGTATTAAAAAAAAAAAAAGAAATAGGCTTTCTAATAAATGTGAATTGTATCACCTAATTTTAACTATAGGAATCTAAAAAGTAGTTTAATCTCCAAAAGCATAAATCTTAACATACTTTCTGAGTTTTCCTAATAGTTGGTGTCATGTCCTTAAAATAGTCAGGTTCCAGTTGTTCCAAAGAATTTTGTTGTGTTGCCACATTCCCATTCCCTCCTTCGATCTTTACACTGGTGGGTGCATCTTCATCCCAGGAAGTCCACTCTTCAACATCTGTCTAAATTTAATTGATCAACATTATCAGCCACAAAGGGGCAACTTAATGAACACATCATTGATGATTTATTAGAAAAATGGGCTTTCTAAAACACTGGTTTTCAAACTTTTTTAACCCACGGGAAAACATACATTTCATATCACAGATCAAAACTTGATCAAAAGTTCAAAAAATACAAGACATTCTGATATATTCTGTTCTATTTTATTCTATTATGTCCATCAAAAAACAAAAAACAAAGTAAAACGAAAGCAAATGCTCTGAAAACTGAACTGACATTAAAACTACAACTCACAGAAGGGCTGGACATTTTCACCCAAGCCTATCCAGATTGATCATCTGATAAAAAATACCAAGCTTCTCCACAGGATTTAAATAAGATGAAGTCTCAAAACATAGTATTCAAAATGTTCATGAAACAACCCAGAATTATTCAGCATATAAAAACAATACATCTAAATTTGCAAGGCAAGTTAATCAACAGATACCAACACCAAAATGATATGTTGGAATTCTCTAAGGCTTTAAAATAGCTATTATAAAAATGCTCCAACAAACAATAGCAAACACTTGAAACCAATGAAAACACAATAGAAAATGTCAACAAAGAAACAGAAGATAAAATGTAGAACCAAATAGAATTTTCAGACCAGATAAATTTAACAACACAACAAAAATTAATTTCTATTAATGATCTGCAATCCAGTTTTTAAAATATTGTTCTAGGACACTTATTCAATCTTTCAAAACAAAACAAAACAAAAGAACACACAAAAAAAACCTACCTGCTTAGGAACTGATGAATAATCAACTGTAGTTGGCAAAGTTATTTGGTCTCCACTTAATTTCCGTCCTCTGCCAGATCTGAAACAAAAATGAAATAATTTATTTCAAGAACCACCAAAACAAGCAAAGTAAAAGCACTATTATGTATGGTAATTGAAGGCTTATAAAACAAGATCTTTCTCAATTTTATGATTATTGATTTTAGTAACAGTTACTCACTAATTTATGGTAAAAAAAAGTCATAAATCAGACATCCTGTGAATGTTTTTTAAATCTTGGACAGAACAACATAACTGCTTTTTGGCTTAGGACTCAGAATTATAAACAAACTCAAGAGGAATATAAAGTCAAAAATAAAAATGCAAGACGGTTTCAGAGCATGCTCCTTGGAGTGCTGTGGGTTCTGTGGGTGAAGTTCTGGGCCACCTTTGCTGTTTTAAACAGGGTGGCTTGGCTTTTATGTTTTACACATGGGGTTTCTTGATAAGATTAACTATTAAGAAGTTTAAAAATCACTAGTTTGAACCAAATGGTAACTTACTTTTAAGGATTAGTAGGAAAAGTACCACATTCAACAGGACGTACTATAACTCAGTTGTTAAGAACATGGGCTGTGGAATCTGTGTAAACCACAGTTTTCAATGTTACTTCTATTATGTCTAGTTAGAATTACCTACTTTTCAGCCTCAACAGCCTCATCTATAAAATGCAGGTATTCAAACCCACTTTTGCAGGGTTGTTTGGATTTAATTAAGTGACATATTTAAAAACCCTAGACAGTGTGTGCCTGCTACATAGCACAACATACAAAAAATGGCAGGTAATAGAGATAATTAGTCATTTACTTCACTTCAAATAATCTATAAAAAAAAAAAGCATCAACTAAGAACTAAGAACGATAAAGTCAGCTATTTTTATTACAGATTCAAAGCTATATTTGTTTAAAGGGTGAATAGAAAAGTAATATAGTCCTTTATGAAATTTATGATACAAGCGTGTTTTTCCTTTCCATAGAGATGGGGTCCTGCTGTGTTGCCCAGGCTGGTCTTGAACTCCTGGCCTCAAGCTATCCTACCCCCTCGGCCTCCCAAAGCATTGGGATTACAGGCATGAGCTACCATGCCTAGCCAAGTCTGGTATTTTAAAATACATGGTCTAAGGTTCCTTCAGACACCAAAGAGAAGCTTATCCTAACATATGGTCAGTTTTCTTTAAAACTGAACATACAATCAATTCTAAATATGTATACATTTACAACAGAAATTTATAGTGCCAATAGGAATGTCCTTAATATTTTTACATCAAGAAAATTTCTTATCCTAGAAGTAATCTATATTTAATGAAAATTTTAAAAAATAGAAGTATAAGAAGAAAACATCTACATTTCATCACCACTGTTAACACAATGCTTCTTTTAACTTCCTGCCTTCTGGCAATTAATACCCATTTTTAATGTTGCTTTACCTGGTGAATTTCTGGCCATTCTCTTCCTCATTCTCTGGTAATTTGAACACTTAGTTTGCTCCTTTTTCTACTTCCCAAATCCTATCCTCTTGGGTGATTTCAAGTCAACCACCTAAATTTTCCATTTCTTTCTTCACTTCTGCCCCAGTGATCATCCAGAGATGATCATTTCACCCACTTGTTCTCTTGCAATACCCTGGATTTTTTTTTTTTTTTTAAATCCCAGACCACTCTACTTTTAGCAATAAGTTCAATTTAGCAGCTATCAAATGGTCATATAGCCAGAGACTGCAGTTCCTATCCTTCCTTGCAGCTAGGGGGCCATATGACTAAGCTCTGGAAAGCAGGCAGTGCAAAAATTGTTGTGTGTAACCTCTAAGTCATGTCTATATATATTAAAAAAAGAGCTGATTGCTGTCCATTTCCTCTTTTACTATACCCTCCTCTTAGTATGTAAGTAACTTTTTCACAGTACCCTTAGGCCACAGAAACACCTAACAATTCCACTGAATAAGGTAGTTACACCCAAAAAACTTAAGTATATCCTAACTGCTTAGTAGCCATTGTAAAAAATACACATTTAAAGAAAAAGTAATATTTTTATTTTATTCTTAAATAACCACAATCACTGAACTTATTAATGAAATTTGTGTGCCTGTTGAACACTGCACAGCTTCTTATGCCTTAGAATAAGACTGGAGACCATCATTCTTGTTTTCAGTTCTACATTAATTTTGGTGCAGTACTCGCTTTTAATTACAACCTAAAATCCTGGCTTTGCAATGAGATGTCACCAAAAATATAAGTAAACAAAAACTTATCTCAAACATTAAAGAACACCATCATAAAAAAATACTGCAGGATTTAATGTTGCAAATGTGAACTACTTTGAGTTGAGGTATTCAACAGATGCTATCACTATGTTTCACTGCAAAATTTAAAATATTCTATGGCATCCCTGTGAATTTCATGTAAAGCCCTGAGGTGCCTCAGCACACATTTTAGACATCATAGCTCTTGGGTATGATCGTGTGACAAAACAGAAGGAACTGAAGTCTACAGATGATGTCCTAAAGCAAATGACTTACCTGCTCTTGACTTCCTGCATATTCTAGAATGTTACTCAAACAGAAAAAAAAATTTTTTTTTTTTAGGATTTTTCTTAGGATTTTTTTTTAAATATAAAAACAACACTATTGTAGTATAGACAGAAATACCTATTCCGAATTTCACCTAACCACTTTAAAACATTCCCATAATGAAACGAATACATCAAAGTTCTGTGATGATTATAATAATGAAAGTTGGTCTGTCTATTCCTAAATAGTATTAAGCATGTTATTTTAGTGGAAAGTGTAAGAATTTGAATGAACAAAACAACTGAACCTCTATTTTCTAGATCTGAAGTAGAGAAAAAGTATCTAAAAATGACTAGGAATTAATGAATAAATACTGCAATCAAGATATTCAGCTTAAATATAACCTGTCCTGTCCACGAAATTTGAAGTTTTGAAGGTATCCAAAACCAGCGAGGAGATAAACAGGTTAGTTTGAACATAAAACTTATTTACCTGCATATTAATCTCTTTAGGAATGAGAATACTGTTGCTAGGCAGGTACAAAATTTAAATAACCGAAACTGGGTGATGGCCATGGTGGGAATCAAAACCTGTGGAAGAGGCACAAAACAAAAAATGCATTAAATTGATTTCAAAAGTCATACTCCTGTCCTGAAAAGACCTATTATGCACTAAGAAAAATCTAAGATATTTTTTACCTTTCTCTAGAAACTATAACACAGTAAATTTTAAAATTATAATTTAAATCATATTAACAAGTCAAAAACCAGGTTTTCGAGTTTTCAATGGTTGTAAGGATAAAACCCTTCATTCTGAGTTTTTGAAAATAATTTTACCTAAATCTATTAATACAAAAATCTACAATTCAAAAAATAAAAAAGTATAAAATAGAATATATTAAATCTCTGTGTACCTTTTAAAGTTTGAACCACATGAACATAATACTATTTAAAATACTTTAAATATTTTTAACTTGCAGATGAATATATTTCCTTATATCCATTTTATAGATGAGGAAATTGAATTAAGAGAGGTCAAATAACTTGACCAAAGTCACATAGCTAGTAAATTGAAAGTTACCATGGAGCTCATTTAGTCCAGTGGTTCACAAATCTGGGAATCTATTAAAGAAATGCCAATACCTAGGAGTACCTCTAGTAAGTCCATTAAATCATATATTCTGAGGGGCAAGGACTGGTCATAACCAATAAGACAAGCAGGGAGATAAAAACTACTCAATTGAAAAGGCAGCAGGAAACAAAGAAAAGAGAACAAATAACACATGGGACAAGCCAAAAACAAATAAGATGACAGACGTAAATCTAACCATATCAATAATCTCATTAAATGCAAATTGTATAGCATTCCAATTGAAAAGCAGAGATTGTTAGATTGAATAAGAAAGAAAGACCGCCCCACTCCATGTTGCCAATGAGAAATGCATTTTAAATAAAAAGACACAAATAGGTTAAAAGTAAAAGGATAGGAGAAAATATACTATGCTAGCACTAATCAAAAGAAAGGTGAAGTGACTATTTCAATGTTAGACAGATTATAGGAAAAATAACATTACCAGGTATAAAAGTGGTCATTTCACAGTGATAAAGGGGTCAATTAATAAAAAGTACATAACAATCTAAAACACGTGTCCTTAATAACAGACTTTTGCCAATATCATAAACAAGACAGATAACATTGTTAGAGTCTGCAGATATTAAAAGGATACTGAAGAACTATTACAAACACCTTTGTGCCTGTATTTACTTGACAAGTGAGATGAAATGGACAACTTCCCTGAAAGACACAAATTACTAAAGCATAAGAAGAACAACCTGAAAATCTATATATCTATTAAAGAAATTATATTTGTAGTTATAAAAATCTCCCAGACACAGATGGCTTCACTGGTAAATTCTACAAAACACTTAGGAAGGAATAATACCAATTCTATACAAACTGCCAAAAAACTGAAGAAGGAATATTTCCCCAACTCATTATTTGAGGCCAGTATTACACTGATACTAATCCAAAGATATTACTAGAAAAGAAAACTATTAATATTCTATGAATCTAGACACAAATCTCCTTAGCCAAATATTAGTAAATTAAATCCAACAATATATAAATGGATACTACATTGTGAAAAACTGGTGCTTAGTTTGGAAATGTTGGATTGGTTTAACATTTAAAAATCAAATGTCATTCACTATATTAGCAAACTAAAAACAAAAAACCATATAAACATCTCAATAGAGACAGAAAAAGCCTTTGACAAAACTCAACATCCATTCCTGTTAAAAAAAAAAATTGCAGCAAAGTATAAGGGAACTTTCTCAACCTGATCAAAAACATCTATGAAAAACCTACAGTAATATGAGACTTAATGGTAAAAAAATTTGATAATTTCTCCCTAAGATCATGAACAACACAAGCATGTCTGCTTTTTCTACTTTTAGTCAACATCGTAGTGGAAGTTCTGGCCAATGCAATCCAGCAAAAAAAAAAAAAAAAAGAAAAAAGAAAAAAATAGAAAAGAAATAAAAGGCATCCAGAATGGAAAGGCAGAAATAAAAGTGTGATATTCTATGTGGAAAATTCAACGGGATCTACCATTAATTGTATTTCTATACGTTAACAACAATCAATAAGAAATTGAAACGTTAAAAAAATTTATATAGGCATAAAAAAATGATACTTGAGGACAAATCTAATTAAGGACTTGACTACTGAAAACTATCAAATATTGCTGAGACAGTTAAAAGGCCTATTAATTTAAAAAGACTTTTTCAGAGACAGAATATTTTTATTAAGATATCAACATTTCCCAAAATGAGTTATAGATTCCAGGCAATCTCAACCAAAATCTGGGCAGGTTTTTTCTTTAAAACTTGACAAGCTAATTTCTAAAGTTCATATGGAAATGCAAAGAACGTATATAACAGCCAAAACAACATTGAAAAAGAACAAGGTAAAACAGCTAGCACTATCTGGTTTCAAGACTTGTTATAAAGCTTCAGTAATCAAAACTGTGTAGTATTGGAATCAAAATACACGAATAGATCAATGGAAAGTAAAGGAATAGACCCACGTATATACAAAAACTGAAATCTGATAAAGATGCAAAGGTAATTCAGAGAGAAAAGAATAGTTATTAAGAAAAAAAAAGTGCTGGTTAAACTGGATATCCATATCCATATGGAAAAAATCAAAACAAAAACCTTCTATATATATCTGGCACCAGTTAAAAGTAATTAAAAATAGATTATAGACCTAAATGTAGTCTGAAACTACAAAATTTGCAAGAAAAAAAAACAACACAACTTTGTGACCCTGGGTTAGGCAAAGATTTTTAGGTAGTACAACAAAAGCACAATCCATAAAATAAAAGATTAGTAAATTGGATTTTATCAAAATTAAAAACTACAATTCAAAAACACTATTAATGGAATGAAAAGACAAATCACAGACTGAGAGAAAAATCCTTGCAAAGCATATGTCTAATAAGGGACTTAAACCCAGAATATATAAGAACCTCTCAAAATTCAAAAATAATTTTTAAAAACTCAATTTAAAAACGAGCAAAAGGTCTAACTAGACATTTCATCAAAAAACATATACAAGGCCAGGCGTGGTGGCTCACACCTGTAATCCCAGCACTTTGGGAGGCCGAGGCGGGCGGATCACGAGGTCAGGAGATCAAGACCATCCTGGCCAACACGGTGAAACCCTGTCTCTACTAAAAATACAAAAAATTAGCCGGGCATGGTCGCGGGCACCTGTAGTCCCAGCTACTCAGGAGGCTGAGGCAGGAGAATGGCGTGAACCTGAAAGGCAGAGCTTGAAGTAAGCCGAGATCACGCCACTGCACTCCAGCCTGGGCAACAGAGTGAGACTCCATCTCGAAAAAAAAAAAAAGAACATATACAATGGTAAATAAGTAGATTAAATGATAGTCAACATCTTTAATCATTAGAAAAATGCAAATTAAAGCCACAGTGAGAAATTATTACATACCTACTGGGATGATTCAAACTAAACATAATGACCATAGCAAGTACTGGTGAGGATTTGGAACAACTGGCACGCTCACACTTTGGTGGTGGGAAAGTAAAATGTACAACCACTTTGAAAAACAATTTGGTAGTTTCTTACAAAGTTTAACAAACATCTACCATATGACCCAGCCATTCTACTCCTAGTAATCTACCCAAGATAAAGAAAAGTATATAGCCATATAAAGACTTGTATTTGAAGGCTGAGGCAGGAGAATAGCTTGAATGCAGGATGCGGAGGTTGCAGTGAGCTGAGATTGAGCTACTGCACTTCAGCCTGGTGACAGAGCAGGACTCCGTCTCAAAAAAAAAATTGAAATAAATAAATAAATAAAAGACTTGTATTTGAATTGCAGCTTTATTTTTATTTAATAGCTCCAAACTGGAAACAACACAAATGTATATCAACAGGTGAGTGGACAAACAAATTGTAGTATATAAATACAACAGACTACTTACTACTCAGCAATAAAAAGGAATGAACTATTGTTACAAGTAATAGCATGACTATATCTCAGAATAATTATACTGAATGAAAAGAGTCAGACCACCAAAAAAATATACACTGTATGATTCCATATATAGTATTTTTTAAGCTCTAGAACAGGGGTGTCCAATCTTTTGGCTTCCCTGGGCCACACTGGAAAAAGAATTATCTTGGGCCACACATAAAATACACTAACACTAACCAGAGCTGATAAGCCTAAAAAAATTGCAAAAAAATCTCATAATGTTTTAAGAAAGTTTACTAATTTGCATTGGGCTGCAGTCAAAGCCATCCTGGGCTATATGAGGCCCACAGGCAGCAGACTGGACAAGGTTGCTCGAGAAATTATAAACAAATATAGAGTGACAGAAAATATCAGCAGTGCCTTGTAATGAGGCAGGGAGAAGTGGGAAGGAAGGATCACTGACAGACATGACGAAACTTTTGGAGGTAATGGATATACTTACGGCTTCAGTTGTGGTGGTTTCATAGGTGAGTGTATATATATTCATCAAAACTAATCAAATTGTATACTTTAATTATATACAGTTTATTGCATTTCAATTAGAGCTCAAAAGAGCTGTTAAAACAATCTACACGAAGACATTTTTGAACAATATTATGTCACTTAAATTAGAACAGTGTTCATATTCTGGTTAGAATACTGTTTTAAAAACTCATTAACACCATCATAATCTTGTATCAATTATTTGTTACTTTCTAGAAAGCCAACTTCCATTAGGAAACTAGGACAATTAGTGAAAAGAAACATTATTTCAGAACTTCTCTAAAAACAGAAATCTGATTTCACAATAGCATTTCAATATACTGTAATAGCTTACTTTATATTTCATAAAAAGCATTCTTCTTAGTGATTAACATGTAATACTCATTCAATGCTCACAACAACCCTGGGAAGGACTTGAAGCAAGTACTATTTTGTCTCTACTTCAGATAAGAAAACTAAGGCACAGCGGGGTTAAGTAAGCTGCCAAAGATACAGAACTGATAAGTTATAGAACTGGAATTTGAACCCAAAGAGTCTGGTTGTAGTGTCTCAGTCCTTAAATATCACACTCATACTGCCTCCCTATGATTAAATAACAAGATATATGTCTTTATGAAAGAGATGATATAGGAATTGAAAACTACAGCCATAGCAATGATAGGAATAAAGATTCTAAAAATGATAAAACTATGCTGGGCGCGGTGGCTCACGTCTGTAGTCCCAGCGCTTTGGGAGGCTGAGGCGGGCAGATCACGAGGTCAGGAGTTCGAGACCAGCCTGGCCAATATGGTGAAATCCCGCGTCTACTAATAATACAAAAATTAGCCAGGTGCGGTGGCACATGCCTGTAGTTCCAGCTACTCAGGAGGCTGAGGCACGACAATCACTTGAACCCTGGGAGGCGGAGGTTGCGGTGAGCTGAGATCACATGACTGCACTCCAGCCTGGGCAACACAGTGAGACTCCATTTCAAAAAAAAAAAAGGTAAAACTGGCATTATTTTGGTAGCCTTTTTTTTTTTTTTTTTTTTTGAGACACAGTCTCGCTCTGTTGCCCAGGCTGGAGTGCCATGGTGCAATCTCAGCTCACCGCAACTTCCGCTTCCCGGGTTCAAGCAATTCTCCTGTCTCAGCCTCCTGAGTAGCTGGGACCACAGGTGCCTGCCACCACACCAGGTTAATTTTTGTATTTTTAGTACAGACAGGGTTTCAGCATGTTGGCCAGGCTAATCTCGAGCTCTTGACCTCAAGTGATCCACCCCCTCAGCCTCCCAAAGTGCTGAAATTACAGGTGTGGGCCACCACGCCCGGTCTGTATCCTTTTTAAACATGGTTCTTAATTTCCAAATTTTTCTTATACATCTTAGTCACCTATACTATATATGTATTGCATATATTGTATACTATATATGTACTGCATATATTTACCCTAATAATCACTATTTAATTTTAAAAATTTCTTAAGATGAGTTTTGGCACAAGTTAAAGTTGAAAACTTAAGTAACTATGACAATGTCCCGACTAAGAGCCTCAAAATACACACGAAAGAGGGAAAAAAATCTGTTAATCCATTAGAGATAGTCATTTTTCCACTGTTGAGAGGTAGAACAGACCACATGTTAAATCAAGTCACAAGAAATACACAGGCAAACATACATATGTGTGTGCATATGTGCACACACTTACAGGAATAACATTACTGATAATGGAATCTCATGTCTTAGCTTTTCCTTGCCTTCTCTTTGTCAAAGGAGGAGAATTACTATGTATTCAGAATCATGATTCCTGTCATTGGAACAGCTGGAGAATACGTCATCCAACTTCTTAAATTTTCTAAATGAGGAAACTAAGATACACTGAAGTTAACGGTTCTGCTCAAGGTGAAACAACCAGGTAATAACAAAATCACAACTAAAACAGACTGGCCTCTCAATCCATTAGTAACACCTTTAGAAACAATCACAACACTTGATTAATACAATTATTTAGAGTGCTGACTTCTTAAAACAAAAAGAAAAAACATACAGTAATTTGATAGTTTTTTTTCCCAGAATAAAAAAGCACAAGCAGTATATTTGGACTTCAGTTCTACACATACTTACTTAAAAGCGGATAAAACCTAACTTAAGTAATAATTATCATGTGACCACATTAAAGGGACAGCTATATACCTTTTTAAAATTGAAATGTTAATTAGTTTTTTAATTACCTTACATGAGCATAAGATAAGCAATAACATTTAGAAACATAAGGAGTAAAATCATCCTGGATAAATACACCATCCCTGTACTATAACATACTTTTTTTTTTTTTTTTTTTTAATTGAGATAGAGTCTTGCTGTGTCACCCAGGCTGGAGTGTAGCAGTACAATCTTGGCTCACTGCAACCTCTGTCTCCTGGGTTCAAGTTATTCTCGTGCCTCAGCCACCCCCAAATCTGAGACTACTGGCACATGCCACCACACCCGCTAATTTTTGTATTTTTACTAGAGACGGGGTTTCGCCATGTTGGCTAGGCTGGTCTCGAACTCCTGGCCTCAAGTGATCTGCCTGCCTCAGCCTCCCAAAGTGCTGGGATTACAGGTGTGAGCTACCATGCCCAGCCCATGCTTTTTAAAAATGCATTTCATGGGGATTCAAGACTCCTAAAGTCTTGAAAAAAGCAGCTTTTTACCTAATAAAATATTACATTGAATAGGTTAAAAATTATATAGTAAAAAAAAATGGTCATCTCTGATAGGGTATACTGAAGCATTAGAGAGCTAAGATCTAATATCTCAATCTGAGTAGTAACACCACATACTTGACTGTATGTACTGTTTGTATGCTATACCTCAATACGAAAGTTCCAAACAAACACATAAAAAATAAGAACAAAACAAAATCAGAAAGCCAGAAAAACATACTTAACTCTCATAGTATCTGATCTTGATTGCTCTGTAAAGGCATCATTGCCAATTTCTTCTAAGGAAAGGCAAAACGCACACTAGTCTTTTCTATTTCTAGGGTCAGAAGGGGCTTGTAGGCTATTAAGGTACAAAGACAGGGCTCTAAAATGTTACCTTAGCAATACTCAAGTAGTTTTGTACATATGGAGGCTGTCTCTCCATATAAGCTGAAAGATTTACTGAATGCCTAACCTGGAAGTGGCCTACTAATTGACAGGATGAAAAGAACAGTGACTGTTAAAAAAAAAAAAAAAAAAAAAAAAAAAAAAAGAACCAGAATATTAAAAATTGTACTCGAGTTATTTAAATACTTCTGTCAAAAACATCCCAACCAGTGGTTTACTCAAGTTCAAATCATGCAACAATGCTGACTCCTCCTTTCTTTCTCCTTACACCTAATTGCCAAAAAGACCCTATTCAATTTCCCAGTACTGCCCATATTCTTTCCTATTTCCACTGTAATCTATCTAGCATAAGCCTTTACTACCTCTTGCTGGAGTACTGTAAAGTCTTCTTAATTCTAGTATTTTACTCTTCCCAAGAAACAACATTTTTTATTTTGTATTATGGTTATTTCTATACCTTACTTTGCCCTGTACAACCCTTCTCTAGAGTATTTTATTCATTTGGTACCTTCAGTTACCATTTGCAAAGTAAGACTTGAAAAAAAAGTTTGATTGCTTCATTATGAGTAGAATGATCTGAAAAATTATGATGGTGAACAATCACTTCATTTAAAGCTGATTTGTCAAGAACAAAACTCTCAATCAAAAGAAAACTTTCTCAAATGAAAATTAGCCTAAATTTTCTGAAAAATTATAAGAAAAAAGAGCCAGAAAAGAGACTACAGAACGTGTGGTACTTGGCAGGGAAGGAAATAGAATCAAGGAGATACTCTATCAGTATGTTGTGAAGAAAAATGATATTTACCATTTGGGACTGTCAGTTTTAGGATATACATGAATAAAAGTTGAGAATAAATTTCATAAACTGCCCTAGTAACCACAGCCATCACCTTTCCAAATATTGTTAGTGTCATTGTTTTATAAATATTTGCCAACTTGAATAACTTCAATGCTAACTGGAGGTAAAATTTAAAGGTTGTTTTTTTTTTCCCAATAAAAAATAGAAACTGGGTCTTTTAGTGATTACAGAATAGAATTCTCTCCCTAGCAATCAAGAATATCCTCATTCTGCAGAAAACTTCCTTTTGTGATTAATAAAAGAGGAGAACTGATACTCATTGACTGTCTACTATGAACCATGCACTATCAAAATGTTAACACACAACTCAAAAAGCCATCTTATGACATAGATACTATTGTCCTTGTTTCATTGAATTAAACACAGAGTAAGCACATCCAGTGACTCCATTCAAACCTAGGTATATTTAATTCAAAAGCCAAGAACATCTCATGAACAAGGAACATTCTTAATAATTCAGTGATACTACCACTTCCAAGATAAATTTTCCAACCAGTTGCACTAAAATAGGGAAAATGCGATCAAGCCACACTTTGATTTTATCAATCACACTGACTGGCAGGCAGGAATATCCTTTGAGACCTGTATTTACTTAATGTCCCTATTCATCTAAATGAATATATATTAGCACCTACTATGTTTCAGTCGCTACTTTGGATTTGGAAGCTGGGAAATACTACCAACTCCGCATGGGGAAACTCTGCGTTCACTCCCAGTTGTCATGAGCTTGCCCATAAACTTATCCCTGAGGAATGCAAGAAACTAAGGAGGCAGGACGTCCATCAGTCTTGCTCATTCTGGTATTTATAGGTCTCAGTCAAAGCCGGGCACATAGTAGGTACTCAAATATTTGTTGAATGGAAGGAAACTAACATTCCTTGAGCACTTGAACGCTCAAGACAATGTTCGATCACCTCACTGGAATCCTAAGGACAACCAAAAGAGGTAGGTTTTTCACTACTCCCGTTTAATAGATGAGGTTGACAGACTTAGATTCACTTACCCAGGATTTAAAGGGACTGACCCGAAAGCCCAAGGCTCTCCCTACATCATATCCTACTTAAGAAACCTTTTAATTGTGTGCACATTGCCTCAGTGCGATTTTTGAAATGCCCTCTAGATCACCAATTTGATAAGTATCTTACGCTACTTTACACTTTAGTTGCTTTAAAACACTTTCTAGAACGGAACAATGTTAATATAATCTAATCTTAACATTAAATTTCCTTAAAAATTACAAAGACAAAAATTTGAGGTATATCAGAATGAGATTCAAAACTATGAGGCAATGTATCCTCATTAAGGCTTTTTGAAGAAATGACAACTCTAGGAAATCAAGAATGAGAGCTCTGCCATGTTAACGGAAAAAAAATACAATTAAAAAAAGAATGCTACATTAGAAACTGATAGATCAAATGTATTATATCTTTTCTTGTTGAAATTCTCGGTAAACTGCTAGAGGTCCTTTCAAGTAGCCTCAATACATCACAATTCACAAAACAAGCAAAGCCAAAATCTATGTTCGGTACATACTAAACAGGTGCTGTATTTCTAAAACTCTATTTACGAATCTTTTCATACCAAAATTTGAAAACCATATGATCTAGTACAGTCCAGAATATCCTCAAACTATAACTCTCTGAAGTGGGTTAGAAAATATTACAAAGCTCCCAAAATAAAATTTACCTGAACTCACTTAAATTTGATAAATAAAGGTTTGAGCAGCGGCCCGTAAGAGAAGGGGAAACAGAAGCGGAGTGTGAGAGCTGGTAGTAAAATCGAACATTCTGTGCCATGTCTGGCAACCGAGAGTCAGGCCCTCAAGTATGTGACACCACTGGGGCGGTTCCGAAGGCGGAGTAAGGTCTCCAGAATAACTCAAAAGGAAAGAGTTTCATAACTTAAGTGGTTTCATTTCAGATTACCCACGTGAAATTTGTTGATGAAAAAAAAATCATACCCACTGCACAGATGAGAAAAACAGGAGCGTTTTCAGGTTATACAAGCCGACGCCTGGCGCCCGGCGTGACGTGAAACGCTCTAAGTTGCTGGAGCTGGATACCAGGTGAACTGAGATTTAAATTGTGGAAAAATCGGCCTGGAGAGGTACAAGGCCTGTAGACGGAGGGCAGTAAGGTCACGCAAATTTCCCTGAGGAAGGCGGCTTTGGAGGCTGCGTGCTTTCCGGGCCGGTACCCCACAGCCCAGTCTCCCACGCGTGAGCGGAGCATGGCGAATGCTGCACGCCTGGGTCCCGCTCCCAGTCGCAGTTTCCTCACCCCAGAGGTCACCCTGACCCGGAAACAGTACCCAGAGCAGCTGTCGGGCGTCGAGGGAGGTCTGGTGGAAGGGCGAAAGGAAGGTGGGAGGGCGGGAAGTGCGCGGCTAGGCGGAGGGCCGACGGCGAAGGGCAGACAATGCCCCAGAGGCTAGGGCTGGGGTCGGGATGGGGGTAGGGAGAGGAAAGCCCCTCCCAGGCACGCGCGAACCGCACACACTCACCTGCCCCTCCCCCTCCCCGCCCGCCCGGCGGAGGCTCCGAGCTGCCGCGGGCCGCGCGCGCACACAAGGCGCGCTCACGCGCGCTGCCTGTCTCTTCCTCGAGCTCGCGCTCCGCCCGCTCACTCCCAGCCCCGCTCATTCAAAGCCGGGCGCGCGCTCCGTAGCAGCCTGCGTTGCCTCTGCGCAGCTGCCATGGCCGCCCCTTCATCGGGAAACCCGCCCCCAGCCCCTCCTCTAGCCCCGCCCCCAGCCCTCCTTGAAGGCGGCTCTCGGCTGTCTCCAGGCCCTCGCTTCTGCACTCCGCCTCAGGTCCTGGCTGGCCCAATAGGTGAGAGGCTACGGGTCTGACGTCGAGACTGGGAGCCAATGAGCCCTGGGAGCGGGGCAAGCGGCGACAGGCACGCCAGGTTCGGTGAGGGGTAGCTTTTTGGGACTATTGCGAGCTGCTTTGACTGTTTATTCTCGGAGCGCCTGCTTCTGCCAGATGTCCCTACTTTCCTTCTATGCAGAGTGCCTCCCCTCCAGCAAAGTCCCTTTCTGTTCAACCCACAGAACCCCTGTGTCAGATGCGACCAAGGAAAATACACTGCAACAAATGAGGGATCTCCCTCTGTCTCAGGAAGATTTGGATGTGGCTAGACAGACCCCCTCCCCTCAGTCATTCCGCCACCTCAAAGATGTGGAATGCTGAGTTTAATTCAAGACGTAGCCTCCTCCCAGTAATTTTTAATTGAATTGTGTTGAACTAGAAATGAAGAAGTGGCACTTCACCGTGTCCATGCATTTGTTCCTCACATGCACCCTGGACTTGCCCTTCTTTCAACCTGAGATGTTCTTTCCTTCAGTGCTTCTCTCTTTGCAGCCTGATTCTTCTTTTTATCTTGTATGCTATGAAAGGGGTTGTTATGTGCAGGGGACCCTCAGAATACTATGCTCCACAGTTGCAAAGTGACTGGTGAGGGAGAAGTGAATAGGGTCTAAGGCCAAAATCAGTTTATGCAAATTGTTCTCAACAAGCCTTTTTCTTTATATGCCTTTAATTTTTTTTTTTATTACAGCTGCCTTTGTTCTCCCACCCTGACCCAGCAACCACCTACCCACTTAACTTTGTGATAATCTACCACAACCGTCCTCTTTCCAATTTGCACCACGTTTTTTATTAATAATTTAATTTCCAAGACGGGAAAGATGTGTTTATGGCTCGTGCTCTGGAATGGTTCTGTGTAAAGTTGGGTAAAATTATTTAATCTGTTCACCTCAATTTCCTCATCAGTAAAATGGCCATAATAGTGCCTACTTCATGCAGTAGTAATGCTTGCAAAGCTCTCTTAGCACAGAGCCTGGCACATAGCAAACATTCATAGATAACAGTTGTTGCTGCAGCTACTACTACTACTGCATTACTATTGCATTACTACAGTATCATTTCCGGTAATTGCATTTCCCAAAGGCCATGCAACCCCTTTCAGTCCCTTAAACACCTGCTCTAACTTTAATCTCTAGAATTCTAATGCCTAAATTTCAATATAAAATTTCTAAATTTTTTTTGGATTTAAAAAATCGAGTTATCTAGCTGGGCACGGTAACTCATGCCTGTAATCTCAGCACTTTGGGAGGCCGAGGCAGGAGGAACGCTTGAGCCCAGGAATTTAAGACCAGCCCAGGCAACGGGCGAAACTCCGTTTCTACAAATAATTTAAAAATTAGCCAGGTTTGGTGGCGCATGCCTGTAGTCCCAGCTACTCAGAAGGCTGAGGTGGGAAGAATCACCTGAGCCTGGGAGGTCGAGACTACAGTGAGCCATGATTGGGCCCTGCACTCCAGCCTGGGAGACAGAGCAGGACCCTGACTCAAAAAAAAAAAAAAAAAAAATCCAAAATAACCTATATTCGGATATAAACGTGTTTAAATTTTTTTTCTTAAAGAGTTGATTGCTTTAGACAATTTATTATGCCCAAGGATATTTTCTTCTTTTTCCTGATTCTTCAGTTTTCTTTATTAAATTTGCCATTTCCAAATGAAACAAAACGAAATGTATATACTTTTCCAGAAACAGCTAGTTACTGAGTACTTGTTTCCCAACACAATAGCAAAACAGAAAACAAAGCTCGCTAAAGACTGCAAATTTAAAATTTACTTTAGTAATACCTATAAAATAATATTTTAAAATCATCTTTACTTGTTAAATAGTAAGCCCATAATTGGGATCACAAGTCAATAATTTGGGATTGGGTTTAGGGACCACCTCTTGGGAACAGGGAACTTTAAGTCCTGTCCTCTCCCCAAAGCTTGTGTGGGACGGGGGTAGGAAACCACCAGATGTCAAATGGGAGGAACATAAGGGATAGAACCTGGCATATGAATTTCTTTTACTCAATGGAATATAGTAAATTCTGTCTGCTCTGTGTCCAAACCATTTTGCTCACTTTAACGCTTCTGATCAGCCTCTGCCCAATTACCAGCTTGATTTATTCACACTATCAACCTCCAGCCCACCACTTACTCTCCCCTTTCAAAGCCTACATAGGCTTTGTTCTGACTTCTCCAGCTGGGGCTAACTCTGGCCTTGTCACCTGACCTGGCCCAGGAGGTAGGAGCAGACTGCAAACACAGCCCTCTGCTTCCAGATCTTTCCCAACCCAGTTCCCTGGCTTTTCATCAAAGGGTGGGTTTTTTTTCCCTCAAACACAATTTTAGACCTGCTGTTCTGACTTGGACTTTAATGGCTTTTTATTAATGAGCAGCTGTTCACAGTTGAATACAAGATCATAAAGTCACATTCATTTCTTGATCAAGTAAAACAAAGCTTTGCCGCACATAGAGTGACATCTTTGAGCAGATACATTTGAAAGCATAGGATTTTCTGATGAGAATTTTAATGAATTGTTTTATTAATCTTCCTACTGGAGAATTTTACTTGCTTTCAAAATAATAAACATTAATATTCTGGAAAATTATAACTTCTTTTTTAATACTCAAAATCACCATATACTAGTTAGGGTCAATTGCCTAATAGAGAAATCAAACAGTCTGAAGCAGATTTTTTATTTCTTTTCTATTAAATGAAAATTAACTTTCTATGAAGCATTTAAATAAATTTTTCCTCATAATTGTTATTACAATTAGCAGTAACTTTTATTGCTAAATACAGGAAGATTCAAAATTTAGTAACAATTTAGAGTTAACCAGTTTTCTTCAGAAGGGGCCTGGTTAGAAATCAAGAAAAATAATACATATATTTTAGTAGAAATAAATTCAAATGAAAAGATGAGGTGAATTCTCATTTTGTGTTCAGTGGTGAGGTTCAGCCACATCATACTTCTGGCTAATGTCCACATCGTTATTAGATTTATGACAGAGTTCAGCTATATTATGAATTAAGTAGAGTTGATGGGAACAGCATCTGGCAGTCTAAGACCTTTTGTTATTTCTAACAGTAAATGTATTGAAATTCATACAACCAACATAAAACAGTAGTTTGTAAATCTATCTTGTACATGGATTGAGAAAGTAGAAATAAAACAACATGAAACAATGTGAGACTCATTCATTGAGCTACAGCATGATGGACATCGTGACTTTGACCTTGAACAACTTTAAGCCTCAGTTTTCTCATCTGCAAAATTAGGTTAGTAATTCCTGCTTTACGGATTTATTTTGCAAATTAAATATCATACCATATGTGGAAATGTGTTGGAAACACAGCAATAAAATCGGTGAAACCTTTGAAGCAGGCAGATTTGTTATCTTCAAGATCAGTACAATCCCCTTTAGCTCACAACATGGAATAGTGCTTCCAAGAAATAGAGGTGAATTTTATGTCATCAGCAACCAGAAGTAGACATGTCTACTAGCAATATATTAACAAAGGGAAACAGGGAGGGACAGCCAGAAGTCAACCCTCCATACCCCCGCTTCTACCTTCTTTGTTCCCTTCTTTGTTCCCTTTGTTTTAAAGGCATAGGATGAAAGAGCAGCTGTCAGAACTATGACACTTACAATCCTTCCCCTCTCTCTCCAGGCTTTTATGTACTACTCATGGGATATTTATTTCATACCAAGATCTGTTGCCAAGTTTTGTCTATTCTTTCTTCTCAGTGTCCATCATTTCAGCACATCTGGATATCAAAATGATCTGCTAACTTAGTCTTTTGTATTTTACTATTTTCCTTCCTCTAAGTCAGTTTGTTACTTTGCTGTCTGATTAATATAAATATTGTTACACCTTCTTCATAGTAACTGACCTTTTTAAATTTTCCAGTGTCTAATTCAAATTCACTTAGGAGGATATGTGTCTTGATTGTTGCTTTTTAAACTCTTAATTTTGAATTGTTTGTTTGGGGATCTCCCTCTAACCACCCATGCCCTTTAAGACATACCAGAAATTCTTGTTAAAGGAGTTGGTCTATGTATACTGTACATTTCATACAGTGAAAATTAATTTAAATCTATATTTTGTACGTAGTTCTTATTTGAAATTAAATCCTTTAAGGATTACTTTCACTTGAAAATTGAACTCATAATCATACTAGAAATTTTTGATGTGAAAAACTTAATAAATTTATTTTCTTCCTAAGAATTTATAGCGTTTACATATATAAAGGATCATCTGCCTAAATGCATAAGTTACTGTAATGAAAAACCAAAGGAAAATACTATTGCCATGTAGCCAGGCACAGTCATAAATATCTTGCACAAAAGGAATTTTTTTTTTTTGCTCATAGGCACAGAGCCCATTACCATAGCAACTATAATTACTCAGTCTATAACTGGGTGTGAATTTTATACACTGCTACTTCAAACATTAAGGCTGTAAGTCAGGATAAAGTGCAGTTTCTGTAATATTTTTAAAAGATTTCTTAATCTCAAAAAGCAGGATAGGAAAAGTTTCATCATGCTACCCAATCATTGGTTTATCAGAAAGTTTATTTAACACTTACCATGGGCAGAGTGTGTGCTAAGCACTTTAGAGAAATTGAAAGAATACATAGTCCTTAACCTAAAAAAAAAACCTCTAATAAAGTCACATTCATGGGTGAATGGCGTTCTTAGAACAGTTTCTCCATGACCATCTTTCTAATTTCAGAATGATGGAATTATAATAACTACAGTACTGTATTAGGACTTGCAAGTACGGCAACAAGAGGTTTGTAGCTGGTTAGACTGCCCACAAGTATTCAAGTACCTACTGTGTCCCCTGTGGCAGACTTTTCCTATTTGGTCTTACACAGTGTGTCTGTAGCTACTCTCTGGGGAGGGGAAATTGGGGGAATAAATCTTAATATTTCTTTCACTGGAGACTGAACACTCCTTGCAGCTACTACCATAATGGGGAAGCTGAAAATGCCCACTGATGATCTTAGAAAAAGGGCAAGACTCTCCCACTGTTTTGGTAGGTTCCCCAACCCAACCCAACACATAATGGATTCAGATTAAAGTTTTTTGGGTTTTTTTTTTTGAGATGTGTCTCGCTCTGTCACCCAGGCTGGAGTGCAGTGGCGAGATCTCAGCTCACTGCAAGCTCCGCCTCCTGGGTTCACACCATTCTCCTGCCTCAGCCTCCCGACTAGCTGAGACTACAGGTGCCCGCCACCATGCCTGGCTAATTTTTTTGTATTTTTAGTAGAGACAGGATTTCACTGTGTTAGCCAGGATAGTCTCGATCTCCTGACCTCGTGATCCGCCTGCCTTGGCCTCCCAGAGTGCTGGGATTACAGGCGTGAGCCACTGCGCCTAGCCTCAGATTAAAGTTGAAGCATTTCCATTCGGGAGGGTATAGTAGTAACTCAAAGATGCATGTGGTATTTTAACCTTGGCATTGTCCACCTTTCCCATTAGGAAGGATTAACTCTCTGTTCTCTTGATCCTTCCAAATTTTGCCATCTCAGACATCTGATGAAAGCAGGAGATTTAGGATAACCACCAAATAACAATGAAACCCTAAAGGAGCAAGGGCTGGTATAGGGCACCACAATGTCAGGAACCCAAACTCCTTTCAGCTGAGCTCTCTGGGTTCTGGAAGAGGTATAAAAATATTCTTCACACAAGGACATTGTAAAAGCCATAAAATTGTCCACCATCTTAGTCTTTTCTTACCTAAAGTTTTAATTCAATCCACTGGAATTTTTTTTTTGTCAAGATTTTTCTGTAGATTTTTAGTAAGGAGATTTTCTAACACAAGTTATGGAGCAATAAAAGGCACTGGCCTTTATCCTCCAGGTCTCAGGAGCCATCTTGCTCCATGTAGCTGGAAAAACAGAAAGGGATGAAGAAAAGGCAAAGGGATGCATAATAGCTATGTTTTAAGGTCAGTTTCTAGAATATGCCACGAGATAATGTCTGTTTTTGTAACCCACTGCACAGAAATTGATCAGTCTCACTGCAAGTGAAGCTGGGAAATTGTCTTTGTTCTAGGTGGCCCAGTGCCCAGCCAATAATTCTAATAATTAGCACTCACATGGTGCTTATTACATGCCAGGCACTGTTCCAGTGTAATAAGAAGCCTAATGGTTTACTGGGCCAGGGATTGACATGATATAGGCCACATTATGGAAATAAAAACAAGAGTGGCTATCATTTTACCGCCTGTTAGGCACTGTGTTACATGTCATATATATGATACCATCAGTCTTCAGATGTCACACTTTCCACATTTTACAGTTGAAGAAACTGAGAATAATGGAAACTAAGAACTTGCCTGAGGGCATAGAAGTGGTAAAGTAGAAACCAAGAATTTGAACAGGAATTTGGATTAAAAACTCTTCCCAATGAAGCACTTGCCCATGCTTGAGGAAAAGTGGGAAGCAATTAAATGTTGGAATTTGGGCTCTGGAGTTAAATTGTCTGTGTTTGAATCCCAGCTTTACCATTAGTAGCTCTGTGAACTTGGGAATTTAACCTAACCCTTCAACATTTCAAGTTTCCTCATTTGGAGAAGGGAATAAGGTTATCCTCATAGGATTGCTGTAAGGAAAGGGTCCATGTAGAACACACAGCATAGTGTCTGGCATGTAGTGAACATGTGATAAACCTTTACTTTATTATTGATTATTGTTATTATTAGTGCTAGGGATATTTTAAATAGCACTTTTGGGGATAAAATGGATAAAAGGTAAAAACAGATGGACCATCTAGAAGTCATTGCAATGATCACAAGGTGATGGAATTTAGGAATGAGTAGAGACAGTAGTACAAGATATAAACATTTCACTTACTATGAGAAATACAAGAAGCTATTCTTATTAACTTTTTATTCTCTGTTTCTTACTTTGACCAAAATTGGAACAACATATTTACTTCGCCAACATTTCAGGTCTTAGGTAGAAGAATATTCACACATCAAAGGATTTTTATGACTTGTTCAAGAGCTAGATAGCCACTTCTTACAATACAAATTATTTTTAAGAATTTAAACATCAATTTCTGAGACAGAATGTTCAGAGAAATATTATTTAAATGCAAAAAAAAAGCAAAAATAAAACTTGCTTAGCATATGAATAAGGGACATGTGAAGATGTATTGCCCATGGATTCCAATAATTCAAGCATTTTTAAAAGTAGTAATTAAATTGTAATTTATCTGGAATAAGGAATTATTATGATAATTCTAGAATGTTCTTAAAAAGCAGACAGCCAGAAGCCTAAAGCAGTTAAAACAGGAACTTTTTAACAAAGTCTGTGTGGCTAAGAAGCAATTTTTAGAAATTCCTTTTACTGCCATATAACTTGTATTAGAAAATTTCCTTATTAAAAACTGACAGAAAAAATCTTGACAAAAAACTCCAGTGGGCTGAATTAAACCTTTAGGTAAGAAAAGAATACAGATGGTGGACAATTTTATGGCTTTTACAATGTTCTGGTGTGAAGAATATTTTTGTATCTCTTCCAGAACCCAAATGTAGGAATTTGTTCCATAGATGCTGGAATTGCAGTTTTTGGAATTTAGTTTTCCAACAGAAAGGAAGTATCACGGAATGAACAGTAAACTAGATTTGCCTTAGGAAGACTGATTTTTAAGTCTCAGCGTGAAATGGCCCATGTTGGGTCTCTTTCCCCCTCCCTATCCCAGGAACAGAGGTTTTTCACCCCACCAGGGTTGGAACTGAGGGGAGTATAAAAGTGCTCTGTTACCTGGTGCTGTACAATGAAGTATCAATGCTCTCTGGACATGGCAAATGTTCCTCATGAAGGGGCTTTCATGTATACTTTGAAGACTACCTTGTCAGGGACCTCTTACCTGCAATTCCCTTAAAATTGTGACTATTTCCATTCCAGCTGTTCATTTGAATTTTTTCTGTAGCCCCTAGGCCTTCAGTGGTCCTCTCCCAGTTTTCTTCCACTGCTCTTCTAGGTAGCCCTCCTGAACAAGGCTTAAGGCCTCCATATTGCTAGCAACCTCATGCTTTCTCTCTCTCTCTATCTATCTCTCTCTCCCCCTCCCTCTCTGTCTCTGTCTCTATCTCTCTGTCTTTCTCTGTCTCTCTCTCCCTGAGACAGTGATCATGTTGTATTGAAATGGTCTGTTTCCATTCTTTCCCCAAATATCCTGAAAACTCTTCGAGGGAAGGCATAGCATCTTATTTCTTGTAGCCTTCCTACTTACTAGAACACCCAACAGATACTGCTCAAGTGAATGAAATGCCACATTTATACCAAGATATTTGATTTTACTACCTGGTAAGTGTTTATACATTTTCTGCTAAGTAAGACTAACAATGATCTGAGGTGAATGTACTAGGAGATGTTATACAAGAGACAACGGTATGGGCTTTGTTGAATTCTCTCAGCTGTCCCAAATGTTTGCTGAGTGTCACTTGCTGGAAGGCTCTGGATCTGGCTACAATGTCTTTATTAGGAGTTCTGTCAAATTAAGTATTCCCTTTAGAATTTTCTGAGTAAAGAATTGCTATTTTCAATACTGTTAGAGAGTTCGGTTAACTTAGCTACCTTAGTCTGTAGCTTTTTTGCATTCTCTAATTTATCTTCTTGAAAATAAGTTCTGTTCTGTTGTTGACTTCCCACACTTTATACTTCATTCATCCAGTAAACAGTGAATAAGCATCCACCAGTTAAGGGAACCCCTCAACCCTCAACTCATGCCCGGGGTTGAGGGGAGTCCTGCTCTTAGTAGTGGCAGTTTTGAGTGGGAAGGAGGGGTAGGCAGAGAAGGAGTTTGGACTTGTTCCAAAAGTTCATTCCAAGGACAAGAAAACTTTTCCCAATATTGGCCAGAGTTGGGCAGATCCAGAAATACAGGACAGTCTAGAATTCCTGGGATTACTGTGAATCTGAAAGACAGGAACTCAGTGTGAAAAATCTGAGATGAGATTGTCATCTCAGATTGTGTGAAGACAATCTCGTCTCTCCAAAATCCTTAGAAACTAGAATGGCTTAGATTATTGGAAATCAAAACCTTGTAAATGGATAGAGAAAATAAGAACCCCCCCCCTCAAGTATTAAAAAGAATACTTAAAATGCTTCCAATCTGATGTAAAGAGCTTAAGTCGGAACTAGACAAGCTCTTTCCATTATTTAAAGGATTCTATGATTTGTTGGTACAATAACTTAGAGGTGTCATATCTACTTCCAAATGACAAATTTCTGGAAGTTTATTGAAATGAAATAAAAACATATAAATATAAAGAATCAAAACAAATTTATATTTTGAAGAAATCTGATTTTAGTGTTTAAAGCTAATTAGTACATTTTATATATCATAAAAATATTTTTAGTATATTTTCATGAAAATGCTATAGACTTTTGCCTATTGCCCAACAAAGTAGCTAATAATTCTTATATTTTTGTTTCAGCCTATTCTTCGGAACAGCACTTTAGTAGCTTCCTGAAAAATGGAAACAATACAAAACAATTTTTAAGTAGAAATAGCATATAGTATAATTTAAAATATATTTCATTAATTTTAACTTTTCTCATTTTTATGGTACAGTTAGCAGTATTTCCAAGTTTACCCATTTAATGTTAGAATCAGTAATGGTTTTTTTGTAGAAACTTATAGATTGTGGTGCTTATACAAGATTGTTTTATTTTTTATTTTTCACATTCAAAAATACACATTTAAAATATAAGGTCTTTTATTTAGTGAAACTTCATGATCCTCTTAAAAGTAATATATTATTCATTCAGAATGCAAAGTTATTAAAGAACCCAGCATTTTAATCCATTAATGGTGTTTAAATTTCTTATATTCTAATTGAAAAATGGTAGTTTATTTAGTAGCAAAGAAGAAGCCATTGATTAATCTTCTTATCTGGAAAAGTTCCTGGAAAAAACTCAGGAGCTATATGATTTACTAATTCTTTGAGAATAGAATTATATTAATTTGGTAAAGTACCAAAGTTGTCAGGAGTAAGCAGGATGAGAGTCTATAAAGGTTTTTGCACTTAATGAGGCAATGCAAAATGCACAAATATATATTGAGCAATATTTAGCCAATTAGACCTTATATTTTAATGCTTCTGAGAAAAAAATAAAATTAATTAAAGAAATGCTTGTCATCCTATTATAAAATAAACAATTGGTCTTACTTTTATTACTATTCTGGAGACAAGAAAACTGGCATAAAAATAACATAAACCCCCTTGTCTATATTCAGCTATAAGAGGCCAGAACAAGGTCTCTGCAAACTATGCTTCTCCCTTGACCGCTGGACTCCAATTAATTTCTTCCATTAGGAGAGAAGAAAGGATTTCCTTCTTCTTGTTTTCTGGCTATTCATGAAAGCCCAGCAGTTTGTTTCAGCCTCCAGTTTGTTTTGTCACTTCCAGACCCAGCCTTACTATGTCCTCTGATCCTTTATATTTAAATTTAAAATCTAGTCTTGGCTTTTATTGCTCAATATGCTTTAGTATTCTTCTAAATTGTTACCCCACCTCAAATTCTTCCTCGACTTTATTATACAGTATCTCTTATGTGATTTTTTTTCACTAACGTGTCAGAAACTCTCCCCCATCAAATGAATTGCAAACTGATTAATATGTTCCAATCAAAGCTCTTTACAATTTGCCCACAATACCCCTACTCAACATTTCCCCTTAAGTCAGAGGTAAAGACGCAACTTTCACTTTCAAGATTTAAAATCAATTAAACCAGATTTTTCGTACTTATAATATGTAAGGCATACAGTCTTGTAAGTGCTCACAATTTGGTGATGAAGATAGATTTGAATATAAGCTTAATACAAGTATATTACAGAAAGGACTATAATAATGATATAAACACAAAGTGCAATTGGAGACCAAGGGAGAGGAGAATTAAATGTAGAGTGGGAAGGAAGAAGGGAAACCTGCTGGATGAGGTGGAATTTGAGCAAGACCTAGAAGGATGCTGTGAGAGGTAACCTTGGTGAGTAGAGGCTGGCAGCCTAGGTATAGATATAGGGAATATGTAGGGTGGAGAGAATTCTTTCTGGAAATGATTTGGTAAAAGGAGGGAGTCTTCAAATCTGTTTTCAAGATCTTTGATGTTGATTATATTTTTTGCATGTAGTGAGGAATAGTTGAGGATTTGAGATTCCTGTTAGCATTACATGACCTTAAATCTGACAGCAATATGGAGGATAGGCAAAAATGGCACTGGCATTAACTGCGGGCGGAGAAGTATGTTTGTAAGGAGATGATGAGGAATTCTGTGCTAAACATGTATAACTGAAGATGTTTTATTCCACTGCCATTTTTTCCTTGCTCCTATCATGTCCCTGTTCTTGAGTGCCTTTTCCCTCCCTTTCCAAATCTTATACATTTTATACAGTCCCAACTTTCATGTGTTGCTAATGCAATGATATTTGCAGTCTTCTCTAATCATATAGGGACGTCTCCCTTTTATCAATCTCTCTAATATTCAATGTCTCTGTCTGCCTGTCATTCCTCGTACTAGCACCTTTATTATCCTTAGTGAAACTACACCTCTGCCATTCTCAGTACCTTACCCCATGTGACCAGGCCAAGCTAATTAGAATGCTGTGGCCACAGTGATTTGTTCAGGAATGGGCATGTGACCCAAGCCAGGTCAATGACATAGCTTTGGGGCTTTTCTCTGGAACTGTTGGGAAAGAGGTTAGCTCTTTCTGTATTGGTTGATGGGCTGGTAGAAGATGTTGGTGTGTACCTTTGTAATGAAGATTGGGGGTGGTGAGGAGTCAGCCTGGGAGTAAAGCTAACACCAAAGAGAGTGGAGCCAAGAGAAGAAGAGACAGAGGTTCTAGAAGATATCATCTGAGTCCTTAGATCCAACTGTTTGAGAAACCAGACAACTTCTGGACTTCTAAGTGATCACTTTACTAGCTAGATCAATTCAAGCTAAGAATCTGCATCTTGCAACTCAAAAAGAGTTCTGATATGACCTGCACTTTTGTTTCACATTATTTATTTATTTATTTACATACGTATTTATTTATTTATTTTGACAGAGTCTTGTTCTGTCACGCAGGCTGGAGTGCAGTGGTGGGATCTCAGTTCACTGCAGCCTCCACCTCCCAGGCTCAAGCGATTCTCCTGCCTCAGCCACCTGAGTAGCTAGGATTACAGTTGCCCACCACCATGCCCAGCTAATTTTTTTATATTTTTAGTAGAGTTAGGGTTTTGCCATGTTGGCCAGGCTGGTCTCCAACTCCTGACCTCAGGTGATCCACCTGCCTCAGCCGCCCAAAATGCTGGGATTACAAGTATGAGCCACTGTGCCCAGCCTTGTTTCACCACATTCTTATAGACCAACATGTAGTGAATAACATTTTCCATAGGTTGTCTTGTCTCTGCTATTGAGGCTGTTACTTTCTCTTTGTGCACACAGTGATATCATGCACAAGAGCTGTGCACACAGCCTTTATCCAGTAAACACTGGTACTTCAACATGTGGAGAAATAATGTATTAATGGACTGTACTTACTTAAAGTTATATTCAAAGTTGAAACTGCAGCCATAAATATTTCCAAGAGCCACATTCTTCCAACCAGACAGCTAATTACTACAGTCATTATCTGGGCATATGTACCCACAGTTGATGCTTTGCTGTTGCTGCTGCTGCTGCTGCCACTGCTAGAGACAGACTCTGCCAGCAGGCTGAAAGTTCTGGATTCTACCCCAACAACATTATCCAGTATAAATTCAATCTTATAATTTTTTCCTGGAAAAAAAAAGCATCATAGTGTTTGATTTCCTTTATGTTTTACTTGTTTTCATACCGTTCCCATTTGATTTTCATTGACTGAAAAACACTATATAGATCCTGATGAAATATTTTTGAAAGTTGAGTCAAATAAATTAGTTTAAGTACAGACAAGTATAGACAGGGTCTCAGAGTTAGAAGAGTTCTATCTGCCCATTAACTGAACAACAGGGAAGCTGGGTAGATTTTCTTTCTGCAGCAGCAGTACCTGCTTCTTAGAGCCCCTTCCTAGTGCCCAGGACTGGACAAAAACTGTTGGAAATGAGGGACAATAGGGAAGAGAGGTGAGGGTGCTGAATCTCAGTTTCATCCCTTCGTACTTGACCTAGCAGTAGAGAAGCATCAGTCTCAGTTGGGGGAGGTGGGGTTGGATACTGAACTTTTTATTTTGAAAAATTTCAAACAAGAAAAGAGTTGAAAGAATAATACAGCAAACAACCATATGCCTTCCATTAAGATTCAAAAAACTTTTACCATGTTTCACATTTGTTTGAAGTTAGATGCTATTTTTGTATTACAAGGCTGTGACCCTTTTTCCTTATTCCAGGTAGACATTTTAGAAACATTGTTACTTGTGTTTAGAATGTAAAAATGTTAAAGAGCTCATCCAATATTATTTAATCTCCAGGTTAAATCTTCCCACAGTTTTGAATAGGAGATAACCAATATATTTTTCCTTCCTATAATTTATTTTGGGTCTATGCTATCATTAATAATAGTCACCACACAGAATAGCATTTCTAATACTTGTACAGCCCTGTAAGTTTTTACTCATCTGTTTTCTGTGTTGTTTTTAAAAAGTCATTCCTGTTTTCATTCTTTTTTAGGAAAAGAATATAATTAGATCTTGATCACATCTGTGGTTTCATGAACAATTGCAATTCATTATATAACTTTCAGGATATATGGGCACTGTACTATAGAATTTTCTGTCACTGACAATTCCTGACAATGGTGTATTAAAATTTTTTTCTTTTTGCATTAAAAAATCTGAATTTTTGTGGCAGGTGAATTTTTTTATTAATTTTTTTGATGAGCAAATAATTTAGGGTAGTTCTTTTATTTTGTTTTTCTCCTCCTGAAGTACTGTGAAGAAGCCCAAGCTAGCCTTATGGAAAGACCACATAGAGGAGAATTGAAGAACCCAGCCAAAATCCAGAATCAGGTCCATAGAGATATGACCTCAATCAAGCCATCTTAGCCAGCTCTAGCTAATAGAAATTCCCAGCTGAAGCCGCAGACATTGGAGCAGTGGTGAGCTATCCTGGCCCAAATTTCTGACACACACAATTGTGAGCAAATGAAATGGTGTTATTAGATTTGGGGCTGGTTTGTTTCATAGCAATAGAAACTGAAACAAACACTAAACATTACATAGGACGCTAAACAAATATGTCCCAGTGTCTGTTAGTAATATTCTCCTTATCTAGGTTGGTTAAAGATGCAGATCCTTTTTCTCCCACCCATTTCTCACATCACTATTTTCTGTGTTAGAAACCACAACCTGTATCTCCTCTACCCAAGTACCCTGCTTTGCTCTTTATGGAGCTATATGTAGAAGAGGGGTGCTGTGCTGTCAGGCCGCAGTCTGATCAGCAAGGGGATTTCCTTCAGTGCAGTGACTGTGGGGGTTAACTGCTAGAAAGAGTCAGTGAAAGATATTTTGTTAATTTTCTCACTAATGCTTTGTTGTTATTCTAATTTTACTGTGGTTAATCTACAACTGGCTAATTGATTTAAAAATAATGAAGAGATTCCTATACTTGGCTTTCCTTATTGTACATAACCAGGGATGCCACACTTGATGAAGAAAAGAGGAGAGAGAGAGGAAGAGGGGAGGGGAGAAGGAGAGGGTAACAGAGAGGACAGAGGGGGAGGGAAGGAGGGATGGAAGGAAGGACAGAAGGAGGGAGGGAGGAAGGAAGGAAGGAGGGATGGAGGGAGGGAAGGAAGGAAAGGAGGAAAAGGAAACACACAGGTGAAGAGCACTGGCATTTCTCCTTGGCAAGTAAGACAGACCCTCCCAAGGGAAGCTTTGAATTCTGAAAAAAAACTTAACGTATGAAAGAAAAATGCTTAAATTATTATTTTGTTGCCACAGTAAAATGCCAAAACCTATTTTAGTGCTTTAGTGCTCCAGTGATCCTGGGTACTTTTGGAACATTGTAGTTTGAAGACCTTAGTCACAAGGTTGGTTCTTTTCCACTGGATACTTATTGGGTCCACCCTCATGAGGAGGTGAGCAAACTTCTTTTCAGGTAGGATTCTTGCCAGCTGCCTCATTTCCCATAAAAAAAAAATTCCATTTGGGCTGATAGTTAAAAGAATTTAGCTCTGTTCTAAACCAGAAAGCAGTGGGACACATTATCATTTAATTATTATCAAACATTAGGCTGAGATATTGCTGCCCAGTAGGCAGACTGAACATATCTGGCTTAGGGCACTATCAAAGCATGGAGAAACAAAAATTCAGGGAAAAAACTGGGGAGAGGGGTGCCACTACATAGCCTTTTCAGAAGTTAAGGCCCCTAACTATCTTAAATAGGCCCTGAGTTGGGACAAACAGAACAATGGAGGCCTTTCTCAAACGTAAGCGGTTTATCCATTTCATTCTTTTAGATACTCTACATTCTATCACCAAGAGAGATCTGTTCAGGGATATATCATCTGGACCCTGGTAGAATGGTTTTTACCAATCAGAGTTGTGTCATCAACCTATATGAAGATAGTATAAAAAAAGTAATTGTGGCAGTGATGGCTGTATTTACTGCACCGATGTTGAAGATATCACTTAATACAGATTAATTGTGCACACTTTCTGAAAAATCACAGGAGACATTTGTTCTGTTCTCAGAGAATATTATAATTCTCACAGCAACTGATCTGTTTAGTTGATGGGTACTGTAAATTATGATAATGCTCATTTTCTCTCTTGCTTTGGCTTTCAGAAAGACCACAGCCAACTTTCTAGCCCAACTCTGAACTCCTCCTTAAGACATTAAAGTTATATGAGCCTACCTTATCCTTTCTTTTATTGAATTTGAAAATCTGTATGTTAATTTTTCTTACTATAAATGTAGTACATCTTTAGTGAGCAAATTTAGGAAAGTATACAAATGGATAAATCATGATATAATTCGATTTCCTTAATTTTTTATTTTAATTTCTATTTATTTCACATATGAAATCTATTCTTAAGCTAGACTAAATATTTTCTGAAACAAGGCAAAATATAGCATTCTGATGTCTATAATTTATTGACCAGAGTGTTACAGAATGCTTTGTTCATTAAAAGAACATTATAATTGTCTCTATTTATGGCTATATATGTGAGGATCCAAAATAGTGCACCCACCTGTTCTAAGGGGAGTAAGGTCTGTGTAGTTGGCCCAACAGCTGCTAAACGGAATTGTTGTATTTCCACTAAGGCCATTGACTTGGTTATTATTGGAGTCCTTGAGTATGGCCCTCAAAGTTAGTGCAGTAATTCCAACTGATACACAGTTACCCTAAAAAAAAAAAAAAAGTAGATAATTATAACAATTGTCCTGTTTCCATGCTTTTAAAAATATATGCAAAACTTTATTTTTAAAAATGCCTCATTATAAATTGAAAATCTGCAGAAGCTCCTTATTCCACACAAAGAGTTCATAAACCTGAGCAGCAGAAGTTCGTTTAACATAAACATTTTTGAGACATTACAAGATGGTATCCTTGGATATTAGTCCAACTTCTGAAAGGGCCGTGTGATCCTCAGGCTGCCAGCACACCAGGATGAGTGAAACTGGCTCATCCTTCAGAATTTGTAGCTTAATTCCTTCACTTAAGTAAAATTTTGAGTTATGACTTACGTCAGAATCTGTTGCCTTTACCGAAGGCTGCTGAGGAAATGGCTGTCCTGGCTGTGCTGCCACCGGCTGAGTGATCACTAAGAGTGAGGACACGAAGGCCACGTGATGAACAGGAAATGCAGACCTTTCAACTGGCTGGGCAGTCACCTGTGAATGCACAAGGGATGAACTGGTTTCTTCATGATAAACTACACTCAGCAGCAAACTCATTTTAGCCAGGCTGAGTATAAAATATTCATTATTTATTTTGGAATATGTTCAATATGCAAAATTAATATAATTACAATATTTCCTCCATTACATTTATGAAGCATTGTTATAAATATGCAAAGCAAAACAAATTTATAACCAATACACAACTTTTGGAAGATATGCTCCTTTGTTCAAACAACTTTATTATCATTTTAGCGAGCCTATAAAAAGTCAACAATAAATAAGAAAGACATGCCTGCTAAATTATTGTTTTGAAATAGAAACAGAGAGTTAAAATAAGAAATAAGTAATGATATTTTAAGTCCCAAAAAATGCATTTTTTCTAGTTGCATTTTCTTACCTTAATCCACCCAGAGTCACTTGGGCTGGGGAGGGGATTAGTAATAGACATGGACGAAATGTTAAATCCAAGGATACTACTGATGTTTCCTAAAATTACAGCTTGTCCAAGAGAACCAGCAATTTCCTGGAGTTCAGATAACTGCATCTGACCTATGGGGAAAAGTATTATGACATTTGGATTATAAAAGTATAGAATTGTGAGAACACATGAGAGTTTTTCACTTTAGCATTCTTTGCATTGCTCCATCACATTATAGAATTCTAAGGCTTTCTAGTCTTACCTGAGCAAAACACAGCAGTCATATTAATGAGGGGAGGAAAAGGAAGAACTCAGGAGAATATATTTTAAGTTGGAATTAAAGGAAAAACAAAGGTAGATAAAACAGATACAAGAAAAACGAATGAAAACATAGTGGGAGAATATATGTCTCTTAATTTAATACTTTCTCCTACCAATCTTTGTTTACCAATGAAGCATTATCATGCATTTCTATTATCATGTGTCATTTTAAAAAATAAAGTGTTAATTTTGGAATGGAAGGATTGTTAGAATCGATCATATTATGTGTATGTATTAATATACTAGTTGCTAAAGTTATTAAATTACTAACCAATTGTTACTTGCTTTGGACATTTGACAATTTTCAGTTACTTTTAACACTACATATAGTTCTGTTCCCCTTTTCTAGCATGGCAGGTCTGGGGTTTCCTCTTAAACCTTCTGCCCCCACAGTGCTCCTTACCTTAAAAAGTGGTACCTTAATGCACCATATTCCTTTTTTCAGAAGCCTAGTAGTTTTGCTTAATCCCTGCTCCTTCACCTCTCCACTACACCACATCTAATCCATTACCAATTTCTAACTCTCTCTGTCCCTGTTGTTAAAATCCTAATTAAAGCCACATCAGCAGGGTTACTAAAACCACTTTTAAACTGGCCTCTGGAGTCAGACTGATCTTTTAAGAAACAACTGTAAACCAGGATAATGTTTTGGTGTATTGCAGGCCTTGCTAATCCCTTGTTCCTAGGTATCCTGTACCTTCTATATTCAGAGTCATGCCTTGAGGAATCAAATCACTGAGTTTCTTCTATTAAAGTTAAGCCATAAGGCTTAGAGTGCTCAGGAAGAAGGAGGTAACGTCTTGGGCCAGCAGGTCTGACATGACACTATGAACCCCACAGTCCTAAGCTATTTCAGTCCTTGTCAGTTTAAAAGGACTCTTTTGGATGACTCAGACTCTTTTGGAAAAAGGCTCAGTCTTTCAGATTCCTCCCTCTCCTCATACTCCCTCCAGAAACAGCCTTCTCCAGGGAGGCCTCCCAAGTCTGAGGGCTTGTATATCTAGCTGTAGCAGTACAGAACTGCTTCAGGTCCATGCACTACTATTACTACTTTGTCTTCACTGGTTTTTGGCATGGAGTGGCAGGTCTGATGCAGTCTGCACTGTTAACAGGTTCTCGCTGACCGTTCGACATGTGAGGGCATTCATTTCTGCTGATTGCCATCTAGAAACCAAAGACCTTAACTTGAAGGCCTCTTATTCCTGGCTGTAGGACTGTCTGCTCATAAATGCCTTTAATACATAGGTAACCCCTTTCTAGGACATCTGGGAATTTCTGGATATCCTGATACTATATAAAAGCTATAAGGAGCCAGGAGTACAACTACATGAACATCTTTCTTGCCACTTCTCAACATTTTGCTGTGATTCACCAAGTTGTAGGGTTCTCCTTGAGACTTGAAACACTATCGCAGTCTATGTCTAGAAAATGTGCCATTAGCCTGTCCCTCCCACCATCCCTAACTTCTACATTCTTCAGTGGTCTTATACCTGTCTGGATAAATCTAACAAGCTAAAACTGCTTTAAGGGGATGGATGTAGGAGGGATTGTATGTGGGGAAATATATGTCACATGTAAGAAATAAATCCCAGTTTCTTTGGATATCTAGTGGCTAGTGTGGTAAATTTTGGACCTCACGACACGTAAGGGCTCACCAGGGATTTCTAAGAGTAGGTGAGTAATCTGTATATGTGCCATGGGCCCTTTACAACTCCTAAAATAACAGGCAAAGTCATGCTGAGTCCAAACCCTGAGCCTGTAAGTCCAAGTGAGTACAGAACTGACGAAGGAAAGTTAACTATTACTCTGGGCAGAGAACATCGTGGGAGATCTGGTTGCAACACAAGCCTAGGCTTCCTACGCTCTTCTAACCAAGAGTTTATAAACACCTCCCTCCACACAGGCAAGCCTTCCCACAGGCTTATCCCCCCAATGGAAGAAACTTCCACCTGCTTAGCTGATAGAATTCCAGAGTGATAATGTGGTAGGTGCATAGGGTCAATGCCTAGAAGCAAACCTCTTGGGAAAATGAGTGAAGATCTCTAGTGGCATAAAGTGAGAACTTCACCCAGTACCCAGGTTTACACAGAGCCTGGGAGTTTAATGATAAAGTGACTGAACACAGGTAGATAGGGTAGATCCCAACCTAGTGGGGCTGCAGTTTATATATGTCTGGACGATCTCTTTAGGAAAAGGAATGCAGAAAAATCATACCTTTGTAGCTTTCATAATAACATTCAATGATTTGACCACATTATGAGGACCTCTCCTAAGGTATTGAAAGTGAAAGCCCCTCCCAGGACTTGTATCAGTGAGGGGGCTTGAAGTGTAAGCTTCATTAACTGGATGGTAAGTCTTCCTCTGACAGATACCTGCCTTTCCTGTTCTTGGGGAGGGGTACACCTAGATCAGAGTACTTGTGCTTGACCACTGAAGACAAAGGCATGGTTGCAGGTTAGCAGTGGGGGATATTATTGCATCCCAGAAGACCAGGAAAGTTCAGTAGTACCTCAAGAGATGCATATGTAGAGCAGAGAAGATGACCCACTCTGTACCAGAGGCTGTGAAGACAAGATGATAACATGAGGACGGAGGCCAGAACAGCCCCTTGGTATTCAGACCCCAACTTGAAAGGAGCAGATGGATAGAGAAAATTTGAAGAGCTGAGCATTTACTCAAGTGCCCAAACTGAGTGACCCTAAGGAAATGATTTCAGCCAGCAGAGATTTCTCTGATGGGACAGTTGAGCTTATTTTTTTATCTCTGATAAAAAATAGGAAGTGAGGGACACAGAGAGGGGATGATGGCTTGTGAGGATGATTCGCTCAGTCACAGGAAATAAAGACAGATTATGTACTTGCACATCTGCCCTTTTTGGGCTGAATCTGTGACTTTACTGTGGAAATCTAACCCACCAATCTACTGCTCAGAATATCCAAGAATATTTACTCTTTTTCTTAAGAAAACATCCACAGTCCTTCCTTTGACTTCCAAAGCTTTCCACATCTAGCACCTGTCTACCCCTTGGCTACACCTCCAGCAGCTTGTCCTTCCTGGCTCCTTCCACTCCAGACCAATCGGACCTGTTTCCTCTCTTCAAATGCACCAAACTCTCACCAACAGTTTCCATAGCTTGAACACTCTTTTTCCTCTGTCTTTTCATTGACTATCTTCATCCTTAATCTCTCATCTGTAAGGTCACTTGCTTAAGTAGGTCTTCCCAGATCTTTTTATATTAGATCAAATTCTTTTGTTGAACTTATTAATCATCACAATAACAAAACAGAGATTCAAATTCCTTCCAATTCTAAAACAGTTTGGTAGTACAGGAGCAAAGAAGGAAAAAGGGTCTCTGGGCACTTAGAGGGTTCAGGATGTGGGGTTGATGGGATTTCCTGAGGCCAGGCTCACCAAGCCCTGATCAGGTTATTTATGGATATGGATTTGGTAATTGCATTCCTCCATCTCAAACACCTGTTATTCATACCTGTGGTGCCATTGCTTATGAACTGAATAGGAGGGTCTCCAATCTCTATTTCAATTATGAATCCCATGGATCTCTTCCTCCTCAGACTCTTCCCTCTTATTTTGCTGATACGGATTTTGTCACTTGGTATCTTTAGGAACAAGGCAAGATTTTTAACCAGATTGTGAGAGGTATAAAAGTCATCTTCTGTTGCAACAGATAATTGGAAAGAAACAAATATCACTGTGGCAGTGTGAATTTCAACAGGTATAGTTCCTTTAACCAAAAGATAAAGCATCTGGTAGGTTCCATCAAAGTAGTTTTCACCAAGGACAGTGGAATCCAGGTTAGGAAGGAATTGGTCTATGAAGGAAAAAAGCCAGAACATCACAGCTAAGTATTTTATATTATCACAATCAACATGCGTTACTTAATGTTTGTTTGAATTTAGAAAGTCCCCCAAATTCAACTTTATCATTCTTTCATAAGAAAGCATACCTTTTTAAAAACAAAAACACTTATAGAACTGACCTGCGAAATTAAAGCCACTCCTTTAAAAAATACCACAAATAATCATTACACATTGTTTGTTTTTTAAAAATTAGCTATATAGACACAGTATAAATGAGAAACAAATCAAGTTATGATCCCAGGAGCCTATACTGTAGTTGAAACCCTATTCACATGCTCATAATTTTAAAGCCTTGACTGAAGGCATTTGGTAATTTAAAAATATAAATTTAACTTTACTAGCTATCTAATTTATACAGTGCTATATGCCAACTCTTAAAAGAGCATTTACAATTCAGTGTTTCTATTTTAACTAAGGACAAAACTGTGTAATAAAAATGAAGTATACATTAAAACATCTCAGAAGAATCTTATACCAACTAAACAGGCTTACATTTCAGCCTGAAAAATGTTTGGCTAATGCAAGACAAATTCTGCTAGGAAACTGAATTTTACAAAAGTGATTGAGATCATTATAATGAATGAATATATGTATGATTTTATGGCAGAGTATCAACAATTTCTAAGAGCTAACAAACCCACTAACACTTATTGAGCCCAGACAAACACTGAATTGTGTAATAGTGGTGGAATGAGATATGTAGCTTCTTACCACATTTCATTGTGAGGCTTACTAGGAAAAAGAAATTAAAATTTTAGGAAGAAGAAGGAATTTCACAGTAATGAAAGGAGCAGAGACAAAGATCATAAACATTTGGGTAACTCCCAAAATATGTATAGGTTCATAACACAGGGATATTATTTTGCATGCCAAGTGCCAAAGCAAAACGTTCACTTAAAAGCAACGCTGTTTCAGAAAAACACCACTACCACTACCATAAAACACACATTTATCTGTAAGAGGGCAGTGGCGGAGTTGTTTTCTGGCTCTTCAGCACCTACATTATCAATTCTTTACATTACGTTCTGTCTATGGAGAACAAAATAATATCCCTGTGTTGTGGATCTATACATATTTTGGGGTTTTGGAAATGTTTTATTAATATCTATGTCTGCTTTTTTCATTACTGTGAAATGCCCTCCTCCTTTTAAAATTTTAATTTCTTTTTCCTAATAAGCCTCACAATGAAATGTGATAAGAAGCGAAGTGCCTTATTCCACTATTAATTATACAATTCAGCATTTGTCTGGGTTCAATATATGTTAGTGGAACTCTCTGCCTATGAAGATAGTTCCTATTTTCCTAACTCTGAATGATATTGTGCTTGGTACCATATCTGTTATTTGAAAAGAGTGAACAATTTATTAAAATTAAGCTATAAATGCCATTTTATTCATGACACAACTATTTATATATAAAAAGTAGTAACGCTGACTCTCTTAATTTAAAAGAAGGAAATATAGCATAATGGTTAAGTGCATGGGTTTTACAGCTAGACTGTTTTTGAGTTCTTGCTGTGCACCATACCAGCTTGAGACTGCTATGGACTGAATTGTGTCCCCAAATTTTACATGTTGAAGCCCTAATCTTCAAGGTGATGATATTTGGAGATGAGAGCCTTTGGGAAGAAATAGGGTTTAGATGAGATTGTGAAGGGGGAGACCTCATGATGGAATTAGTGCCCTTCTAAAAGGAGACACCAGGGAGCTTGCTTGCACTCTCTCAGCCATGTCAGGACACAGCAAGAAAGTGGCCATCTGCAAGCCGAGCAAAGAACCCTCAGCAGAACATGACCATCATGGCACCCTGATCTCAGACTTTCAGAGATCCAGAGAAAATAAATTTCTGTTGTTTGAGCCACTCAATTTGTGGTATTTTGTTATGGCAGACTGAACTAAGACCACTATCTTGGCAAATTACTTCCTGTGTCTCAATTTACTCATCTGTGCCTACCTCATAGAGTTACTATGATGTAGTAACAATGAGTTACATATAAAGCATGTAGAGCTGTGCCTGAAATATAGTAATGTCTCTGGAAACATTAGCAGTTCATGTTATTAGTAGGAATATGACTTCTTCTATAAATGGTAAAGCAAACAGATTACCCATTCATATTTTCAAGTCTAGCTCATATTATGATCTACCACACACATCTATATAATGGTTAGCCAAGAATATGGATCATATCAGAAAATGATGATGAGTAGCCCATGTGGAATGGAATGTATGCTATTGGCCTCATTAGAACCCTGTTTAACAAAAAGACTTACATAAGCAGAGATAAATGCTGGTTTTACAAATATCGGTCAATGAATAAGTTTAGCCTCTTCCACATGTTTCATTTAACACAAGTTTATTTTATCATATTTACTTCACAACCTTCAGTTGATGTTATATTAGCTTTCTTGGCAATAATTCTTATGACTGCCAATTAATTTAGGTTCTAACTTCTATGAAATAGAAGTAAAGCCAAGATAAGGTGAAACTTTTAAGCAAAATCTCTTCTAGACATAGGAAGAACTGAACTCAATGTATGCAGAATGAAAACATTCTTAGGAAGCAAAAGAATGTCCATGATAAACAAAAACTCATATCTGCATGTGCACAGATAAATAAGTTCCATTAGGAGTGATCTTTCAAGACACTCATGTTACAAATGAAAACATCTTAGTATTTGGTGGACTATGGCTAAAAACTTGTTTTCTTCTCCATCATTGATAGATAAGGAATTAAAAATACTAATAATCAGACACTTAAAATATTATAAATAAGTACATTTTCCATGTGTACTGTATTTTTTCTGAGACAATACCTTTGTACAGATGGTTATTAAGTTCACAGTGTTTCTGCTGGGCATTCCATATTGTAGTTTTTGGACAGACCAATAAGTTGTTCACATAGACATCCAAACGTTGAAGTGTGGAAAAGAAAATTCCTACTAGAACAGCCTATTAAAGAAAAAAAAGTTTTAAGAAAGCAACAAAATAGAATATTTGTAATTTAGCACTTAAACCGTCCTTCAATATTGTATACTTTCTGCAAACTATTAAAACTAAGTTTTATGGATTTGGGATAAGGGATGAACTAAAATTTTAAAATGGGCTTACATTCAACCATTCATACAGATAGTACAACTTAACCCTTAATTGACTATTCTTAGTAGAAAAGTACAATAAGAGAAATTATTAGAGGAGTATCTCTGAGTTTAAAGAAAGATTCATTTAAAAGACAACAAAGAACAATACAGGCTTTCAATATCAGGAGCAGGGAAAGAGGGACTTAGCTATACTCTGTATAATGCAGCCACACAAAATTAGGTACTTAACGTTGGAAAAAAAATGATTACCTCTGAGAAAAATTTGGTAGGAAGACTAATAAATGTCAAAATAACTATCCTCTCTGATTCAATTTTATTCATTTTTCATGTTTATATTGCTTACATTTCATGCTCTCAGCTATGATCATAAAGAGACTGGCTTTTCCAAGAGCAGGGAAGGATTAATATGGAGCTTAATAAGCTATACATTAGTTCTGGAATCTTCTTTGGATATTGTCTTCAGAGGCTCAGAATATTGACAGTCACATTACTTTGTAGTCACCATTCTCATTTTTAGAGGTAAAATATTCTCTTCTAATTTTTTACAAAAGAAAATTTTGAGTTCCTATTTCAGCCATGTGGTATTCTAAGTGCTGGCAGAGCCACTGGCTTCTCTGAGCTTATATTCAAGAGTGATGAGAAACAAAAAATAGAAATAATAAAAGGTAAAGTAGGAAACATGTTAGATGGTGATGAATCCTGTGGAGAAAAGAAAAAAGTAAATCAGGGTGCATGTAACTTGGGAGAGCCAAGCAAGGAGGCGTGATCTTGGAGGCCTATTGAGAAAGTGGAATCTGAGGAGAGCGGAACTTTAGCCACTTAGGGAAGAATGTTTTAGACTGAGGCAACATCAGAAACATAGGCCCGGGAGGGTAGCATGTTTGGTGACCGTAGGAACAGCAAGGAGCTCAGTGGGGCTGGAGGAGTAGAAGAAGCCAGAGAGCTCAGGGGTGGGAGAGATTCCCATAGGGCCTCACAGGCCATGGTGAGGATTCTGACTCTTGGACAGAGACCGATAGGGAAATTGTTACAGGGTTTGGGGCATGGGAGAGACGTGATCTGACATATTTTCACGGTATCTGGCTACTAAGTTGAGAACAGACTATAGAAGGGCAAAGGTGGAAGTAGAAAGAGGAATTAGGAGGCAATTACCATGATCCAGGAAAGGCTCAAACTGGATAGTAGCAGTGGAGGTGGTGAGAAGTGGGCAGATTCTGGTATTTTGAAGACAGACTCAAAACAACTTGCAGATGGGTTGGATGAGGAATGTGAGCAAAAGAGAGGAGTCAAGAGTGGTTCCAAGGTTTTGTCTGGAGCGAAGGGATGGAACTGCTGTCTCCTGGGAAGGGGCTGGTGCCTCCTTTCTTTACTCCTTTCTCTGCTTCACCTTATCAGCATTCTTTCTTCACATTAAACACCCTGGGACTTTAAAGTCTCATATTCTTAGAAAAGAAAATCTGAGTGATGACACTACTGGTTAAACTCATACTCTTTTCATACTTATTAAATATAAATTTAATGATCCTGGCTGAGTTCAGTTTCTAGCAAAGACTTGACATTATTGAAGATATTAAAAATAACATGCTGCAGTCTCTGAAGTAAATTTCAAAGGTGTATTTCTGATATATATATAAGTAATAGCAGCATTGAAGAATAAGTATATAATTCCAAGTGATCAGTTTTGGATGTACATTATTTTTATGTAAAAATTTAGGGCAAAAACTGGAAGCATTCCCTTTGAAAACTGGCACAAGACAGGGATGCCCTCTCTCACCACTCCTATTCAACATAGTGTTGGAAGTTCTGGCCAGGGCAATTAGGCAGGAGAAGGAAATAAAGGGTATTCAATTACGAAAAGAGGAAGTCAAATTGTCCCTGTTTGCAGATGACATGATTGTATATCTAGAAAACCCCATTGTCTCAGCCCAAAATCTCCTTAAGCTGATAAGCAACTTCAGCAAAGTCTCAGGATACAAAATCAATGTACAAAAATCACAAGCATTCTTATACACCAATAACAGACAAACAGAGAGCCAAATCATGAGTGAACTCCCATTCATAATTGCTTCAAAGAAAATAAAATACCTAGGAATCCAACTTACAAGGGATGTGAAGGACCTCTTCAAGGAGAACTACAAACCACTGCTCAAGGAAATAAAAGAGGATACAAACAAATGGAAGAACATTCCATGCTCATGGGTAGGAAGAATCAATATCATGAAAATGGCCATACTGCCCAAGGTAATTTATAGATTCAATGCCATCCCCATCAAGCTGCCAATGACTTTCTTCACAGAACTGGAAAAAACTACTTTAAAGTTCATATGGAACAAAAAAAGAGCCCGCAACGCCAAGTCAATCCTAAGCCAAAAGAACAAAGCTGGAGGCATCATGCTACCTGACTTCAAACTATACTACAAGGCTACAGTAACCAAAACAGCATGGTACTGGTACCAAAACAGAGATATAGATCAATGGAACAGAACAGAGCCCTCAGAAATAATGCCGCATATCTACAACTATCTGATCTTTGGCAAACCCGAGAAAAACAAGCAATGGGGAAAGGATTCCCTATTTAATAAATGGTGCTGGGAAAACTGGCTAGCCATATGTAGAAAGCTGAAACTGGATCCCTTCCTTACACCTTATACAAAAATTAATTCAAGATGGATTAAAGACTTAAATGTTAGACCTAAAACCATAAAAACCCTAGAAGAAAACCTAGGCATTACCATTCAGGACATAGACATGGGCAAGGACTTCATGTCTAAAACACCAAAAGCAATGGCAACAAAAGCCAAAATTGACAAATGGGATCTAATTAAACTAAAAAGCTTCTGCACAACAAAAGAAACTACCATCAGAGTGAACAGGCAACCTACAAAATGGGAGAAAATTTTCGCGACCTACTCATCTGACAAAGGGCTAATATCCAGAATCTACAATGAACTCAAACAAATTTACAAGAAAAAAACAAACAACCCCATCAAAAAGTGGGCAAAGGACATGAACAGACACTTCTCAAAAGAAGACATTTATGCAGCCAAAAAAACGCATGAAAAAATGCTCACCATCACTGGCCATCAGAGAAATGCAAATCAAACCACAATGAGATACCATCTCACACCAGTTAGAATGGCAATCATTAAAAAGTCAGGAAACAGTAGGTGCTGGAGAGGTTGTGGAGAAATAGGAACACTTTTACACTGTTGGTGGGACTGTAAACTAGTTCAACCCCTGTGGAAGTCAGTGTGGTGATTCCTCAGGGATCTAGAACTAGAAATACCATTTGACCCAGCCATCCCATTACTGGGTATATACCCAAAGGACTATAAATCATGCTTCTATAAAGACACATGCACACGTATGTTTATTGTGGCACTATTCACAATAGCAAAGACTTGGAACCAACCCAAATGTCCAACAATGATAGACTGGATTAAGAAAATGTGGCACATATACACCGTGGAATACTATGCAGCCATAAAAAATGATGAGTTCATGTCCTTTGTAGGGACATGGATGAAATTGGAAATCATCATTCTCAGTAAACTATCGCAAGAACAAAAAACCAAACACCACATATTCTCACTCATAGGTGGGAATTGAACAATGAGAACACATGGACACAGGAAGGGGAACATCACACTCTGGGGACTGTTGTGGGGTGGGGGGAGGGGGGAGGGATAGCTTTAGGAGATATACCTAATGCTAAATGACGGGTTAATGGGTGCAGCGCACCGGCATGGCACATATATACATGTGTGACTGGCCTACACATTGTGCACATGTACCCTAAAACTTAAAGTATAATAATAAAAAAATAAAAATTTAGGTTTGCTTCACGTATGGAGTACCAGAATCAAGTGCATATGGCAAGGGGATGATGGTGATGCTTGGTACTTGTACCTTCAGGTTGATGAAAACTGTCTAGGCTAATAATAATTTCAGTGGTACCCTGATGCATCCTTGGAAATGAGCTGTAAGGCTGACAATGTTAGAACAGGGGAGGAGGTACAAGCCTTAGCAGATAGAAATAACATGCAAATAATCAACAGCAATTACTCTTAAGACATCTTGCCCTACCTTGTTATGATCAACATTAAGCAACATCAGTCGAAGATTCTGAGGACTGGTGCCAGTGAAGTAAACTTCATAAGATTTGTTCAGAGCCACAATGCTGTGAAACAGGGACAGCCTTCTCTGGCATGTATATCCAGCACACCAGCCATGATCCTGTGGGCCTAAATCCATGCAAAATGAAAGTGCATACTCCTATATCATACATTTTATTAGTATAAAATCTGAAGAGTAATTGTATTAAAAATAAATTGCAGTGGTCAAGTTCAAATGCAAGTTCAGCATTTATACCTATTACCCATCCACCGTTACCCAGCCAGCTAAGCTATTTCTCAAACCTTGGCTTAAAAAGGAAGGCAGGGAAGAAACTTCTTCCTATCACCCTACTTTTACACTGCCCAGGGCAAGAAGGGTACATTAATGTGTTAATAAGAATTTGTATCGGAAGGTCACTGATAGAAATAGTAGATTTCCATATATCTCTTCTTTAATGATAATATTCAAGCCTAGGCCACATGGTGAGGAAGAAAATGCTTGATTCTTTCTTCTCTCTACCAAATATAAGCTTGAGTGGGAATTGAACTTTCTCAGGCTCTTTGTTAGGAAATGTGCTATAATAGAGTTAATTTGTTAACAATAGGCTCTGTACCTGGCAAACATGGACATTTGAATGCCTGAACCATTGATTCATTAATTTGTTCTTTCACTCATGCACTTGTTTTTTAAAAGTAGTTAATTTGTAAATTCAACAAACACATTCGTCTAATCAAGTAATTAATCTTCCTCCATTTTAATTTTAAGAAATTTTTGTTGACAGTTATGACTATTAGAGTGTTGACATCATTAATGAACTGAAGCCACCTAAGAAATAACACTCTATCAAACCCTCTAGAAAGCCAAGAGATAGTGAATGCTTTTCTACCTGAATCCAAACATTTTCTGAGCAGGTTTAAAATGACTTTTATAACAAACTTCTCTATTTCACTTAAAGTGGCTGAGATTATACATATATAAAACATTGAGTGAAATATGGAATGAATTGTATTGATGTATTTATTCATTAGGTTTTCTGAATTTCCTAGCTTACTTGGAAGTATTATCAATATTTATAACTACACCTCAATCAAATTTTAAATCAATATAAACTTCTAAAGTTCATGTATTGCCTAACCTTTTCCTTAGCATACAAAATATAAATCCTACTTTTAAATATACTTTCTTTGTGGGTTTTGAAAACAAACATAAAGAAATATCCATGTATAACATAAAAATTTAGAGACAAAAGTCATATTTTTAAAATAAATAAAATTTAATATTAATATTCAAAAGGAAACTTCAGTGATTTTCTGTAACTTTTATCTTGGGGAATTTTTTCCCATCTAGTATAGCACATCCCAAGCTTCAGTGATTCTTCTAACACCTTCATGATTTTTCTGTGCTGCTATCATTTACATAAGACTTCTTTAAATTGATAGTCACTTTTTAAAATTTAAATTCATATTGAAGAAATATGTCTTGTCATTGTCATAAATGGAAAACTTGTATTGCTTGCCAGAAAAGGGAAATGTAAAAATAAGACAATGAAATCTTTTTCACCATATAAAACAGAGCTATTGGGAAAGATCTCTTCTATTACTCCATTATTCATTGACAGTTCTGAAGTTGTTCTCATGATCTCTGCTTCATACAATCCGAAAAGCAGCATCTAAAATTGGGTTAACTGCAGGTCACAGAAACCAGGCATAGCACACATTGGGGTGGGAGAAGTGAGGAGAGTCCTAAAATCATGAAACTTTGGAATACTCCTGATTTAGTTCATTCTGTTATATTTTATTGATTTCTAGAATATTTTAGTACATGTTATGACACTACAAGGGCACATAAATCTATCTAATCCAAGCTATGTACACTTTCAGCACATGAAAGATCCTAATCTAAGCCTGTTTAGGGACTAAGTTTTGAGCCCCTGGTGTCATTTCAAGGATATACGATGAATCCCTGTCCTGTGTTTTCAGTACCTTTTAGAAGTTCATCTTATTCAAAAAGCCTTGGTCTCCTAAGCTGATCTGCATCCTCATGGAGGCCATTACCTTCCTTCTCTGCTACAGCCTCCTAAGACCAGAATGGAAGAAACCTGATGCTAGAGCTTGACCAGCTGGTCTTGACAGTCAAAGGAATTAGAGACGAAAAAACATGTTGATAGCAAGATAAGTCTTCCAAAGATTCATGAGCATAAAACATGAGCAGGCTGAGAATACTGCTTGTCAGGTATTCCAAATAACACATTATCAGTTTTTAATATACGTTAGGTCAATTGTATTTTTTGGAGATACTTGGACCTTTTTTTTCTTTAAAATACTTATACCACCTTATCAATAAAGTATGAAGATCACTCCAGAAATAACTTTTCCCCTACTTCTTGCTCTCCTCTCCATCCCTCTTCCCCTCCTTCTTTTTATTTTAATGCCCAATTTTAAATAACTGTCCTTGCTTCCCTGGATGAGGTACTGCAGGATCAAGTCTCTCCCCTGCGCATTGCTCATTGTTACAAATGGAAGGCAAACAAGGCCTGATGTTTGCTAGTTGTGTGGGGTAAATAATTTATGAGATGGCTTCATGCATTTAATAACAAGCAATGTTTTGAGTAATTGTAGTTTACTCATATTGAATACCTACCATTAATAAGATCAACATAACCGTTGCCCATTATAGCCACTGGGGAAAGTCTTCGAGTTTCTGTGTCAGGATCCAGACTTTCAATAACCATCATTGCATATTCCATCCCAAAGCACTGATAGCTCTGCCACTCTGGAAGGTACTTACAGGTTGAATCTCTAATAATTCCTAGAAACATATGTATATATATTTTAGCAATAATACAGAATCTCTTTGCAAAAAAATCCTTATAACATCTATTTCTTGTTATGCTAGTTTAAGAAGTAGAAAATAAAAGTTATTGGTTGAGTAGGCAAGTCATTAAAAATAAAACATATTTTGTTTCATGAGTTTAAGGCCTAATGACAGATTAAGCAAGATCCAACAAACCTTTATGAGGTGCTTTCTCAGTGACAGGAATTCTACTTCCATTCAAGAATGTGAGCATCGCCTTAGGAATTCTGTAGTCTCCAATTCCTACTTGGCTGTTTCCGTCCCATTCATATTCTGCTTGAGGTATCACAGAACCAGCATTCCCCAGAAAGGAGCCATCTATGTCTCTAAGAAAAGATTTCCTCTTGGCATCACAAACCATGTCTACACAATCAGATGGATTGACCTTACTGTGGAGAAAAGTTGAATTATTCAGTTCATTGTTTCTAGAGAGCAATATGAATACACTTGAATATTTACTTAGAGGATATCCAAAAAAATTGATCTATTGAATTTTATTTCAGAGAGATTTCAAAGTGGGACCAAGTAGCCTATGTAATTTGCATTATAATGAGGTCTGCTTTTCCATTGTGTTGATTTGGTCTATGATTATGAATTCATTAACATTTCAAAACGACAAGTCATACCTGTGGGATATAAAATCAGAATTCCACTTTTCTATTCTATATATTGTTGAATGATAGATTTCTTATTTGTGCATTGTTCACAGCATACTAACATTGCTCCAGAGAGTAGGTGAATGATTACTGTTATACAGGACATATAAAATTCCTGTGTTGGCAGGGAAGTCTTTATTATTATTTCCTTTCCTTTCTTGTCTTTAAAAATTATGAAATTATTGCTTACTATAAAATAATATAAAGATTTATTAAAAGCTCAATCCCTATCACCTTCCTATACTAATCTTTTAGGCTCATCACCAATTGCAGATTAGTATATATTCTTATAGACCTTTGTTTATGGATATATAGATAAACTTGGATTGTGTTTATTATGCTACATATTTTAGTAACCATTCTATAGATAAAAGTAAGAGGTAAGATAAACTCATCATGCAGTTCAAATGTAGATGGTATTTTGGCCTCATCTTGAGTTACCTGGAGTGTTGATTGATTGTTACCTGATTATAATAATAAAATAGCTACTTAATGTGAGAGGTACTATACATTCAAATGGTATGCATACAATATACTCATAGAATACCGTGATATATACCATGGGCAGAGTTATAGTAACAAAATAATAGTGGACAGCTCAGATCTATTAAATAGTATCTAGAATAGCTCTCCCTTTTTGCTATGAGAAAGATATGAAGCTATTAATACAAGTTATTCCTTACATAATATACAAGTTTTAGAGAAGGATTTTAATAAATATTTTTGTAGTTCATGTGTTCGTTGTATTCAAATATGTGCAATGTACTTTTGTAAGCAAGTCTGTGAGTAGAGTGCTCAGTGGCAGTCTTTTATGTTGTGGCTTTGGGCTCTTAGTCTAGGTTCCCAAGAAATAAAGCCTGAGATATGGATTTTTGTTCAAGTAAATTAGCAAAAGAATCCTCTCAAAAGGGGGAGAAGAGAAGTGGTTTATCCACTAGCTATAATCTGATCCCATGAAAACCTCTGGCATATGAACCGCACAGCAGAGTTTTTGCCACCTTAAGACAAAGCAGCCAGTCTTGTACTCCTGAATCAGTCAGTCATTTTACAGGGACTGCAGGCTGGTGGGAGGGAGCACTTTGGACTCCTACGGCTAGTTCTATTTGGCTAAGAGCAAAGTTCTGAAAAGCCATGGGTTGTTATTTGCCAACACTGAGAACATTTGGGGGCTGGGTACACTGCCCCTAAAGATCTGGGAGAGCACTGATGGCATCGCCTGCAAGCACAGAACTCAGAAAAATCATATTTGAAAACGTGGTATTTTCTTCAGGACTTAGAAACTAAAATTATATGTTGAATCTGAAAGATTCAGTGACAACTAAATAAGAGCTAATAACTGCCTACTGAAGAGGGGCTCTGTTGACCCCCCAAACACTGAATTCAACAATAATTAAATGAGTAAGCATTGGGCTGTCAGCAAAGCAAAATCAGATGAAGTCAAACAATTTATGAAATATTATATTTATCTGAAGAGGTGCCTACTTTTTTTCTGAGACAGGGTCTCACTGTGTTGCCCAAGCTGAAGTGCAGTGGTGTGATCACAGCTGACTGCAGCCTCAACCTCCTGGGCTCAAGCAATCCTCCTGCCTCAGCCTCCTGAGTAGCTAGGACCACAGGTGTACACCACCACACCCAGCTAATTTTTATTTTTTAATTTTTTGTAGAGATGGTATCTCCCTATGTTGCCCAGGCTGGCCTCAAACTCCTGGGCTCAAGCAATCCTCCTGCCTCAGCCTCCCAAAATTCTGAGATTACAGGCACTAGCCACAATGACTGGCTAAGATGCCTATTTAAATACAGAACATAATTCCTTTTCTCTTCCCCTAAGCTGAAAATGGTCAAAGATCAGTAATAAAATTTTTTCTGCCTCCAGTATTGTCTTATATCTAAATTTCTGGTCTGTACTTCTAATAAAAAGTAGGAATTATTAGATATATTATTCTACGGCTTAGAATCTAAATGATCGCTTCTGGAAATGTCCTGACACCAACTGACCTTTGTGATCAGAAAATCATTGTTCTAAGTTTATGTGTATTTATAATCACAGTGATTATAATGGCTGACATTTAATTTCCAAGCACATTTGGGGTACCTGTGATAGGATATTTTGGAAGCAATAGGTAACCAAAAAGGGTAAGAAAAATGGAAGAAATAATAAGAGATATCTCTTATCTATTAATGACTGTCATTGGAGAAACAAACAAAAAAATTGTGTGTGTGGCTCTTGCCTGTAATCCCAGTGCTTTGGGAGGTCAAAGCAGAAGGAACCCTTGAGGCCAGGAGTTCAAGACCAGCCTGGGAAACATAGAAAGACCCTGTCTCTACAAAAATAATAATGATAATAATAATAATAATTAAGCCAGGCATAGTGGCTTGTGCTTGTAGTCTCAGCTGCTTGGGAGGCTGAGGTGGAAGTATTGCTTGAACTCAAGAGTTTGAGGCTGCAGTGAGCCATGATAGCACCATCGCACTCCAGCCTGAGTGGCAGAGTTATTTTCCAGGATGTCCTCAAACTCCTGGGCTCAAGAAATCCTCTTGCTTCAACCTCCTGAGTAGCTAGAACTACAGGCACATTATGCCTGCTCTAAATGGAAAGATATTAATGTATAACACACTTCAGACCCCATCTATAGCTTTCATATTTAACAATGATGATGTTATTGATGATTCACACACAAAAAAAGCAATGGGAGAAAACATATATATTAAAGCCCAGTTTTAAAAACTCATCTGAGAACATTTAGATTTACATTATTAAATGGTCTTAATTTTCATAATGCTCATTAAAGTATCATAAAAACTGGCAGTTATTTTAATATGCCAACTTTCTCAGATCTTGAGCAGGAGGAAGTGAGAATGAAAAACTATAAAGATAGAAAAACCACAATTTTTATGTATTTTACCTTATATCAGGCCTATGTATAAATATTTTTGATTGTTCAGTGGTATCAACCAGTTTTATATTCTTCACATGGATTGGATGCTGTAAATCCTCATTTAAAGGGTTAGTAATGAATATAACATTAGTTTCCCCTGAACAAACATTCTTAAATCCAACAAATGTTGAACCTAAAACATAAATAATAGATAAGTGATTATTTTCTCTAAAGAAAGTGATAAAATCAGATTTAATGCACATTCTGCCAAACACATCTTTTGTCACTACCTTAAACATGGAGCTCTTGCCTGATATGGTAAATAAGTCTACCACTATTTGTTGTAGCCTGTTGCCTCCCAATATCAATATCCATATCACTGGGTAATGATCTCCCATATTTTCTCCGGGCTTGGCCATGTAACTTGGTTTGGCCAATGGGACAATAGCAATCATGGCATAAACAGAGATCTGGAGAGTGCTTGCATATTGGAGCTTGCTCTTTCTTAGTGTTCCAGGGAATTCTGTGACTTCCAACATATGAGTAAGCCTGGGATACATGTGGCTCTATCACTCCTATCGCCCCAGCTAATGGCCAGCACCAACTGTCAGCAAGCACCAACCTCCAGTCATGGAAGTAAGGCTATCCTAGACTAACCAGCCCATAGCCATCCTGTAAACTGATGGCACCTAATGGACAAGACCAGGTGAGACCAGTAGAAAAACCATCCAGCTGAACAAAGCCCAAATTGACAATCCACAGAATCATGAGCTAAATGGTTGTTTAAAGTCTCTAAATTTGGGGGGTTGTTTGTTATCCAGCTAAGATAAATGAACCACTATTTTTCCCTTGGCTTCTTTGTATATATTATGTGGCTAAAAGAGAAAATTGATTGGATCCAAAAACTTAATCTCCATTATACTTAAAATCCAATAACTCTAAACAGAAAAGCAAAAGGTGACCTCTAAAATTCTTAAATCAGTTATGTTTTATCTATGCCCCTTCTTAATTATATTTTCTCCTAAGAAGAGTCTATATACAGGAATACAAACCTGTAGATTAGTATTAAGAAAATATCACAGTAGCAGATGCTGTTTGTGCCCTGCCCAGATCTCCTTTACTGGGCCAGTGCACCCAACCCCTAGTTCCTCCTATAAGTATTGGCTGCAAACCACCCATAGCTGCGGTCTTCTGTTTTTTTTTTGTTTGTTTTTGTTTTTGTTTTTGTTTTTTGTTTTTTGAGATGGGGTCCAGTGGTGTGATCATGGCTCCTTGCAACCTCCGCCTCCTGGGTTCAAGCAATTCTGCCTCAGCCTCCTGAGTAGCTGGGATTACAGGTGCCTGCCACCATGACTGGCTAATTTTTGTATTTTTTCAGTAGAGATAGGGTTTCACCATGTTGGGCAGGCTGGCCTCAAACTCCTGACCTCAAGTGATCCACTCTCCTTGGCCTCCCAAAGTGCTGGAACTACAGGCGTGAGCCACTGCACCTGGCCAGCTGCTGTCTTCTCTAAAGAATTGCGTTTAGCCACTTGAGAGTTCCCTCACCTGAGAGATTATGTACTCCCGTCCATTACCACAAGTAGCTATGCCTAACTAACTGACAAGAGATATGGAAGAACCTTTTGCCTCAATGTGGGAAAAATATTTGGCACAATTTATACTCCACAGCTCTCTGAAGTTTCAGGTAGAAGAAGCTGAACTTCAGCTGAGGTCATATCTTTGCTTAGCTCCTTCCTCTGCCCTATTCTAATACTTCTTTCACTCCCTTTCTCCTGAGAGCATACCTTCAATAAGCCACTTGCATAAGAATTCCATTTCTGCTTCTACTTTATTAATGCTTTGAAGAAAGAAAAGGAAACTATGGTGGTTATTCACACATTCAAAGCAAATCTCAGGATCTAAGTGTAAGATCAGAGGAACCTTACAACTTAAGAGATGGTTGGGTTCTGAGACCTACCAAATCCCCTACATCAAAGGCCCTGACAGAAACAAAGTGCGATGCTAAGTTAGTTGGAGATATGTGGGAAGAGCCACTTGGACCCTGAAGTCTCAGAATGTGCTGAATGCTCTGGATGTGTATAACTGGTATATTCCTTCTTATTAGAAAGTAACTTCCTGCTCTGCTTGCTTGAAATCATCAGGGACCTCAACAGAGCCTTACAAGACAAATCTTATCTTCCACAGGACCTGTTCCAAGGGAATTATACACTAGTATGGCCAGTTTTAATATGTTGCTGGAATGACTTTTAGAAGCTTGGAAATAGTGATGGCCCACATTAAGTAGAAATGCCCAAATTTCCATGACATGTTGTGAGAAAAATGCAGGTCAAAGGCTCAAAAATGGGAATATTGAAATTGCATGTATTATATTGGATGTATTACATAATTCCAATGCATTTCAGCCCAACTCAGAGGTGGCCTTGAATGAGTGTGGTGTGGTATGGTGTGGTGTGGTGTGGTGTGGTGTGGGAAGATCTTTCCAATTAAAAGAAATTTGGGTAGTACACAGGGTCACCTACTTTTTGTGGAGAGAGAACTGATCTAAGGTAAGGATAAATATGGACTCCTGGGTAGTGATGAGTGGCTTAGCTGGTTGGTAAGGGGCCTGGAAGGAAGTAGACTGGATGTTCAGGAAAAAATATGTGGATAGACATGTCAAAATGGGTATAAAAGGCATGCTATTTCCCACCAATAAGCATTCAATACAGAAGAGTACCTGAAAAACCAAATGGGCAGGATGATTTGTCCAACAAATATCAGTTAATCTCTGTCCTCAGACACCCCAGCCCTTACAAAATCAGCTTATGAACTGAGTAGCCTTTTTGGTGAAGATGGAGGCTATGCATGGATCCAACAGTATGGACACCTTCTTTCCAATGTTAGTGGAGCTACTTCTACTACATAATGTCTGACCCAAATTGCCTGGCACAGAAATTAAAATGTAGTCTTTAGTATACTACCATTCCTCAGGAAATCAAACAATTACTTAAATTAAAGTTGGCGACATCAGATTTATTCCACCCTGGAAAAGGTAACAATTCATGCTGAGTAGTACTGACATGTATTCCTGGTGTGAGTTTTCCTTTCTTATAGGGCTTCAGTTAGCACCACCATACTAGGACTCACAAAGTGATCTAATGGCACGGGCTCCTGCATAACATCACCCTGGACTAAAGAACTCACGTTCGACAAAATAGGTACAGGGGTGAGCATAAGACAATGGAATCACCATGGAAGAATTGCTCCAATCATACAATATAGCATCTGGAGAATGTCACCCCAAAAGACTGGTGGAATAGATTCTTGAAGGCACAGCTGACGTGTCAACTTTGGAAATGACAACCTGCAAAAAATGTGTTATTAACCTAAAACAAAGGGCATTATATGGTGGTAAATATCAAAAATATAGAATACATGGGTGCTGGTACCAAAGGCAAGAAGTAGGAGTAACTGTTTTCACCATTATCCCTGGAAGTTCACTTGGGAAACTTGTGCTTCCAATACTAAAATTTTAGGTTCTATGAGTCTGGAGGTCATAGTTCCCAGATGAGAAGTGTTTCAGCAGGACATACAGTAAGTGACTCAATAAAAATAAAGTTATACCTACCTCATTGTCACTTCAGGCTTCTCGTCAGACAAAGAAGGCATTTACCACCTGGCAGAAGTAACTGATCCTGATCACCATGCAGAGGTAGGCCTATTCTATAGAATGAAGGCAGGATGCACTCACATGATCCACTGGGGTATATGCCCACTGTTAGTTGTAAAATGGCAAGTACAGAAGTCATGGCTTCATAAGGGCACAGAAACCAGGGACTTTTTTTTTTTTTTTTTTTTTTTTTTGAGACAGAGTTTTACTCTGTTGCCCAGGCTGGAGTACAGTTGTGTGATCTCGGCTCACTGCAACCTCCGCCTCCCAGTTTCAAGCAATTCTCCTGCCTCAGCCTTACAAGTAGCTGGGATTATGCCCAGCTAGGTTTTTTTTTTTTTTTTTTTGTATTTTTAGTAGAGTCGGGGTTTCACCATGTTGGCCAAACTGGTCTTGAACTCCTGACCTCATGATTCATCCACCTTGGCCTTCCAAAGTGCTGGGATTACAGGCATGAGCCACCATGGACCAGGGGCCTATTTATAACAGGAATGAGGGTCTGAGCCATTCTACCAGGCAAGCCATCTTGACAAGCAGAAGTGTTAACCAAGGAAGACAGAAATTTAGAAAGGGTGATGGATGAGAGAGATGATGAGTATCATTTATGGTTTAGGGACCAGCTATGGCAGGGTGACCACCAAACCTCTTCTTAAAGTTTTTCCCAAAAATTGTGACCATGCAGAATCTTGGAGAAATCATATATAACTTAATATAACTAACAATGAAGAAAGCAAGTAGATCCCAGTAGTCCCAAGAGAGGACTAAAGTGGATACAGGCTGGTACACCCATCTCTCATCTCTTTGAATATTGGCTGTTAACAAATCTCCCTTTTCCCAGACAATTAGCTTAGCCAAAAAGGAGCCACATACCCGGGAAATCAAGGTCCTCCCCATAGGGGCAGCTGTAACCAAAAACTAACATGGGGATACAAATGACTTCCGTCCCCTACCCACCTCACCAGATGTGGGATCAACTCCGTGGCAATTTTAACTTACACTCTAGAGTTTCCCAGTGGCATCAAGTATAGCTGCCCTTCAGCTCATATCACATCCTTGCTTAGCAACTTCCCTTGCCCTGTTCTCTTCCTTCCCTTTCTACTAGGTGTTCCAAGAAGCCACTAATATGAAAGTCCTCATCTAAGGCTGTTTCTAGTGAATCTCAGTCAACCAACTTTTATATGTTATTTTAAAAGACTATATCTTATGAAAGAATAATAGTTATTAATGTTCTTTCAATAAATTTCAATCTTAAGGCTTCATTTCATAAGGGCAGTTTCATTGTCACATGATATTTATAATATTCTGGAGCATATTATTTATTAAAAGCCATATATGTTCAATTACAACCTATGTAGCATGTTATACAATTTCCTCCAAGGGTATGAGCATTGCAATTAACACTTAAAAGTGTTGCTAATTTGTTTCACATTTCTGGGATCTAAAGCTGTGAGAAAGAATATGTTAAAACTTAGATGTCTAACTTACTGAACTACTTTCTTCAGAGACACTGGTTAAAATTATCCTGGAAGGGACACTTGCTCCATTAAAACAGGAAATGCACAGTGTTATTTAATAGGCCAAATGAAAATAATTGATGTGTTTACTACATTAATTTATATATAATTATTTTACATTTCTAAGCAGCCATCCTGGTTCAGTGAAAGAGCAGTGGAGTTTGAATCAGAAGATTTTGATTCTAATCCTAGCTGTGCCAATAGCTGTGGGAATTTGGCCAGGCACTAAGTTCTTTGAGCTTAAGGTTCTTCAATTTTAAAAAGGGATGATAATATATAATCCTACTTACATGAAAGGGCATTTACAAATTATACAAATTAATATTAAATCACAAATGCCAGTGTTTTGTTGTTGTTTTAGAAGGAAAATTTAACATCAATTCTTCAACATACAGTATAAGAATCCTGCCAAGAAACCATTCTCAAAATTGACTCTGATGTCTGATTTCTTTGTCATATTGAGCAGATTGCTATAAAAATTCACTTAAATCATTTTTACTAACAATGAAACATTATTAGTTATCCTCTACATATTCTTTACAGAAATTAATTGAGAAGATTTGTAAAAGACTGTGTACTTGCCTGAGATGTCCAAAAGGCCACTGATGGCATTGTAACTCATGATTCCTGCATGGGGCTTTCGGGGTGCCATGTTATGAGCTGAAGCAAAGGTAGGCCAACAAATCCCACTTCTCCCACCTTTTACCAAAAAAGAAAAAGTTAATGAAAATTGAATATGCACTCATATGAACAACAACATTAAAGTTTCAAATTTTTCACCTGATGGAGATCTAGGACTCCGATGAGCAGCAGTGAGTTCAATATTAGGATCATCATTAGTTAGGACATCAGAGCAATTAAACCCAGGGCTACTTCCAACAATTAATGAGCTCTGTTTGGAAATAAGCCAAACAATATAGCATTAATAATAGCTCTTACTAAAAGAAAACATGGGCCGGGCGCGGTGGCTCACGCCTGTAATCCCAGCACTTTGGGAGGCCGAGGCGGGTGGATCATGAGGTCAGGAGATCGAGACCATCCTGGCTAACAAGGTGAAACCCCGTCTCTACTAAAAATACAAAAAATTAGCCGGGCGCGGTGGCGGGCGCCTGTAGTCCCAGCTACTCGGGAGGCTGAGGCAGGAGAATGGCGTGAACCCGGGAAGCGGAGCTTGCAGTGAGCCGAGATTGCGCCACTGCAGTCCGCAGTCCGGCCTGGGCGACAGAGCGAGACTCCGTCTCAAAAAAAAAAAAAAAAAAAAAAAAAGAAAACATGATAATGAATAGTACTAAATTCTACTGTAGTAAATAAAATGCAAACTATAAATTCAAAAAGTGGATCATTCATTAAACAAAGATGAAAAAGGTTGCTACCCCAACTGGAAAAGCACTAAGAATAGGAGAGGGAAGACAGACATGTAAATAATTACATATAAGGACATGTTATGTTTCTGTGATAAATACATCCAGGGAACAGTAGGCACAAAAAAGTGGAGGAAGTGTCATTACCACCTAAACTGGCTCAGAAAAAACTTCATAGAGGGAGTGAAAATTTAACTATTTCAAGATTAGCAGGTGATAAGCAAGAAGAGGGAAGGGAGGAGGAGAGATAAGAATGAACAGCTTTTTTGTTGGGTGCGGTGGCTCACGCCTGTAATCCCAGCACTTTGTGAGGCCGATGTGGGCGGATCACGAGGTCAGGAGATCAAGACCATCCTGGCTAACACAGTGAAACCCCATCTCTACTAAAAATATAAAAAATTAGCCAGGCGTGGTGGCGGGCACCTGTAGTCCTAGCTACTCGGGAGGCTGAGGCAGGATGTGAACCCGGGAGGCAGAGTTTGCAGTGAGCCGAAATTGTGCCACTGCACTCCAGCCTGGGCTACGGAGCGAGACTCCATCTCAAAAAAAAAAAAAAAAAAAAGAACGGTTTTTTAGGCAGAGGGCAGTGGGAACAAAGGCAGGGAGGTGTGGGCGAGACAGAGATAGAAGTTAAGGAGATTATTCTTATTAGTCCTTCAGAAATTCCACCCTTCTCCAAGTTATTTTTTTCTCCATGGTGTGGCTGTATTAATTTCTTACCTTAATTTGTACATTTTTACTGGAAATTTTGTGTGATATAGCAGCTGGCATGTAAATCATTGGAAAAATGGCCATTCCATTGTCAACCAGGGTCACATTATAAATGTGCACACTCTCTGTGGTCTGCAATAGAATTTGCAGGTTACATAATACTAAGGACAATCATAAAAGAAAATAAACAATCACCATCTTTAATCATAATTACCTGAAAATAAATTCCATAATCCCAGCATGTCCAAATGGTAAATCCTTGTATAAGAGAACATCCAGGAAGGCCATCTTGGTTCATATAGATCCCATATAAACCTCCATGGGCTTCATTGTCAAACCACTTTTCCACAGGATTAAACTGGCCTTGGAGGGAAATATAGAACCAGAGAATGAACACTACATTTCATGTCATATAGTTTTAATAAGCAGTATCAGTTAAAGTTAACAAAATTCTTTTCAAAATTACATACATAATTCTGATATCAGGTTTAATATGATCAAATATTTTTATGGCTCTGCCATTTATGGTTCACTCTATTTAGTGTTTTTCTTTAAATGTTCTTGAGATGGAGTCTCACTATGTTACTCAAACTCGTCTCAAACTCAAGCCATCTTCCTGCCTTGGCTTCCTGAGTAGCTGGGACTACAGGCATGCCCCACCTCGCCTGGTTTATTCTAATTAGTATTTACTTTTGTCTAACTAGTCTCTTCACTGTTACTTAAAATAACTGTATACTTATTTGCAAAAGTTTAGTGTTAACACACTTACATTATTTTATCTGATTAAAGATTAATTTAATGGGAAAGAGCATGGGATTTAGATACAAATAAGCCTAAACTTGGTAGAGCTTACTGTCTGTGAAATGCTTCCCCTGAACATCTTTCCATTGCTATGTCCTTCTGGCCATCCCATTTTCAAGTCAAATGTCACTTCCTTAAAAGACCTTCCCTAAATACCTGATACAATATAATACCTCAGTCACTTTACATTACAATTAAAATTCCTTTCACTTGATATTTTTATTATTAATTATTTGTGAATTATCCATCTCTTCTCTCCTACTAAGATGTAAGCTTCATGACAGAAGACATTGCACCTAGCTCATTCACCATCATTTCTTGGAGCCTAGAAGGTAGTACAGAGATAGGTGGTCTTTAAATATTTTAACAATTGGTGTATGCATTATCTTGGGAAAGTTGTTTAACCTTTTAGGAACTTAGTTTCCTCATATGTAAAAAGTTTTAATGATTAATTCAGAATTGTTTCAAAATGAAAGGAAATAACCCACATACAGTGCCTAGCAAATACTCTCAATAAATGGCAACTATACTCATTATTAATATATACAACAAAGGGGATTTTCATGAAAGTTTTACTTATGTCCAAGTCAGTTCAATAACCTTAATAACTCCCTCCCCACACAGGCATGAATTGGAGGATTGTCTATAAAGAGCAGCACCACCTCCTAAATTGTACTTAATACCAGCTCTCCTGTTCAGGTTCCCTGGTATCTGTTTCCTTTTATCTTCTGCTGATTTTCCCTTCTTCCTAGTCCATTGGGTTTTACATTTTATTTATGATTTTCCTGGTTTTGATAATTTTCCTGCATTATTAAAATTATTATTATTAAAAGAAGATGTTTACATTTCTCTCCCTTAGAATCACACAATATAGATGCATGGACAAATAGGGTTTGACCCCTGAACCCAGTGTATATCACTATCCCCAGTTTCCCAGACTCTTGCCTGGAGGATGGATTGAATAAATTGATGTACCATTACAGGAACGTAAACTCTTCATTCCTCTGTGATGTTTCATATTTCAGTTGCTATAACTCCAAAATCTCCTTATAAATAGTCTCAATTATTTAGGAATACCAACATAGTCAGTGAAAAATGCATTACATAGCATTATACATACTAGTAAATATTCATATTCAAAGATATTTTGATGTTGAAAAATCCATAAGGATAACTTTATTGAAGTTGTAAAGAAATTACATATTTTAAATTTTTAAGTCAAAGAAAAGCCACTTTAAGTGGTTGGGAACTAAAATATTTAACAAGAGCATATATCAAGGAATCACTTAAATATGTTGACAAAGTAGTTTTTATTCCTTCAGAATGTATTTTGCACAAGAATAAAACCAGCTTAAGTCTAAAAATGTTTGAATTGACAGAAAAAAAATGCTGATTCAAAGAATCTTAAAAATAAATACACTTTTAACTAGTATATTTTTTAAAAGGTGAAATTTATGCTATATAAATCATGCCAAATAAAGCTGTTAAAAAGTAACTATACTGAGACTTTTCTTTTAAAATCAACTCTGGAAGGGACATACATTTCTCAAAGAAAGTCCCATTTTCTTTAAATTTCTTTAAATTTCTTGAGGGGTAAAGTCTGCAGATTTATTATGTATTTTACTTTTTTGATCTGGTAATTATTTATTATAAATTATTGGTTGAAAATATAGAGGTTATTTAAAAAGTATGCAATTATAAGTACTGAGTCTCCTTGTTCCCAATTACTTTCTATGATTTTTATACTTTCCTTATGTAAATACAAATACCATATACATTCTGATTCCTTCCCTTTCTTCCACAAAACATATTTTATAGGTATTATACCTAAAATAGTATTATATAAACTATTTTGCACTCTCCAGTAAGCACTTAAGAATATTCTAGAGATTTCTTCATATCAATACATTGAACTCTTCTGCTTTCTTTCTTCGAGTAGTCTAGTGTTCCATCGTCTGGCTTTATATAACTATTCTACCATTGCGGGACACAAAGTGGCTTTCGGTTTTCTGCTAGTACAGACAATGCTGTGATGAATAACCTTGTTCATAGATAATTTTCTAAGTTTGTAAAGGCAACTGTTAGCTAGATTCATAGAAGTGGAAATACTGAGTAAAGGTAAACGCACATGTGATTTTGGTAGATGTTGTCATGTTACCCTAAGTAGAGATTATATTGTTTTGTCCTTCAACCAGCAAGGTGTAAATGTTTCGCTTTCCCTACAGCCTTGCCAAAAGAGTAGATGCTCAGTTACCTCTTAATTTTTACTAATCCAATATAGAGAAATCTATATTTGAGAAGTGTCTGTTCATGTTTGTTGACTTTTTGATGCATGCAGGTTTAACATATGAATAGTGAGCATTTATTCTATCAAAGCAGAAGTTAAAATAATGGCATATGTCAACATGTATCTCTATAATAAGTGCCGTTTTTTTAAAAATGGTGGTGGGATGAGGTACTTACTGTCCCAATACCAACCAAATCAAGAACTCAAGTTGTCGTTGGAGTTTTGGGATCATAAACTTGGGAAAATAAAGTTTTCCTTAGAAACCTATTTATTTATTTTTTTAGATCCAATGTTATCTTGAAATAATTTATCTTGTTGAGTTATTTCAGTGCCCGGAAGGAAAAGACATCACATATTGAATTAACAAACAATAATTATTTATTTTAACAATTTTGTACAAGTTATTTCCTAGTTTTAGCGATTCCTGGTTTAAAAGACTTACCTGGGCAAGGTTCACCATCAATGCGGTATCCTGCTCTTCCAAATCCAGCCACTACATTATTCTGTAAAACTGTATTGGTCCCTCTATTTATCTAGTGCAATGATTAAAAAAAAATACTGTGCATCAGGCTAGTAAACATTTATATAAATCGAGAGTAAGTATATGACAATACACTTATGAAAACCTTTAATTATGACTACATTTTCAGGAGGAAAATTTGTATTTATTATTTACCCCATTCAAACTTAATTACAAATGATGAAATTACACCAGGTTCTTGGTGTAAAACCATCATTAAGTACTACAGCCTGGACTTCATTTAAAAACTACATTAAAGAGATTATTTCTTATTTCAGTCACAAAATCCACTGAATGTGGTTTAAAATTTACAAGGCACAGAACAAATTCCAGTATTACAAGAAGGTAAGGAGAATGTTAACACTTTTTTCAGGAAGTTGTGATCACTGAAAAAGTGATAAATATATGTTTATGTATTATATTTATATATGTTTAATATAAATATATATTTATATAAAAGTATGCATATATAGAATACATATAACATATATATATATATGGAGAGAGAGAGACAGGGTCTCGCTATGTTGCCCAGGTAGATCTCAAACTCCTAAGCTTAAGCAATCCTCTTAACTCAACCTCCCAAGTAGCTAGGATTACAGGTGCAAGCTCTTTTTAGTTACATTTTGTTACCAATTTGATTAATTTATTTAAAAAAGGACAACTAAGGCAATGAGAGTGGATCATAAGATTCAGTGGAGACATTGACTAGTTTATATAATGTATGCTATAATCACAAAGTAGGTTAGCATGAGTGTTAGGTAATTACAAACAATTTTATTTTATAACCCAAGTCAAAGTAATAAAAAATGGAAGCATAGAGCACACATTTCGTTCTTCCCTATGGTGTCAGCAAAACAGTCAAAAGTTGTGATCATATCAAACACACTTATTTTTAAATATTTTGATAAAAATAGAGTCACATGAATTCATAAATGTCAATTAAGTACTTTTTCCTTCAAAAGCCATAGATAGCCTTAAAGATTTGGAATTGATATTCTATACGTATAAACAGATAAAAAGAGAATATTTTTAACCTCATAAATGTATACTAAATTTCAGCTTTCAGATTTTACCTTAAGGTATTAATAGTTGCACATAAAAAAACTCAATCCTTATCCCATCTTTCAAAGATAACTATTTTAAATTTCCTTTGATTGTATGTCATAGGTAAAGACAGGAGGAAGCTATCTCCTCTACTTTCTCTTTTCTTGTTTGTAATCTTACTCTATATCTCAACAAACACCTATAGTAATTGAAGAAACTCCATGGGAAACAAGAAGGTTCCAATTAGTAATATCAGATAAGTATAATAACCTTGCCTGTAGAATCATGACAATTTTAGATGAGAAAATAATTTTAGAGATTCCATTGTCTATTTTCATTTTTAGGGAGGAAACTAAATCCAGAATTAAGTAGCAATACACCTAAAGCACTCAGTCGAGCAGCAGCAAAGAGGCCCTGTACTGGAACTTGAAATAATGTTGGAAAAGAAATGAGGTAAGAGAACTATTTAAACCAATAGACATTGACAGAAAAAAAAAAAAATCAATGGCCATCGAAACTTACATCATCTTTTTAAAAGTGCATTCACTCCTTTAGTTAGCTCATTTTATTAGATATTTTTCAATAACTGATATAATTATAAATTAGTATAATTATAAGTTTGTTTTCACTACCTCAATTGCTGCATGCCAGAGAGTTGAACTTAAATCTTTTCTGTTCTGATAGGTTCCTGGCCAAACCGAAAGTGCAATCAAATTCCCTCGGACTCGGTTGGCATTCCCCCATATTCTTATGCCTGTTTAAAAAAAGAAAAAAAGAAAGAAAATCCCCAAAAAACATAAGTCAATTTGCAACGACTATTAGGAGTAATGTCTTTTGATTTTTCCATAAAATTATTTTTCTACTTTGAGCCTGACAAACAATCCTCTTAGAGTTTCGAAGGAGTCTTCTGAACTCTTTGATAATGAACTCTACCTCTTTAATAGACTACCTGAATTAGAATCTTCTGGGATGCTTGTTAAATATGTGGGTTCACAGGGTCCATCTCAGATTTTATTTAACAAACACACCCACAGCTTTCATATACATTAAATATGTTTATTATACTTCATATTGACAAAAATAAATATAATATGCCTAAAGTTGTATATAACCTTTATTTGTAATAATATTTGTGATTGATAAGTGAGGAGTATTAAATTTAAATAATTAGTGATTAGATAACTCATGTAAGAATGTGATGTGGTAAAAATTCTTCCATTTTATAGGGCTATAGTGTCTAATATGATAACCATAGCCACATGTGGCTATTTAAATGTATATTAAGTACAATTAAATTATGTACCATTAAAATTAAAAATTCAGTTCCTCAGTCATAATTCAGCTCCTAGCCATAATTCAAGTGCTCAATAGACACATATGACTTAGTAATTACTATATTAGACAGCAGAAATATAGACCATTTCCATCCTCACAGAAAGATCAATTGGGCAGTGTAGCTCTAGAGTATATAGATAAGAAAGCCTCCACAGGATGTGTAATTTGAACCAAAATATTATTATATTACCTTCCCCCACTGTAAAGTGAATGATGTTGTCATCTATGTCCAATCCATCTGTCCCAAATACACCAATTGCTGGAGAGAAGCCATGGTGAAAAGCACAGCCTCGAATATAAGATGAGCCATGTTCTTGAATCTATACAACATTGGGATACAGAGAACATTTTTAAAATAAAATTACAATATATTTTTAAAAATTGAAGTAAATGATTTTCAGTAAACAAACCTTTATCAATAATCAATACTCAATTCACTTTCTCTTAAAGATGATTTCTCCATAAGTCTTTAATATATCCATATATAAAATATGGAAATTTCCATATATCTGAATTTATTATTAGATATATTGAATATATATGCTTACTTTAAATGCAGATTTCAAAATTCTCCAGTTCTTTTCTATGCATTTATATTCCTATTATCACTTATAAAATGCTAAGGTGCTAAAATTTATTTTTTCAGAATAGTTTATGATGACAGGGATTTTTTTTTAATTACAAAAAATAATACTTTAGTCAAGGAGTTACTATTCAAATGTCTCTAAGAACCATTCAGTGAACAGGTTAGGGGTTTCAATTTAAACCTACAGATTATTTTGTATTTCTACTAAGAAATATGCTGTCTCTCATTTTTCTTAAATCACCAGCCCTCTCAGAATATTTATTTTCCCACTTTTGATGGAGGTGTAGATCAGACATGCATTTCATTTGAGAAATTTAAGCAATACTCTCTTTGTTTACTAGAAACCATTTGGAAAAATGTTTTTGGTCATTGCAAAATAAAGTGGATATATAAACCACTATTATAGATCTTTGATTCTTTCACCCTCCATACTATTTTTCCTATGGTTTTTACTGGCCTTAAATAAACGCACAATATGGGTGGAATAAAATCCTGCTTATATAGGTCTAAAAAGTTAATGGGCCAAGAAAGTTTTATTATATTAGATTATAATTTTAGCTAATATAAGATGTGGCTATTTAGAAGTCAAATGAAAATAAAAATATTTTGCATATTTTTAATATACACAAAATTAAAAATAAAGCACAAACCTGTCCTAGGTTAAGAAACGTTACAGCATATCTTGGATCTGTGCTATCCCTGAAGCCTTCTTGACCACTGTGATAAAATTCCACATTACTTATTCTTGCATTTCCTAAGGTAGGGAAAGATTTAAAATTTGTTTTTCTTAAAACAGTTGGAATAAAACATTTTTGAAAAGCTACACAAAGTTGTTCAAATTTTTCATGAAAAAATCATTATTCTTTGCTCCTTTAATCCAGAAGAGGTAGTATTTCTCAGACCTCTTTTCATTGTACTCACAAATAGCCTTTTTCAACATTTTTTTTCCTAATAGCCTGCACTCTCCCGCAAAATTTTAATAACGCATATATACCATATATCTGTTAGTATACAGTGGCCCTTTGGAGGACCACAAACCATTGTAATACCTACGTTTTTTGCCCCCACCTCAAGAACTAAGTTTTTCCTCCTGGGGGGTGATATTTTCGAATTGAGAATGTATGGCATAAGGCATAAAATATAATTTACCTGATATTTCCCTTTTGATGCCATAAAGAGCTTTTAAGGGCATTACCTTTTATAATCTCTTTCAGAATATGTATTGCCAATTATCTGCTGGTCAGCTTATCATAAGTACCATCGAGGTGACAAAGGGTAATTTTACAGACTACTAATAACAGCAATAACAATCCATGAGAGATTGCTCTTTGTCAAGTGCTGTACTAAATGCATAACAGGCAATATGGGGTTTAATTCCCATAAAGCACCCTGTGGGTTAGGAACTTTTATATCTCTATCATCTAGTTAAAAAAAACTGAGGCACAGGAACTCATGGCTGGAAAATAACAAAAGAGAATATTATTTGTTCAAAAACTGATACTTAATAGGATGTGTTGGAGAAAAGTTATTTTGTACTAGAAAGGAAAGCCTACCTTAAAATCCATGAGGCAATTCTTCTATACATGGTTGAGAAGATATGAATAATTGAGATAATGATAGAGAAGACATGATTACTACAAGCCACCTGGGCTTACAAAAGCCATAGATGTGTTGTCTTTACTCACGTCACAAAACAATTTATAGGAGCAAGGAAAGATTGTCATAGGAATAGGGTTCATCGCTGAATTTGAAGTGAGAAAGACACAAATTAATATTAAAGATCAAAGCAACTTTACCCCTTTAATCATCTGTTTGTTCATCTTTAAAAGAGGGGTAATATTTATGCCATAACATTATGAGGATTAAATAAGATTGTATGTGTTTAATGCTTAGCACAGTGCCTGTGATCTTGTGTCATGTTCGTCATTACCATCACCATCATTATCAGCAGCAGCAGCACCATCATCATCAGGTAAGCTTCCTCTGGCAGATTATGACCAACAAGTAGAGGCTATAGTGAGACTGCTGTTTGCTCAATATAAAGATTTTCTAAAATAGATCTGTTGCAAAACGAAATAGGCAGTGTTTGAACAAATGAGTACCTGCAGAAACAGTTCAAATCAAGAATGGATGGTCTACTCCTAGTACCCAGATTGTGGGATCCAAATAACATCTTCCAATAAAAAGAACCAGAATTACTTGGAGGAACAATGAGTTCCAGTCTTAGAAAAAAATTACAATATGTGCTTGCCGTATCAGAAAGTAAAGAAGCTTAGAAAACTAAGTCATGTCAAGAGGACAGGCATCAACATGAAAAGGTTCTGAAAGTCAATAATGGAGCATTCTGAGTATTAATCAGATTAACAATCACAATGGATTTGAACAGGTCAAATATGTTTTGATCCAGGAGCACATAATGATACTAAAAACAAAACAATAAAAACTCCCTGTCACCTTTGGAGGATGCTTGGGAACCAACACATTATCTTGAAACCTAGTCAATATGAGGAAAAATCAAGCATTTTTTCCTGTGTTTCCTATATGAACTATTTTTCAGTGCAGTCAAATAGTTGTTTAGGGGAGATTTTCTTTATTATAAATGAGAAGGAAATTTTAAACCTTAATGATTTAATGAATCTAGGCAATGTTAATTAGTAGCTATTAACATTGTAAGAAGAGAAACAATCATACATTATGTACCTACTGATGGAAAAATACACTACCAACTGTACCTTTTCTCCCTTCCTTCCTTCCTTCCTTCTTTCCTTCCTTCCTTCCTTCCTTCCTTCCTTCCTTCCTTCCTTCCTTCCTTCCTCTCTCTCTCTCTCTTTCTCTCTGTCTTTCTCTCTTTCTTTCTTTTGGCTGGGTCTCACTATAGTGCCCAGGCTGATTTCAAACTCCTGGCCTCAAGTAGTCATCCCACCTTGGCCTCCCAAAGTGCTGGGATTACAGGCCTGAGACACCCTGTCTGGCATAATTCTTGACTAAAAATTGAGCCTGAAATCTCTAGTTTTAAATCACCTAGGCATAGGAAATACAGGGGGACAAGAACAAGTTAAATTCCAGGAATGCAATCACTCAATTCCAGACTGTTGGAAACTCCACAGAATTAGAGGACCAACTTCTTTTATAGATAAATTGCAAGGAGAGAGGAATGAATCAGAGATTTAAGATTCATAATCAGTTGCAATGTGGATCTTATTTAGATCCTTATTTGAAACAAGAGGATGGATGGAAGGAAGGGAGGGAGGAAGGGAGGGAGGGAGGGAGGGAGGATACTGGGGAAATTTGAAGTATCATTTGATGATAAGAAATTATTATTAAGAAATTAACATTTTTAGGTCTGATATTTGTTGATGTTTTCTAAAATGTCTTAGAGTTGCATACTAAAATATTTCTAGATGATATAATACGTGATTACTTCAATACAATCCAGGAGCATGAAGAAAGTGGATGGAGGTGTAGGTGAAACAAGATTGGCCAAAGTTGATCATTGTTGAAATTGGTGATTAGTACATTGGGATTCATTATACTGTTTTCTCTGTTTTTGGTGTATGCTTGAAATTTTCCTTAAAACAAAACAAAAACAATAAATGATCTGTGGTACTTATTATAAAATTATCTCTGTTAGGTGAAAGACTGGTCTAACTGTTACCTAAGGTCATTGTTAATTTGATAATTCATTTTGTCTGTGAAGATAAAATTAAAAGCAGTAATTTAAGAGAATTTACTTGGAAGGTAAAAACTGGGCTACATAATCACTTTTAATGCTTTATTTTCCCACATAATCTTATTAAAAAAGTGAGAATTATGTAAGAGCTGACTACATATAGATGAGATAATGTTATAGCTCATTTAGAAAAATAAACTGAATTGATACCAACCTTTAAATGTCATCATATTTTCAGTGAATGAGCCAACCAGTACGCGTGCTCCAAAAGAGTCCTCAGACCAACCGGGGTAATCTTCACCAACTATTTTGATGTTCCTACTCAGTATCCCAACATCAGCTGCTAACGTGTAGCTCTCACCAGTTCCAGGGACATGGTATTTTTCAGCTGCAGTATAAAGGCAGCTAGATTATTGCCAATGCTGAGAAGTATCTGTCTTTACTAGTTCCTTTGCAGTTTATATGCTAAACAGCCTTCTAATAAGCCAAAAATGAACATGAATGCATGATTACATTTACATGTTAAACATATATAGATGGCAGTCTGATATTATGATATTCGTATTTATAAAATGAAATATAATCAAAAATATTTCCTCTATTTACATCAAAATGATTATTATAATCAGCAAGTATAAAGTTACTACTTAACAAATCTTGAAGGTAGTATATAATCACTTCAAATTACACATGAAAGCCCTGTTGTGTGGCAAATTGAGAAGTGTATTGTAATTTTAATAGATGAGGAAATAAGGTAGAGAAGTAAAAGAATTTGCCCAAAGCTAGGAGGAGAATCAACAACACATAGCTATTAACACTCCTGCCACCTAAACCTTGGTTTGTTCCACTTTTTCTGTGGCATATTTTATATCAACCACAAGTCTTCATCAATAGGTAGTAGCATATCCAACACCATCTGTACATTTACATCTTAACAATTTGTAAAACATAACCTAGATTACACGCTACATTTTAAGAAATGTTACTCAAAACTTTAAGACAAGCAGGTGCATTTCAAACAGAGAAAAATGCTTGATATTTTAAATGAAAGAATCTATAATGTCAAACTTCAAAAACCAACTGTTTTACAACTAATTACAATGAAACATTTTTCAAATAAAACTTTTCTTTATGATTTAAAGAAAAATATATGATATAGAATTATAGACACATGCGCTTCTATTAAAGTACTGCTTTGAGAAGTTCTTTTCAATTTCTTTTTCATGCAGGTCAAATGTCTGCTAGTCTATCATGCTGTCTTGCATCTGGAGTTCCCATGAGCATCATGGGCATCTGAAAGGATTTTCTAACTTTTCACTACTGTCTGCTCCCACTTCCTGAGATTTGGATGAAGGTACCATGCCAAATGGGGAAAGGCTAGAATGCTGGGAAGGCCCTGCTCCTGTAAGTGGAAAACTCATCTTCAGATCATGCTTATTCCTTCTTTCCTCAACAATTATAGTTTTATCCTTCCATTATTACTTGTCTAAATGCATTTACCGCTAAAGACTATATCCATGAAACAATTTAGGACAAGGCTTTTGGATCAAGGATCCTCAAATTTCAGCGTGCACAAGAATCACCTGGAAGCTTGCTTCAAACAGAAAGTGTTGAGCCTTACCCTATAAAATGTCAAACAGTAAGTCTTTGCTGAATATTTGCTGAATGAATGAAAGCACATAGCGGGGACTATCGGTAACCAACACAGAAAGAGCAGCACTCACTGGGTATCATTGCCAATCTGAATAAAATGCTCCTTTAACATATTTGTGACATGTTTTATCAAAGAATTATAATTACAGAGTAAATGTGAATCTTTCAACACAATTATATATCTATTTGGTTAAAAAGCATCCACTTACCAAAGTGAGTATAGGAAAGGCTATCATTAAGAATGAGAATTTTATGATCATGCAGGATTTTAACGATACTTCTTGTTTCTGTCTGGTGGAAATCGTAGCTTGTGGTTGTTATCACAATCTCTTCTCCCTCCTTAGAAAAATTCAAGTGCCAAATTTAAGAACAATTTTAAAAATAGATTTATATTTCTTGATATCATTATTAAATCATTCAAATTTAATGTATATCTCATTGGCAATTATGGTATTATCAGAAAGAATAAACAGTACATTGAAGTCTCTAAAGGTATATATGCTTGTGTTTGATATTAAGAATTATAAATTTTGAATTATCTGAGCATTTTCTTAACTTTAATTCAGCCATTTAGTAAAACCACAGCAATATACCTTTTTTAAAAAAGCAAAGACATCAAAGCAAACATATTCACATTTTTATTAAAAACTGCTCAGGACAATATTATTAAGAGTTGAATTTTTTCCCTAGTTTTTTGTTTGTTTGTTTAGTACAATTAACTATCACTTATTATTCCTGAAAGGCAGAAAAGCCCGAGGAAAGTTAAAGGGCAAGGCTGAGTCCTAGAACTTTGTATATTGAGCTCCTCCTTGTCATCCAAATCTCTGCTCAGATGTACCCTTGACAAAGACCATCTCTGGAATATTCAATGTTATCTGCTACTCTTTGCCATGGCAGTCTCTATCACACTACCTGTTTTATTTCCTTCATTATGCACATTATTTGAAATCAATAGATATTTATTTGTTCATTTACTATCTGACTCTCCCACTCCAATGGAAGTTCCATGATAGATTGGACAAATTTCTTCACCACTAAATCCCCAATGCCTAGAAAACTGTGTGACACTTGGTTAAATATTACTCTGACACAAAATTTGCAGACAGTATTAATTGGATAAATAATAGGGATATCAAAATCACTTAATTACTCTCTTCAAAAAGTAATCACACCAGAACTATCACAAATAAAAACATATTGTAAGTAGATGATAATACTTCTCAATAAACCCTCTTTCTATTTACCAATTATAAACTACACTAAGAGAGCAAAACCATATGTTTTGATGATTTGCATTGATTTGCCCAAACTAAGGCTCTCTTTGTTCTGTGAGTCTAAAGCTTGTTCTCACCAGAAAGGAACTGGCTGAGATCTGAGAGCTTGGAGATGAAATCCATCCATTTCTCTAATTTTTCTTGGCATTAAAAAATGTATTTGTAAAACCTGTGGACTCTATGGCTTGTGCATAGTTTATGAGCACAGTAGAGATGAGAATTGCTACCATTTATACTTTATTAAAATATCTCATTTAACACAGGCAGTATTTGGATGTCACTGGGTGTCAGAATTTGTTTTCTTTTCAAATTCTTAACATGTAAAATCATAAATTAGAAGTGAAGAGGTAACCAAGATAATAAAATATATTTTAAATAATTCAATTTTCTGTTTTGCAAGAATTTATAATAAATAATTTTATCCAAAAATGTTCATATTTTTCTTTTATGACTAATATACATTGGCATAAAATATGACTAATATGACTAATATATTATGTATATATATTTTTATGACTAATAGTCATATTTTAATTTTATCCAAAAATATTCATATTTTTCTTATGACTTACATATATATTAATATAAAATAATATGACTAATTTATATTATGTACATACATTTTAATGACATATATTACATATATTAGCTTGTATATACATAATATATATTAGTCATATATTGTATGACTAATCTATAGTCATATATGTCATAAAATATATATACATAATATACAGTCATAAAATATATATAAATACAATATACATACCTATGTATTATATGCACACACACATAATGTTCTCTATTTATTTTAAAGGACCATTGAAGCCACAATTTTTAAATGCCTCCTATCGGATACATTTTTGCAAGCTTATTGCAAAATACACATTTTTCATCTGGTTAATCACATGAGAAAATGAATGCCCATGAGAGTAGAATAGAAACTTTTTTCAGCTGACCCACTGTGTATATTCATTTTCCATTACATAATTATTTTGTCTACCTGCCAATCCACAGCATCCATCAGAGACAGGACTTTGGAACCTGCAAATGCAGTTTCTGAGAGCTTAGTTTTATATATTGAATGTGGAATTCCATGAAGATCCAGCTCACCAAACACCCCTAAAGAAGAAAAGCACACTCCTACTTATTCACCCCACAGTACTGAGTTAGGTGCTAGTATAAAATGAAAATGTTCATTGATATATTTTATTATGTGATTAAACATTTTAGAACAAAAGGAATGAATTGGTGCTCTCTGCTTGGAACCATGTAAGAAGACGTGGCCCTTTAACCCACTTCCGGAAATCTGGCTCATAGACATTAAAGCCAGTATACAAGAGTACATGAATGAAGATGCTTACCACAGCAATATTTAGAAACACAAGGAAACTGGAATTAATCCAAATATACATCAATAGGAAAAGGATGGAATAAAGTTTACTAATACTGTAAAATAATAGGCTATAAAAAAGAGTTTTATCTGTAAGTTTAAATCAGGAAAGATTTTCATAATATGTTCACTGAGAAAAGAAAACTGCGTAATAATATACTTAATGTGACCATGTTTTATGAAAGGAACAATACTATCACCACAAATCAGTATATGTAATATGAATATAGGCATAGATAAAAAACATAGGAAAACACACAAAAAATTTTTAACTAATTCTAGTGTCCTTAAAAGAGAATTAGAAAGATGTGTATTCTTTACAGATATGTTTTCTTCATACTGTTCTATGTTGTTTAAAGTGTTACTTTTGAAATAAAAAGCACATACTTTTTTTTAAGATTGAATTTGTCTGCCTCAGGACATTTGTGAATGGTGAGCTAATTCAATCTCAAGCAATTGTTTAGCCCCTTATTTACTTGGTGTCAGTTTTAGAAATTGTACAGTAAAACAATGGTAGCACATACTTATATGCGTCTCCTAAATAAATATGCAGTACCATTCATAAAAGCAGTTCTTAATTGTGACCAGGTTAAACTCTTTCAAGCCATTTGCTTTCTGAGCTCAAATAAGAATATCCACGGTATACTAATGCAACTGGGAAATTAAATCTCAGCAACAGCTGTGATTGGGTAATTGATTGCAGAGTCAACTGATCCACAGATTATTTATTAATACTATAAATGGAATAATGTGTAGGAAAGTTACCCTTTAAGGAAAGGTACCAAAATGTGAAACATAGTATTGCTTACATAAAGAAAACTGTATGAAGAAAACCAGATTGGAAAAATAATATACATACAAAGAGATTTGTTACTATTAGTTTTGTAATAAATTACATTTTGGTTTAAAATACACACATTTATATCTGTTTTAACCTGGTGAAATGTGAGGTTATTTAATTCTAAAATCTCTGCTACTTCTATAACCCTTTACAATAAATAAATTTCTGTAAAAACTTCTGATACTTTTGTATCAGAAGTACTTTTTATGATAAAGTATTTATCATTATGAACTGATATGTACTTTAGTGCCATATATTTTAAAGTAGATTCTTAAAACAGATGTGACACTTTTGGTATCTGTAGACACACACCTAAGACCTTTGCCCCTTGATTTGGTCCTTCTGGAAGAGCCCAGTCTTGTGTAGTATGATTTCCTCTAAGAACAATCTTTAAGTCTCCTTTAAAAGGGTTATCTTCCCAGCCACCGATTAATCTACCTCCCTGAAATGAAGCAGAAAATTGTTAATACTTAAAAATTGACCAGGAAAAAAAATCCACCCATAAAAAAGGAATTCAGAAGTCACTGGAAGCCTAGTAAAAAGGAATGAGTTTTGTTATATAAAGAACAGCATTATAACTGGAAGTGACTTTAATTTCACTTTTGGATAAGCAGTTTAAATGATTTTTCAAAGGTCAAATTCAATATCTACTTACTGACAGAACTAGACCTAAAACTGAGATTTCATAAGACCTAAACTAGTGGTGTTTGAACAGACCATAATGTATTTGAAAGTAATATCCTATATGTAAAATATACTCTTTACGCTTACACCCAAGCTATGCAATTTATGAGCCATCATTGTTAATACTAATAGTTAATAGCTATCATTAAATGCTTGCTGTTTCCATCATGCATAATGTGTAAGGCTTCACATATATCCTTTAACCTTTCTTTACACCAAATTCATGAATTAGTATTATTATCCTTATTTCACAGGTGAGAAAACTAATGGTGAAAGAGGTCAAATAACTTACCCATGGTTACCCAACTAAAAAACAATAAGGTAAAATTCAGTTGTAATTTTAATTTACCTTAAAGCCATATGTCTAATCAAAATACAATGCACTTTTAAAATATTAATAACCAAGTTTCTGGACTTTATTCCTTTTCTCAAAGAAATAATAATAATGCTAACTGCTTATTATTTTAATGCTGCTTAATAGCTTTTTGGCTAAGCAATTCTTTTTCATGAACAATATTACAAGACTGACAGGACAATCGAGCTGATTAAGCTGGTACAGGTTCAAGACCATCTGGGGTTTACAAGGAATGTGGGGATTGTTCCGAATAACTGTAACATTTTGATTTATTTTCTCTTGCTTTCACAATTCCATCTATGTCCCTTTGGTTTTTTTTTTAAATACTGTTTGTTTTATTTAAAGAACAAAAGGCTTAAATTCTTTTACTTGTTTCAGAACTCCTAGGACTCTTTGTTGGAACAAGCTGTTGGTTTAGCCTGACCTCATAATGACATAGATATTCTATACACAATGGAAACTGGGCCAACTGCAGACTCAAGAATCCTATAGTAACTACTCCTAAGAAATGTTTAGTCCATAATTTAAAGGAGAACAGAAATATATTGGACTTAACTGAGACTTGCATTTAATGGGATAGAGCCAGTTGTGTTTTTATTCACACCAATTGAATATGCTTCTTTCTTATTATTTGAGTAAATACACATTTTAGAATTAGATTAATAAAGATATAAACTACAAGGCCCTCACTCTTACCTGCAGTGATATGTAGGTAGCATTCAAAACAACTTCTCTGTAAGAAGATTCTGCAGCTCCTACATTGTATTTATCTTCCAGTTCTAGAACCCCCCAAATAATGAGTCTTTCCATTGATGGCATATCTATGTCAGCTACAATCCATGTTCCTATAAAACAATACTTTAAGAAATATAACATAATCCATAAACTACAACTTATAGCAAAACATTGACAAGCTTATCAGTGAGTCCTAGTTTTGAGTGTTTATGACATGTCTTTTCATATAATACCTGATTCCTATCTCTCCCAGAAAATCTGCTCTTGTTAATTAATGGTCAGGTTTAAATCCACAGAAACCCCAGAAGGCTAGGTTTAGTATCCGGGATGCATTAATAGAGTCCACTTCTCCACACTTGCTCTTTTGGAAAGGTGTGCTGATAAAACTGTGACATCTACCCTGCCATAGTGTTAATATTGCAGAAAACAAACATTTCATTCATTTGTGTTTACGCATTTACCTTCAGGTATAATCACATTTGCCCCTGGGTGAGGTACAGTATAATTATTTTCTCGTGATGATTGCCAAAAAGAATCATTTGACCATAAACTGAAAAGAGAAGAGAAATACTTCCATGAATTACTACTTGTGATATTCCCTAATTTTGTCTAAAATGTAAACCGTTCCATTTCCCCATAAGATTTTACATGGTAGAGAAGAAAAAAAATGCACGCTTTGTCCTTTTAAAGACCCTTGACACATGGTGCTATTTCATGGGGAGTAGGGGTAGAGGATATAGTTGGCTAGATTCTGTGAAGAAAGGGGTAGAAGGATGGTCTCTGAGTTGACGAGGATGCACCAATGCCATTAAGCCCCTGGGCTGGGATGGGGGTGGCAGGTCTGTATCCAAAGTGAAAGCTAGGTTAAATTGAAATAATTTCATCAAGTGTATGGGAGGACAGACGGTCTTCAGTTTTCATCACTATGCCTTCTAGAAAATACCTTTTAATGCAAATTTTTATGAAGGATATTATTATAAAATTGGTGATATTTTCCCACTGGAAAATATGCACAATCATAGCCCTTCATTCTTATTAATACCATCACTCACTATCAATAATCATGTTATGCATTCCCCTTCTTATTTGCCATGTTACGATCAACAAAGCCCTCTAAAACTAGGCATTAAGTTATATAGCTTGAGCCTTCTGTTCTAATCCTGAGGTAGCACTTCTGGGTCAAGATTCTGTTTTGTCTTGTATTATTCATAGCTAGCTGAATAATACAAATTAATCAATCCAATTATAACTATTTCCAGTGATGAAAATTCATACCATGGGAAGAAAGAAAAACTATACCATGGCATATACATGTAGTTTATCGTAGTTTACCTTTATCACATTCTGGCCTAGAGCAATCTAAATCTGTTATAGTAGTCATAATAAATGTTAATTAAATATTTAATAATTATATCTACCTCAGAATGCATAAGGGCCTTGATGATTCTCTCTCCATTGTTTGACATGCCACACCCTTTCTATGTCAGGGCACTTGCACAAGTTGCTCCCTAGGTTTCTCCCACCCTTCACGCAGCGAGCTCTTCCTTATCCTTTGGGTTGCAGTTGGAATAACCCCTCCCTGAGGGTGTTCCTAACCACCCCACCCAAAGGCTGTCCCTGCCATATTGCTCTCTGTCCCAGCCCCATATCCATTTTTTTATAACATTTATCACAACTCACACTTACATACTTTATCTTCTGTTTACTTTTTTGTTTGTTTGCTTGTTTTGTCATCTCTTTGGATTGAATATGAGTGTAATGAGATCAGAGATCACATCTATGTTGTTTATAATTGAATCCAAAATGCCTGGCACATAGTGGATACTCAGTAAATTTTTTTTAGTGGTTGAATGAATATATAAACAAATTCAATTTTTGTTCTTTTGTACAATAACCACTACAGTGTCTATTTATTTTGAAATGTAATTCATCTAATAATTATCATTGAGTTGTACTTGTTACACAGTAGTGGGCTATTCAGTGCCCACTAAATGTTAGTTTTTAGCATCATCATCATGTTTTGTCAGTAGTATTGTCCATAAGGGATGCAAATATACATCAAATCAGGATCATGCCTTTCAGCATCTTAAAGACTAATACTGAATGTGCTAGTACCATCATGTCCAGTAATTACTCTAATACAAGGTAGAAAGTGATGCTTCACGAGAAATAAAGGTAAAGAGCTATGTAAGTTACAAAGATAGAAATATTGTTTTTAACTAAAAGAATTAAAATATATTTGAAAGAAAATTAACTAAGTTTTATTATGAGATTTGACCACGATGGTTATTCTAGAGACAGCACCTGCTAAGAAAGCATTGGATTCACGAGGAGACTTAGTTTCTGGTGCTGTACTGGATATGCCATCAGTGAGCTCTGTGATCTTAGGTAATGCACCTATGTTCACTGGGTGTCAGCTTTCTCGTCTATATGATAAGGGAGTTGGGCCAGGTCTAAGAATCTAAATCTAACATTCTGCAACTGTGAGGTTACCAGCAACTTTCACACATAATTTTTTTAAGACATTTTCATTTTCTCACGAAGGTTTTTGTAAGGCTCAAGCAAAGCAGTGAATGTGAAAGTACTTTGTAACCTACAAGACATTGTGCAAGAGTAAAGCATTATTATTTCACCCAGGAGTGACATGTGAAAAGGATTATGTTAAGAGATATTGAAGGGTATCAACTACAAAAGGCCTATGTACTTATATGTGGCTGGTCGCTTCTTGGGAATTGGTTTTCTTGATGGCGGATGTACAGGAAAGCAATCCTGGAGAATACAACAGTAAGCTTGGAAATTAATAACAACGTCTTTCACATCAGGATCCAGGTTCCCAGAAATGAGCTGACTCTGATGAAGGTCATTTCTTCCTGACACTGAAAGTGAAGTAAAAGTGGGTTAAATGAACATAGTGACCAAAGTACTTGAATGTAAACAAAATTATGGAATTTTGGAAAATGTTCTTTAGGTAGTAACTTGAATTATAATTCACATGTATGGAAGAGGTATGGAGAAATTCTGATAATGTATGTATTATAAAGATATACACGGTCAAAATATCTTGATAAAAATGAATGCTTTAGAATTTAATTAAAACTTATTATTAAATATTTTAATTTTCCAAATAATTAAATAATAAAAATGGAAACAAAACATATGCCAGCTTCCATTGTATTCATTTTCTCTAAGCCCATGAAATAAAACTGTCAATGTGCAAGCATGCTGGTGTCACCTTCAACATAAAATGAAAGTTCTTAATTCAACTCAAAACCTTTTCAAGAATAAATTTTGTCTCCAGTTTTTCCATTCAGCAAACATTTATTGGATCCTGTATATATTAAGCACTGCACAACACATTTGCTTATTAAGCAATTTTTCTCATCTTTTAGACAAAGCATTAGATAAACTATCATTTCTGCCTAATGACACATACCCAAGTAATATAGAGTACTAGTGTTTGCTTCAAGGTGCCAGTCCCCATTCTTGCTAGTATTCCAATTCAATGGATTTGAGGAACCATTCCTCATATCAATAATATTAAACATGTCAGGATTTTGAGTGAAGTTATGTGATATAATTACATAGTCTTCTTCCTATAAAAGTTTATAGAAAAATGTGACTTGTATGTTAATATTCTTCGTATAACACATTAATTTTAATGACATATAATTAGCCCCTATATTATGTTAAGATTTAAAAGTTTTGGCTTTAGTTTGTTTTTTGTCTTGAATTTCTATTTTGTTTATTAACGTTTTACATGTCTATGACAATAATGCTAGTTCTGTCACTAAGGCAACGAAAGGATCTCTCTCTCTCTCCTGTGTGTGTGTATGTATATATAAATACATATACATTAAGTATACACATGTATAGTATATATATATATGCATACACACACATATATGTGATGTGTGTATGTGTGTATATATGCATATATTTAGAAAATATTTTATTTTAAAAACTGACAGATAAAATTGTAGACAATATTTTATTTCTATAATGTTTAAAAATATTTAAAACAATGCTGCACAAATGTGTAGTATAAGTGGAAGAACATGTATAAGATGGAAAACATCCAATTCAGGATACTGGCTACCATTAGAGGTGGAGAATGGGGAATAACATGAGAGTAAATAATACAGAAGGCTTCCACTTTATCTACCATATTTTACTTTTTTTATAAATTAGAAAGTAAATATTCACAGAATGTTAGATTTAGATAGAGTTAGGTAGTGGCTTTTTTTTTTTTTTTTGAGATGGAGTCTCCCTCTGTCGCCCAGGCTGGAGTACAGTGGGGCGATCTTGGTTCACTGCAACCTCTGCCTCTTGGGTTCAAGCGATTCTCCTGCCCCAGTCTCCCCAAGTAGCTGGGACTACAGATGCCCACCACCACACCCGGCTAATCTTTTTTTTTTTTTGTATTTTTAATAGAGACGAGGTTTCTCCATGTTGGCCAGACTGGTCTCAAACTCTTGACCTCAGGTATGTTTGATATATTTCATGATATAAAAAATAAAGTCCTTAACTGCTGGTCCCTGAGATATCATAAACTCTCAGTAAAGGTAAGTTATTATCATGGTAATAATGACAGGGGAATAAGCTTAGTACTACAGCAATGTGGCAGAAAGATTGCTTACTTCTGATTCTCAAATGAGATTTTTTTGGCTTACTTCTTAGATTCAGAGTGGCTCACAAAGAATGTGCAGGATTTCAATAGCTCAATTTGTGATGAAAGTCCCTCTGGCCTGACAATGTCTGTGAGTAAGTATGAGGATGTAGGCTGTGTTTGGGTAATACACAATTATAATCATTAGAAGATAAATATTTTTACCTTGAATCCATAGAATGTCGATGTATATGAAATGTTGGTTATGTGATCCACACCTTTAAAATACCAGTTAATGTGATTTGCATTTGGAATCAGAGCCATCCATCCAGACATATGAGTCAGTCGTTTCTTCTGAAATGGAATAATGCTTGTGCCTATAGGAGAACATAGAACAAGAAAATAATAGTAATCTCTACCTCTAATAAACTCCTCCTTTTGTAAACAAGTGCAAAAGTTAGTTTAGTTTGGTTGGTTTAGCAAATGTTGGTTTAGCAAATATTGGTTTAGTCTATGACAGTCTTTAAAAAGATTAATATGGCATTTCATTACTTATGTTCTAAATGTCTTCGTTTGACTGAAGAACTGAAATGATTAATATTATATTTAACTGGAAAGTAAAATGCTTTCAAACCTGGAATTTTGAATTGAGATGGAGCCTTTATTCCTTAGGGAAAGATACACTTGAAACATTGTGAAATTACAACTGCTAAAACGAAAGTGCCTAAATATATTAATATAATTATTTAAAGGTCATTGATCTAAACATAATTTCATTTTTATTCTTTAAGAACTTAGTTATTCAGAATCCTTGATGTAGAATATATAAAAACATAAGCTCTGATTCTTTATTAGAGTTTTCTATGTCTGTTGAGCTAATTAAAATCTGTACAACACATATTAATGTTTACTAGTAAATAATTTTGTTTGACTTTAATGGTGTTTTGATTTAGAATTATTAAAGAACAAGGCTACAACTAGACCTATAACTTAACACTGATGAAGATATATACATTTTAGGAATACAAACCTTGAACCTGAACTACCTGTTACAGGAAAAACTATATAATTTAGTAATGCTTTGGTCACAAGAGAATGCCTGATAGCTTTAATAGAAGATTTGAAAAGTTCTCTTACAATATAAAGGAAAGGTCTTTCATTAACTGCCTCTATTTTTCTCCCCCTTCCTTTACTTTTCATCTCAGATTGGATTTTATATTAAAGTAACAACCTCTTATTTTAAAAATTTAGGAGGAAGAAGCTAGAAGCAAGATTATAAAATAATCTGTCTGAAATAAGGCCCAACAAAATTCCAAAGCCATGAGAGAAAAAATTCATGATTTTCTATGCTTTATGAGTTAGTATTAATTTTAAAAGATTCATGACCAGAGACACCAAAAACTTTCACTACCAGAAAATCCCGTAAAGTATGAAAAGAACTGTGACTAGTTGGATTATTGTTCAGCAAATATCCACTCCTTTCTTCTCCTTGAGGGCAAAGTAGACTTCCCTGCTTCATTGATCTTGGCCAATGGGACATTAGTGGAACTGACACTAGTAAATGCTTGAAAAGTGCTTGCTCAGTGAGGTTTGACTTCTTAAGCCTCTATCTTCACAAAGAGAAGAGCCTCCTCCAGGTAACTGCTCTCCCTTTGCCTGACACCTGGAACGAGTACATGTGGAGTTACCTGAGCTCAGCCCTTGGGGAGAAGCAAAGCCTTATATTGAAGCAGAGACTTCCAGCAGAGCCCAGCCTAGATCAATCAACCTAGCCTGTGGACACCTAAGAATAAATGATTGTAGGCTTAAGCTATTGAGTTTTGAGATAGTCTGTTGTGAAGCAATGGTTAACATAGAAGAGCTGATTAAAATCATCCAAAACCTCTAGAATTTGCTCCTGGATTTGCAGAACTCAATTAAGTGGAATTCCACTGAATTGAGTTCTTTTCTTTCTTTTTCTTTTCTTTTTTTTTTTTCTTGAGATGGAGTCTCTAACTGTCACCCAGGCTGGAGTCCAGTGGTATGATCTCGGCTCACTGCAAACTCTGCCTCCTGGATTCAAGCAATTCTCCTGCCTCAACCTCCCAAGTAGCTGGGATTACAGGCATGTGCCACCACACCTGGCTAATTTTTCTGGTAGTTTTAGTAGAGGCAGGGTTTCACCTATGTTGGCCAGGCTGCTTTCGAACTCTTGACCTCAAGTGATCTGCCCACCTTTGCCCCCCAAAGGGCTAGGATTACAGGCATGAGCCACCGCACCCAGCCTCCAGTGAAGTTTTCTGATGCTTGGGATTGCATTTAACCTGACATTTCTTAATAATTCAGTTTCACAAGTGAAACAAATTTCCATTTTTTTAAGTTGTGTTTTTCCTAATTTTTTAAGCTGCACTCATTTCAAGTATGTTGGTTTTAAGTGTCTTGGACTGAAATATAAACTCTTTGAAGTTGATATTTTCTAAAAATAGGATCATTAAGAGTTAGTGTCTCAAATTAATTTGCCATCTGGTATAACTTTATACATATATTTACATAAAGATATACCATCATGCATGAGATGCTTTGATAAAGATATATATGGACGTGTGTAAAATTATAGCAAACCCTTACTTCCCACTAATCTAGTATACTTTTTAAACTTTTGTTTCACTCAGCATACATATACAATCAGGACAAGTTATCTTTTTCTGTTTTTAACTTTTAGAAGTAAATAATTTTATTTGACTTTAATGGAGATCAAAGTAGCCAAATGTACTTTACTATACAGTTGATTTTTTTTTTTCACACACAGAAGTAAAATGCCTAGCATAGTGTTTTCTCTAATTTGCAATGTGGTCTGAGTATTGCAACTAATTCCATTTAATTCAACACTTGCTGAGTAGTTACTATTTGCAATGTCCTGCGTTGAGCCTTGCGGCGTCAGAAAGATAAGTTTGTAGATCTGGCCCTCTAGGTATTCACAGTTTAGTAACTCAATAAAAAATCTTAATTCTTGAAGGGAATAGATGAAAGGGTGCAGAGAAACGTGACAAGAAAGCTAAAATGTTATAAATTCAGAAATACCAGATTCCCTGAATCAAAAAACCAGAATATAGACAAATAAGCAAACAAAAGCTCCTTTCTAAAATCCTCACCACCACTAAAAATAACCACAAAAAGAAAGCTTAGAGATTTGAAAGCTTAGATGTTTGAATATTAGTGCTTAAAAATTAATAGTTAAAGGAATATATACTTTATTTTTTTTATGTTTAACTTAATTTTATTCATGCTTGCCTTGGGATGGGGGATAGATCATTCAGTAAAAACATACAGTAAAAACAAAATGTCTTATCATGTACAACTTTTAAACTACAATATGATGTACCTTAATTACTTCCATGCGCACAAGTCTAACATTATTTTTTTTAAAAAATAAACACAATTAAGACTTCTAGGAGCATTTTATAATAAAGTAATTCCTAATTAATTTTTCTTTGTAGATCAAGCACCTCCAAAATACAAATTCCTATATACAGTGAGCACGTTACTTAAAATGAACACTTAAGTAAATTAAGTATGTGGACAGCCTTAGGATAAGCTGACATTATAGATTCAGCTAGGTAGGCAACAAACCATAGTGTCAAATGGAAAAAGTGTATTTGCAAATAAATTTTAAAAACTAAGTTAATTTTTATAATTAAATACAGAAGATATGCTGATTTGCTAAAATAAATAAGATGTGATGTATTAACACTTCACTATAAAGAATGCATACCAGAACATTTGTAAACAGTGAATGAGTTTCATTAAGAACAGTTTACTACAATAAAGGCTGTCTAAATAGAAGCGCATTTTGTGAAGCACTATGGGCGGTATATGTTTTGCCACATACTCTTGTTACCGTGAGGTAGATAACACATGTGAACCAAATTCGGCATTCATTTTCAGTTGCTGCTGGTATCATGTGTTTTAAGAAATGTGTACAGTATGAAATACTTGGAAATACTCATGAATGAAAAATGTCTTAGAAAAAAATAGCTACTTTCATGCAATTATGTACAGTCTCACTGTGTAAATTTCAAGGCAAGGTCTGTTTCCTGTAAAACAGATCATTGTTCTATGAGAGAATGTTCTTTACTTGTCTTTGTGCATTTCTTTTCTCCTCCTGCGTTGCATTATTTTGCTCTAGTCTTTATTTTTGTGTGCAAATGACATGCCAGTTAAAATGAAAACGATCTCACATGTAGAAAAAGAAAGTCTGGATTTTAAAAAAGAAGAACTCATAAAACCCTTACTAAATGACACCATCTGATTCAAGTAAAAAATGACTTAAACACTAGTAATAAAAAAAGACAAAACACATTTCATGAAGAATACAAAGGTAAATGTCTGCTGAGTGTTTTAGTTTAGATGTTTCAGATGCTGCTGTATGTTTGATGAGGAATTTGAGGAGAAGATTTCATCGCAGAAGGTGTTAATGTGGCCTGTATTGACTTAAGTGGTGACCCAACTGGACTGTGAAACTGCGGGATGCCTATGGACTCGAGCTGCTTGTTAAAGAGGAACTCCCCACTGTTGTTCAGAAATCCTTCCTCATTTCTCTCTCCCCAGGCTTCCCATCCTCTACTGGCTCAGTTTCTAGCATTTCAGGATCTTCTTTCCTGCTAAAGAACTTATCCAAGTAACTAGTGTGTTTTCCTTTTCAACTTGTTCATCCTTCCTTACCTCACAAAACTGATTTATGAAAAAACAGTCCTCCCTACCACTCAGAAACTGGCTGTCCCAAGAAGATTGGTACAAGGCTTCTAATTGAACCAGATTTGCCATTCCTTTTTCCTGTTTTTCTCAGCTTACTGACTTTGATATCAAACTTTTCAATTCTAGTTGGGACACTGAGCTATTCAAGTCATTTAATTTATCAACAACATCAGTAGGCTCATGCTGGGAACTAAGCTGAATAGTTCCTGCAATAAAGGAATCAAAATCAAATCCCTGCTTCTTTTCCCTTTCTTTTCCAGCCAGTTGCTGTGATGCTTCCTCTAGCGCTATCTGGGCTTTAACCAATCCATTCCTTTCACATTTTGATTTGCCTTTCTTATCAGTTTTTTCTTTGCTTTGTTCTCTCCAATTGGAAAGATCTATAATAAGCTTGGGTTCATAGTAATGGTTAACTTCACTCTCTCTCCAAACTAAGTTATCTAAATATGATGATGACCTCGTTTTGCAGTTACAAGTATGGCTACACTCCAGATCACAGTATTTGTTTTCATGATGATCTGAGTATTTCCAACAAGGCTCAGTAGAGTAACTGGTATCAAAAGCAGGATCCTCCAGATACTTTTCCCAATCTTCATCCAAATATTTTTGGGGATCAACTTGTAAGGAATATATACTTTATTATGTTGTATATTTAAAATAATTTACTTAGGAAGGTTGCACATGTCTGTGTTTCTGAAAAAGTGTATCTTAAATCATGTTTTAATAAAGTACTAATGTTCAGTTTACTCACAGGTATGCCATAAAGTATGTAAAAGGATGATTAAATAAGAAACTATTCTATGATACAGTAATGGGAAATACTAAAATATCACTTCATTAGATAAAATAATTTCATTTGCTTTTGATGTTTTGGTTACTTTTGTTTCAGTTTTTATTTGGAAGAAACATTCATAGATATTTTGTTTAAAATATTTTATTGTACCACAGACTTTAAAAGTTTAAGTAACATCATTCCATTCTGGACATCTAGTTATCAGAAGAAAAGCAAAGGTTTCTGGGTTTATATTATTAAGGCACTGTGACAGTGGGTATAGCTATTACTCAGATAGCAGGTACATGACCCTTTTAATTCACAGGGGAAAAAAACCTAGAAAAAATGTTTTAAAATTAAATGTAATAACTTATATCATCATAAGGAATGATGGAAGTGGCACTGCACACTTAGGTTTTCTCCTGTAGATCCACTTTTCACCCTTCTCTACCCTGCTCCTTTGCCTTCTAGCTTCTGGTTGGGTTTAGACAGTAAGAAACACAGTAAAGAGAAGAGAGGGAAGGAGAAAGGTGAAAGAGAGGTATTTATTGCCCTGATTCTCACCCTTAGGGAATGTAGGGGGATATTGGTGGGCTCTTGTATCTCTCAACCAAGGGGCACAGCTTCTTTCAGGCAGCCTTCTTCATACAGCTCTGTCTCTGGGTCCATGTAACTGTTCCTTCCCTTCATCTTTTCAGGGCCAGTAATGGTAATAGCATTTTCCCCTTACTAGCTCTTTGAAGAGTTCTATGGTAGCTGTTCTCTCAATGCCAGAAATGCTGGTAGGGGATGGTGCCATGGGATTGGGTTTTTTGATCCCAGTAAGAATAACGGAATCTAAAAGTGGCAGGAGTCAGTGCTTAACCATTAGATATAAAGGTAGGTTTAATTAGCACAATAGTCACTGGGCAGAGGAATCAGAGTGCTCTGAACTGCAGGAATCTGTGATAGCTGATTGATTGATCTTGAGATTCCAAAGATTAGATGAGTAGCATATTAAGGTGATATTTGGTTTGCATATAGGAAGAAAACTAACAGAGGTCTTAAGACGGCAGAAGTCTAACTCAAATTACCTAGGTAGAAATTCACTGCTTCTTACCTATTTTCTAGATCCAAGCCAATTCACAGACCAAAAGCCCCACCACTGAGTGAAAGAGATATGTGGCCGATTATACTAAGGAAAGAAAAATAACCAGACCTTCCATATTATTAGATCCTGGCTCTAAACTGATGCTAATAATCCTCGAAGTCACCAATGCTAACATGCTAACATGGCCCACCAGCCAGAATGGGGGCTTATCAAGGGCAAGTGATGGATGAGTCTTCACTTAGTCTCACAGTGAGACCAGTAGGGTCATGGGGACATATTATGGTTCTTTCTCCAGTTCCAGAATGTACAGTGGAAACAGACATATAAAATCTGGTTTGAGTATTTGCAATATGGTCTGAGTATTGCAACTAATTCCATTTAATTCAACACTTGCTGAGTACTTACTATTTACAATGTTCTGTGATGAGTCTTACGGCATCAGAAATGTAAGTTTGTAGATATTGCCCTCTAGGTATTCACAGTTTAGTAACTAAATAAAAAATCTTAATTCTTAAAGGGCACAGAGAGACTTAACAAGAAAGCTATTATGTCATAAATGCAGAAATACCTGCCTTCCTGAATCATATATAAAATCTAAAAGACTGGCTCCATTTGAAATGAGGGCAGGAGTTGAAATTCTTCTAAGAAATATCTTAATAAGAGAAGCTGACAACATGGAGTGTAATAACAAAATTCCAGCATGTCCTGATGGATTTGACATAAGTAATTTTAGCAGCTGTCATGTGGCTGGTATAATTATGCTAAACACTTTCAAATCTTAATTGGTTTATATTGAGATACATCGTTTAAAATTTTTAAATGGCAAGTCTCTACTTTGTAAATATCATTAAATGGGGGAAATTCAACAATATTGATAGCATTTTAAAGTAACATGAAAGTATTTGCAATACTGATGAGAAATGGTAAATATTGACACTATAAGAGAAAAAATAAGTGCACTTGGATTCTGTTATTAAACTCTTTTTCTATACTTACGATTCCTTATTATGTGTTTAGACCTTGATGATGACAGTTTTCCATATTGCTGTCAAGAAGCTGCATCATTTAGATTTACCCAGAAAATGTAAAAAACCATATTTGATGATGATATAAAGATTTTGTTTAGCAAATCTTTGATTCATCAATGCTTTTTCCATTTTTCAGAATCTGCAGTCCCTCAGAACAGTATATTTTGTGAGAGTGGATTCATTATAAATAGATATTTTAACTAATAATTTCTAGAGAGATGATGGATGGAATGATAAAGAGATAGAGATACAGATCTGAGCCAGTCAGGGTAGGTTAGGTCAGGTAGAGTGAGACTAGGCAGACTTAATAACTGGAAGAATTCCCACACTGGTTCCCCAACTAATGGAGTAGGGTCAAATATAGTAGGAGGAACTATGTGGATACTCTATACTCTAGGAACCATTTTGCCACCTCCTTAATCAAATAAAAGCAAGTTTAAATCCTTGAGTTGGGGCGGGGCAGTGGGGGGAAGGGGGGCGGGGCAGGGGCGGAATGTAGAGATTAGTGCCATGATTGAAGATTTAAGAAACGTGAGATTCAGGATTTTCACCACATCCCCATTTAGTTAGCTTGCTCGTTTGGCTGGTGCAAATGCCAGATGGATTATGAACAATGACAGTAAATTAATGCAACATAATCAGGTAATGATGCCAAGCGTATCTGGTGTTCCAGGTATTGTACCTTTACCGGAACAAATCAGTAAATCCACAATCCCTGGCACCTGTTAGGCAGCTATTAACCTAGTAAATGCTCCCCCATCCCATCTCAATCAGCAAGGACAATCAAAAACATTTGCTTTGAGTGGCAGGAACACTGGTACATTTTTACTTGCTCCAAGGGCTGTGCCAACGCTCCCTCTCTCTGTCATAATATTGTCTGGAGGTTTCTTGATCAGCAGAATATTTCGCTAGCCTCTGCATTTATAAAATGCTTCTCAAACACCTACTTCGAGAGTATTATTTGTTTCCTGCTTGGACTCTAATATAAATGTTATACTTTTTGCAATGTTTGAACAACCAAGTAACAATGCAAGAAGATGATGACAAAAGTTTAGGAAGATATATTTAAATTAGTTGTTTAAACTAATATATTCCACTTACCAAAAGAGTCTGAAAGAACCACATCCTTTTCAAGCAGAGATACTGGAGAAGGCTGGTTGAACGCTAAACGGTGAAAGCTGACTGAAGCATCACAGACTGATCCAGGGAACCCAATGCTCCACTCAGCTTCCTGAGTACAATGAGAAGGGTCTAGCAATGAGCTGTGTGGAATGACGGTATGTCCTTTGTGCCCTGGGAAACAAACAAACAAAATATGTTTTTTATTTCACATTAAGAAACATAAAAAAGGTCTACAATATACAGAATTGTGACCCATAGTACCACTAATACAGTCTAAAAGTCTGGGTAGTTTTGTTTGTTTGCTTGTTTGCATGGAGCAAGAGGATCTCATACAGAAGCTTTGCAGTGGCTCTTTGGTCAGGAATATTATTGTAGATTTAGCTGAAACACAGGGTCTGAAGCACCCATAAGAGTCAAACTTGGAAATGGGAAGTGGGATGAGTAGCCTATTCAAGGACACAGAGGATTTAAATCCAGGTGTTATGACCATAAAGCCTTTACTCGAAACTAGTAGACTACCAATTAACATTAAAAACTTAAACTGAATTAAGTAAATCAATAAACATTACACAAAGCTTTATATATCAAAGGCATCCAAACATTCTCCCTCTTTAAAGTTACGATTATACTTGAAACAGAAGTTAACAACTGTGGTTGAAAACTCAACTTTTGCATTTGAATTTTGAGATGAATCTTCTTTCATCCTTCAGAGTCTTTCAAAAGTAAATCATTACCATCTATAGGTTTACCTGTCGATTGACTCACAAAGTATGAGGCACATATCCTCGCTATCTTATTTAGACAGATTTTTTATCATTTACAATTTGTAAAGATGCTAAATTCTAGAAATCATGAATGTTTATGAAATATTGAAAATGTGACATACTCTGAACTTGAAATGCTAAAAAAATTTAACCTACAATGTATATGGAATTTTGTTCTTTTGGTATTCTTTGAATAAATTACAAATTTAGGATTTAGATTGGAATAAAAGGGTTCACAGCTGGTTTGTGACTTATTTCTTCTCTTAAAAGTATTTTCGCAAGGATAGATACAGTCTGTCTATATTGCTTTTGTAAATAAGCCTGCAATTTATATGTTTCTGGAGCATGACTGGCTGAAAAATTAGGGTAGTGATGTAAGCAGTTTCTTATCTGTGCAATTAACTGAGTTTAAAATGGAGGCATTCTAAAACTGAAATGGTTTCCTTTTGTGATCAATGTTTCCATGAATATTGCCCAAAATTTTCTGTTAATTTAAAATCAATGTGCCAATGCAGGAGAAAAAGGACATATTTGGAGGCTGTCTCTGACAGATTGGGGCTCTTCCAGAAACGAATGTCTCATCTGTGCCTGGTGCTTGCCTCTATCATTTAAATTATTAGTAAAGTTTGCTATTGGGTAAGATCTGTAAGGCACCTAAGTCTGCTTTAACAATTCAATTCTGTGCTAACACAAACATATTTCCAATGGATTTTTATCACAAATTAAAAAATAACATTACCTGTAAGTGAGCCATCAACATCAATCATTACCATTTCATGTTCCCAGCGAAAGCCAGCCTTGTTCGGTGTGTGAGAATACTGGACGTCAACAAACTTTGCACTCCAACCCCCACATCTGTCATTACAAACTCCAGAGATGGATGTCACTCCCAAAGCTACACAGTTGGGACGGTCAAAGTTCATAAAGTGCACAGAAGAGACAGTCAAGCCTTCACTAAATGGGAGAACCAGGCCTTTTGCTGTGCAAAATGCAGACCCCATTCCCAGTTCATCAAGATGGCCGACTATTTTGGCATTTTTAATCACCGCTCCATTGGTTTCACCCCACCCTCCAACATAAGGAGCCAGGATCCTCTTAGTCTCAATTCCAGCCTCATAGTTATTCACCATCACAAAGTTATGGAACTGAAGGGCACCTCCATTGACCCATTCAGCTCCTTTTTGACAATTCCAAGTAGTAAGTGAGTTAAATATTGCAGGTGCAGGCACTGTAGATGTACAAGATCCCGTTTGCATGGGGAAATATTCCTCAAAGATCCACATTCCAAACCAACCTTGAGAATGGACAGTATTGTTAAAAAATTCGCCAAGGGGAACTCTTTTTTGACAAATGTTTCTGTCATAGGATGGCCCATCAGGGTGGTTGTTCATCCGGTACCAAAAGCCAAAGTGAGTGCCACCAGCAACAGCATTGTGTCGTATGGTATTGTTCGGGTTGGTGACCCAAAATGCAGCCGGGGTCACATCATCATTCAGAAGACTGGTACTTTGCTGTACAAATACTGCCAAGTTATACTGGAGGATATTGCCATGTTCAATACCATCTTCTATAAAAAATGCTCCTCCCTTAATATCATATATAATATTCCTCTCAACCAGAAGATGGTGTGTGTTATGAATAGTAACAGCTCTGTTATAGGCCTGGTGAATTGCACAGCCTCTTACATAAGATTTAAACTGTAAGTCTCCAAGCAGGTGCCAATGTATTGGATATCGCCCCAACCGGAAAGCCTGGCCAGCAT